>NC_000006.12:169504144-170125061 GCF_000001405.40 Homo sapiens
TACTAGTAGGAATTCAACTGTTCACTACAAACTGTTTCAATTTCTCTGTATATCAGAATATTTTCATAATAAAATGTTAAGATACATAGTAGACTTCTGTGTTAGATGAATGTATCATGTTACTCACTGATATGGTTTGGATCTGTGTCCCCACCCAAATCTCACCTTGAATTGTAAGAGTCCATGTGTCAAGGGTAGGACCAGGTGGAGATAACTGAATCATGGGGGCGGTTTCCTTCATACTTTTCTTGTGATAGTGATTAAGTCTCTCAAGATCTGATGGTTTTATAAATGGCTGCCACCATGTAAGATGTGACTTTGCCCTTCATTCACCTTCCACCATGATTGTGAGGCTCCCCAGCCATGTGGAACTGTGAGTCAATTAAACCTCTTTCCTTTATAAATTACCCAGTCTCAGGTATGTCTTTATTAGCAGCATGAGAACAGACTAATATACTCACTTTAAAAAAAGATTTTTTTTTGAGACAGGGTCTCACTCTGTTGCCCAGGCTGGAGTGCAGTGGCGTGAGCTTGGCTCACTGCAGCTTCAATCTCCCAGGCTCAAGCGATCCTGCCTCGCTTGGGAAAAAGCCTCCTGAGTAGCTGGGACAACAGGCATGCACCACCACATGTGGCTAATTTTTAGGTCTTGCTATGTTGCCCAGGCTGGTCTCGAACTCCTGGCCTCAAGCAATTCTGCCACCTCAGCCTCCCAAGGTGCTGTGATTACAGGTATGATCTACTACACCTGGCCTGTTACCTACTTTATATTCTTTGAAGACTTTTGTGGAAAATCTATTGTAGACAATAGGGCTTCTAAAAAACAAGTGAAAACTGTATGTTTTACTTCATCTTGCATACTTTGCCAGAGATCCTTACATGAAATCTAGCAAGAAAGACAATATTATTACTTGGCTACAATTATATCTGTGAATTAATAAGTGATATGCAGTATTCTATATGAAAAATGCTACACCTAAGTAAATTTTCCTTTGGAGATGAATGTAGATCATATAAAATCCTATCAACTTGAATACTGCTCATTAAGTTATTGTAAATATTCTTAAGAACTTAGTAAGCTCCAATCAGAAATCACTTGCTAATTATCAAGATCTAGTTCTATTCATGGGGCAGCAGGGGGAGTTAATGTTATGAGTGATTTTTCTAATGCATCAGTTAACACTTACATTAAGCCATCAATCTTAACCTATGAGGGCAATAATAATAAAAGCTCATATTCATTTATCTCTTATCACAGATAGGCACATGCACCATTTCATTTAAGCCTCAAAGCACCATCATAAGGTACATTTGTTATTCCTTCTCTATACTTAGGGAAACAGGGACTCATAATTTGAGAAATTTGTCCTAGGTTATCTAACTTACTGGTAGAATGGAGAACCAAGCCCAAGCAGACTGATAGCATTCCTATACTCCAAGAATAGTCCTCAGACCAGAAACAATTGCCATCACATGTGAGTCTCCAGCTCACCCCAGACCTAATGGATTAGAATCTGCAGCAGCAAACAATCCTCAACTGCGTAGAAGGCACACTGAAGTTTAAGAAGTGCTGGCAGATCCAGTTCCCTTCACCATCATGCCATGCCAGTGTCTCACAAATTTTGTGTGATCACAGTCATCTGGAAGGCTTATTAAAATGCTGAGTGCTGGACCCTCCCAGATTTTTGATTCATTAGGACTGGGCAGGGGACCTGAGAATCTGCTTGTCTAACACATCACAGTGATGCTGAAGCTGCTAGCCAGGGGGCCACACTTCGGACACACTGCACGCTGCCCACATGCACCACTTCAGTCAGTGTCATCATCAGAAACACATATACCACCTAAACCCCCTAAACTTTTAAACTCATAAACAAAGCTCCCAGAAGTTAACTCTACAGCAGACATTTGCTTTTGTACATTTTCCTTTGTTTTCAATGGAATTGTAATTTATTTACAATTGTGCAGTATTTCATCTGAGCTAAAAATTAAACACTGCAACTTTAGAAGCTCTGAAGAATTTCCAAGCACTAATTTTCCCTATTTTTCATTTTACTTTTGTTTTCCTTTTGATGGGAGAAAATTGGCATAAACATCACATTCATTTGAGATTTCCAGGGAGACACTGGTCAGGATACATTATAATCCGTATGCCATTAAGATACTCTGTCTTACCTAACAAATGTTGAGCAACTGTAAATTTTAATCTGTTACATGCTGACAGAACTTGAGGTAAGTGATTAAAAAAATCAAGGGTGTTGTTGGTGCTAATCTTAATGGAGTAACTTTCTCAAATGTCTGGATTTATAATTTCTAAATTTTGCCTCCTTAGTAATGACTGTCTGGAAGTCCAGTGAAACAAAAACATTGTGCCCAATTAAGAGCAAGTTTGATTGAGTAAGGAGAGAAACATGGTGATTCCAAGAATGAAAGAAAGCCATAGACGGCAACAAATTCACAGAAGCACATGAGTAGGGTAAAAACATGGTCATTACAGATTAGCTGTACACCTACATTTATATCCTCAAAAACTGTGTGTCCTTTGCAGTAAATATATAGTACTTTGGAAAAATAGATTGTACTGCAATCAAAGGTGAACAAGAATAACATGGACCAGAGATGTGTTAGTTATAACTTGGGACACATCAACAGAGAAACAGATATTTCCACATGTGGCTTGGTTGTTGGACAACTTCCATATGTGTTCTTCTGCTTTGATTAGGAATCCATTCATTAATTTGGTATAACTGAATGTGTACCTTTATTAAATGCTAAATGATATGGACTTTAAACTACCTTATTATGTAGCATATTAACTGCATTTAGATGCATCTATATAAGGATTAGAATTTAATCCAAACAACACTTGACATTCTAATGGCATAAAATGAAATCTGATTAAACATTACTTTCAATTGTGTAATGTTTTAGAAATAAAATATTTTGAGTCCTAAAAAACACTATTCTTTCCATTTCAGATTTGATTTTCCAAATTCTACTTTGTGTTTCCAACTTTGTTTCCTAACAAGTTTGGTTGAGAATAAGGTAAGCACAAATGTGGACATGTGGCATCTATAAGCTGCCTTTTTTCCCCCTTTCCTGTCCTTTTTGACCTGACTTATTGAAAGGAGTTTGAGGTGGGGAAAGAAAGAAGCAGCACGTGTGTAAGATTGTTTTGACTGGGGAAGGAACATCAATTCACTTGCAGGTACACACCCACAGTGGTTCTGGGCACACGGCTGGGCACGCTCTGCTTCATAGATGTTCTCAGTGTAACTACCCATGACACTACTCCATCTTGACGGGGCTCACTGAGAGCTTTCATCCTTTCAACTGAGTGAAGACATATTGTAACCTGGAGCATATCAGCCAGAAGCATGGTTGACAGGTTGGAGCTCCTAGATCCCTCACCCAGGACAGAAATTCTACGCTTCTTGTCTGCTAATAGCAAACCCCACCAGCCTTCCCTGTAACTTTCAGGAAAGTTTTCAGCAAACTATGGCTCATGAAACAGACCTGCTCATTGCCTGTTTCTGCATATCCAGTAGATAAGAATAATGTTTATATTTTGAAATGGTTGAAAACACTAAAGAATATTTTTCAATGTTCATAAATAAAGTTTTATTGGTACACAGACACATCCTCTTGAGTACATATTGTCTGTGGCTTTCTTGACACATGGTGAAGTGGAGTGGCTGTGATGGAGACCACATGTGGCACTCTCACAGCTTCACAACTGTGCTAGCCACTCTACAGGTCACAGCAATGCCCTTATAAACTGACCTTCCAACTGCTGCATGTACTTCTGTACTATGAATGGTTTATTTTAAATCTTCATAGTATACCCATCATGTCAAAACACGAAGAGAAAAGTGGACCTCAACTGCCATGCTTTTAGGGCACAGCAGAGTGTGGATTATTTTTATACAGATGAATGGCAGAGCATTGTGTTTCATATGCTGTGCACTCCAGTGGAGCTGAAAGGACTCCAGAAGCATCTATATGACCAGACCAGGCTCACATAAAATCGGCCCAACTCACAGGACAGCAGTGATCAGAAAAACAAAAAAACTTAAAACAGAACATCTCAACACAGAGAATTTATTCAAAAAATAAAAATACATTAAAATCAAGCTACAAGCAAAGTAACTTTCTGAATGGCTTGTTAGCCAAATGAGGAAAGCCATACACCAATTATTAGTTGATTAAATCATGGTTGATTGCAGCAGCCAGAGAAATGCATCAGAGCAAATAAGCTCATCTGAGACTGTTAGGTTTTTGGCTAGAAGAGATGTTCAAGAGTTGAGGGCAAATTATTTTTAATTTCTTTTTTTTTCACTCAATGACTCAACAAATGTTACTGTACTACTTAGTTGTTGTTTAAGAGTGAATAGTCTAAAGTGACTGAAAATTAGTCTCTATGAATTGTCTGCATGGAACAATTGCACACAAGAATATTCTGAAAGGATTTGGGAAGACAAAGATTCAGTACAATCTGAAGTGGAATCTGCTAAGATGTGTTACAACTGCAGGTGGTAAAACACATCAAGAAATATGAGGAGAAAAGGCTTAAACAACTTTACAACACTTGTGGAAATGTAAAGTGTTTAAAACTTATAATTATGTATTATATTATCAGTAGATACTTTGTAGAAAATATTTGAATCTATCACGTTATTAAACCAGTAGCATAAATGATGGACTTTATTCACTCTGGTATATTTAACTTTCATCCTTAAAGTTTTGTCAGAAACGGAAGCTACATGTCCTGAGCTGCCCTCCACACAGCAGCCACATGGCTCCATAGCAGTCAGGTTTTATCGTTGTTGTTGAGCTCAGGATGAAGACAAAATTTTCCAAATCATGAGTGAACTCCCATTCACAATTGCTTCAATGAGAATAAAATACCTAGGAATCCAACTTATAAGGGATGTGAAGGACTTCTTCAAGGAGAACTACAAACCACTGCTCAATGAAATAAAAGAGGATACAAACAAATGGAAGAACATTCCATGCTCACGGGTAGGAAGAACCAATATCGTGAAAATGGCCACACTGCCCAACGTAATTTATAGATTCAATGCCATCCCCATCAAGCTACCAATGACTTTCTTCACAGAATTGGAAAAAACTATTTTAAAGTTCATATGGAACCAAAAAAGAGCCCGCATTGCCAAGTCAATCCTAAGCCAAAAGAACAAAGCTGAAGGCATCACGCTACCTGACTTCAAACTATACTACAAGGCTACAGTAACCAAAACAGCATGGTACTGGTACGAAAACAGAGATATAGACCAATGGAACAGAACAGAGCCCTCAGAAATAATGCCGCATATCTACAACTATCTGATCTTTGACAAACCTGACAAAAACAAGCAATGGGGAAAGGATTCCCTATTTAATAAATGGTGCTGGGAAAACTGGCTAGCCATATGTAGAAAGCTGAAACTGGATCCCTTCCTTACACCTTATACAAAAATTAATTCAAGATGGATTAAAGACTTACATGTTAGACCTAAAACCATAAAAACCCTAGAAGAAAACCTAGGCAATACCATTCAGGACATAGGCATGGGCAAGGACTTCATGTCTAAAACACCAAAAGCAGTGGCAACAAAAGCCAAAATTGACAAATGGGATCTAATTAAACTAAAGAGCTTCTGCACAGCAAAAGAAACCACCATCACAGTGAACAGGCAACCTACAGAATGGGAGAAAATTTTTGCAACCTACTCATCTGACAAAGAGCTTATATCCAGAATCTACAATGAACTCAAACAAATTTACAAGAAAGAAACAAACAACCCCATCAAAAAGTGGGCAAAGGATATGAACAGATACTTTTCAAAAGAAGACATTTATGCAGCCAAAAAACACATGAAAAAATGCTCATCATCACTGGCCATCAGAGAAATGCAAATCGAAACCACAATGAGATACCACCTCACACCAGTTAGAATGGCGATCATTAAAAAGTCAGGAAACAACAGGTGCTGGAGAGGATGTGGAGAAATAGGAACACTTTTACACTGTTGGTGGGACTGTAAACTAGTTCAACCATTGTGGAAGTTGGCGTGGCAATTCCTCAGGGATCTAGAACTAGAAATACCATTTGACTCAGCCATCCCATTACTGGGTATATACCCAAAGGATTCTAAATCATGCTGCTCTAAAGACACATGCACACGTATGTTTATTGTGGCACTATTCACAATAGCAAAGACTTGGAACCAACCCAAATATCCAACAATGATAGACTGGATTAAGAAAATGTGGCACATATACACCATGGAATACTATGCAGCCATAAAAAATGATGAGTTCATGTCCTTTGTAGGGACATGGATGAAGCTGGGAACCATCATTCTCAGCAAACTATCGCAAGGACAAAAAACCAAACACCGCATGTTCTCACCCATAGGTGGGAATTGAACAATGAGAACACATGGACACAGGAAGGGGAATATCACACACTGGGGACTGTTGTGGGGTGGGGGGAGGGGGGAAGGATAGCATTAGGAGATATACCTAATGCTAAATGACGAGTTAATGGGTGCAGCACACCAACATGGCACATGTATACATATGTAACAAACCTGCACGTTGTGCACATGTATCCTAAAACTTAAAGTATAATAATAATAAAAAAAGACAAAAAAAAGACAAAGTTTTCTGAATGAGAACAATTTCTTCCTCCATTTTTATCAAACTCTAAATGACAATGGAATTGCTTGATACTATTTCTTAGTGAATTCAACCTAAGATTACAAGGCAAAAAAAATATATATGCAAAACTTTTCCTGAGGTAAACTAATTTTGGTGACAACTAACGTTTGAATCACAAGCAACATCAGCAGCTTTATACATTGCTCATCCTGTCAAAAGTTACAAGAAGCAGCAAGGTAGCCATTCCCACACACAATTAAAGCAGAAACATTTCTCAATCTCAAGCCACAGTTCCAGTTCCAGTAGTGTGTTTCAGACTTTGATACAAAAACAAAGGCAATTTCCACATTTCAAAATCCATTTAGCTGCCTTTGAGGAGCCTTTGTGTAACCTTCCATTGAAAGTGATTATTCTGCAATGTAATAAGATCTTAACAGGCAAATATCAAGTGTAAAATCTAATACCATTCTCTGAATGTTTATCAAACAATAAATATGTTCCATTAAAATCAAATACTTATGGATTTGTATGTTTGGCAGTACCTATTTGTGTGAAGAGACGTTTTCAAACATGAAATATGTGAAATTTCATTACAGATCAGCACTAACAGATTAATATTTGCAATTAATTTTGATGTTAGGGAATGCTAACTTTGAACCCCAAATAAAGTGTTGCCTTCCCCCCAAAATATAATTTCATTCTCTTAATCATAGATCTGTATTATAAGAAAATTACACTCAGTTTTTATTAGTATATTTTCAATGTTGCCTATGAAAAGACTGCATAAACTTGTGTTCTTTCTTATTCTCTAAGTACATACATAATATCCTCAGTTTTCCTTCCTGATCCACAAAGCCTAAAATATTTACTATTTGGCCTTTTACAAAAAAAAAATATTTGCCAACTCTTGCTCTAGATAATATCTGAGTACCCAAATTATACTTAATATCTTCAGCTACTATTCATATCTGCCATCATTTTATATGGTTTTATCATTCATAAAAAATTGATGGATAGATGGGTGAATGGATAATTTACTGTTTTATAATCTTTAAACAATAAAATCCATGGCCATTGGTTTACTGCTTTCCTAAAAGGAAAGTGGAGTCTTTATAAAATGTAATGATTGGGGAAGCAAGGGTCTCAGTAAGGACTTTCATCCAAATACAGGCTGTCACACTCATGTATCTGCAGATGGCAGTGTACATCTTTTTTCAAACAAAGGATTTTAGTTCAAATAATAGAACAAATAGCTATAACCAGTATACATAAATTATTATAAATTATTTCCTTTCAAATAGAAAAGAGAAGTCAAACTGACAAAATATATTTTTTAGATTGCCCTACAAATTGTAATAGCTTGTAATTTGCAAAATTATAATTTTATAGTGTTTTCTTACCAAGTCTAGAAATTTTATACCTAGATGTCTTGGAAATGTAATAAACTATTGTTAATATACCAAAGAAGAGCTTTTTTACTTTTCAAAAATCCAATACTTTGATTTGAAATAATGAAATGTCATTTCAACTTTATGTCTAAGTGTAATTTAAGTTGATTCCTAAATAAAATTTAACTTACAATTTTTAAAGGGTTCTTTATCCTAGAATGACCAAAAATTAAATTAAATTTTAAATCAAGCCTACAAAATAGAAATACAACGATAAGCCCAATGGGAACTTTAATTTGTAATGTTAATTCATTTAGCTACTTTACTCTAGAGGAGTCTAAGATTAGCAAAGCAAGAAAATGTTTAGTAAGAGCTACTGAGAGATCATAAGTCAATCCTACTGGCTTTCTAAACCACACATAAGCTAGATTTTAATGATGTTATTTAAAGGCTGTTTAAATGCTGCAAATGTGAACATTTTAACATTAGAATGCAATAGAAACTTTGTCTAGTTTTACCTCTTTAGATAGTAGAGGTAATGGCTTGAATCACCTTTGATTTTGTATTAAAAGAAAGTCATGTTTGACGTTTCAAGAAAGAATGTGAAAAAATAGTTCATGGCTAGTAGTTCTGAAGCAGTGTTTTCATGTTAAAAGAAAATCTGTGAAGATAGAAAACACATAGAAAACTAAGGCTAATAGAACAGTGATGCCAAAACATGTATGAGATCACCACCAACTCTAAAGGAGACGGACACTGCTTAAGAAAATATACTTTCACGAAATAAAGAATACATTAAAAAATTTTTTTCTAAACGTTCCAGTTACTTATTGTTGCACCATAAACTACTCTCAAACTTAGTGGTTTAAAATAATAACCATTTTCTGATATTTCACTGTTTTGTGGGTGAGTCTTCTGTTTCGTGTTGTGCTGACAGCAGTCACCCTGTGGTGCTTGGTTGGGGGCGGGCTCAGCAGGAATTTCTGGGGGCACCTAGACAGTCTCCAGCATGGTGGCCTCAGTGAGGTGGGCCCCTCACAGTGCAGCTCAGTTTCCAAGAGAGAATGTTCTGGCAAACAAAGTATTACTAGAAGCTGTATCTGTTTCTATGGCTTGGCCCTGGAAATTGTACAGCCTCCTTCCTGCCATGCACAATTGGTCAGAGTGGTCCCGGGACGCCCAGGCTTAAGGGGAGGGAACACAGATGCCCACCTCTCGAGGAAAGAAGTGTTGAAGGATTTGCAGCCATGTTTCAAAATTCTAGATTCAGAGCCCCAGTGTTCATTCCCTAATTCAAAATTTTGGGGAGTTGTATAAACTGAAGTAGGTCTCATTTATCCATGTTGACACATTTACATGGATTCAAAGGCAGTAACTTCCAGAAAACAACCAGGCACTAAGTAGGAGAGTCTCGGAACAGAACATTCTATGCAGTAATTACTTATAAACAATGTGTTTATTTATAAGTAATTACTTATAAACAATGTGTTTATTTATAAGTAATTACTTATAAACAATGTGTTTATTTATAAGTAATTACTTATAAACAGCAACATGTGCTGGAAACTGTGGTCAGTCATTCACTTGTTTAACATAGACTGTCTACCTCTGCCAATCCCTGTGCCAATAGACATGGGCACAGCCCTAAAGAGAAAATGTCTCTGCTGTCATTACTCACAGCATTAAAGCTCTAGACAGTACAGGAGGAAAAAGCAGCACTTCTGTAGAACAGAGCCACTGAAAGACATGGCATTGCACAGTGGGCTTTAGCTCTTATCTCAGAACTGCGGGACATACAATTAGAGCAAAAGGGAATAGCAGCTGGCAATCTACATTGATTGCTGACTGATTCCAAGTCTGGATAAGGTTCACGTTATTTCAGGATGGATGAAGAGAGGAAACAATAAAAACCACACCTCCACAACAAAAAACTAACAAGACTATTGTAAGAATATATATATTATTCTTATATACATACACATATACATATATAGATATGGTAGTTTACATCTTTTTTCAAACAAAGGATTTTAGTTCAAATAATAGAACAAATAGCTATAACCAGTATACATAAATTATTATAAATTATTTCCTTTCAAATAGAAAAGAGAAGTCAAACTGACAAAATATATTTTTTAGATTGCCCTTCAAATTATAATAGCTTATAATTTGCAAAATTATAGTGTTTTCTTATCAAATGTAGAAATTTTATACCCAGATGTCTTGGAAATGTAATAAACTATTGTTAATATACCAAAAAAATGTGTATATACACATACAAATATATATGTATATATATAATATGTATTTTTTCCCCAACTATATATATATTTATATATTTGGGGGAAAAATATATATATAAAATATAGATATTAAAATATATGTCTAGGTCAATAATAAACATTAATTTTTTAATAAAAAATGATCAAACAAATCCCTCAATATTTTAAAAGGTTAATACACTAAGAGCAAGTTGGATTTATTCTAGGAATAAAAGGTTGGCTTAACATTGTTAAAGACATCATTCTAATCGTTCTTACTATAACAGAAAAAAAGAGAATATATATATATATATATATGATCATTTCAATAGCTTCAGAAATAGCATGTGTTAAAATTTAGCATACATTCTTAGCAAACAAGGAATAAAAGGAAATTTTTTATTTGACAAATAGTAATTACAAAAATAATAATTACTTTTTATTTTATTTTAAAAATAAATCTACAGCAAACATCAAACTTAGTGGTGAAATGTTGAGAGCTTTCCCTACGAGATTGGAAACAAGATCTCACCACTTGCATTTAATACTAATATATGCACATAAGAAAGACTAAAATTAAATTTAAAAGACTGATAACACTAATTGTTGGTAAGTATGTGGAGAAACAAACTCTCATTCATGGGTCGTGGGTCTTTAAATTAGTACAACTTCTTTGGAAAACTCCCTTAATTTACTAAAGCTGAAAATACACATAGCTATGACCCACCGAGTCCTGTCCTAACTGTGTATCAACAGAAATGTGTGCGTGTGTGCAGCAAAAGAAATGGAGAAGGAGACCCGGGGCAGTCTTACAATGACCAAAGCATAAAACTCTACTGTGTGCTATTCGTAGCAAGTTCAAAACAGGAATACATAGGCTTTAGGAATGTGTGCCTTTAAAATTAAAAATAAAATGAAAGCGGTAATGATCATAAAAGCTAGAATAATGAATACTGAATAGCTTTTAGGGAAATGGATACAGATCTTATTGGGACAAAGCTCAATTATAAGTTATTGGGTTATGCATGTCTGTTTTGTATGAATTTCATAAATGTCAGAATTAGATGTCAAAGTTACCATTATTTACACATGAGTACTTATTTTAAAAACTTAAGAGTGGTATATGAATAAAAGTGTTCAGTAAAATCATAATTTGGTAATTGAAAGCCTTTCTTTGTGCCAACAAAATATTCTTAGAAAAGGTAATGGATAAAGGTAATGATTAAAATAGACTTTATGGATAACTTCAGCCAAATATAATAAATATAAATAAGCATATATTTTATTATATACTTAACTATTATAAACATTTAAAATATAAGTAAAGTAACAGTAAAATAAAAGGGATAAATTTAAAATTTGTGAAGGATATATATTATATATATTTAATAATTTTAAAAGATACATAAGAAAACACAAATAAGCAGAAAAGTGTATTATGCCCCCAGTTGACATATTCAAATTATAAAGATCTTAATTCACTGCAAATTGATCTATGAGTTGAATGTAATCAATCATTCAATAACTTCAATGTGAATAAGTAACTCCAGCATTCATCTGGAAATATAAATACAAAAATAGCTAAGAGGAGAACGGTAGAAAAATAAGAAATTCCAACTTTCACCATTCCATAAAAGCAATAAGAAAACTGTCAAAAACTGTCAGAATCAACTTTCTTCAGAACTCTGAAAATTCACCAAAGGGCTGCAACAACTGGAAGAGCCCTTACTCAACATAACAGCTGAATCCTGAATCTGCTGTAGTAAGAAATAAGGATCACAAGATTTGCTGCATTTTGACTTTCTCCAGCTCCATTTTCAACTCCCTAGCTCAACGGTAAGGAGCCATGAAAATAAGTACCTGCATTCCATGTACTGGATGGAGCAGAACAGATCTCATTCACAAAGACTTTAATAATTTACTGTGACCTATCTGATGCCTCCCTGGAAGACTGGCTTAAAAGGCTTGTCTTTCTCTCACCTGACTCAGAACTCCTCCAGAACTCCTCCAGGGGGGCTAATTCTGCTGCGGTGGGGAATGGGCGGTGGGGACATTTGTCTAAAACATTTACAGATGAATGTTTTAGTTGCTGCTTCCTGTTGGGGAAGACGATGTACAAACCAAAAACCTTGAGAGGGAAGACTGCTGACGGGAGATGTCCATAGGGCTTAAAAGTTCTATTACATCCTGGAAATCTAGAAGGTCATGTGTGTCCCCAAGAGCTGGGCATGCTAACAAAGAACCTGAGACGGCTCTGAAGGCTCTCTGAATAAATGATGGGTAAGACAGAACTGCAAACTGCCTGGCTGAGAGTTAAAGGCATGCTCCAACACACACACACACACACACACACACACACACACACACACACACACACCCCTCCCTTAGCAAAGACTGAAAGATGTGTTGGTTCCAGGCATTTAGGAAAACATCTGTCCTGAGTGAATGCTGAAATGAGGTAAGACTTTGGGGGACTATTGAGAAGTCATGACTGTATTTTGCAATGTGAGAAGGACCTGAGATTTGAGGCTGGGCAGAAGGAGGGGTAGAATGATGTAGTTTGGATTTCATGTTGAAATGTAATCTCCAATGTTGGAGATGGGGCCTGGTGGGAGGTGTTTGGGTCATGGGGGTGGATCCTTCATGGCTTGATGCTGTCTTTGCAATGGTGAGTGAGTGCTCTTGAGATCTGGTTAAGTGTGTGGCACTTCCCCACCACCAACTCTCTTTCTCTTGCTCCAACTCTGCCATGTGACACATCTGCTCCTACTTCACCTTCATCCCTGAGTTAAAGCTCCCTGAGGCCTCCCCAGAAGCTGAGCAGATACCAGCACCATGCTTCCTGTAAAGCCTGCGGAACCATGAGCCAATTAAACCTCTTTTCTTTATAAATTACCCAGCCTCAGGTATTTCTTTATAGCAACACAAGAACAGCCTACCACTGGGGGAACAGAGTGAAGCCAGCCTGCTTCCACATCATCATTTTGGAACTGAGAGTCTATAACTATTGTTTATAGTTATTGCTTTTTGCACCTGTATAATAAAAGATTAAAAAACTAAAAGAAGTTACAACAAAAATACATTTATGCTATCTTTTATATTTACCTATTTAGTTACCTTTCTTCATGTGGGTTTGAGTTATTTTCTATTCAACTCAAAAGACTCCCTATGGCATTGGTTATAGGGAAGTTCTGGCAACAATGGACCCTCTTAATTTTTGTTTATATTGGAATGCCTTAATTTCTTCTACATTTTTGAAGGATCATTTTGCTGGATATAGAATGATTGGTTGAACTTTTTATTTTTCAGTATTGGACCTCATTGCCTTTTAGACACCATGGTTTCTAATGAGAAATCAACTGATAATCTTGTTCAAGATTGCTTGCATGTGATAAACCACTTATGTCTTGCTGCTTTCAAAAATTGTCTCTCTGTCTTTTGGCACATTGCTTATGATGTGTCTAGGTACAGATAACAGAGTTTATCCTACTTGAAGTTTGTTGCAACTTTGAAACCCAGCAAGGCAGTCATTAAATCTTAAAGTTCCAAAATAATCATCTTTTCCTTTATGTCCCACATGCTGGGAACACTACTGCAAGAAGTGGGTGACCAAGGCCTTGGGAAGTTCTGCCCCTATGGGTTTGCAGGCTTCAGACCCAATGGCTGCTCTCACAGGTTAGAACTGAGTACCTGCAGCTTTTCTAGGCACAGGGTGCAAGCTGCCAGTGATCTACCATTCTGGGGTCTAGAGGGCAGCACCCCATTCCCACAGCTCCACTAAGCAGAGCCCTCTTGGGGACTCTGTGTGGGTCTAGCAACCCTGAATTTCCCCTCTGAACTGCCCTAGTAGAGGTTCTACATGGGGACTCTGCCCCTGCAGCAGGCTTCTGCCTGGCATCCAGCCTTTTTCATATATCTTCTGAAATCTAGGCCAAGCCTCCTTCACTCTTGCACTCTGCATTCCTACAGGCTTAATGCCACATGGAAGCCACCAAGGCTTATGGCTTGTGCCCTCTTAAGTGACAGCACAAACTGTACCTGGGGTCCTTTGAGCTGTGGCTGGAGCTAGAATGGCCTAGATGCAGGCAGCACTGTTCCAAGACTGCACAGGGCAGTGGGGCTCTGGGCCTAGCCCATGGAATCATTCTTCTCTCCTAGGCTTCTGGGGCTATGACAGGAGGGGCTGCCTCTTAGATCTCTGAAATGCCTTTGAGGCCTTTTTCCCATTGTCTTGGCTGTCTTTTAGTTATGCAAGTTTCTCTAGGAAGTGGTTGCTCAGCAACCTGCTTGAATTCCTCCCCTGAAAATGCTTTTTCTTTCTCTGCCACATGGCCAGGCTGCAAATTTTCCAAACTTATATGCTCTGTTTCTTGTTCCAATACAAATTCCAACTTTAAGTCATTTCTCTGCTCCCGCATCTGACCAAAGCCTGTTAGAAGCAGCCAGGCCACATCTTGAACACTTTGTTGCTTAGAAATTTCCTTTACCAGATACCCTAGGTTGTCACTCTGAAGTTCAAATTTCCACAAGTCCCTAGGGCACAAACAGAATGCAGCCAACTTCTTTGCTAGGGCATAACAAGGGTGACCTTTGCTCCAGTTCTCCATAAGTTCCTCATTTCCATCTGAGACTTCATCAGCCTTCACTGTCCATAGCACTATCAACATTTTGGTCATAACCATTTAACCAGTCTCTAAGAAGTTCCAGATTTTCCCTTATCTTTCTGTTTTCTTCTGAGCTCTCCAAACTCTTCCAAGCTCTGCCTGTTACCCAGTTCCAAAGTCCCTTCCACATTTTCAGATATCTTCACAGCAATATCCCACTCTTCAGTACCAATTTTCTGTGTTAGTTCATTCTTGTATTGCTAAAAAGAAATACATGAGACTTGGCAATTTATTAAGAAAAGAGGTTTAATTGGCTCACAATTCTGCAGGATATACAGGAAGCATGGCACTATCATTTTCTTGGCTCCTGAGGAGGACTCAGGGAGCTTTAATTCATGGCAGAAGGCAAAGCAGGAGCTGGCACATTATGTGGCAGAACAGGTACAAGAGAGAATGGGGGGTGGGAAGGTGCCATATACTTAAACAACCAGATCTCATAAGAACTCACCCACTATTGTAAGGAGAGCACCAAGCCATGAGAGATCTGCCCTCATGACCCACACACCTCCCACCAGGCCCTCCCTCCAATGTGGGGGATTACATTTCAACATGAGATTTGGGTGGTGGGAATATCCAAACTATATCACCCCCCAACCAACAAAAACAAAAATAAATATACACACCAATATTATCCCCATCAACATCTCAGAACTCAAATATGAAGATGAGATAGTTCTTGGGGCCACAGAGAAGTGAAAAAACTCTGAGACAACAGTGAGAGAACTGGACTTCCTCATCTGTGATGGTTTTCCCCCATCTTCTTGACATGAAGTACATGGAAAATCTCCCCCCAACTCATGGTTTCTACACACACAAAAAAGTGAGATTGAGGTGGACGACCAGCTTCCCCACCATCTTGAACTACTTGACAGGAGACCTCTCCCTCCCTAAACCCCTGGGAAGCATCAGGAGTGCCCGAAAAGAAAAATATCCCTATGAAGAGCCAGAGACAAAAGGGGGAAGTGGGACTACCATCCCACCCTAGAAATTTTTCTCTGTAGCTTGACAAAAAGAGATACCAAATCGGAGTGGCTGCTCAGCATCACCACACTGTAGGAGGTTTATTCCATTACTCCCCAGGGCATGAACCCATAGCCAGCTTCCCACACTGCTGGAATATCCCTTTGGCATTTCTCCTGTTCAGGATAAGTGGTACTCTGATTATTTACTAGAACTGAGGCAAACCTGAGCTTAAGGCACCATCTAGTGCCAAAAAGGAGGCAGCAACATAGCAGATTGTTTTTAACAAAAAGAAAATTGAAAAGTAAATTACAAAGAATTTTTTAGTAAACATATCTGATAAAAAATCAAAACAAACCAGATAGAGAATACTGGAATAAATAATACTTCAATACAAAGACACAGATGTACATGCACACGAAACAACAGCAAACAGGGAACCATGACTACCTCAAACATACAAAGCTGGGAACCAGTGACTGACTCTCACAAGATGATGATAATGTGAACTCTCTCACCAAGAATGCAAAGTAGCAGTTTTAAGGAAACTTGGTGATCTTCAAGGTAACACAGAAAAGCAATTCAGAAATTTATCAGAAAAAATTAACAAAGCGATTAAAGAGAAAATCTTGGAACTGAGAAATACATTTGCTGAACTGAAAAAAATCATGAGAGGCTCTCAACAGTAGAATGGATCAAGCAGAGGAAAGAATCAGTGAGTTCAAAGACAGGTTACCTGAAATACAGAAAGAGAAAAAAAGGAAAAAAATGAAAAGCAATGAAGAATGCCTATAAGACATGGAAAACTACCTCAAAAGATAAAATCTAAGAATTATTAGTGTTCAAGTTGAACAAGTTGAACAAGAACAAGGAGGTAGAAAGCTTATTCAAAGACATATTAACAGAAAACTTGCCAAACTTTGAGAAAGAGATAAATATCCAGGTAAGGGAAGGTCAGAGAACATCAAACCGATTTCACTCAAATAAAGCTACCAAAAGGCACATAATAATCAAACTCTTAAACCTCAAGGAAAGAGAGATAATCCTAAAAGCAGCAAGAGAAAAGTAAATAAAATGTAAAGGAGATCCGATTCATCTGGCAACAGACTTCTCAGTGGAAACTGTACATGCCAGGAGTGAGTAGGATGACATTTTCAAAGTGCTGAAAGAAAAAAAAAATAACTTATATCCAAGAATATTGTCTCCATAAAGCTATCTTTCGAATATGAAGAAGAGACAAGGTCTTTCCCAGATAAACAAAAGCTGAGATAATTCACCACCAGGAGACCTGTCTATAAGAAATGCTAAAGAAAGGTCTTCAATCTAAAGAAAAAAATAAAAAACACTTAACATGCAAGAAGAAAGCATTTCAAGGTATTAAACCCACTGATACAATTTAGTGCATTAGACAAACCCAAAATGCTCTACTACTATAATTGTGGTGTTCAGTCCACTCATAACAATAGTATGAAGCCCAAAAGACAAATATTTCAAAAACAATAATAGCTACAGCGGCCTTTTAAGAAACAGGTAACGTAAAAAATATGTAAATTGAGACTACTAAAAGTCAAAATAGATGGAGCTTAAAATGTAGAGTATTTTTTTCTTTGTTTCTATTTTTTCTTTGTGATCTAAGTTGTCATTTATTTAAAATAACTTATTATATCTATGTGTTTTGTAAGCCTCATAGTAACCACAATGCAAAAACCTATAAAAGAGTGACAAAAAATTAAAAGCAACAAATTAAAACATACTACCAGAGGAAATCACTTAAACACAAAGGAAGACAGAAAGAAAAAAAGAAGAGAGGGGTTACAAAACAACCAGAAAACAAGCAAAGAGAGGGGTTACAAAACAACCAGAAAACAAGCAAAAAATGGCCATTGTAAGTCTTCACTTATCAACAATAACACTGAATGTAAATGGACTAAATTCTCCAATTAAAAGGCATAGAGTGGCTGAATGAATAAAGAAACATGACCCAACTATATGCTGCCCACAGGAAATTCACTTCCTCTATAAAGACACACAGACTGAAAGTGAAGGGGTGGAAAAAGATATTCCATATAACTAGCAACCAAAAAAGGTCAAGAGTAGCTATACTTATATCAGATAATAGACTACAAATCAAAGACTGTAAAAAGAGACAAAAACACTATATAATGATAAAGGGGTCAATTCAGCAAGAAGATATAAAATCATAAATATCTACGCACCCAACACCATAGCTCCCAAGTATATAAACATTAATAAATCTAAAGGGAGAGATAGATTGTAATGTAATAATAACAGGGAACTTCAATACCCCATTTTCAGTAATGAACAGATCATCCATACAGAAAATCAACAAATATTGGAGTTAAGCTACACCCTTGACCAAATAGGCCTAAATGTCATTTACAGAACATTTCACGCAGTTGCTGCAGAATACATACTCCTTTCATCAGCACATGGAACATTCTACAGAACAGATCATATCATAGAACACAAAACAAGTATCAACAAATTCAAAAATTAGAAATCATATCAAGTATCTTTTTTGACCACAATGAAATAAAACTAGATATCAATAACAAGAGAAACCTTGGAAAATACACAAACACATGAAAATCAAACAACATGCCTCTAAATGACCAATGGATCAATGAATAAATTAAGAAGAAAATTTAAAAATATCTTAAAAAAATAAAATGTAATATACCAAAATCTATGGATATAGCAAAAATAGTACTAAGAGGGAAGTTTATAGGAATAAACTTTCTTCATAATTCAAAAAAGTAGAAAGGCTTCAAATAAACCACCTAACAATGTTCCTCAAAGAAAGAGGAAAGAAAGAATAAACCAAACCCAAAATTAGTAGAAGGAAAATAATAAAGATCAGAGGAAAAATAAATGAATGAGATTTAAAAAGCAATAAAGAAAATCAACAAAATGAAAAGTTGGTTTTACTGACAAACATTTGGCTAGACTAAGAAAAATAGAGAGAGAATCCAAATAAACAGTATCAGAAACACAAAAGAAAACATAACAACTGGGACCACAGAAATACAAAGACTCATTAGAGACTATTATGAACAATGATATGCCAACAAATTGAAAAATCTAGAAGAAACGGATAAATTTCTGGACACATGCAATTTATCAAGACTGAACCATGAAGAAATAGAAAACTTCAATAAACCAGTAATGAGTAATGAGATCAAAGCTGTAATAAAAAGTATTCCATTAAAGAAAAGCCCACAATCTGTTGACTTCACTGCTGAATTCTATCAAACACTAAATTAAGAACTTATACCAATTTCACTCAAACTTTTAAATAAAATTGAAGAGGAGATAATACTTCTAAACTCATCCTATGAGGCCAGCATTACTCTGATATCAAAACCAGACAAGGACACAACAAAAAAGAAAACTACAGGCTAATATCCACGATGAATATAGATGTGAAAATCCTCAGCAACACACTAGCAAACCAAATTCAACAACCCATTAAAAAGATCATTCACTGTGGTCAGGTGGGATTCATGGGATTCATCCTGGGGATGCCAACATATACAAATTAATAAACAGGATACATCACATCAACAGAATTAAGGATAAAAACTATGTCATCATTTCAATAGATGTTGGAAAATCATTTGATAATACTAAACATCCTTTTATGATTAAAAAAACCCTCAACAAACTAGGTATAGAAGGAACATACGTCAAAATAATAAAGGCTATATATGACAAAACCACAGCTAACACTGTACTGAATAAGTAAAAATTGAAACCCTTTCCTCTAAGATTTGGAACAAAACAAGAATCTCTACTTTTACCATGTTTTTTCCACATAGTCCTGGAAGCCCTGGCCAGAGCAATTAGGTAAGAGAAAGAATTAATAGACATAATAGGTAGGGAAGAAGTCTAATTAGCTTCATTCACAAATGACATGATCTTGTACTTAGAAAAACCTAAAAACTCAACCAAAAAACTCTTAGAACTGATAAAGTCAGTAAAGTTGCAGGATACACAATCAACTTTAAAAAATCAGTAGTATTTATATACACCAACAGCAAACAATCTTAAAAAGAAATCAAGAAAGCAATCCCATTACAATAGCTACAAAGAATATAAAATGCCTAGGAATCAATTTATCCAATGTGGTGAAAGATCTAATAAGGAAAAATATAAAACAATGATGAAAGAAACCGAAGAGGACATTTTAAAATGGAAAGATATTCCATGCTCATGGATTGGGAGAATTAATATTGTTAAAATAATTCTACCCAAAGTAACTTACAGATTCAATGCAATTCCTATTAAAATTCCAGTGAAATTCTTCACAGAAATAAGAAAAAATTTTCTAATATTTATATAGACCCACAAAAGACTCCAAATAGCCAATGTAATCCTGAGCAAAAAGAACAAAGCTGAAGGTGTCACACTCACCTGACTTCAAAATATCCTCCAAATTTATAGTAACCAAATCAGCATTGAACTGGCATAACAACAGGCACATAGAGCAATGAAACAGAATAGAGACCCAGATATAAATCCAAACATTCACAGCCAACTCATTTTTGACAAAGGCAGCAAAAAGTTGCAATGGAGAAAGGACAGTCTCTTCAATAAATGGTGCTGGGAAAACTGAATAACCATATGCAGAAGAATGAAACTGAACCCCTATCCCTCCTCATATACAAAAATCAAATAAAAATGGATTAAAGACTTAAATCCAAGACCTGAATCTATGAAACTACTGGAAGAAAATATTGGGCAAATGCTCAAGGATTGTGGTCTGGGCAAAGATTTTTTTGTGTAAAATCGCAAAAGCACAGGCAACCAAAGCAAAAATAGACAAATGGAAAGACATCAAGGTAGAAAGCTTTTGTACAGTAAGTGAAACATTAAGTGAAGAGACAACCCAGAGGATGGGAGAAAATACTTGCACATTATCTATCTGACAAGGAATTAATAACCAGAATATATAAGCAGCTGAAGCAGCATGATAGTAAAAATAAAAAATTAAATCCAATTAAAAAAAATCTGAATAGACGTTTCTCAAAAGAAGACATACAAGTAGCTAATAGGTATATGAAAAAATGCTCAATATCACTTATCATCAGATAAATGTACATTAAAACCACAATGAGATATCATTTCACCCCGGTTAAAATGCTTTTATCGGCCAGGCGTGGTGGTTTACGCCTGTAATCCCAGCACTTTGGGAGGCCAAGACAGGCGGATTGTGAGGTCAGGAGATCGAGACCATCCTGGCTAACACGGTGAAACCCCGTCTCTACTAAAAATACAAAAAATTAGCCGGGCGTGGTGGTGGGCGCCTGTAGTCCCAGCTACTCGGGAGGCTGAGGCAGGAGAATGGCATGAACCCGGGAGGTGGAGCTTGCAGTGAGCCGAGCTTGGGCCACTGTACTCCAGCCTGGGTGACAGAGCAAGACTCCATCTCAAAAAAAAAAAAAAGAAAAAAGAAAAAAAAAGCTTTTCTCAAAAAGACAGGGAATGACATATGCGGGCAAGGATGTAGAAAAAGAGGAACCCTAATACACTGTTGTTAAGAATATAAATTGGCACAGCCACTAAGGAAAACTGTATGGAGGCTCCTCAAAAAAATTATAAATAGAATTACCATATATATGATCCAGCCATCCACTACTGGGTATGTATCTAAATCAATATATCAAAGAGATACACGCACTCTCATGTTTATTACAGAACTATTCGCAACAGCCAAAATATAGAATCAATGTAAATGTCCATCAGTGGACAAATGGATAAAGAAAATGTGGTATATATACACAATGGAATATTGTTCAGCCATAAACAATGCAATCCTGTCACCTGCAGCAACATAGATGGAACTGGAAGTCACTCAGTGAAACAAGCCAGACACAAAAAGATAAATATTGCACATTCCCCCTCATATGTGGAGGACAGAAAAAAAGTGGATCTCATGAAGATAGATAGAGAATAGAGTGGTGGTTACCAGAGGCTGAGAAGGGCAGGGGAATGATGAGAAATCAATTAACGGGCACAAATGTACCACTGGATAGAAGAACTAAGACCTAGTGCTGGACAGGGCAGTAAGGTGGCTATAGTTTACAATAATACATTATGTGCAAATGGATCAGAGGCTTAAATGTCACAGCTAAAGCTATAAAACTCTTGGAACATAGGAGTAAATTTTCATGTTCTTGGCTTTAGCAGATGATTCTTTGATGTGACATCTAAAATAAGCATCCAAGGCCAGGCGCGGTGGCTCGCACCTGTAATCTCAGCAGTTTGGGAGGCCGAGGTAGGTGGATCATTTGAGGTCAGGAGTTCAAGACCAGCCTGGCCAACATGGTGAAACCCCACCTCTACTAAAAATACAAAAATCAGCCAGGCATGGTGGTGGGCGCCCATAGTCCCAGCTACTCGGGAGGCTGAGGCAGGAGAATCGCTTAAACCTGGGAGGCAGAGGTTGCAGTGAGCAGAGACTGCGCCACTGTACTCCAGCCTGGGTGACAGAGCAAGACTCTGTCTCAGAACAATAAATAAAAATAAAATAAGATAAAATAAGCATCCAAAAAAATAAATGAAATTAAAATTTTGCTTACTAAAAGATACTATAAGGAAAATGAAAAATCCACAGAATGAAAGAAAATAGTTGCCAGTTATATATTTGATATGAGTTGAATATATATTATTCAGAATAAATAAAGAATGATTAAAGCTCAAAAATAAATGTCAAATAACCCAATTTTAAAATGGGCAAATAATTTGAATAGACATTTCTCCAAAGAAGATATGCAGATAGCCAAGAAACACATGAAAAGATATTCAACATCATTAATTATTATGGAAATGCAAATCAAACCCTGAGGTACCACTCCGCATGAATAGTTATACTTTTTTAAAATGGAAAATAAGTGTTGGCAAAGATGTAGAGCAACTGGAATCCTTATACACGGCTAGTGGGAATGTAAAATAATGTAGCCACTGGTATAAAGGTTTAGCAATTCTTCCAACAGTTAAACGTAGAATTGCCATATGACCCAGAAATTCCACTCCTACATATACACAAATAATTGAAAAGATATGTTAACACAAAAAATTGTAAATAAATCTTCACAACAGCATTATTCACTATAGCCAAAAAGTGGAAACAACTCCAAAATACTACAACAGATAAATGGATAAACTGTGGTATATCCATACTTTGGAATTTTTTCAGCCACAAAAATTAAGTACTAATACATGATATAACACAAACCTTGAGAACATTAAGCTGCATAAAAGAGGTCAGACACAAAAGGCCACATATTGTAACATGTCACTTAATTGAAATATTTAGAAATCCATAGAAACAGAAATTAGACCAGTGGTTGCTAGATGATTCGGGAGTGGGGAATTGGGACTGACTGCTAATAGTTACAGGGTTTCTTTTCAGGGTGATTCAAGTGTCCCAGAATTAAACAGTGGTAATGGTTGCACAATATATGAATACACTCAAACCAAGTAAACTGCACAGTTAAAAATGATGAATTTTAAGTCATGTAAATTATATCTTAATAAAAATATCTAATAGAAATATACAATAAAATATTTACAGATGAAATGCTATTTGAGATTTACTTCAAAATAATTTTGTAATGGGGCTGGAGCAGATGAAAAGGGATTAGCTGGGTGTTACTGGTTTAAGCTGGTGATAGGAGCATATATTAAAATTTGTACAATAAATTTTGTAAAACGTCAGCTAAGTAAAAGATTTTTAAAAGGACATTGAGAAATATTTATTGTAAAGCTACATAATCAAAATTGATAGACTGGCTTTGAAATGAAAAACAACGTTAAGAAATAGACCAAATAATACCTAAAATTTGTCATATGACAAATTTGGCATTTCTAATTAATAAGGAAGAAATGATTCCTAACTGGGTACCTCACTAATCTTTAGAGAGAAAAATAAATGGGTAACAGCCTTACACAATACCATACATGCAAATATAATCCACAAGGATTAAGTTCCAAATAAAATTTAAAATATGTAAGAACAAATTACATAAATGTGCAATGTAAAGTTAGAAACATATTAATAAAGTTCTTCTACATCTAATAATAAAAATAGATCTAAGGACTTTTTACAATATCACGAACTGAAAAATTATTCTCATATGGAAAGGCATTACTGAAAAAAGAGTATTTCAATGAAAAAAGTTACTTAAACAGTGGATAAACAAAAACTGAAATACAAATGCCCAGTATACTAAATATGGTTCCATTTTTTGCGGTCTAACAACTGAAACCCTTTCTGATCCAGAGAAGTCCCTACTTTGGGTTTTTCAGGCAGGAAGTGAGTGGCTCCATCCATAAGAAGGGGAAGTATAAGTCACTTTCCCTCCTAGGCCCATCCAGCCTGGGCAAACAACTGTGATTTGTGTTAACAAACATCTTTAAAATAATATATACATTCTTTGAGACAGAGTTTTGCTCTGTCACCCAGGCTGGAGTGCAGTGGCACAATCTTGGCTCACTGCAACCTCTGCCTCTCAGGTTCAAGAGATTCTTGTGCCTTGACCTCCCAAATAGCTGGGATTACAGGCATGGGCCAACAGGCCTGGCTAATTTTTATATTTTTAGTAGAGACGGGGTTTCACCATGTTGGCCAGGCAGGTCTCGAACTCCCGGCCTCAAGTGATCCGCCCGCTTCAGCCTCCCAAAGTGTTAGGATTGCAGGTATGAGCCATCACACCTGGCCTAAAATAATTTTTATTGTTTGATGTAGACAAATAGTTTGCTCACAGTCTATTAGAAGATACACATGTTGGCCCAAACTTTTTGGAGAAAATTTGGCAATATGTATCAACAGCTATTAAACAGTGAAGACACTGACTCAGCAGTTACACTCCTAAAAAGTATTAAGAGAAAATACTCACCCTAGTATGAAAATGTGTTCACAGAGATGCTTATCATAGCGTTGTTTATATTTACAACACAAATTGGAAGCTACCTGAATGTACAATAGAACATGAATCAGATAAATTATGGTGCACCCACATAAAAGAATTATATGCAACCATCATAACTAAGGAGGTGAAAAATCAGGCTAAAAAACAGTATTTGCACTAGAATCTCATTTCACTATGTGCGTGTGCATATATGTGTGAATAGACGCATACACACCCACACATTCAGGGAGAGAATGAAGTTTACACGCTAGCACGTTAACGGTGGTGACCTCTGCGGGGGGGGGGGGCAGCTAATGCTAATAAGCTATTGTGTTTTTTCCCTTCGTTTGTTTCCTTTGTTTTGTCTATTTATAGTTTCTATTTTCCAAAATATGTTGTTTCTTTAAAAAGTAAGAAAACGTTTAGAAATAATATTTCTGAAGTTAAAAAATAATTACACCAACATACTATTTTTCTGTATCTGCATCTTACATTTCCCATAAAATAAATGCATATTCTACAAAGACTCTACTAAGAATAGAGGGTTTTTTAAATGGCCAAACTGCACTCATTAAATCAGAGTTATGCTTCACTTTTTAATTCAACTCTAGCTTGTCTTTCAGTAAATAACTGAAATAAACATATTTTGGACAGGCTCATTCAAATGGACCACCATTTAAAATATCTATTAGAATACTATAAGCACAAATCCTTCAAAATTTGCATAAGCTTTTAAATTGTGGGGTTTTATATGTAGAAAATTACATTGTATCTTTTCCCTTGGTATTATTTAGTTGTTTACTTTAAGGCTATTTATCCTTGAATGAAAAAAAAAATAGTTGCCATGTTTTTGTAATTCACAAACTTCAATAGCACTGTGCCATAACTAGAAATAATAGAATTAGATGTGTAATAGGAATCCTATGTGTTGAGTATAACTAAAATGCTGCAACCTATTTAAAGATTAATTTTTCAAGTTGGGTTTATAAATCATTTACAAAGAAATTGAGCAGAACTAAAATTACAGTCCAACTGTCACATTCCTGCGATGTGACCGCAGTGTGCTCGGGCTGGAAGCCACAGCAATGAGTGTTTGCAGAGCCGAAAGCTCTGCCAGACCATCAGGAACAAATATCTTCCACTGGCCAGATACTGGATCAACAACCATTAAATATAATACGAACCATCTTCCATGGCCATAGCTCAAAAGCTATGAACACAAACAGTTGCAAATATGTCACTGGAAACTCAGGCACCCTCACACTGATTGGTCCATGCACTGCACAAATTGCCTCCATTCTAGCTCAAGAGAAACCCCCATGACCTTTCAAAACAGAGATGAAAACAAGTCCTCAGTGACTAATTTTAGAGACCTGCCTTTTCTCTTGTCCCTCCTTTGATAAGTTTCTTGTTCTACGTATCAACATTTACAAATGCTGCTCTGTTTTCCACAAGCTGCACACACTAGGGCCTCCCCACCTCTGCTCCTCAGTATGCATGACTGTGTACATTTTAGGAGGGGATGTAAATGGCCTCAACTGTATGAAAGCATGACACAACCTTTGGGATGATTCTGTGGTTTCACTGGCTCACCCACGTTACATAGGAGACTGCAACGCATGGAGGTGGCCGATGTTTATGGCTGGTATAACGCAGCACCGCCCAGCAGCAGCTCAGCCTTCTTGAGGCCGGTGCCTCTCCACCCTCCCTCACTCACAGAACATCGAACCTCTCCATTCTGTAAACTCAATGAAAATAATGCATCCATAACAAAGGCTCAATTCTAAATTTACCAGGAGGCATAGGTCTAAATTCTGTGATTAGAGGTTACATTTCTAAGAATCACTGTAAACCTTCCTAACATTCATGCATGCACGTCTCATGTCTGAGATGCAGCCACATCCTTCCTCATGTTAAAAAGCTGATGTCTGGTCTGATCTCAGCCTCCCACACATAGCAGTGGCTTTGTATCAAATTCTACCCTTTCTGCCACAGCACCTAGCACTGCCTGACATGTTGTCTGTGTTTTTCACTAGATTAAGGTCCATGAAAACAGAATCTTGGCCAGCCCTGTTCACCTGTTTTCATGGCACTCATTAAATATGTGTTGAATGAATGGATATATGGATTACATTTTGTACATAAAAATGTACCTTCTTGACATTAGCATTTCAATAAGTGAATTGATGCTGGTTTTCTTTTCTTAGGTCCAGAGTTAGGAAGCAAGGAAGTTTTCTAGAATTAAGAATGACATTGAATCTTCATTTTTTTTCTACTGGAGTTCATTCGTGTTGATTCCTTCCTTAAACCAGTAAAGATTACTGCCTTTCAAAACCAAAGACAATTATATCTTAATCCCGTGGACATTGGGGAGCAAACACTGCTTCCAATCCATCTGAGGAACAGAAACATTTGGATAAGAGAAAGACAATTCAGTAGTAACTTGTCAAATACTTCCTGGCAGAGAGCAGATGGGCAGCAGACTCCTGCAGAATAGAGCTTGTTTCCCAGAAGCACCCCAGCATCCAGCTCGCTGAGTGTTACCTGCTCTACTCATGGTCTCATGGTCTGCAATCGACATGAAATCACAGCAGGTGCACAGGGCAGGTGAGGAGAATTCTGCAACATTAAACAGTTTGTTTTTTTTTTTTTTTTGAAATGGAGTGTCACTTTTTTGCCCAGGCTGGAGTGCAGTGGTGCGATCTCAGCTCACTGCAACCTCCACCTTCTGGTTTCAAGCGATTTTCCTGCCTCAGCCTCCCAAGTAGCTGGGATTACAGGCACCCACCACCATGCCTGGCTAATTTTTGTATTTTTAGTAGAGATGGGGTTTCACCATGTTGGCGACGATGGTCTCAAACTCCTCGTGATCCGCCTGTCTCGGCCTTTATTCTCCATGTAGCTTTGTCTTTGGATGTAACCAGTGTGATGTGTTAATTACTACTCTTTACAGTGGCAAAGGCAGATCTTGAAGGTTCTATTGTAATTTTCTTTTTTCCCAATAAAAGTATCTTTAAAGTCTTAAATAAACTAAAACATTTCAGCTGTATTTAAAGTTTAGATACAACAAATTATATACTTATCATTGTACATTTTTAATTTTAATACAAGTGAAAATTTTTGAATAATTATTTGAAGACATATAACCTTCAATTTTTTAAATTTCTTAACTTTTTCAAACTTATATTTTTTCAGGGAAAAACATTTAACATTTTTATACTTCACATAATTCCCTTATTTTTTAATACTTGGAGTCACTGAGAATGAGTACAAGATGAGACATTAATAGAAATAGAAAATACTAAAAATGGGAATCAAAAAGCAATCAAAATAGAAAATCTTCTCAAATAAGTTTACTTCATTTATTTCTAATTGCAAAAAAGAAAGCAGACATGGATTTTACCAAAGTCTATAACAAATTATTGAATAAAGATCTAATATTGAGTAGAAAATTTTTTTTTATCAAATCCATAACTTGAACAGAGCAGAGGGAACTGCCTCAACTTCCTATTTTTTATTATTAATAAATGAGAAATACATTGCCAGTCTTTTAGCAGAATACCCACAAATGCACAATGAAAATTACATTCAATTGTATTTGAAGTTTTGTTTACTTTAGTCATATAAATGAAATTTTATTTAGTTTCAATTTTTATGTGACATAGGTGTATTTGTCAATGGGTAGATGTGTATATTTGTTGTTGGGTAAAACATGTTCTTTTCATAGTTGGTTAACTGAAATAACAATTGCAACCTCTGGCTTCTGGCAGTCCCTTAATCTAGACCCCAAAAACAGGAAAACTTAAAATTAAAAAAAAAAAAAAGATGCTTCAGATGAAGTTACACCTAGAAGGGGAATTATCCCTGGGCCTGTATCACTGGGAGGTCTCCTGACTATTGATAGCAATCCAGCACCTATTTTTGAGCACCTACAGTTTATGGCAAAAACAAAAACAAAAACATATATATGTGTGTGTCAGACTCCCGAGATGTAGAGGTCTCAAGAGATCAAAGTCTGTAGGGGAAACAGAAAAGTGAATTACAGGTCTGTGAAAGAGCTGAGCAGAAAAGCCTGAGACCTGCTCAGAGGAAGACAGGCTCCCAGGGAAGAACACATGTGTTAGACAGAGCTTCAAGGGAAGATGAGGATTAGCAAGGGAGGTAGTGGAGCTCAGGGTTTCCAAAGAAAGCACAGGACACAGGCATGGCCATGTGAGACAGCGTGGCATGGAAGGAGGGAGACAGCCCACATGGGTTGGAGTAAATGGCTTTGCAGGAAAATTGGGGGGGGCGGGGGCGGTGGTGAGGTGAGAACGATTGGGTGCTAGACAGAAATGAGTCTTATATCCTATGCCCAGGAGTGACTGGGGACTCCTGAAACTTTTTTGCATGGAAATAACAAAAGTGACTAAATAGAAAACAATGGAGAATGTATTTCCTGAGAAAGATCCATCAGAAAGCAATGCCTAGTTGGAATCTCAGAAGTTCCCTAAAGACAGCAGGAGTAAGGTTTTAGTCACCCTCCTTTAATGGGTCATCTATTCCCTGTGCTCAGAAACAGAAAAGGCAGAGAGGCAAGAGGGAATGAGCAGAGATCCCACATTGGGCACCACCAGCAATGGAGCTGCAAACACAGGCAGAGCCCCCAAGGAAGGAGCTGTGTTCACAGAACCATGCAGGCACCGGCCTGTGATCCCATCTGCTGCAGTGATGAGCATGTGCTTCACCCCAAAACTCTCAAGGAAGGTGACAATCTCACAAGCAACCATGCATCACCAACTGGTAATGGTTCTCAAGAAGGTAAGCCTGTGTGTGTGTGTGTGTGTGTGTGTGCACATGTGCACGTGTATGCATACATGTGCCTGTGTGCATGTGTATTCTGCCTAACTGCCCTAACTAGAACATCCAATACAATGATGAACAGAAGTGGTGAGAATGAACATCCTTGTTTTTCCTCATCTTGGGGAAAGCACCCAGCCGAAAACCATTAAGACTGCTGCTAGTCACAGGGTTCACAGGTGGCTTTATTAGGTTAAGGAAGCCCCCTTCCATTTGCTGCTGTTGCTGTTGCTAAGTGTTTGTATCACGGATGGTTGTTACATTTTGTCAAATCATTTTCCTGTGTATGTGATATGATTGTGTGGTTTTGTTTTGCTGATGTGATGCATTACATGTGCTAATTTGCATTTGTTAAACCAACCTTGCATTCCGGGGACGAATCCCACTTGCTGATGGTGTGTAATCCTTTTCATAGATTGCTAGATTTTATTTGCTAGTAATTTGTTGGAGATTTTTGTATTTCTATTCACAGAAAACATTGGTCTTGGTTTTCTAATTTTTTTGATGTTTTTAATCTGGTTTTGGACTCAGGGTAATACTCATCTCACAGAGTGATGTATTCTCTCCTCTTCTATCTATTGGAAGAGTTTGTGAAGAATTCATATTAATTCCCTTTTAAGAGTCTGGTAGGAATAACCAGTGAAGCCATCTTATCCTTGGCTTTTCTTTGTGGGAAGTTTTTTTTATTATTATTACTAAGTTAATCTCTTTACTTGTTATAGATCTAGTTCAATGTTCTACTTATTCTTGAATCAATTTCAGTAACTCATGTCTTTCTAGGAATTTGTCCATTTAATCTAAATTATCTAATTTATTGTAATATAGTAGTTAAAATATTCATTTATAATTTTTAAAATCTCTATAAAGTTGGTGGTAATGGTCTCTCTTTTGTTCCTGATTTTAGTAATTTGAGTCTTCTCTTTTTTTTTCTTGGTCAGCTCTAGCTCTTATTCTTTGCTTCCCTGCTTTAGGAATTTCATATATTCAACATCTGGATATACTAATTTGTTAGCTAGGTAAAACATGAACTTATTTATACTTAAGAACATGTTAGTATGAAAAATACCTATGGATATCTATTAAATTCTTCTGTGAATTATTTAAGGTATAATTTTACAAAAAAAAAAACTTGTCTAGAAAATAAAATACCAAATCATTCAAAGGCAAACTTCTAATACTACAAGGCTACCATGGCATAGTGCAAAAACAGCACCAATCCAGGATTCAAGAAGACCTCTATGATGCTAGCTCTGCTATGAACAAGCACGTAATTTTCAATTAGTCACTTATTTTCTTTTGGCTAAAAATGGAATCAGGTGGTCTTTAGGGCCCATCTGGTATGAAGATCCTTTCATTGTTTGATACCTAACAGTAGAGTAAACAACTACATTTAGATCACCTAAGAAGCATCAGAGCACCTAAGGAACATCAGATAAAAATCTATTCAGATCCAAATAATAAATACAGCTTGCTTGACATGTCAGGGCCGATTTTCCCTTTCCACAGTTTTACGACTCAAAACTGTATTAGATTTTCTTGGATCTGACAATCAAAAGGTATTGGAGCCACACAGGAATACCATGAAGGATTTCAAACTCAAATTCAGCAACGAGGAAAAAATAGGTTAACCTATTATAAGTCCTTTTTTCTTTCTTTCTTTTATAATCTAACATAAATCATGAAAATCCAAAGGCAAAATTAAAAGGCAATAAAATATGTTCCAGTAGTTCACCTTATCCTGGGAAGGGCTTACTAACTGTTGCCCAGATGTACTTAATGCAGCTTAAAACGACCATGTCGTTTAACTTAACCATGTGCATCTGCCTGTCCAAGACCACCCCAGCTTAGGAAAGCTCCACTTTCATAAAGTATGTGGACCACAGAACTTGGTAAGTCAGACAAGAGCAACAAAGGAGGTTCAAGATGAAGGTTAGAGAGTACAGGTTTCTCACCAGATCTGTACACACTGTAAATGATAAACAAGAGCAATTATTGTTTAGCTCTGACACCCAGTGTATTCACTTCAGAGTAATGTTTCCAGCAGAAAATACCAGGGCCAATCCACTGTTCCAGACTTTGTCTCCATTAAATCCAATACTGTTCCCACATACTTTAATTTAAAGGAATTAAAACCAATAACTACACACAAGGCTGAGAGATCACTTTACAGAAGCAAATCCAGAAGTTGCCAGCATGCCTGTAAGATTTCATTTCTGGAAAGCATTAAATTATCCTCTGTGCCAACAGAAAAAAATAGGCTCAAAAGGAATAAAAATGAAGTACTGGGCTAATAGTTCAAAAAAGCATAAGGTTTTCTGCGGTTTATAACTTGAGGACTTTTTCCTTTTAAGATTCCCTTCAGGTAGAGCTTTCAAAAATACAATCATAAGCCTTATATAAGGACCACATCTGATATGAGCCTTGCATAACAGCAAGGACACCCCACTTTCCTCAAGTTCAGTCCATGTGCATCACCAGAGCTACACTTTCACTCCACCAGCTACAGTGAAGTCATTAAATATTTGCAAGGCCACATTTTCCAAATTAGGTCCATTATTTTTATGAACCTCAATTCTAACAAATGCTGTAATAATCCTAAGTTTATTTCTAGATGTCTGAATCTCCCACTTAAAGTGCAGAACTAATGAAACTGGTCTTATTCTGACACGGATTGCTTATAAATGAAACAAAAAAACTACAAAAGAAAACCATGGCTCTGCCAACCCTTGCACAAATGTGTGATCATGCTCACTCACACAACAAATATTCACCAAATGCTCTTTAAGCCAAGAAGTTTTCTAGGCTCTGGGATTAGGCAGCTGGGCTCACAAAAGTGATCAGATGTTAAGTCAGACACAAACCAGAAATCTCACCTAGGACCCAGCTTTTCCAATCATTAGAGGGATACAGCCACCAAGAGGCACAAGAAAAGCAGGAAGAGGTTAAGACATCGTGTGTGGGTCTCCAGGTCTTCCCTTCCCTCTTAGTCTCTGGGTAAGGTACGTGGTTTAGTTCACATAGGGACAGGGATGTAGGTTATGAAACATCTCCATTTAATACTTCAAATAGCTGTCTGGTTCTCTACAGAGCCATGACTCATGGATCCATAGACCACAAATTTATTTACCATGCAATCCTAACCCAGAGAAATCCTGCTAAAACCAGAACATAGATAAGGGCTCTTTTCATAGCAAACATCATGACTCTATTTACCAGGAGGCCTATTATCCTCATATAACAGAGACGCGTGTAGGTCACCTGTCTTCTTTCTTTTTCTTCAAGTGCCCCTTGGTATTCCTAGTGGTTGAGAGGGAGGAATCGCAGGCCAGCTGCCTCCCAGACATTATACAATACAGGCAAGATCTCTCTTCTTACGTAGCTTATGCTCTTCAGGGAGGAGCATCCAATAAGGAAATATATGAATAGACAAGACAATTTTAGAGATTTGTGTGCTGTGATGAACATAGAATAGGGTGATGTGATAGGGAATGAGTAAGAGGGCTGCTTTAAATTGGGTGGTCAGAGAAGGACTCTCTGAAGGTATGATTTAGGACCTGAGATCTGAAAGACAAGAAGTCATTCATAAGAAAATCTCTGCAAAACCATCCTAGTCAGGAAGAATAGCACATGCCAAACTCCCAAAGTGGAAGAGCTTGGTGTAAAATAGAAATGATTGAGAAGCAGAAAAATTGCCTACAATGTTGGAGAGTATCAGATGGGGGAGAGTGGATGGAGGGTGGAATGTGAGCAAGGACCAGATGATGGGAGGTCACTGATGTGATGGGCGTGGGCTTCGATCTTATTCTGGGTAGAATGAACCACCATGGGGGTAGTGCCAGAAGAATCACTTGATCTGACCTGTGTCTTAGGCCATCTGGCTGTGGGTGTAGAAGAGGCAGTAATGGACATGGGGGGAAGCCAGAGTATTCTGAAGCAGCCCAGCTGTTAAGAGACGGTGGTCTGGACAAAAGCCGGGGGAAATGGCAAGAAATAGAAGGGTTTGGGTTATGTATTAAAGTAATGACCAGGAGTGTGAAAATCATATCTCAATAAAGTTGTTTAAAAATATATGGCCAAGAGTCCCTGATTTTTGTAGATATCACTATATATTGAAGCATTTACAGACAAAATGATGGGATGCCAAAGATTTTCTTCAAAATAAATTGGGTGTGTATGTGTGGTGGGGGTGGGGAGAGATGGAGCAAGATAAGCCGTGAGCTGACAACTGGGGCAGCTAGGCTAGCCACAGTTGGGTGTGTGGAAATTATATTAACATTGAATATATGTTTAAAATTTCCATAATAAAGTGTTCAAATTTGAACATTAAGTCTGGCAGGATCCTGATGGTCACAGGGTGGTGAAACACCTTGTGTGTAGTTTAGTCAATCACTAACCTTACACACATTCTCTGTAACATCTCCAGATGATCCTTCAGTCTGCTTAGAGTAGCATGAAACTTCTTTTCAACAGCCTGTACTCTTATGTCATTTAATCTGAAGAAAGTGCTTTGTCACACTGAGCGAAAATCAATCTCTCTGAAACTTCCAACCGTGCGACATAGTTCAATAACATGGAAGCAAAGCAAATGGTTGGACTCCTCCCATAAGGTCACTCTTAAGAACGGATATCCCACCTTTCACAAGCTAAAATGAAATTCTTTAAGTCACTCCTGAAACCAGAAATAGATATTTTCCTTCGAAATAGTTATTTTCCTACTCTTCCTCTCCTTTTTTTCATTCCAGGAAAACTCATCTCCCTCTAGGACCTTGCAATTTCAGTTAAGGTCTCCCTTTTCACTGGTTTATTTATATAGGCCTGCAACATAGTCAAGCCTCCACATACTGGAATACACACACACACACACACACACACACACACACAAACACACTTATATATATATATGTGCATGTATATATACAAACACTAACCATATGCAGTAATATGAAGATTTTTTGTTCTTCAGTACACATAGTAAATGACATTTTGTAATCATGACATTACTCCTATGATACAATCCCATGAAATACACACATTACAGACTACCAAATAAATGTGTAGGCCATATAGTTTCTCGCACTTACCCTGTTCTATCTTAATTAAGGAAACATAGCTCAGCATAAGAAAGATTTTATTTTGAAGACAAATTTGAATCTCCTCTAATTTATTAGAATGAGTTGACATTCTAGTCCCTTATCATTAATAAGCAATAGCTTAGGGTGTAATTCACAACTGGGTGGATGCACACTGTCCTTTCATGGTTTACATGCCTTCCATTTTGTACTAACAGTGTACAAAGCTTTGGAGTTGTTTCCGTCGCACAGCCCCCTGGTCTTCTGACAGCCTCACCACAGTGTCCCAGTCCCTTCTGTCCACTGCCTATAAGAACTGGACCTCCACATCCTTCATTGAGGGATCTCCCCCATCGCCCCAACCCGCTGGGAAGCAACTTGGCCATCACTTGTCCACAGTTAATTGGACAAAGGATAAGCAACTGACCCAGCCAAAATATTCCATTTCATGTTGACAGGAAATAGTGATTCCAGATAAAGCTCTGGCAGTCAGCCGTCTCTGTCAGTGTTTCATTTTGCCTACTGCCCCAAATGCCTCACTTCCTTCTTGCTCCGTGTATCATGTTAGACATCCACCACCATCCCTTACTTAAAAAAAACAAAACAAAACTTATCAAATAACATGATTCACATCTGAATCTAAGCAGTTCAGAGAACTTATACCCCAAATCAACAGTCTTTCATCCCAGCCCTCCCCACTCACAAGCCTGTTCCAAGGAGGCAATGTCAGTGCTAAGACTGACGATGCTGGGTGCTGTTCCTGATCAAAACCAGTTTGTGTCCTGTCCACAGGTGGGGGTGAAGGAATTTAAAACCCCCAGCTTGTGTCTGCTGGCTCCCTCCTGTGAAAGAAGAGAGGTTACCTCAGCCACAGTAAGCCCTGGGAAACACAATAACCCCTGTGGACTTCACATTCCCAGGGCTATACAATGATATTATGATTCTTACTATTTTCTTCTGTTAACCTACATAGACTCCTCTCTCTGAAAAATGAGTCCATCAGCAATGCTACCTCCCGACATCAGGCCTACCCACCTTCACTTCTCACATTTTAACCAAATTTTAACCAAATTTTGAATGGCCATAGCCGTTAACATTTAGGTGGTTTTCTATAGCTACAACCAGGTTTTCTATCCTTTCCTATGGATGGTATAAAGAAATTCAAAATCATTAATCATAATTTTCTTTCTTTTGCTTGTGTAAAATTATTCATCATGCAGTCAAGAACATACTAGGATTGCTGTTCCTTCTCTATGGCCCCTAGAATGACTATTTAGGTAACAAAAGCAAAACATTCCTCACACCCAACTGAAATGCACTCTTGCCCCACACCACATAACTTGCTTATGATCACGATGCTTAAAATTATATTGACTTCTTTCACATTGAAATCATATATTCTTTTGTTTTCTTAAACTTATTTTTCTTTCATTTATTAATGAAAAATACTTCTGTCATATCTGGAAGATTTTCTATCTTCTCAGTATTGCTCTTATTGAATAGAATCTTTTTTTTTTTTTCTTTAGAGGGAGTCTGGCTCTGTCACCCAGGCTGGAGTGCAGTGGCGAGATCTCGGCTCACTGCAAACTCTGCCTCCCGAGTTCAAGCAATTCTCCTGCCTCAGCCTCCTGAGTAGCTGGGATTACAGGCAGACGCCACCATGCCCAGCTAATTTTTGTATTTTTAGTAGAGACAGGGTTTCACCATTTTTTGGTCAGGCTAGTCTCAAACTCCTGACCTCATGATCCTCCCACCTTGGCCTCCCAAAGTGCTGGTATTACAGGCATGAGACACCGCGCCTGGCCTGAATAGAATCTCTTTTTACCCCGAGATCTTCTCAAAATTTTCTGTCCACCTGCATGAACCTGGACCTGGTATTTTCTAACCCTGAGACATAGCTGAGGCCTGAGATTTCCCTCCATCACTCTCCTGGGTTAGATTAGTTATTTCCTGGATTCTGTGCCTTCTCTGTTCTCAGAACCCTCATTTTATTGGTGTATCTGCTCAAGTAAACTCTCCAGGGGGAGTGCCTTGGACATGAACACCATTTCTCTGCATCACTGAAGAAATCTTTATTCTAGCCTTCAATTTAATTGGTTGTTTTCTATCTGAAATAAGCCTCCCTCGGAATTTACAATAAATTGCAAGGTGAACAAGGAAAAGCAGACTCAAATAAAAATGTAATAAGGACCATTAAGGAAAGGCAAGAAAAAAAAAAACCCTAAAATAGAAATGAGGTTAAAAAGACATAAAAAGGACAAGGAAAACAGTAAAATGAATGACAGGCCAAGAAGAAATAACATACACAAAACCAGAGTCTCTGAAGAAAGTAAAAATAAACAGTAGAACAAACCAATATTTAAAACTATAAGAAAAACTTCCAGATTCATAAAAAAGGACACAAATCTATATCCTGACCCACAACGATCTACTCTGAGCTGTGTATCAGTGAAACAATCAGACTTCATTGATAATTCTCTATGGGGATCAATGAGCTGCAGAGGAATCTGACTGCATCAAGCACAGCACACAGCACAGGGCAGCACCGCTGTCAGACATGTCAATAAGAAAACGTGTGCTGAGAATTGCAGAACCAGCCAGCCTGGCCTTCAGGCACGAGGCCATAGAAAAGTAGCTTTAACCTGCAGGAACTTGGGTGTTCTCTAACCACGAACTCTTTTTGAGAGATCTAATAGAAGAAAAGCTTGGTCTAACTGACAGATGACTAGAAAATTTTCAGCAAAAGGACTGATGGTCCCGGTAACCCCTACAAGTTGCAACCATAAGCAAATCTGGTAAACGGAAAAGAAAAAAGTACTTAATGAATTTTATACTCTATCCAAGAAGTAGGCATAAGTTAAGCAAAATATCTTGAGACTTAAAAAATTCTAATGTAATAAATAATGATGATAAATCTTAACATGGTCACTTAATAAAGATTAATTATTTTCTTAATGAATGACTATTTCTAGGTGTTCTCCTCCTCTAGACAAATAGGGAACAAAATTTTATATTAAGGGAACAATTTCATGATTTCTGAAGACAAACTGTTGTTACATAGGTCCACTGCTCCTGCTTCAAACTCTTCATAGGAAAGGGGTATAGATTTTAGACATTTGCAGAAATCCTGAGGATGACACTTTCATACTATACTGTCTAGCTCATAATTTATTTTTAAAGGTGAGTTTAAGGAGGTAAAAATGTATATGCAAAAATGCCGAATTTTATCAACGAATCATCAGATTGGTAGTTAAAAGTTTAATGATAAATAGGATATTTATATCAAAGTATGTAGCCAAAAACCACTTATTAATTTTATAAAGAAAAATATTGACTTTATAATAGGGAAATCTGATAAGCAGTATCTTAGCCAGTTATTAAATTAAACAAAGTAATTGCAACAAACCAACATCATTTAACTACTGATAAAAGTACAACTTTGTTTCTGTGGCATTCCTGACCAAAAAAATATCTAATTATAAGAAAATATCAAAAAAGTCAAATGAGGAAATTTTACAAAGGAATTGACTTGTACTTTTTTAAAATGTCAAGGTCAAGAAAGACAGAAAGGCTTAGAATTTATTCCAAGAGACTAAGACAAAATAACTAAATGAAATGCATCATCCTGAAGAGGAAAATGGTGACAAAGCATTTTTAAATGTTAAAATTGGAAGTGAACTGTAGAGTAGATAAATAGATAATAGTCTTGTATTAATGTTACATTTCCTGACTTCGGTAATTGTCCTCTATTTATGTAAGGGGATGTCCCAGGTCTTAGGGAATGCATACTAAAGTGTTTAGGCATAAAGGGAATCATATTTCAACTAACTCTCAAGCAGTTTGGAAACTAAATTTATAATATATACACAATCTAATAAAAATATTATGCAAGCCATATGTATAATCTTAAATTTTCCAGTAGCCATATTTTAAATAAAGTAATTTAATTTTGATATTTGAGTTAATTCATTACATGAAAATATTTCAATACATAATCAAGATAAAAGTTATTATTGAGAAAACGTATCTTTTGTACTATGGCTTCAAAATCTCAAATGTATTTTAGACTTACAGAGCATCTCAGCATGGACTAACCAGAGTGAAGGTGCTAATCAGCTACATGTAAGAAGAATGAGAAGGAAGGAATATGAATAAATAATAAATCAATAAAGAAAATGGGAAATGTGTAAATAAAACAATTATTTAATCTGGGTAAAATATATAGTATTTTACATATTCGTTTTATATCTTTTCTATAAGTTTCAAATAATATCAAAAACTTTTAAAAAGTTAAGCAAAAAATAAGAAAATGCAATGAACAACTTTACACCAATAAATCTGAACACTCAGCACATAGGCAAAGTTCTAGAGAAATGTCATACCAAAGTGAGTACAAGGAACTATTTAAAGCCAGAATAATCCCATCATAGGACAACAGTTCTTAAACATTTTGGTCTTAATACCCCCTTCATACTCTTAAAAGTTATTGAGGATTCCAAAGGGCTTTTACTCATGTGGGTCTTTTCTACCAATATTTAGCAAATTAGAAATTGAAAATGAAAAGTTTTAAAAATATGTATTTATTTAAATTCATAATAATAAATCCATTACCTTTTAACATAACTTATTTTATAAGGTAATTATATTTTCCTAAACAAAAACAAATTTGGTGAGATGAATGGCATGATTTTATATTTTTTCAGCATTTAGTCTGTTGCAATCTGTTGTTTGGGTTGAAGATATGAGGTTGGGAAAGGAAGAAGTATTTTTAATAGTCATTTCAGATAATTTGAATATTCTTTTTTAATACTACTTCAAAACATGATGAGTATATATTTCCTAAAGGTTATGTGAGTTGTGAAACTTGAAACCTTGTCAATAAATTGCATTTTGAAGCATTAAAATCTACTGGTGTATCTTCCACTTTGAACAGATTTTTACCAATGCATGATTTTGTAACAACATGCATTAATCATATAGAAAACATCAGTTCACTGAGTCATGCAGATTTCAAATATTGACATATTACATTATACAATATCAAAACATCACAGTTGACCACATCAACAAGCTAAAGAAGAAAAATTATATATAACAATTGTTGCAGAAAAGTATTTGGAAAAGGCAACACATATTTATGATAAACTCAGCAATTCAGGAAGAGAGGAACATTGCCTTGATAAACAGCATCAAGAAAACACAACTAACATCACACTTAATGGTGATGATTGGATGCTCTCCCCCTAAGTCTGGGGATAATGAAAAGATGTCTACTCTCACACTCTCAGTCCACATAGTGCTCTAAGGTATAGCGACTGAGATAGGCAAGAGTAGGACAGATTTGGGGAAGGAAATAAACTGTCCCTATTTGCAGATGACATGCTTATTTACAGAGAAAATCCCAAGAAATTTATTAAAAAAAAACTCTTAGAACTAATAAGTAAATTCATCAAAGTTGCAAGATATAATATCATCACATAAAATCAGTCTCATTTCTTTTCCTTTTTTTTTTTTTTGTTTGTTTGTTTGTTTGAGATGGAGTCTCGCTCTGTCACCCAGGCTGGAGTGTAGTGGCGCCATCTTGGCTCACTGCAACCTCCACCTCCCAGGTTCAAGCAATCCTCTTACCTCAGCCTTCCAAGTAGCTGGGACCACAGGCACCACCACGCCCAGCTAATTTTTGTATTTTTATTAGAGTTGGGGTTTCCCCATGTTGGCCGAGCTGGTCTCAAACACCTGGCCTCAAGTGAGCCACCTGCTTTGGCCTCCCAAAGTGCTGGGATTACAGGTGTGAGCCACTGCACTCAGCCCAAATCAGTCTCATTTCTATATACTAAAAATGATCATGTGGAAACCAACTTTTAAAACACAGTATTATTTACATTCATTCTAAAGAAAATTATATACCTAGGTATAACTTTTTTGAAAAGTCTATAGTATATGCATGCTGACCATTACAAAATGTTGACAAAAGAAATCAAATATCAAAATAAATGGAAATACAAACCATGTTCCATGTACTGGAAGACTCAACATAGTAAAAATGTAAATTCTCCCCTAGATTTATCTATAGGGTTAATGCAATTTTTATCAAAATTCCAAAAAGAATTTTTGTAGACACAGACAAGCTTATTCTAATATTTATCTGGAATGGCATAAGCCCTACAATAGCTAAAACTTGACAAACAAGAATAAAATGAGAGGAATTACTCTATCTCACAGTATAGCTTACTTTACAGCCACACTAATCAAGACAGTATGGTATTGGTGAAGAGACAAAGACAGAGCAATGAAACAGGATAGAGAATGAAGAAACAGACCTACACAAATATGCCCAACCAATATTTGATAAAGGTGTAAAACAAATTATAAAACTTTTAGAAAAACACATAAGAAAACATCCATGGGATCAAGGGTTAGGCAGAGTTTTTATACTTTGCACCAAAGAAGAATCTATAAAAGGAAAAGTTGATAAATTATACCTCATCCAGCCAAGCCTGGTGGCTCACACCTGTAATCCTAGCACTTTGGGAGGCCAAAGCGGGTGGATCACTTGAGCCCAGGAGTTTGAGGTGGTGAGACCCCATCTCTACGTAAAAATACAAAAATTAGTGCAGCGTGGTGGTGCCTATAGTCCCAGCTACTCAGGAGGCTAAGGTCAGAGGATCACTTGAGTCTGGGAGGCAGAGACTGCAGTGAGCTGAGATTGTGCCACTGCGCTCCAGCCTTGGTGACAGAGTGAGACCCTGTCTCCAAAAAATAAAAAACTTCTGCTCTGTGAAAGACCCTGTCAAGAGGATAAAAAGGTGAAAAGGCAAGTTACAGAATTGGAGAAAATATTTTCAAGATAGATATCTGACAAAACACTAGTATCTAGACTACATACTTTCTATATATGCACACATACATATAAATTTTATGATACATAGTAATTATATATACATACATATAACGTGACTCTCAAAACTCAACAGGAAAACAACAAAGAGTACAATTAGAAAAAGAGAAGAAAAAAAGAAAAAGGGTAAGCGATATGAACAGATATTCTATAAGCCACCAAGAGGCTTACACAGATGACAAATAAGCACATTAAAGATGCTCAGCCTCGCCGGCCATTAAGGAAAACACAGATCAAAGCCGCAATGCAGTATCTATCAGACACACTTATCTCTGTGGCTCAAATAGAAAACAGTGACAACATCAAATGCTGGCAAGGACACGAAGAAATGAATCACTCACACACACTGCTGGTGGGAATGTAAGAGGGTATGGTCACTCTGAACACAACTCAGTGTTTCCAATAAAAGGAAACAAGCAACTGCCCAGCAACCCAGCAACTGCATACCTAATTTGCCCCAGAGGAAAGACAACTTCTTTTCACACAAAACCTGTGTACAGCAGCGTTCACGGCAGCTCTGTGACAGCCACTCTGCTGGGCTGCAGGGACCTGGGCTCCAGCTCCCACAGGAAGCTGGTACACTGTCAGCCTCCACGTGCACTCCCTTCTGCTTCCCTTTTGAGTCTTCCTGGGCCCTCAGGAGCTCAGGGAGAGCCGTGGGGACACTGAGGATAGGGCAGATGTGTATCCACAGTCTCCTCAGACTTGCCTGGCCGCAGATTCTAAACCACTGAAGCCACCCTCTTCGTGCCACTGAGCACACCTGAGGCCGTCTCTTCTCCAGTTTCCAGATGAGAAATAGGGCACAAATCCCTTCTATCCCCAGACCCTCAAACCCATCATGGAAGGGTTCCACAGCTCAAGCAAAGCTTAGCATGGATGCAATGGTCAAGGAGCTACCACAAAATGAGAATAATTTTATGAAAGAACTTTCTATGTAAAATCTCCAGCTGTCTGGCCATGTTTCTAATCAACAATAACTGTACTAGGGGCGCTGGCTTACGTAAAACTCAAACTACTGGCGAGATCTCACAGGGCCTCCTTAGTTTGTTAGAGACAGTTTTTACTTACAATCGAGCTCTTGACTATGTTCTCACAAGTGAAAGTGGGGAGATAGCCAAGAAAAAAAGGGACAGGACACAAATTACTAATATGAGAAATGAAAGAGGGGACACCACAAGTACAGATCTTATAATATAAAAAAGATAAAAAAAGAATTCTATAAACAACTTTATGCCCATAAATATGATAACCTAAACAAAATGGACCAATTCTTTGAAAGACACAATATGCCAAAACTCACACAAGAAGAAACAATCTAAATAAGACTATATCCAAAATTGAATCAATAATTAATAACTTCTCAAACCAGAAATCACTAGGCCCAGATGGGTTCACTGGTGAATTATACCAGATATTTAAATAAGAAATGAATCCAATTCTCTATAATCTCCTTTAAAGGATAGAAACAGAAAGAATGCTTCCAAACTCATTCTATGAGGCCAGCATTACTCTAACAAAAAAACCAAGGACAGTAAAAAACAACAAAAAAAAGACAACTAGAGACTAATATTTCTCATGTAGACAGATGCAAAAATCCTCAATAAAATATTAATAAGTTGAATCCAACAATGTACGAAAGAAATTATACACCTTGACCAGGTGGGATTTATCCCAGGTATGCAAGGCTGATTCAACATTTAAAAATCAATTAATGTAATCTATCCCATCAATAGGCTAAAAAATATCAATAGATACTGAAAATCATTTGACAAAATACCACATCCATTCATAATAAAAATTCTCAGTAAACTAAGAACAGAGAACTTCTTCAACTTCATAAAGAATATCTACCAAAAACCTACATCTAACATCACACTTAATGGTGAGAAATTTAAAGCTTTCCCACTAAGATCAGGAACAAAGCAAGGATATCCCCTTTCACTGCTGCTTTTCAACATTATACTGGAATTCCTAGCTAATGCAATAAGACAAGAAAAGGAAATAAAAGGTATACAGATTGGTAAAGAAGAAACAAAACTGACTTTGTAGATGACATGATTGTCTACATAGAACATTTGAAAGAATTTACCAAAAAAAAAAAACCTTCTGGAACAAACAGTGATTTTAGCAGGATTGCAGAATTCAAGGTCAATATACAAAAGTTAATCACTTTCAAGGTTAATACATAAAAGTTAATCACTTTCCTATATACCAACAATGAACAAGTGGAATTTGAAATTAAAAACACAATATCATTTACATTAGCAACCCAAAAATGAAACAGGTATAAATCTATCAAAATAAGTACAAGGTCTATATGAGGAAAATGACAAAACTCTAATGAAGGATATCAAAGAAGAACTAAATAAATGGAGAGCTATTCCATGTCCATGGATAGGAAGACAATACTGTCCAGGTGTCGGTTCTTCCCAATTCGATCTACACATTCAGTGCAACCCCAATCAAAAGTGCAGCTAATTATTTTGTGTATATCAACAAAATGATTCTGAAATTTACATAGAAAGGCAAAAAAACTATAATAAACAATAATTTATTGTATTTTTTAAACAGCTAGAAGAGAGGATTCTGAATTTTACCAACACCAAGAAATAATAAAGGTTTGAAGTGACTGATATGTGAATTACCCTGATTTGATCATTATAAAGTGTATACATGTATTGAAACATCACACTGTATGTATGAAAAGCAAAAGACCTTTCATATATACATAGAAATATTTCATATTTCATATACTGAGAAGAGCCAACTCAGTATTGAAAGAGAAGAACAAAGTTGAAGGGGTAACAGTTCCCTACTTCAAGACTTACTATGAATCTATAGTAATCAAGACAGTGCTGTGTTGGAAAAAGAAGAGACAAACAGAACAATGGAACAGAATAGAGAGCCCAGAAATAGACCCACATAAATACAGCCAACAGATCTTTGACAGAGGAGCAAAGACAATACAATGAAGAAAATAGTCTTTAACAAATGGTGCTATAGAACAACTGGACATTCACATGCAAAAAAACAAATGAATCTGGACATAGACCTTACACCCTTCACACAAAAGTTAACTCATAACTGATCACAAACCTAACTGCAAAATGCAAAGCTATATAATTCCTAGAAGATAACATAGAAGAAAACCTAGATGACCTTGGGTATGGCAATGAATTTTTAGATACAACAAAAAAAGCATGATCTATGAAAGAATAACTGAAAATCAGGACTTCACTGGAATTAAAAACTTCTCTGAAATGGATAATGTCAAGTGAATGAGAAGATAAGCCACAAACCGGGAGAAAATAAACGCAAAAGACAAATCCGATAAAGAACTGCTATCTAATATATACAAAAGAAAATAACCCGATAAAAAATTGGGCCAAAGATGTCAACAGATGCCTCACCAAAGAGGGACATACCGATGGCAAATAAGCATATAAAAATACTCCACATCACATCATCAGGAAAATGCACATTTAAACAACAATGAGATTATTTGCACACCTATGAGAATGGCTAAAGTCCAGAACATGGAAAACACCAAATGCTGGTGAGGATGTGGAGCAACAGGAACTCCCATTCATTGCTGGTGGGAGTGCAAAATGGTGCAGCCTTTTTGGAAGACAATTTGGCAGTTTCCCACAGAACTAAACATACACTTACCATATGATTCAGAAACTGTACTCCTTGGTATTTACCAAAATAAGCTGAAAATTGTTCATCACACAAAAATTGCACATGGATGTTTACAGCAGCTTTATTCATAATTGCAAAATATGAAAGCTACAAAGACGTGCTTCAGTAGGTGAACTGATAAATAAAACTGTGGTGCATCCAGATGACAGAGTGTGATCCAGCACTAAAAAGAAGTGAGCAAGCAAGCCATGAAAAGACACAGAGGAAGCTTAAACACATGCTATGCAGAGAAAGATGCCAATCTGAATAGGCTGCATGCTGTGTGATTCCAACTCTATGATCTCCTGGAAAAGGCAACACTATGGAGACAGTAAAGAAACCAGTGGTTGACAGGAGTTAGGAAGGAGAGAGGGATGAATAGGCAGATTCTTAAGGCAGTGGAACTACAGTATGTAGAGAACATACACTATGATGCTGTCATGGTGGATGATGCCATTATAGGCCTGTCAGAACCCATAGAAGGCACACCACCAAGAGTGAATGCTGATAAACTGTGGACTTTGGTGATGATGATGTGTCAATGTAGGTTCATCAACAATGGTAACAGTAACAAACGTACCACTCTGGTGGAAGATAGGGACAGGGGGCCAGGAGGCACAAGGGAAATCTCCATACTTTCCTCACAATTTTGCTGTGAACCTAAAACTGCTCTTTAAAAAGAATTTGTTTAAGTAAACTTTCAGAAAAGCTGCACATATCGTTATAAGAGTGTTCAGTTACTTTGTATGTTTCTAAAATAACACATCTAGCATCAACAAGAAGGTTAATGAGGCCAGGAACTGCTGTCCACTGAGTACATGAAATGGTAGTCTAGGCTACTGGGCCCACAGATCCAGTTAATGCTTGTGTGTCATTCTGAGTTATTTTTATTGTTATTGTATTTTATATTATTTATTTATTTATTTATTTTGAGATAGGGTATCACTCTGTCACCCAGGCTGGAGTGCAGTGGCACAATCTCGGCTCATTGCAACCTCCACCTCCTGGGTTCAAGCAATTCTCCTGCCTCAGCCACCTGAGTAGCTAGGACTACAGGCATGTGCCACCATACTCAGGCTAGTTTTTGTATTTTTAGTAGAGATGAGGTTTCACCATGATTTCCAGGCTGGTCTTGAACTGCTAACCTCAAGTGATCCACTCGCCTCAGCCTCCCAAAGTGCTGGGATTACAGGTGTGAGCCACCACACCTGGCCTTATTTTATTTTTGAGACAGGGTCTTTCTCTGTTGCCCAGGCTGGAGTGCAGTGACTCAATCACAGCTCACTGCAGCCTTGACCTCCTGGGCTCAAGCAATCCTCCCACCTCAGCATCCCAAGTAGCTGAGACCACAGGCATGCGCCACCACGCCTGGTTAACTTTTGTATGTTTTGTAGAGACGGGGTCTCACTATGTTGCCCAAGCTGGTCTTGAACTCCTGGACTGAAGCAATCTGCCTACCTCGGCCTCTCAAAGTGGAGGGTTTACAGGTGTCAGCCACCGCACCTGGACATTTTGAGTTATTTTTATGTGGGCATAGATTAAAATAAATAAAGAACATAAACTCTTCTAAGGAAAAATAAATGAGGAAAAATACTATAAAATTCCAAAGGCGTTTGAGCTGGCATGTCCATTCATGCTATTTTGGAAAGGTGAATGAGTCCCCACTTTATAAATACAAATCATACTTCAGTTGGATGAAACTACTACAGTAAACAAACTGATTTCTACCACCCCTACAGCTAATGAACTGGGACTCATAAGGCTCCAATCACTTCGCTAAGTAATTTAGACACAGAGAGACCCCACGCTCACCCTCACTGGGCCCCCTTATCTGGGTTACGTTTTTCACAGAACTTACCACTATCTCTCCTGATTTACTCCAGGCACCTCCTAGTTGGTCTCCTGTGTCCAACCTCTTCCTCTAGTTTTTTCTCAACATAACAACCTGAGTGACTCTGTTAAAACAAGAGGAGGATCCAGTACTTTAGGAGGCCAAGGTGGATGGATTACCTGAGGTCACGAGTTCGAGACCAGCCTGGCCAACATGGTGAAACCCTGTCTCTACTAAAAATACAAAAAAATTAGCTGGGCATGGTGGTGGGTGCCTGTAATCCCAGCTACTCAGGAGGCTGAGGCAGGAGAATCACTTGAACCCAGGAGGTGGAGGTTGGAGTGAGCTGAGATTGCGCCATTGCACTCCAGCCTGGGCAATAAGAGCGAGACTCCATCTCAAAAAAAAAAAAAAAAAAGAAAAAGAAAAGAAAAGAAAAAACGTGTCTTATTAGCAGCCAGAGAGTAAAGACGATTCTGGCTTTGAAGGCCAGGTCGCTTGCGTCATAACCACGCAACTCCGCTGCTGCTATTCTGAACGCAGTCACAGTCGACACTTACATGAATGCCTGCGTACTGATAAAACTTTATTTACAAAAACAGGGTCATCTGCAAACCCCTGTCTTAGAAGTCAGATTTTTCTCAGTGATCTACTCAATACCCTCCCGTGGGTTCCGTCCCACGCAGAGAAGCCGCATACAAAGAAAGGCAACAGGGGTCTGGGCCCCACTGCCCCCAGTCACTCAGGAGGTCTCCCTCTCACTTGCTGCTCCAGTGTCCGTCCTGCTGACCCAAGCATCCAGGCTCCATCCTGCTCGGGCCTGTGTTCTCATCGTCCCACCACCCGGCAGTCATGCAGCCCACCCCGACCACACATGCAGAGTCGCTGTCCCCACCTGCACAAGCTGCCCCCCACTTCCTTCCGTTTAGCCATAGAACCCGTGGCCTTTTAATAAGCACGTAGATGACCACTCATGTTATTATTGTTCGTCTCCCCCACTGCACAAACACAAACACGCTGAAACGCCAGCTCCACGAGGACTTTCAGCCTGTTCCCGCTGCAGCCCTCACTCCCAGAGCAACAGCTGAACGCAGAGGGCATGGAATACAGCTGTGTTGGACAAATGATATATATTTAACAGCCGTACACCCTGCAGTAGCTCCCTCATAAACTTTCTTGAATTAATTTAATAATATTTCACTGATGAAACTAGCAATAAAAGAGGTGAAATCACTTGTTCAAGGTCATATAGCCAGAAAGAGGTAAAGGCAAGATTCATGCCAGGTTCCACTGAAGAAAGTGCTTGCTCTAAATTGATCAACTGCCTCCCTGGAACCTAATTTATTGTGATGTAATTATCCCTCACTATCTTCTAATATCTAATGTTTAAACATTGTTAGTGGAATTTTGTATTACCATATATGTAAAAATGAATTGTATTTTCATGCATGTTGTCTGTAACTGAGGATTTTTAACTGTTTTAAAAGACTCTCTCTCAGTTGAGGCTAAAATAATCATCCTTCATGACGTCCTCATTGCATGAACTTGAGAGTTCCGCAGCAGCAGATGTCATTTTAAAAGGCAGCTAAGCGCGGCTCGCACGCGCTCTGTGTGCTGTTTGGGGAGGGCCTGCCCGGTGTGTGTGTGTGTGTGTGTGTGTGTGTGTGTGTGTGTGTGTGTGTGTGTGTGTATGCAGGGAGGTGGGGAGGGCCTGGAGGGCCTGTGTGTGTGTGTGTGTGTGTGTGTGTGTGTGTGTGTATGCAGGGAGGTGGGGAGGGCCTGGGCGGGGACGCCATCAGAGAGACCAGAGCACTGTGGGACAGCAGCATCCACAGGGACTGCGGGTGCTCAGGGAATGTTTTCAGGCAGCACCAGAGTCCTGGCTGTCCCGATGTGGCCCCTGCTCTAGGGAGCCGCCGACCTCTCACTCCCAGCCCGGCCCAGCAACGTCTCCCTGCCCATCCGCAAGCCATTCTTTCCGGTTTAGTACACAGGTCAGGAGGAAGACATGGTACCATTTTTATCTTTAGAAAAGAAGAGCAATATAAAATATTCTCTGCCAAATTTTCATTGAATCTTTATGACACATCTTAGAATATAAATTAGAAATGGAGTGCCACAAAAGTGTCATAAAATGGAAAGGCCAAAACACACAGATCAGCTGTTCTATAGTAGGAGGATTTCTGGTCTTGGATGCAGGATTTCTGCTTCAGAACCTTCTCTGTCATTTAGTAACTTAGTGGCCAGGGGTCAACCTCAAGCGCTTTAAATCTCAGGCTCCTTTCTATATAAGGGAATGATAACACCTTCTTTTAAGGCCTGCTTTGAAGGCTAAATTGATATTTTTATGTGAACATTACGACCTGCTAGAAGAGCATAACATGCTTAAGGAGATACTTAAGGTTCTCTTCTCCCAGAACAAACTGAAAATACTCCCACAAATGGGGACGTTACCGTTCACATGTTCATAATATATTGTGTTCCAAAGCCCTGGAACCCTCCAGATGTTCTGAAGAGGCAGAATGGAGTGAGAGAAAGAATGCTGGCTGAGAGCAGAAGACCTGATTTTACTCTAAAGTTTGCCACAAATTAGGTCTATGACATCTTACAATTCCTAAATTCTCTAAATGGCAGATTTTTGATCTTTAAAATGAAATTATTCTTTGTAATCTTTTAAGTCACTTTTTTTAGTGTGCTATTGTTCTAGTTCTGCTACAATTTCGCATGGACAGACAAGCTGACAAAGTCCTGATTACCTGAGGAAACGAAGTAATAACCAAGTGGAATAAGGCAACTCAAGAAACCCAACAGCAAAGGGCAGAGCTGAGGCTAGAAGCGGGTGGTCATGCCCGGGTTCTAGTTCATGCCCAGTTCATGCCCAGCCCATGCTCCCTTCAGCCTCAGGGGCTGGAAGGACTCAGCGGCTGGGTGGGACGGGGCTGCAGTCGGGCACAAGTGCCTACCACGCTCTAAGGGAAAGGTTGATGGTGAATGCAGGAAGACGGGACCCATCAGCAGAGGCAAGTCCTCTGACCAAGAAAATACGAGCAAAGCTGCCCCTGTCGGTGCTTTGCAAGCAAATCACAGATGTGCTACGATTCATGGCCCTGCTTGTCAACTCCAGTACTCTTTATATAAATCATTGCTGGCGAAATACAATTTTAGATATTAAAATAGCCTGAAGTATAACCAAATCAAAATATTGAAGTAGGGTGCATCCTTAAAAATATAAGCATTTCTGCATTCCAGATCCCAAACTTTCGGAGCTGCAAAGCAAACACTGTTCCCGTGTGGCTTCTGTGCCACCCGGTTCTTCTGCGTTTCAGCTCAAGCAATGACTGCACCACCACCCTCTGTGCTGGTCAACCACCACCATGTGCAACCGTAAAAGGGGATTCGCTGTACTTTCCCCACGAGTGCATTAGTAACCTCCTAGGTTACATTACAGCCTACTTTTATGCATAAAACTCGCTTGGCTTCTGGTGATTTATCATTTTAAATGTTTTAAAAGTAAATTGACTACATACATTTTGTTTTCTAGAATTCTGTGTGGTAGATGTATATTTTTGCCTCCACGATGACATAAATACTCTTGGATGAAAAATACTGTACTTTCTAGGCAATATTAACATAAGTAAAGTTGTTAGAAATAACTAGTTATAACATAAGAACATGGATTGATTTATTTCACCAGCATTCACTGAGCATCTGATCTATACTGATGATTAGGCTGACTAACAAGAATAAAAATGAAAAACTATTCTTCCCTTGAATAACTAAAATTCCAGTGGCACACAGGATATATAAGTTGACGGTTTACAATGTGATGCCCGGGTCCTCTTCACATCAGCATCTAAAGCCTGCGATGGAGACACCAAGGTCTGACGTTAACTTCATTTCAGGGGATGTCTCAGAGAGGACAACATTTGAAGGAGGACGAAGGGCTAAGGAGGAGTCTGAAAAGAGCAAGTGGGAAAAACACATTCCAAGCAAAGAAGAGCAGACTGCTCCAGGCTGAGCTCATCCCCAGAGGAGGAGAGGGCTCTGGGGACCAGTGCACCAGAGAAGGATGGAAGGGAGACCAGGCGGAAAGGTAGACTTGGCAGCACGAGCTCAGCCTTGTTAGGACTCAATCCTACAGGCAGTGAAGAGGATGAAAAAACAATCATCATTTATATTTCTCACAAAAATTCTTAGGGGAAAAATAAAAATTGTAAATTAACACACCAAAACTATGGCCATATGACACATGAGGTCAATTACAATATAATTAACCAATCTTAAGTGAGTAATTTTCCAGAATAATATTAGTGAGCCTTCACTTTTGTAATGGAGCCCGTAAGATTACCAAACATTAGGAGAGACAATAATTTTCTTCACTAGGCAACTATATAACTAATAACAACCATACCACTGGAAGAATAAACCAAATTCACTTGAAATATCTTCTGAAATTACAATAAGATTATTAAGCAAGAGATTTAACTTGCAGAGATAATGAAGTTCCACCAAGAACACCAGTGAAATTTAGCGGGAAAAGGAAATTGTTTTTAACACGTGTTGCTGGAGCAAACCGATACTCATATAGGGAAAAATGACTCTTTACCTTACCTTTCTCCCCACCCAAAATCAGTTTGTGATGGAGGTAGAGGAGGGACCCATGCCCTCATGTGACCCCTGTCTGTGAGCATGGGAGGCGCCTGTGGCATATAACACAGCATGTGTGATGAACCAAGGCATGCCTGTGCACACAGTTGCATCCTGCTGGAGTCTCTCTCGCTTGCTGGCTGTGAGGAGGCATGTGGTTGTGCTGGGCTCCTACCTGTGAGGTAGGAGCCTTGGGGGCCTCAGGGAGCTGATGATGGCTTCCACCCTGTAGCCAGCAAGGAACTGAAGCCCTCAGTCCTGCAGTCACAAGGAATTAAAATCTGCCAAGTCCTTGGTGAGCTTGCAAGCAGATCTGTCCCCAGGGAAGCCTCAGAAGGTAACCAAGGCCCTGCCAACAGCTTGGTCTCAGCCTAGTGAGACCCTGGGCAGAGGACCCAGCTCCCCCGAACCCTGACTCGTGACCCACAGGAGCTGTGAGATAAAGAGGGTGTGGTTTCAAGCCACAGCAGTTTTGCTAATACTGTCATGTAGCAACGGGTTATAGATCCAAATGGAATAAAAAACCACAAACATCCTAGAAGGAAACACAGAAGAATATCTTCTCAGTCTCTGGGTTAGCAAAGGTTTCTTAGGCCACAGAAAGCATTAAGCAAATCTAATTTTAATTAAAAACTAGATTTCATAAAAATGTAAAATTTCTGTTCATTAAAGGATGCCATGATGACACCAATAAGCAACCCATAGATTAGGGGAAATACTGCAATACCTGTCTAGAGCTGAGAATACATTAAAAAAGAAAAGTTCTATAATTCAATAATTTAGAAAAGAACCCAATTAAAAATGGGCATATAAGTATATGGTAAAGTGCTCAACATCATTCATTACAAAAGAAATGCAAATTAAAACCACAATGAAAATACTACTCCGCAACCACCTCAAGGCTAAAATTAAAAAGACTAAAGAAACCACATGTAACTGAGATGATGGCACTGAGACTCTCATACCTTGCTGGGGAGTGTCAAGATGTACAACCCCATGCAAAACTGAGAGGCAGTTACGTTGCGGTTAAGCACACATCGCCCTCAGCAACTGCACTCGTGTCTCTCGCAAGAGAAACGAGAACATGTGTTCACACAAACAGCTGTACAAGAATTTTTATGGCAGCATTATTTGTAATCACCAAAAACTGGAAACATCAAAAGATCCCCAACTGAGGGCTGGGTAAACTGTGTTTCTCCCACACAGGGGAAAATGCCTCGGTGATATAAAGGAAGGAACCAGAATGCGTGCAACATTGTGGAGGATTTTCAAAATCATTACACAGAGGCCAAGCAGAGAAGAAAACTTGCCAAATGGCATTCATGTGACAACCCGGAACAGACAAAGCCAGTCTGTGATGGACACAAGAGCAGTTTCCACCTTGGAGAGTGGAAATGAGGACTGACTGGGGACGTGGGGAAGACCCTGAGGTGGGGGGTGCGGTGCAGGTGCACCTGTGATGCGGGACTGGGGCCTCTGGCTGTTCATTTGTTCATTGTAACCCCAGACAAAGAAAGGAGCCCTCACCCTACATGATTTAGAACATGTGCTTATTCAGTGCCTCTGCAGATGAACTGCCAATACTTTTATTTCTTTATCTTCAATCTTTCCTTTTCAATTCTTCTTCCAAAATTCTTTTATTTTGATTAAAAACATCAAAGTATAAGCTGGGCATGGTGGCCCACACCTGTGGTCCCAGACACTCAGGAGGCTGGGGTGGGAAGATTGCAGGAGCCCAAGAGTTGAGCTTGGGCAAGAGGGAGATGCTGTCTCTAACATTTTTTTCAATAAAAATAAAAACATCAAAGTATTTTTTAAAAACTTGCATTCCCCTCCACTTAATAAGTTATCAGGACAGAAGATTATCACTAAAATAAGAGACTGTCTTCATTGCCCTTTTCTATACTGTACACTGTTTTAGACTTGAAAAAACATATTGACTTGAATATAAAAATGGGATAATTTTTTATAGCAGCCTAAGTGTCTATAAAGCCCTCTTAACTTTATAGTGTTTCTATGATGGCTAAGAACTATGAGAGCATAAATCAGGTCACTATATTTCCCAACACTATCCACAAATTTCTGGGTTCAAACAAAAAGGTGTGCCCTGCATTTCATCAGAAATTGGTCTAAGTCCAATACTCCCTTTGACATTTCTATTTCCCACAAGCAGCGATGGCTTCTGCACATAAAAACTCCTCACTGAAGTGATCTTGTGTCAGAGTATGTTAATTACTGATTTTGATCATATTTGAATTTAGCCTCTTCTGATTGCTATTCTAACAGATCAGTTGATATTCTGGCCTCAGGAAGCATCAATTGAACAGGGCATGCTCAAGATATTACATTTAATTTTTAATAATTAGTAATATGTAATAATTCATGCTTAGAATATCATTGGCCAGGCTGGAAACAGAGCCAGGTGCACTGCTGGATTGCTGAGTTCGAGAATAAGCACCAGGCTCCCATCCCGGTGGAGTCCTTGCTGCTGGATGTGGGTCTTGCTGGTCAAATGAATGGAGACCCGGAGCACAGGCAGCCGAGGATTGGGCAGTCATCGGGATGGCGGCTCATCTGCAAATAGCCAGTGCACACCTCCAGGCAACAGGATGACGAGTCTCTGCAGTGTGCCCTGAGACCCTGCAGCTAAGTCCTGAGATGGAAAAGCCAAGCTTGCAGGCTCTTCCATGGACCACTGAAATAGAAAGTCTGGGATAAGGGCCCAGAGGTCTTCATTTTTTCGGAAACACTCCAGCAGATTTTTATGCAGTTCCATTCTGGATGCCATGATTTTCCAATTCAATTATTCGTCACTCCACGAAGATAAATGCAGAACTCATCCAGAGTCCATGAGCCATAAATCCACAGCATAGCAGGCTTCTCATTTTGACTACTGTTGGTGAGAGTAAGTTACTTACATTTGAATCCTGGAATAAACCAGCTATTACTGACTCAAATTCAGAATCTTTTGTTTTACACTGTAGATCATAATACATTGCACTTGGAAGTTACAGGCCTGACAGGCTTGGATCGTTTACAGTAAAAATAATAATATCCTACCAGTTCCGTAGTTCAGTTTCCTTCTCTTTCTGCTGAAGAAATTCCGTCGGCAACCACAAATCTTGAAGCCAATCCCTTATGTTCTCATTGTCTTAATTTATCATCTGGACAGCTCATCCCTGCATGGCAGTGAAAGATCAATACTATGTGGAGCACATTTTTTTGGCTCTTATATAAATCACTTGAATGTAAAGTAGGTAGCGTGGCAATGGCAAGCTGCCTACTTCTGTAGTCTGTACGGCAGCCTTTACATTCACGGTTTGGCTGTTGACTTTGCTAGAATCTGCAGAACATTTTCCAAATGGAAGGTAGTGTAGATTCCTTAGGCATGAAATTAACTTTAATGATGTGGGCATTGATGAGACAGTCAGGAAATATCTGGAAATGACACACTCTTCAGAACTATAAATTGTACATGAAAACACACATTTGAAACCACTCAGGGACTAAAAAAGAAAAAAACAAGCATTAATGCCACATTAGTAGAAATATAATATATGTTGCCTCTCACAGAAATAAGAAACTTTTTTGAAATGTTGATTTGGAACTGAGTTCTAGTCAATAAATTTGAGAAGGAAACCTTTCTCCAGTTCCCGAGTGTCCATAGTAAGAAAGACACGGCTTTCTGCTCTTGAATCTGCCCCGAAAGGCTCCGTACAGCTCACCCCGCTTTTCTTCAAGATGATTCCCAGTGCTTGCTGGTGGCAGCAGAACACACTCCTCTCTTCTGCCCTTATACAGCTCTGTGGTGCGTAGGTGGGCACCATGCCAAGAAGATGGAATCTGAAGTCAGATCAATGAGGTGCGAAGCCTTGCGTGTCCACTTACCCACTGTGTGCTTTTGTTCAGGCATTTTAACTTCTTTATGCCTCAGTTTCCTTACCTGCGATAGGAAGGTAATGAGGTATCCGCTTGTTAAGGCTGTGATGATTACATAAAGCACTTAAGGATGGTGACTGTGACACAGTAAGCACCTAATCAGTGCAAGTAAATGTTTAAATTGACCTCTGATATGGTTTGGCTGTGTCCCCACCCAAATCTCCACTTGAATCGTATCTCCCAGAATTCCCACAAGTTGTGGGAGGGACCCAGGGGAAGGTAACTGAATCACGGGAGCCTGTCTTTCCCGTGCTGTTCTCGTGATAGTGACTAAGTCTCACGAGATCTGATGGTTTTAGCAGGGATTTCTGCTTTTGCTTCTCTCTCATTCTCTCTTCCCTGCCACCATGTAAAAAGTGCCTTTTACCCTCCGCCATGTCTGGGAGGCCTCCCCAGCCATATGGAACCGCAAGTCAAATTAAACCTACTTTTCTCCCCAGTCTCAGGTATGTCTTTATCAGCAGCATAAAATGGACCAATACAACCTCAAACCATTTTGTCTTTGGCTACAAATAAGAAGTAAGGTGTGTGCACATGGCCCAGACAAGAAACTCCAAGTGAGAGCCAGGCAAGGCCAGTGTGCAGGGAGGCTGCCCAAGCCTGACGGGAAGGCACCAAGGTGTCGGGCACAGCCAGGTCCAAGGGCCAGGGCCTTGTGGCTCTGAATTTGAAGATGGGCTTGATGCTGGCCCTCTTGTTGATGGGACACTAACTTTGGTCACTTTACCCCATCATCCTCAGCTACATATCCAGTACATACAATCATTATCAGATTGCTTTATTATTAATGTTTTTATATATTACATATTTATAAAACATAAACTATTGTAAAAATGTAAACTACACATTTTATACTACCCCATGCAGATACACACACGCCCCTCACAGAGTGTCACACCATATCAATCCACTCTGTGGAGGCGAGACCTACTTAAGGGACAGAAAGATCGTATAATCCAACACCTAATTTTAGAGATAAGAAAATCAAAGTTCAAAAGGTTTGCTGAGGAACTACATAGACAAATATATAGAATTTTTGTTCTTATTATTTAAATATTTTTAAGAGGTAACTGTTTAAACAAAATTGATAATGATCTAGTGTGGAATTTAGAACAAATGTGGTCTTAGTCCATTCAGGCTGCTGTCACAAAAATGCCATAAACTGGGTGGTTTGTAAACAACAGACAGTTATCTCTCACCGTCCTGGAGGCTGGAGGTCCAGGATGAAGGTGCTGGCAGTGCCTGGTGAGGGGCCTCCTCCTCATAGACAGTGCCTTCTCACTGCCCCTCACATGGTAGAAAGCGCCAACAAAGTGCCCTCAAGCCTCTTTTATGGGGGCATTAATTCCTGTCAGGAGGCTCTTCCCTCATGACCTCATCACCTCCTGATGGTCCCACCTCTGAACACCATCATCTTAAGAGAGAGGCTTTCAACATATGAATTTGGGGGGCAGAAAACAAACATTTAGATCATAACATTGTAAAAGTAAAATGCATGACAATAATAGCACCCAGCCTGGAGAGGAGAAATGGAAGTTTGCTATTGTGAGATGAAGTGGTTTCATATCACTTAACAATAGAATACCACAGCTAAAGATTTATACTTTAAATTAAAGAAACCTCAAATTAACTAAACAAAGAGTTACACCTAAGAAGCCAAAAAAAAAGATGATAAATGGAAATACAAAAAATATCTAATGGGGCCAAAAGAAAGCACAAAAATAAAAAAACAAAGATCAGAAGGAGCAAATAGAAAATGAATAAGCAAGACAGAGTTTGAAACATAATCACATTAATAATCACATTAAATATGAATGGTCTAAACCCACACATTAAAAGGCAGAAATAGTCAAATTGCATAAAAGATCAAGATGTAATTAAATACAGCCTATAAGAAATGCACTTCAAACAAAGAGACCCAAATAGGTTTAAACAAATAATTTTAAAAGATATACCATCCTAACACTAACAAAAGAAAGCTAGAGTGGCTATATTAATATCGGACAAAGTATATTTCAAAGCAAAAAATATTCCCAGGAATAAAGACCACCATGTCATCACAATGAAGGTGTCTACTCATTAAGAGGACATAATAACCCAAACCTAATAAAGTAGCTTTGAAATAAACAAAACAAAAAACTGATAGAATTACAAGGAAAAGAGAAAACCTAGAGGTATAGTCAGAGATTTCAGTGCCGCTGTCAATCCTGGAAAGGACAAACACATACCACATAAGGACGCGGAAGACTTGAGGAACACACCTAACCAACACGACACGTTTCTCGGGTACTGCGCCGCCAACAGCAGAGTCTACATTCTTTCCAGGTGTACACAGAACACAAAGCAAAAGCAATCCATTCAAGCCATGCAAAGTATTTCCTCTATCCATGTGGTATTAAATTGGAAATCAATAAGAGTTGAAGAAAGACCTCAAACATTTGAAAACAAAACAGCACACTAATTTTAGATAACCCATGAATCAATGACAAAAATCAAAAGAGAATTTCAAAAGTATTTTGAACTAAATGAGTACATAAACATTTTCACAATTTGGGGGATCCCCTAAGGCAGCATATGGGGGAGTGTAGAGCACCTACAGCTGTGTCAGGGGCTTCTGAGAACAGAAGGGGGGCCCAAGGGAGGCACAGAGGTGACTCCAACTCTGCAGGATGACAAGCTCCAGCCTCTCCACTCTGTGCCAGGCTGCGTGAGTGCCCCGGGCACAGGATAGGGGAGATTGGAGGGGACATGGGGAGGGCACATGGGCATCACAGTGAGACCAGTGGGAGCTGGACGGAAGGTTAGGCTCAGGGACATTTGAGACATAGAAACTGGTTAAAAAAGAAAAAATCTGTACAATCTGCAGAAGTGAAATAAGGAACAGCGAGGGGTGAGGAGGCCGATGAGATAGAGGATGAGCTTGCAGGAGGGCTCCACGGCTCCTGCTCAGGCTCTGGGAGTTGCAGGTGACAAGTCAGGAGGAGAGGAGGCCACAGCCCGGGAAGGAAATGCCTGGCCTGGCTCAGAGTCCGGACTGTGAGCACAGCAGCGCTGCCGGGGGAATGCCCGGAGCAAATGGGTCTAAAGGAGACACGCTGGGGCTTTTGGAAAATAATCAGAGATCACAGTTTAAGATGAGGAAAAGTATGATAAAGTCAGAGGCAGCATCGAGTGAGGAGACAATAAAGCTGACAGCGGACCCCAGAGAAACCCGCACATGGAGAAAGGTTTCCTGCTCAGTCCGCCCTGGACGCCTCCCTGCACTGTGGCCTCCGAGGCTGCTCTGCCAGCCGCAGTTGAACCCAGCCTCCTCCACCTCTTTCCTGCAACTCCGCTGCAGCCAGGGTCGGGGACAGAAGAAATGGAGTCGGTGAAAAAGACAAAACAAAGCCAAAAAAGTAGCAGCTGAACCACGCGTGAGTCCTGACGGGAGCCCACAACCCCAACAGGGTCTCTACCAAGCCAGACCCTGAACACTGAAGTGTTCAGCTCACACCAGTCAGACCCAACTTGGCTTCAACTCCAAACATGTGCCTGAACTAACATCCGTGAGTCTCTAACAAACCAAAGGTTATTTTCAGTTTAAAATTCAAGTGTACCTTAAAAGAAAAGCTGTATTCGAGAGCAGAGGGGATGTCTGTGAAGGAGGCTGCGTGGAACTGTGCTCACGAGAGACAAGAGGAAGGCCCTGGCCACAGGGATGCAGCCACAGCCGTCTCTTCTGCTTCAACATCATTAAGATATAAGTTTAATCAAAACAGATTTTCTTTCTTATTTTACAATTTAAAAATCTAACCCATGAGGATAAGAAAGTTTACTTTCCAAATTCAGAGTCTGCCTTAATTTTGTGATTTCTGAGCCCACACCTGAAGGGGGACACGGGTGGGTGGAGGTTTAAAAGGAAGAGTCTGCAATTCTCGAGCAGCTCAGAGGCGCTAAAAACATCACATCCGTGACATGATCCAGCCTTCACAAGACAGTGGCTGTATCAGTCAGGGATCCCTAAAGGGACAGGACTCATAGGATAGATGATGAGTATATGGAGGGGAGTTTATTAGGAGAATTCACTCACACCATCACCAGGCGAAGTCCCACAATGCTCTGTCTACAAGCTGAGGAGCAAGGAAGCCAGACCAAGTCCCAAAACCTCAAAAGTAGGGAAGCAAACAATGTAGCCTTCAGTCTGTGGCCGAAGGCCCAAGAGCCCCTGGCAAACCACTAGTGTAAGTCCAAGGTCCAAGAGTCCAAAAGCTGAAGAACCTGGAGTCTGATGTTCGAGGGCAGGAAGCATCCAGCATGGGAGAAAGATGGAGGCCAGGAGACTCAGCAAGTCTAGTCCTTCCACGTTCCTCTGCCTGCTTTTATCCTAGCCAAGCCGGCAGCTGATTAGATGGTGGCCACCCACATTGAGGGTGGGCCTGCCTTTCCCAGCTCACAGACTCCAATGGTAATCTCCTCTGGCAACACCCTCACAGACACAGCCAGGACAATACTTTGCGTCCTTCAATCCAGTCAAGTTGGCACGTGGTATTCACCATCACGGTGGCACAGGGCAGCGGCAGGCAACACGAGGCTGTGAGAGCCTGCACTGCTTTGTGGTTCCTGGATCCGTGTCCCTCCCTCACCACCTCCTGACCTCTCCGTGGCTGACCACCCTCCACATTTGGGGAGAGTGTGCTGGGCTGCGAGTAAGGTGTGAGGCTCCCTGGAGGACAGCGCCAGCTGGAGGCAGCTCTACCACTCAGCACCTGGACAGAGCCCGGTGCTCACACTGGCTCCCACGAGACTCTCAGGCTCACCCATCTGCCCTGGGAGTGGCCCTGACTTCTCTTCTAGCACTGGAACGCTCCATGGCTCCCATCTCCCAGCCCAGTTTTCTGGCCCTGCCCCCATTCCGTCAGCTAGCCCTTGATGTGCCTCAGGTAACCAAACGCGTGAGTGAGTGAAGTAATGAACGCCCGCGTCCTCATGCCAACACCCATGTGGACCCCACACGCAACCACAGGTGCAGAACGGGTCGGGAGTTAAGTGACCATGCCAGGGACCAGCACACGAGAGCCGGGGAGACCCCCACCAGGTACGCTGTCAGCGAGCACTCCCTTCCACCAGCCTGAAGCCTCGCCGAGCTGAGCCCAGTCTAGCCAAGCCTCAGAAGCCTCCCGGCCTGGGAGTGCAGTCCCGCCACCTTGCTTACACGGCGGGAGATGTGTTCTGACCAGCACGGGATAGAAACTGCGAATCAAGAGATACCTAGTACTCCCTTCCCAGTGAACAAACTGCTAACGTTGTTGTGTGTGCTTCTGCCGAGACTGAAGGCCAGTTTCCAAATGCAAAGCCTAATTTTTGGGGGGCAAAATTTTATACCAAGATTAAACTTTAGTCACTCACCAGAAGACTAAATTTTAATATGCAGTTCTACATAATATTCTAAATTAGAAACATCTAAGGAAATCCAGACTGTATTTCAGATAAGGCGGAACACTGCCCCGCATCTGGGATCCATTTAATATTTCAAAGGGACCCTGAAGTCTCATCCCCTAAAAACACCCCCACCAGGTATTGGAAATCTGTATTTCCCCGCTTGTCTTACGCAGTGGAGAAACTGAGTGTCCCGTTCACAATGTGTGTTCATAATCACACAGATGCTGGAAGGGTTCGAGCATGCACACAAGCCACTTCATTTCCTTTACTTAATCTGTTCCTAAAGAGTCAATGTTAAAGAACAAGTTTTGTAAACCAAGTAACATTTTTAAAATTATTCTGTTTTTAGGGATAGGGTCTCGCTCTGTTGCCCAGGCTGGAGTGCAGTGGTCCAATCCTGGCTCACTTGCAGCATCGACCTCCCAGGCTCCCGCGTAGCTGGGACTACAGGCATGAGCCACCACACGCAGCTGATTTTTCATTTTTGTAGAAATCAGGTCTCACGATGTTGCCCAGACTGCTCTCCTGGGCTCAAACGATCCTCCTGCCTCAGCTTCCCAAAGTGTTGGGATTACAGGCGTGAGCCACTGCACCTATAGCCCCATTTTTTAATTAACTGATAATTATGAGCTCAGCTTTGACTTTTATGATCAATGTGTCTTCAATAGCTCAGTTTTGTCTGTTGTTATTCATTAGAAGAAACCAGATCAATTATGTAAGAAATAAAACATTTTGTAATGTATTGTTACTCGTTAGAAGGAACCAGATCAATTATGTAAGAAATAAAACATTTTGTAATGTATTGTTACTCGTTAGAAGAAACCAGATCAATTATGTAAGAAATAAAACATTTTGTAGCGTAAACAATAGCACCACTAGACAAAGCTCTGATTCTGATTTCTAAAATTCCTCAAGTCAATTCTGAGAGTGACAGCAGGGAAGAAAGCTTGTGGCTAGACAGCAGCCCTGCTCACCTGGGCAGTGGTGAGGGCAAGGTGGTCTGACAGCCCTTGCTCCTGGCAGGGAGCCCCCAACCCACAGAGGGGCCGGCCCTCCAGCACCTGCCACAGACCCTGAGAGTGGCCACTGTCCCGGGGGCCTCGAAGAGACTCTCAAACCACGTCACGGGATGAGAAACAAAATGACAACTCAAACTATGTCACGTGATGAGAAATGACATAAATATTTTGACGATGACCATTAATTGGTTCTCACTGTTCTGTCATTTATTAAGATGGGCATGTACTGAGTATTTTTGTATTGTTTAAAACAAATAGCCAAGGAACCTGAATTTCGGGGCCTGTTGGAGTTGAGGCAACGTTAGAGACTACTGGAGCACTCACTCTCACCCTGGGTGTTGCGAGGCTGCCACGCATACATCCTGTAGAAACGCTTTCTAAAAAGGATAATCAGATTCCAGTGTGGGGGATTCGGACAGTATCAGGACTGAATTTGGTAACAAAATCAGCCATAGTCTGTGCTTGACTAAGAACATGCACAGATGTGCATTTGAGACAGTGGATAACAAGTGTGGACACTGAAACTGGGAACTCAACTGTAAAAACAAAATTAATATTTACTCTACTTGGCTCCATTTATTAAAAATGCATAATAGGCCAGGGCAGAGGGGAGGCATCCCACATAGAGACACCTCAAGTGCTGGGCAATGCCTGAGAGCCTCAGGCACCAAGCAGGCCAACAACGATGTCTGCGTGCCCCAGAGTCTGATAGGCAGCAGCCCGAGCCAGGTGGGGCTGTCTGGGGGACCTTTGGAAATGAGTCAGGCACTTTGGGCTGTGACAGTGACACCTGGGGTGATCGGTGCTGCTGGGGAGGACCCGGGATGCCACACATCTGGCATCATGTAGGTCAGTCACGCACACTTTGGCTTTGTCCGTGATAAACACCATTTGAACGGGGCCCTTCCCTGCAGGTGTGAGGAGTCCAGGTTGGCGCAGTTACAGAGAAGGGCACCCTCACAGACGGTCTGCGTGGCAGAACAGTGCATGTGCCTGTTGTGGAACTGACTAGTTTAGGAGTATCACTTTCTGGCCAGTGTGAAATTCCCAGTAAGATGTCCTCAAGTTCTAAGTAGCTTGGCTTCTTATAGAGACTTCCTGGCTAAATGAAGCCAGGGCAGGAACTCCTGGGGGGCTCCCTGACGCTCCCCAACAGCAAAAGATGAGAACTTCACACACAGCACCAGGCGCAGACGCTCTAGTGCAAGAGCCTAGGAGGTGCTTCCAATAACCACAAGCAAGACTGAAGGCGGCGTGCTGAGAAACACAGTGTGGCCCACACCTGTGCCACGCTCTGAAACAATAAAACTGTACTGCCGGGAAGAAATTTTGGAAGCTCTCTCCAACCCCTTCAGCCCCACAGCGGATTCCTGTCTTAGAAGAGGCAAAACCCAGGGCTGCGAGTCCTGCTTTTTAGGATGCTCCCAGGACCTGCACCTCTCTTTCCACACCAACTTGGAAGCTGCAACTCTGAGAATAAAGTCGGAATCCCACAGAAGAGGAGTGAGAGCGGCGGTCCACTGTGTTCCTAGAGAGGCTGGCCCTTGTACCCCAGCCACTCTGCAGACGTAAAGCTGGGAGGAAGGGCCGCCAGCTCCAGTGCTGAGAACACAGCGCAGAAAAGCAGCATCTGTGTTCCAGGATGAGTAAACAGAGACCCAAGGGAGCTGCCGAAACCGCACTGTAAAGGAGAGGGAGCGTCAGCTCCACCAGGAAGAGCGTCTCCCTCAGCAGGGCTTGGGGAGACCAGTGGTTCTCAAACAGGTCCGTGGAAGCCTGAGTCTGACAGCAATCACTCAGGAACCACACTCAGGAACCACAGACTGAAGGAGAAAGAGGCAGAAGGTGAGTCCCAGGCTCTGCCACCACCCAGCCAGAAAGCCCCCATGATTGTGCAAGGTTCCATTTGGACAAAGGGTTTCAAAGTAAAAAAACACTGAAAACCACTTCTGAAGGAAAAAAAACATTTCTTATAACATACTTGCTCCACATCTAGTACATGTCTTCCATGAAAAATAAGCAAGAATCTGTAGGAGCCAACAGGAAAGGCACAGCTGAAATGAGACAGCCATGCCCAGGGAGTAAGGACACAAGCTCACTCTTCAAGTCACTGCACTCACTACTTCAAGTCACTAAGCTCAGTAGGGACCTGCAGCTGTGGGAAATAAAGTGGATGATGTAGAAGACCCAGTTGAAAACAAATTCTCAAAATGCTGAAGAAGAGAACATAAACCCTAAAATGCTCACTTTCTCTTTTCAAAGAAAATAAAATTAAGCTAATTGGTTGACAAACAGGGAAGACCCAACTTTCCAATCCTACATATTCTTGAAGGACAGATGGAAACGGATGGATTGATGACCTCACAGTCTCATGGATTAAGGGGCCATGCAACACCTGATAGAGGCTCCACTGTTTTCCAGTATGCTTAGCTGTTTTATTTAAAGATTTCAAATCTTAGAAGAAAACAGAACTGAGAGGAAATGGGTTGTTCTTTCATTTCATGCCCCTCACCCCTGTGCAACTTCTCTGTGGGATGTGGTACCGTGTCTCAGTATCAATCGTAGGGCTGTGGTGCCATATGGTTTTAGAAGGAAGCCGCATGCCCCTGGTTTGCTGTCCCTGCTCGCTCCCAAGAGGAAGAGACGCCGCCCACCCAAAAGCTTTGAAGCCCCTCTTCCATCAACAGAGAACGCAGCAAACAATTCCACAAAGACAGCAGGAATGCACAGAGGTTGGAGTGGCAAGCAAACAGCCAACACACAACCGTGGGACCGTGATGCTACTGCAGCATGAGTTTCTGATGCACCAAGATGGTTTTGTACACAGGAAAATTATTTATGGTTTATTTTGATGTTTATAAATTTAAAATTCAATTCATTAAACACTTAACGTTTTAAAACCCTAGTCTCTAAGCCTTTAATCCTATTTAATATTTTTTATTACATTTAGAAATCTAGTATATTTTAACAATCACATGCAAAGTAGCCTTTGATTCATGTTCAGTTAACTCACAATGAACAGATTAAATCCCTCAGGCAATGAGTTAAAGTTACAACTTTGTTAAAGTATTTTAAAATTGTTAAGCTTCATTTTAAATGTACTATATAAGATTTTCTTGAATACTTAAATGACAAAAATAAAATGTAAGATGGTCCTGAGTTCTTAATCAATTATTAAAAATCTAACAAAGCAAACATAAATATGGTGAATTTTAAGTTCTCTTAAAAATTTAAATACTTATAAACTTAGTAATATTTTCCTTTTTTTCTCAACTAAGAAGTCACAAGTCCAAGGTCAATACAGATGTCAAATTAGAATCAGATCTTTTAAAATATCAACATCCTTAAAGCATTGCAAATGCCTTAAATATTAATTATTCCAGGTTATTCCTAAATTCATGCAAGTCTATTAATGCTGTGGCTTTGGTGTATTTTGCCATCTCTACATTTAATTCTAGCCACTAAAATCTTTTCCAGTCTGAAGTGACTTGGGGTTACCATTCTAGGGCAGCTAGAATTGTTTAACGACCAAAGATTTCACCCTCTCACAAAACCCAGAGCCATCTACACTCAGAATGAGTCTTCCTGCCCAACTATCTCCTGTTGGTTGGGTTTTACTGGACTTAGCCCTCTTGAGGGCAGGAGTGTCTTCCATGCTGCTAGGAAGAACCCTGATGCCATCACATTGGGCACCACGGAATGCCATTACCTCCTCATCTACCTTCATGGTCTGCGGGGTCATAGTGTATCCACGTGGACTCGGCAGATCTCTTGCGCTTGATGCTGGTCCCACCACAACACTCATGGCCACAAGGAAACCACAGGTGCTCTTCATGGAGCATGGGGTTGGGGGGTGGTTTAGTCAACGAGAAAGACCTGGGTAGCTGACAACTTAACTTTCAACAAGGACAAACACAAGGACTAAAACAGAAATGAAAAACAAATTTCAACACAGATGAAAATGCTAGACCAGGTGGGACCCAGAGGGAAGACAGGAGAGAAAAAGAACCTTCTCCAACCACTGTGAAGTGTGAGGGGCTATCTTCAGGAGGACACGAGACCAGCAGTGTGTACGTGATGCTTCACTCCCAGGAATACTTGCAGTAAATCATGCAATTCTCTTTACGGACATAGGTTTACTCATTCTCAGCAGTCCTTTCTGTTATCTTTAAAAAGCTCAACTGGCCAGGTGCAGTGGCTCACGCCTGTAATCCCAACACTTTGGGAGGCCTAGGCGGGCGGATCACCTGAGGTCAGGAGTTGGAGACTATCCTGGCCAACATAGTGAAACCTCGTCTCTACTAAAAATACAAAAATTAGCCAGGCGTGGTGGCGGGCACCTGTAATCCCAACTACTCGGGAGGCTGCGGCAGGAGAATTGCTTAAACCTGGGAGGCGGAGGTCACAGTGAGCTGCGATTGTGCCATTGCACTCCAGCCTGGGCCACAAGAGCGAAATTCCGTTTCAAAAAAAAAGAAAAAAGCTCTATTTAGGAAATCTCTCCTCATAAGACAGGACGCAGGCCAGGAGTCTCCCGTGGCGGCCAGGAAGGAGGGGACAGCAGGAGCTGCACCTCAGCCTTGCCCTCTCGGCCAGGCCCACTCCCTGCCCGGTATTCTCTGTATACAAGCATCACCACAGAGCAGACTGTTTCAATTATGAGTTCTTAGAAAGAAATAGTGCAATCTTGCTCCTGAATTTATAAATTAGCGGATACAGTGATCACAAATATCACAGGTTTTTATCCCATGTAAAAACCAAGGAATGTAACCTTTCCTCCAGGTATATGCTTATGTCATTTTTCCCTGGCAAAGCTAAACCACAACTCTCAAAGTAATACAGCCTAAATAAAACAGATTTAAATTTCACACCCACATACCTTAGTCAGAAAAAAATTAAAAAAAAAATAAATAAAAAGATGACTCAATGAAGAATACTGGAGATTTAAAGTTTCCCAGAAGTTAACAATGCTGTCTTTGCATTTCTATTTGTACAATGACTCACACAGATTACTTCTGATAACCCCACTCTCATCAAAGTCTTAATAAAGTGAACGACATGCAGCTGAATTCCCAACTTTTCGGACTCAAACCAGCAATTAGCAGGAAAAGAGCCATGCTATCCTGGCATAAACATTTACGTTCCACATTCAACACCCAGCAACCACTCAAAAACTGCATTGGGCCACGTGCGGCAGCTCGCACCTGCAATCCCAGCACTTTGGGAAGCCGAGGCAGGAGGATCGCTTGAGCCCAGGAGTTCAAGGCCAGCCTAGGCAAACTGGTGAGACTCCATCTTAATACAAACAATAAATAAATAAATAATTAGTCGGGGGTGGTGGCTTGAGACTGCCAGTCCGAGCAACTCAGGAAGCTGAGGTGGGAGCATCACTGGAGCCAGGGGGTTTGAGGCTGTAGTCAGCCGTGATCACACCACTGGACTCCAGCCTGGGTGACAGAGCAAGACCCTGTCTAAAACAAACAAACAAAAAACTACAACACACACCAAAGAGCAGGGGAGGTTTGGAGGGAGATCAACTGTCTCTCGACAGAGCAATTAACAGAACTATATTCAGAAATAACCCAGATATTGGCACTGTCAGTCAGGAATTAAAAATTATTATAATATGTTAAAAGTTCTGTAATTTCAGCAGAGACACAGATCTCTGGAGGAAAAATTTTCTAGGCCTAAGGTAATCAGAATAAATCAAACTGGAAAAAGAAAACAAAACACAAAAAGCCAAACCAAATCTAGAGGAAACATATAGTGTAAATACAAAGATGAAAATTTTAGTTTTAAATTAAAAGCTACAGCAATCATTAGGTAAAACATTGAGTCTGAAGTATAAAGAGATGAAGGATATAAACATGCAATTTAAAAATTAAAAGAATTCTGGGCCGGGCGTGGTGGCTCACGCCGGTAATCCCAGCATTTTGGGAGGCCGAGGTGGGCAGATCACGAGATCAAGAGATCGAGACCATCCCATCCTGGCCAACATGGTGAAACCCCGTCTCTACTAAAAATACAAAAATTAGCTGGGTGTGGTGGTGGGTACCTGTAATCCCAGCTACTCGGGAGGCTGAGGCAGAAGAATTGCTTGAACCTGGAAGGCGGAGGTTGCAGTGAACCGAGATCGTGCCACTGCACTCCAGCGTGGGCGACAGAGCGAGACTCCATCTCAAAAAAAAAAAAAAAAAAAAAAAAAATTAGAAGAATTCCAATACCTAGTAGCCTGTGGGACAATGTGCAATCTCATTAGTATTCAAAGAGCAGTAAATTAAAATCGGGAGTTACTGTTTCTTGATAATTAACAAACGTAATGCAAGTGTGAACAACCAAAGCTGGTGAGGAAGCAAACAAGAGGAAACACTTTGAGAAGCATTTGTCTATAGCAGAACCCTTTAAAAGTTTATTTTTCTCAGTAATACTACTTGTTGAGAAAGTAATCTATCTTGAGAAAATAAACCCAGATACAAAAAACATTTTATGCCCAAAGACATACATCAAAACACTACTTATAGTACCAAAATATTGAAAACCATGTCAATGTCCACTCTACATGATATAACTACTTATAGATAAATCAGTTTGCAAATGTCTGTTTCTGCCTTTCCTGCATGTGTCAATGCGCCGCATACCAGCCCCCAAAACAGAGCCGTCCCCACGCCACCCTGCAGACCTTCCCTCCGCACTCCTGCTTTCTTCCCTTCCCAGGAGGTTGTGTTGCAGCCCGAGCCTCCCGGGGTGCACCTGGGCTCTGCACGCAGACCTCCGCCTTCGTCTGTGTCTTGTCTTTCACTGAAACTCTCCGAGAACCCCCCAAGTTTCTACATTGTGTTCTAGGGTAACAGTACTGACATGGTTTAGATGTAACTCAGTATAGCTGGAAAGACCAAAGCAAGTCTTATGATAAATCCTGCACAACTGAGAAATGCAAAATTGAAAATAAAGCCCAACTACCCAATACAATATGAAAAGTTTTTATATCATCTTACATTAATCCTCTTTTATTTCATTACAGTTGACCCCTGAACAAGGGTTTGAACTGTGCAAGTCCACTTATAGATGGATTATTTTTCAACCAAACTCGGATCAAAAATACAGCCCCCCAGGATGTGAAACCCAGGCAAATGGAGGGCAGACTATGTGGGTTCTGTAGGACTTGAGTGTGTGAGGATTTGGGAGCACACGGGGGACCTGGAACCAATCCCCCATGTAGACCGAGGGATGACTGTAACTATTTTACAACTGACAATAGAAAATTGATGATTGCGATAGTAATATAAAATCAATTTGATAATATAAGGTAATGTGATATTTGTGACTCTGCTATCCATTCCAATAAATTATATCTCTGTGTATCCGCGTGTGAAGCAGCTTTCTCCATACTTAACCTGCACGCTTCCTGTTCTTCCTGAACTCCCTGTGTGAACAGTAGGCTCCCTCTGCAGCCCACACTTTCACACTCAGGGACCCATCAGTTACATCACAGCTTTCTTTCGTCTTTTGCATCTGTGGTTTGAGATACTTCTGCCTTGCTAGTTTTTTGCTGGAAATAAGTCTTGCTTGGCTACCATCTCAGCCAGGATAATTTAACTATGGAGCTTCTTGAATTTGTGTTCCCATCCTAAGCAGTTAAACAGCTACACTGATATCTTATGGCAAATATACCACTGTCCTCAGATGTCCAACAAACTGAAGCTGACAACGCATCCCTAAGTCACATCTGACAGGGCGCATGTGGCGCGCAGCTGCAGTTCCTGGCAGGACACCCAGGTGTGCTTCAGAGTCTTGGATTCCGAAGCCACTCTGCAGAGCCTGTGGTCCCTTGTGAGCTGTTACAGTTCCTTACTCATTTTGAGGGTCCTCTTAGCCACAGGCATTGTTAGAATAATTTTGTAAGTACAAGTATAATCCTCTTCTTCCCAAAGACTCACAAGTCTTATTTTGACAACTGAGCAGTAACAGTGATGAAAAACATTACTTTTTTTTAAGCGTATCTAGAAATTTACTCTGAGAGGCTCAAAACTTTAGTTTTGGAAAGGGGATAATCGTTCTCACAATTAAAATGTATTAAAACAAAACAAAAACAAGTCATGGAATCTGTCTCCCGCTTTTCAAAAGTGATGTGAGTTCCCTGAAACAAGATCGGTGAGTGCCACATCCGCCCCAGGTGACACACTCGAAAGCAGGGTTCCCAGAACGTGCCAGCCTCGGTCCCAGCGAGAGGTGGGAAGCTCATCCTGCAGTGCCAGATCTTTCACGAAGTGCGTTCATGAGCCTGAAGTCATGGAGAGGGTGCCAGCTTCCAGGACTCGGTGAGTGTGTGGTGGGGGCCGGCGCCCTGTCCCCAACCCTTTCTCACAGCCCAGTGCTCTCACCCTCAGTCCCGACACCACAGAAGCCACTGTGGAGGGGCCAGGCCAGCCACACATCCAGGAAAGGAGAGCTAGAAGGCCAATAGCTTATCTCTGCAGGCACGTATTCAGATCAGGGAAGTCACTCAAAGGCATGAGATGAAAGGGAGGAAGCAGGGAGCATGGGTGGGCATCATGCAATCCATCGAATCCTGCCTGAACAGGACAGAAAGGCAGAGGAGGGGACTTCACCCTGGTATTTGTCTATCTGCCTCTTTGAGCTGGGACACTAGTGTTCTCCTGCCCTTGGGCTGGGACTTAAACCAGTACCCCCCAATTCTTCCCCCATTCTCAGGCCTTTGGACTCAGGCGGGAACACCACCACCAGCTATCCTGGGGCTCCAGCTTGCAGACAGCAGATCTTGGGACTTCTCGGCCTCCACAACTGCATGAGCCAATTCACATAAAAAATTTCATCCATCCATCCACCCATCCATCCATCCATCTCTCTCCCTCTCTATCCATCCATCCATCCCTCCTTCCCTCTCTCTCCATCCATCCCTCCCTCCCTCCCTCTCTCCATCCATCCATCCCTCCCTCCCTCTCTCTCTCTCCATCCATCCATCCCTCCCTCCCTCTCTCTCTCTCCATCCATCCATCCCTCCCTCTCTCCATCCATCCATCCATCCATCCATCCATCCATCCACCCACCATCACCTACTGATTCCGTTTCTCTGCAAACGTGTTTCTGTAACATGTGTTTTATCCTCCTACTGGGAGGTTGGTCTTATCGCTCCCAACACTGATCCTGAGCTGTTGAAGGCAGGCAGCCTGAGTTTCCTGTCTGGTGGGAGGGGCTGCCCTGTGTGAGCTAACATCCTACTCTCCTCAATAACGCAGCCCGCTCTCTAGGCCAACACATGCACTTTACATGTTAATATGCCTGGGCTGGAACTTAGAAGGGTCTTTTCCTAAAATAAAAATTTCAAATCATTATTTTGATGCACCATCTAATAGATTTTCTTAAAACAAAAGCTTGAGTCACATGTTTCATTTTATGGGCATGATTTTAAACAACATTATGTGTAGGGTGCACCAGAGATTTAACAGAACAGAGAAAGAACATGCTACTTTAAAAAGGAAGGATGAATATTTTAAGGTTCAACAATTTCACAAATGTTAGTGAAGGGATAACGTGTATCTTAAAATCAAATAAATGTTTTCCTGCAAAATGAAGGCTTCTAAGCCCATCTGCCATGCGTTCCTGAAGAAGCGTTGCTATTTCAGAGACGTGTCTGATAACCATGACTGGAAAAACTGCATACTGCAAAGCTTTTGGAGTAACGGGCCTGCTTTAGATACTTCTATAGACAGAGACAGCACCAGATGAACACCACTCCTAAAATTCAATAACATTACAACATGAAATGTGGTAGAGTGTGTTCATGTTTGGAAATATTCCTTCTCTGTGTCCACCCACCCTCAGGGGACTCACTATCCACTCTGCTGGGCTGGGCTGGGCCTCATGGTGGGCATGACCATGGGGTATGGGATGGTGGCCAGCCTCCACCTTGCCCCATGGCAGCCAGCAGGTCTGGTGGGACTTCACCAGTCGGCCATGCTCCGAGATGAAGGGGATGCCAGACAGAATTGGATGACCTTCCATGAGTGTCAGGGAAAGCCTCTGGTATTCGGGAAATTCTGTCATATAACAAAACTCAAAGATGAAGATTACCATAAAATAAATTATTTTTCAGACCAGGCATGGTGGCATATAGACCTGTAGTCCCAGCACTTTGGGAGGCTGAGGTGGGAGGATTGCTTGAGGGCAGGAGTTTGAGACCAGCCTGGGCAAAATAGTGAGACCCCATCTCTATTAAAAATAAAAATTAAAACATGAGCCAGGTGGGGTGGTGCATGCCTGTAGTATCAGCTACTTAGGAGGTTGAGGCAGGAGGATTGCTTGAACCCAGGAGTTCGAGGCTGCACTGAGCTGTGATTGCATCACTGTACTCTAGCCTGGGCAAGAGTGAGACCCTTTCTCACAAAAAAAAAAAAGACAAGAAAAGAAAAAAAAGGAAAAGGAAAAGGAAAGAAATTATTTTTCAAGACTGGAACTCACGGATCTTTCAAAATGTACCAAGTACTTTACAGGGTACTTTCTTAATAGAGGAAACGAAGAAAGAAAGATGGTAACTTTCCTCAAGAGTGTGTTTATAATTAGCACAGACAGAATTATGAAAATCACAGTTAAGTAATTATACATTCGTGAATCATACAGCGATTATGTATTTTATGTGAATGTAAACTGGCTTAATTGGTAGCAAGGAAGAAGGATCCTCTCAAATATGCTCAAAAAGAAAAGGAAAAAAAAAAAAGAGTTACGTGGGCCACAAGAGGGACGCCAGCGGTGATGGGGAGACGAGACCCCTGCGCCCACGGAAAGACGCACCAACTCGCCGGCTCAGTCCACAGGTGATTTTCTGCCGGGTGGGTGCTGCGAGGGCACCAGGGGCAACCTGGGAAAGTGGGAATGGGACGCGGAGGTGGTGGCTGAGGGCGGGGTCCGGGCAGGCCCGCGCCGAGGAGGGGGCGTCCGCGCCGAGCCAGGAATGGCGCCCCCCGATGTCCACACCACGGTCCGGGCATCTGCGAACGGGCGGCCACAGATTCGCCCACAGGGAAAGGGGACTTGGCGGGTATGGCTGCGTCGGGGGCCTGGAGACGGGGAGATGGTTCTGGATGTCCCAGGTGTAACCACAGCGGGCAGGATAAGGACAAAGGGTCCACACGTGGAGGACGGGCGGGGAGATGGTCGGAGTGAGCAACGGGAGACGAACTCGGCCCCGAAGCAGGACGACGGCGCCTCCGGAAGCCAGAAAAGGCCAAGAACCGGCCCTGCGTGGGGAGCTTAGCCCGTGAGCCCCGCAGCCTCCCCACCACGGAACTGCAGTCGGGAAACCGGCCTTTTCCTCCGCGGCCCATGGGAGTGGTTCGTTACAGCGGCGACGGGAAGCGTCCAAGCGTCCCTCCAAGACATTCGCCGCAGCAGCTTTTAAACCATTTGCGTTTCTGCCGGTTTGCGCTGGGACACTGGTCTCCTCCCCTTGGGCTAGGACTTAGACCTGTACCCTCCAACTCTTACCCCATTCTCAGGCCTTTGGACTCAGGCTGGCACAAGCCACCAGCTTTCCTGGGCTCCAGCTTGCAGACAGCAGATCTTGAGACTTCTCAGCCTCCACAACTGAGTGAGCCAATTCACATAAAAAAATTCCATCCGTCTCTCTCTCTCCCCAACCATCTTCACCCATTGATTCCCCTATTCTGGAAACGCGTTTCTCTAATGTGTGTTTTATCCTCCTACTGGGAGGTTGGTGTCATCGCTCCGCAGTGCTGACCCTGGAGCATGCTTAGTGGGGAAACGCAGGTCCTTCTGAGATTTCAAGCTGTAAGGCGCTCTCCAACTGTGAAAGTGTGACATGGTCCTGGAATAACGGCGCCCACACGGTGCGTTAGGTGAGAGGTCAGCATAAAGTTTACTTTCTTATCCATAGCGACCATGTGGGCTGCCGTTTGGGATATAAAAACAATGGCACGGGCTTATCTTCCAGAAAGTCCTCTTATGAATGTGAGAGGCCAGAAAGTTGTTTCAGCGTGGAAGCACTTGCAAACACGGCCTAGGTTTTGGATGAATGGCAAGTCTATCTAGATTGGGTTTTTTTTCCAATTTCAAAAAGAACTTTAAAATAAATATTTAAATACGAATGGCAGGAACAAGGTATTTTATCTTATTACAATTGTGTGCAGCACTTAATAGATTTCCTACATAGAAGCTCCCAGGGGGGCGAAAGTGCATGGGCTTGGAAGCCGTGGGGATGCTGGTGCAAACTCTGAACTGCATATAAATTGATCTGTCTGGATCACTCATCTGAGACACAGCTGCACTAACATCTGCAAACAAAGCTGCGGACAAGAACTCGATAACGAGGAAAGACCCTCAAACAGCTCCTCGCTCTTGGGGGACGCTCAACAGTAGCTTTGGTTATTATTTTATACGGCATCATTTGTTCCCAAGCAACCTTGTAAAATACACAGGACTAATGCTATTAATGACCATTCTGTATCTGAGAGACTCAGGGAGATCAAGATGTCTACAGCCTGATAGACACCTGTGTTATGAAGGAGTAAGAAGTGTGGGAGCTGCCGTAGACGTCATCACACTCCAGGTTCCTTATGTAAGGTCTCTCACCAGCACCCTAGGTACACGGCAGCAGCCAGAGTCTGCCTCCTGGCTGAGCCGATTTCCATGAGTTTCTCCTCCTGATTGCAAAGACCGTCGCAGGCTTGGTGTCAGTGGCACCAGACATGCTTCTGTGACATTTCTCCACCAGGTTAACAACAGTCAATAGTGAACTGGCCATTCCCAAAACCCGCTTACTCCTGGTGTCATCCTGCAATGACCAGCTTTGCATTTTATCAAGAAAAACTTGCTTAAGTCATAGATGAAAGGTCTGATCATTTGATGAGGCTGTAATGTGGAGGTAGAAGAGAGAGCCTTAAGCCATTTGTCAAAACAGCCCACTTCAAAGTAGCAGTAATGACTGTGGAGCTAAAAATGTATTTATCATAAGATATATGTTTTAAGTTAAATTTATAGAGAGTGAGAAAGAACTACCAAGTACCCATCAGAAATGAGAAATTAGGGGGTCTGAGGCAGGGGTCAGCAAGGCTTGTTTCCAGAGCCTGGGTCATGACCCTGCTGATCAAAACAGGATGTAGCACAGGAACTGGCCCAAACCAGCTGGGGCCAAGATGGTGCTGAAGCCATCTCTGGTTGCCCTCATTACTCATTATGCACTAATTATAATTCATCTGCATAAGACACTCCCACTGGTACCATGACAGATTACAAATGCATGGAAACAACCCAGAAGTGACCTTATGTGGTTCCGGAACTCCCACCCCTTTTCCAGAAAGCTCATGAATAGCCCACCCCTTATGTAGCATATAATTAAGAGTGGGTATAACTATGCTCACCAGCAACCAATGCGTGCTGTTCGGGGCCACTCTGCCTGTGCAGCTACCGTTCTGCTACACACTTTGCTCGAAAAAACCTGCTCTTTCACTGCCACCTCACTCTTGAATTCTTTCCTGAGCAAAGCCAAGAACCCTGCTGGGCTAAGCCCCAATTTTGGGATTTCCTGCATCAGGTCTGGACTTGTCCTGTAAAATTCTGAACAGTTGATCATAGTCAATAAAGAAAGTAGCAATCCCCCAAGTGTGAGCTATGCTCTCACCGTTTCACTCCCCGATTTTCACAGCTCCAGCATTCTCTCATTACCAGATCCAGTCATTAGGGGAAATGCTGTTGGTGTTTGTGGCACAGACTTCCAATATTTGACCACACTTGTTCCCATGTTTTCCTTGTGTGTATGTTTTTATATCATAAACAAAATAAACCATGCTTAGGAGCATACTATCTTTCCTTCAAAACAGCAGCACCCTCATATACCGCTAAATGGAATCACGTATTAAATAAACACCACCTCCAAGTTTACCTGTGCTTCACACAAGAACTTCATTTGCTAACCAAGGGTATTCATTTTAAAGTGAAGCTCTCCTTTCTTATTAAATTATGCAGGATAGCCTTCAAAGGTTGCTGTCTTACTGAGACTTGGCCATTTTTCTTGCATACATGCTCTTTGGATTGTTGCAAGCCTCTGGTTAATTTTCAGAGTTCTAAGAAAGCTGGTTTTGACAATTTCTGTGACTGTTTTCATTGCCTTTGTGAAGGAGAAGATTTTCGGTGTCCTGTCCCACCATCCCACGTGCTTCTTTATCATGTTTACTTTTAACAAAAACTTGTCCTGCCTGTGGTTATTTCCAAATCTTAATTTTACACAGTTTTATGTGGTTAACTGTCTCTTCAATAATTACCAACATTGTCCAATCCTGAGAAAATTTAAGTGATCAGAAAACATATTTTAAGAGTTACTGTAGTCATGGTAAGTAATTATTTTAATACTATGTATGAAAATAAAAACTACTTCCAGTTGTTTGATTTATAATGCTGGGAAACAGAACGGTAGTGAGGTGATATATGTGGAAGAAAGTGGACTAATATCAGTAAAGAAAGGAAATTTTTAAAAATAAGGAACCAGCCAAATTTTTAAAAATAAGGAAATTTTTAAAAATAAGGAACTTAGTGAATTTTATATATATATATATATATACATATATATATATATAAATTCGGTATATGATATCATTATCCTTAATGAATCAGTGTGATGTATACGTATACATAACTGGTTTCTCGCTGCCTGTTCTTTAGCGGCCCTTCGTCAGGAAGCAAGGTTCATGACAACTACAACTTGTTGCTTTTTCCTCTTTATTTTGTATAACTATATTTACGCCATATTTGCTTCTTTTATTCATTAATCTCAAGGGCAAGAGAGACCTACCCAACCTTTTTCTCACTGAAAAGTTTCAAGTATTCAAAAACATTCTGTCAGTCAGGCTGAAAGACATTTTGATGCCAAATACTGAAGTGTCAGGACAGCTAACATCTGACTCCCCCCATAAATCACTACACCTCTCCCCACCGCCCACCCTGCTGGGTCTAGCTTTGCACTTTTCATTTTTCTTTCTTTCTGACCACCCCTCCATCTCACTGCCCAAATGCTATTCAAAGGATTATAAAAGATTACAACAACTCAAAACAATACGTTTTACAAATGTGGAATAGGTGATGGCACAAATATTATCAAGAAAAGCAGGTCCGTTACAGTGTATATGGCAGTCTCATCATGGAAAGAGTGAAGCATCATCAGGACGTATGTCGCAGTATTATTTATAATAGGGAAGGAAAACATAAATTCAAATTCCCATCTGGAGCAGACTGAAAAGATGAATTAGGGCCAAGGATGGAATTCAGCGGTGATGCTGATGGAAGCTCTGGTCCATGACAGCACAAGATGCACTTACTCATTTCCAATATTCAATATTATTCAATATACAGCGGTAGTACCGCGTGTGCCAGGCACGGCAACATGCCCTGAACCACGGCGATACGTCCTATAGCAGAGAAGAGCGGGTCACAAGACACGTGTGGAGTGCCGTTCCACCTGGTCACACGCGCTAGGCCAGAGCACACAGTCACACAGTGACGCTATTCTCTGAATCAAAGTCTCAATCTTAAAGAGACAAAATGAAATTATTCCCAAACACTGGAGATAACTAATACCTGATATTTATTTTTTATTTTTTTTGAGACAGAGTCTCATTTTGTTGCCCAGGCTGGAGTGTAGTGGCATGGTCTCGACTCACTGCAACCGCCGCCTCCCAGGTTCAAGCGATTCTCCTGCCTCAGCCTCCCAAGTAGCTGGGATTATACGCGCCCACCACCATGGTCGGCTCATTTTTGTATTTTTTAGTAGAGATGGCGTTTCGCCATGTTGGCCAGGCTGGTCTTGGACTCCTGACCTCAGGTGATTCACCCGCCTCGGCCTCCCAAAGTGCTGGGATTACAGGTGTGAGCCACTGCGCCTGGCCAATACCTAATATTTTTAATCCTTTGCAAAAAATCTCCCTCTACATTTTAATAGAAGACCATTCATTTTTATATACAATTGATTTGCAACGGTTATTTTCATGTTTTCTTCTAATTAAGAAAGTTTCTGGAAATGCTGCAGACTTTTTTCCATAAGAATTTTCAAAATCCCGTTCTTACTTGCTCTGCTGCTTGCTTTCTTGCTGGCACTGGTGTTCATGTTAGTGCCCCATGTAACCGTATTTGTCTACATGTAACCGTATTTGTCCACAGGTCTTCCCATACGTTCCTGTTTCATTCAATCAAACATGCATGACTGCTGAGTGGCAAACACCTTCATTATAAAAGAAACTTTTCCAGATTCATTTCTCCACAATAAAGGTTTATTTCTCTCTCTCTCGCCAATAAAAATATATTTCCTAAGTTCTCCTTGCACTCAGTGAACACTGGCATGTAACCTTAAGTATTATAAGATTTCACCAAAATAAAGTCATAAAGATACAAAAATATAATGTAAGACTTGTATGCAGCAGAGGCGCCCCACCCACTCAGCAAGACTGTACCTGGGGCGCTGATGGGTTGAAGGCCACTCCAGTGACAGTGTCTGTGTGCCCAGCCAGCCGGTGAGAAAACGTGCTTGAGCCCATTTCATACACGTAAGCCTACAAGACAAGATGAGCAGGTGTGCCATGTTAACTCAGAGTCAGGAATCACCTGTAAGCTAGGCAGAGCAGAGGGACCATCTATAGATTAGTGTAGTTGATCAGATACAACAGCAACAACCAAGATGCCTGACAAAACATCATCCAAGCTGGGGAACTAACTTTATAAAATAGGCATCTTTTCCCCTTCTCTCTTGTAGATTTTTAACATCTTAGTGAACTTATGTCATACTTTCTATTTACTATCAAAAACCTCTATAGTACCCTGTGAACAGTTTTAAATATGTGCTCATGATTGATGACTAATTTTAAGGAAGGAGTATAGATTCTGTAATTCAACCTTACCTTGAAGTTCCAAATTGAATGGAAAAAAAAAAAAAAAAAAGATGCTCTATTGTCCTCCCCCATAAACTTGAGGTAGGAGATAGGTACATACACTATGCTTTGCTTCCTACTCATCAGCTTAGAATTTGAGCAATTCAAATACTTAGATTTTTTATAGCTGTTGATAAATAAGTTCCTCTTTAATTGTGTGTGTGTGTGTGTATATATACATATATATATATATATGTATATATACACACACACACACACACACACACACACATAAAATTCTGGATATATATCCAGAATTGCCATCAAATAGTTTATTTTGGAGACAAAATCTGTTATCAGATACCATTCTGATGGAATTGAGAGATGAGATAATCATTAAGTAACAAAGTGTATCAACAAATATTTTCTGAAAGCCTACTAGTAATAAAGAGCAACGTCACATTGCAGCAGGAGGAAGGTGTCAAAGACAATTCCTTTTTCCCGCAAAAACCTACTATTTTTAAAAAATGAAGCGTATTGTGTATATTTGAAGTTTGCAATATGATTTTATGGGATCCATGCCTACAGATATGAAGATAATAGTACTAGTTACTGTGGAGAGGTGGACTCTCATATCTATCATCTCACATCGCTACTTGTATTTGTGACAAGAACAGCTAAAATCTATGTAGTTCAGGAAAATCCCTAATACACCATGGTTTTACTAACTTGAGCACTCATGTTGCACGTTAGATACCTGGACTTCTCCATCCTCGCAGCTGCTGTTTCGTATCCTTTGACCCACATCTCCCCCTCCCCGCCTATGTCTACCCTGTTAACCACACTTCCTTCCATCATCTATCTTGTGTCTTTGAGCTCTTGTTAAGATACAGATTTCACACAGAAGTGAGATCCTGCAGTCTTTTTCTTTTTGTGTCTGGTTTATTTCACTTAACATAATGTCCTCCAGGTCCATCCACACTGTGGCAAATGGCAGGCTATACCGTTGTGTGTACATGTGTGTACAGACATAGGCACACACACTCCTATATCATATTTTTTATTAATTTGTTCATTGATGAGCTTTTAGGTTGTTTCTATAGCTTGGCTGTTGTGACTAATGCTAATGAACATGGGAGGGCAGGTGACTTTAAGTGGTGCTGATTGCCTCTCCTTTGAGCATATACCAGAAGGACTGCTGGGTCATACTATAGTTCTACTGTCACTGTTCTCTATACTGTTTTCCAGATGGCTGCACCAACCTACATTCCCACCAACAGTGCACAGGGTTCCCTTGTTTCACACCCTCACAACATTTGCTATCTCTTGTCTTTTTGATAACAGCCATCCTTACAGGTATGAGGTGCTAGCTCAGTGGTTTCAATTTGCATTTCCCTTATGATTAGTGATGTGGAGCACCTTTTCGTATAGCTTTTTGGCCATTTTTATATTGTCTTTGGAGAAATGTCTATCCAGGTCCTTTACTCATTTTTTAATCAGGTCATTTGTTTTTCTGCTATTGAGTTGCAAGAGTTCTTTATAAATTTTGGATATTAAACCCTTATCAGGTATGTGGTTTGCAAATAATTTTTCCCAGTCCATAGGTTGCTTTTTCACTTAAGAAAAATAAAGTTGGAGGCATCACACTTGATTTAAGATTATATTACAAAGCTATAATAACTAAAACAATGTGGTACTGCCAAAAAACACAAACACAGACCAATTAGACAGAGTATAGAGCTCAGAAATAAATCTAAATGTATATGGACAACTAATTTTCAATAAGGCCATCAAGAGGACACAATGAGGAAAGGATAATCTCTTTAATAAATGGTGTTAGGAAAACTGGATTTCTGCACACAAAAGAATGAAATTGGACCTTTATTTTACCATACATAAAAATCAACTCAAAATGGATGAAAGGCCTAAAATCATAAAACTCCTAGAAGAGAACATAGTGGAAAAGCACCTCAATATTGACCTTGGCAATAATATTTTGAACGTCAGAAGAAAAGCTCAGGCTACAAAAGTAAATAAATGGGACTGCATCAAACTAAAGAGCTTCGGCTCAGCAAATAAAATAATCACCTAAAAGAACTATTTTAATGTAAGAATGAGTCCTTCAGATGTAGGCCTTCCCAATGATTCTGTCAATGACTAAGCAGGTTTTGAAGTAAAGTCTACAAATAAATGTCTGATATACAGTCGACCCTTGAGCAACATGGTGGCTAGAGGTGCTGGCCCTCCAAGCAGTCAAAAATCCACATGAAGCTTTTGACTCTCCAAAAACTTTACTCATAACCTACTGTTGACCAGAATCCTTACCAATAACATAAACAATCAATTACCATATATTTCATATGCTATATGTATTAATACTTTATTCTTACAATACAGTAAGCTAAAGAAAAGAAAATGATATTTAAAAAATTATAAGGAAGAGAAAATATATTCACTATTCACTGAGTGGCATCATAGAGGACTTCATCCTCATTGACTTCATGTTGAGTGGGCTGGGGAGGAGGAGTAGCAGGGGTTGGTTTTGCCGTCTCAGCGGTGGCCGAGGCAGAAGAGGTGGAGGAGGTGGAAGGGGAGGCAGCAGAGGCAGGCTCACTCGGTGTAACTTTACAGAAATACGTCGTATTTTCTGCCTGACATTTTTGCTTTTTCATTTCTCTAAACATTTTTCCATATGGTACCAATCCTTCTCCTACCATTTGCTTTCGTTTCAGTGCCTATATCATAGAAGGATCCGTGTCGTGAAAGACATCAAAAGCATTGAGTCATCAGAACCCTTCTTCCAGATTGTTTAATGTCAATTTGTTTCCTGGCACTGCTTCTTCCATGTCTTCTTCCTCACTGTCTGGCATTGGTTTGAAGCACTCCTCTGGTGTGGTGTCTGTTAGCTCTTGAATTTCTCCAAGATCCATAGCTTGAAACCATTTTTGCCATATCCACGATCTCTTTCATGATTTCCTTGATTGGCCCTGTCATAAATCCCGTGAGGTCATGCACAACTCTGGACAGTTCTCTCCAGTGGGAATTGTTTCAGGGTTGATGGCCCGCATGGCTTTTCCTATAACAGTAATGGCCTCTTCAATGGTGCAATCTTTCCAGATTTTCATGATGCTCTCTCTATCAAAGTTATCTTCCATAGCATTGACAACCCTTTCCATAGGGTTCCATGTGTAATGACCCTCTGATCTAGAGGCTGGATGACAGATGTTTGGGGGCAAGACCACTTTGACGCCTTTGGTGTTAAACTCATTGGGTTCTGGGTGGCCAGGGGCATTGTCCAATATCAAAAGAACTTTAAAAGGCAGTCATGGCCGGGCACGGTGGCTCACGCCTGTAATCCCAGCACTTTGGGAGGCCAAGGTGGGCGGATCATGAGATCGAGGCCATCCTTGCCAACATGGTGAAACCCCGTCTCTACTAAAAATTCAAAAATTAGCTGGGCGTGGTGGCACGTGCCTGTAATCACAGCTACTCAGGAGGCTGAGGCAGGAGAATTGCTTGAACCCAGGAGGCAGTGGTTGCAGTGGGCTGAGATTGCACTACTGCACTCCAGCCTGGCGACACAGCTAGACTCTGTCTCAAAAAAAAAAAAAAAAAAAAAAAAAAAGGCAGTCGCTTCCTGACTTCAGGGACAAAGTATCAATGGAACCAATCCAGGAAAACGTTCTCACTGTCCTGCTTTCTTGGTGAACAATGAAAAGATTGGCAGGTGGTGTTTTTTTCCCTCCAAGGCTCAGTTTTATGGATAAGGACAGCCCCGATCACAAGCTCAGCTGCATTTGCACAAACCAGTAGAGTTGACCTATCCCTTCCTGCCTTAAGTCTGGTGTTCCTTCTCTTCCTTACCAATAAATGTCCTTTGTGGCATGTTTTTCCCTAAGAATTGGGCACTTACATCTGCACTAAAAACCTGTTCAGGAAGATATCCTTTCTCCTCAAGGATTTTCTTTTTTTTTTTTTTTTTTTTTAAAGACAGCATCTTGCTCTGTCGCCCAGGCTGGAGTGCAGTGGTGCAATCTCAGCTCACTACAACCTCCACCTCCTGGGCTCAAGCGATTCTCCTGCCTCAGTCTCTCAAGTAGTTTGGATTACAGGTGCCTAGCACCACACGCGGCTAGTTTTTGTATTTTTAATAGAGACGGGGTTTCACCATGTTAGCCAGGCTGGTCTCGAACTCTTGACCTCAGGTGATCCACCCGCCTTGGCCTCCCAAAGTGCTGGGATTACAGGTGTGAGCCACTGCGCCCGGCCCTCAATGATTTCCTTAATGATGTCTGGGAACTCAGCTGCTGCCTCTTGGTCAGCAGAAGCTGCTTCTCCTGTTATCTTGAACTTTTTAAGCCAAACCTCTTCTAAAATTATCAAGCCATCCTTCACCTTCCCTTTGCTTTGTCAGATAATGACTTCACTTTTTCTTGAATCATATTAGAATCTACAGTATGCCTTTCTCATAACAATCCTGTACCCACATAAAAGCTGCATTTGCAATGAGATTAAAAAGGATTTAACAAAACGTGCAAGGTTTTCGTGCCTGCTGGCATAGCTGCAGCCATGTCTCCATGAGTTTCCTTTTCTTTTTTTACACTATTTCTTACACTGGATTCATTTATCCTGAAATGGCAGCGACTGCCAGTCTATGGTACATACCAAGCAATTCAGCTTTTTCTGTAAAGCCGTGGCTTTCCCTGCTTCTTGGGAGAAGGTTCAGCATCTCCAGGGGCACTTCCTATGGGCCCCATGGTGTAATTCAAGGTTTACAGTATTGCATTAAACACAATGAAAAATACACGAGAGCTATAAGAGACCGCCTTTTACGGTAACACACAATTTACTGGAGAGACGAACAGCTCATGCAGAGGCGATGAGCATCACACAGCATTTTAAGGGATACTTGTAACTCCTGAGCTCACCACAACAGCAAGAGCAGGGGTGATGAAATGAGGACAGGAGTGCTGGAGGGACTACAGTTGAGTTTATGAAGTGATGATTTCATACAGCATTTCTGCATTTGTTTATATTTCTCTTGACTGAGAATGTGCATACATTCTAATAAATTTTAACTTTTTAAAAAGATGTGTGTATATTTTATGATAGTCAAGGATAAAACAGACTAGTATCTACATATAGTTTATGCATTCATGACATATGTTTTTAATTTTCTTATACTTTTAGGCTATGTGGTTCATCTGTGAGTTTTTTCAAGTTGTTGAAAATCTCCAAAAATGTTAATATATTTGTTGAAAAAAAATCATGTATAAGTGGACCCGTGCATTTCAAACCCATGTTGTTCAAGGGTCAGCTGAATTTTTAAGGAAAGTGGAGAAATCAAATGTCTACATTTTATTTTCTTCTGCCACAAGCACATGCTTATTTGAAAAGTATTCCCGTGCAGTTGCTGCTGTAAGGGGTGGCGTGGGGCCTGGGAATGTGCACTCCTAACAGGTTCCCAGGTCAGGCTGCTGCTGCTGGTCCAGGGCACCCCACTTTGGGAACCACTGGGTGAGGGTAACCCTAACATTTACACAGTGTGTCACTATTTACAAAACACAACTGTTACATAAACCATTTACAATAACGGACCAAGGTGCATCCATATTTTATTGAAATCTCCATTTTTTTATTGAGGAAACCATGACAGGTAGAGAGCACTTTGCCAGGACAGCCACGGAGCCTCAGTGCTGAGATTCCAAACTGATTTTTCTGACTAAGGTTTTGCTATTTATTTCACTAGGCTGCCAAAGACAACTCCCATTCACACATGGTTTAGGGCATCCTCAAATTCCCTCTAATCTCACAGGTGTTTCCAAAACCATCTTTGCTTATTTTGCTATTTTTAATTCAGGACTGATTTAATATCAAAGGGTTTCTGAGGATCCACTCTTCAGAACTCCTGTCTGCCTGCTGTTTAGATTAAATGGATAAGGGAAATTATAATGACTGAGTCTCTTTTCCATCCATTATTTCCAATGATAAAATACAGAGGTTAACAGCAGCAAGTACTTTCTGGACACTGACCTTTTGCCAGGCACTGATAAGAATTTTACATAAATTTTCTCGTGTAACCCTCTCAACAGCACTATGAAGAAAACACTTATTGCCCCAATTCTATAGACAAGGAAGCCAGGCTGAGGGCAGGCAGCCTTCCAAGGCCACTCACCTCTTGAAAAGCGCTTCCTGAGATCAGCTGGCTCCCATTTGCATGAAACCTCAAAACACACACTGAATGACATAATACAGTGGCAGGAGGTGAGGTAAAACGTATCCAGGAAAGGCCTTTTGTTTCCTCAGTGAGAATGAAATTAAATGAAACATCTTTTGGTCCAGGGGATTCTTGGGGTACATGAATTTTCTGATCATGACAACTTTACATGTGACACAGCAATTGGAAGCCCAAATATCAATATTTTAGTAGATAGGCAGGTTTCTTATGCTGTGATCCTACACAGTGTCATAAATACAGAAGGACAATAAGCCTCTTGTATGACACAGAGCGATGGTAATGAACAGCTCTGCAAATGATTCAATGTAACCACAATCCATGTGTGAAAGAAACATTTTAATTAGAGGTACTCACTGGATTCATGAAGCACTTCACCCACCACAGAGAAACGAGCTGTGGCTAAGACATACTCAGAAAACAAACAGAGTTGGAAATAAAACCTATGCGGGTAAATCTTATGCCAGAACCAAATCAAGGGAAGCAATATTTTTCAGGCAAAAGATGAGGATGTGGCATAAATCTGTGGGTGCTGGAATAACGCTTGACTGCTCAAAAATGTTTTTACAAAAATTGTAAGGGACTGAATGTACTACTGAAGAAGAGAAGTGTTTTGGAAACAGGACTACACCGATTCATTACAACTATTTTGTAACTCTGTTGAGCCACATCTGTGAGAATGAAGTTTCTTTCATTTTTCCTTTCACAGAGTACCTAACGTGACCTTCATTTCCCTTTACCCAAATTAACCCCACAGCAGAAAGGAGACAAAGAATTACAAACAGAAGTGAGTGTTGCACTCCTGAAACTTGACAATGGTAGTGATATTTTCCACAGGGGAATCAACTATCATATTATGCTCACTTATTTTGCTTTTGAAAATAATTCCAGAAATGATATTTTCTGAATATTCTGCACATTTCTTCAGATACTGAATTTTTAGTTTATAAAAAAGTAAACTATTCTCAGAAGACCAAAACGTGCAAGATTTAAAACAAAGTCACACTAAGACAGAAGCCTTGCCTCCTTACAGCAAGAGGCAGAGGCTCTGTTAGAGAATTCCTGATGGTGGCACGCAGGGCCACCTGGCCGCCCGCCACACCAGCCATGGGAGGCGAATGGCACCATCTCATCAGGCTGCAAGGCTGACGCACAATCTCCAACTCTTGTCAACCTCCATCAAGGTCTGGCAAAATAAATATGGCACACACAGTAATAAACCCCACCCTTTTCTCTGGCACTTCCTCTTGTAAAGACGTAGCAGAACAGGGCACTGGTGTGGTACCACCCACCGGTCTAACCAGTGGACAGTGGTAAATACCTGAGGCAGCAGTAACTTTTTAAGGCCTGGGATAATATGCCATTCTGTGTCTACGCTCCATGTTCCTTATCCATTCCCCTGAGACGGACATTTAGGGTACTTCCACACTGTGGATACTGTGAAGAGTGCTGCAATGGCCATGGAAGCGCAGGTATCTCTTCCATATACGGATTTCAATTCTTTTGGACAAATACCCAGGAGTGAGATTGCTGGATCATGTGGATTCTACTTTTTGCTCTTTGAGGAAACAACACACATTTTCCGCAGTGGCTACCTCATTTTGCATTCCCACCGACTGTGCGGGAGCTCCCCTTTCTCCACATCCTCATCATCACCTGTCTTTCTGATATTCTAACAGGTGTGAGGTGGTGTCTCAATATGGTTTTGACTTGCATTTCCCTGATGATTGGTGATGTGAGCCCTTTTTTCCTGTACCCATTGGCCATCTGTATGTGTTCTTAAGCAAAATGTCTATTATTCAAGCTTCCTTTGGGCCATGATCTTCATCTGATAATTTCACCTACTGATGACATTTGCCTAAGTCAATTACTCCATCTGAGATTGAAGAGGGTGATTTTCTAATTCTGCCATTCATCCATTCTACTTGTCTGCAATTCTCTAAGAAATAACTTTCCCTTACCAAGTAGGGTATTTGGTTTACTTAAAATACAGTCCGAACAGGAAAGGCAGACAAATGTTTAATTATTTTCCTTTATAAGACACACTTCTGACTAAGGGACAGGTGCCCTAGTTACCTCCAAATGGGGACCAATGACATTTTATGTTTTTGTTTTTAGCTATAGCTTTTTGGGGGGAGCATTATCAAAAATGATGAGGGTTTAGATATACAATGTTGAAGTCAATCACAGTCATTACTCTTTGGATGGTCAGCTAGCCCTCCGCTGGCCAACAGAATACGGCACAGGTGTGGTGCTGCCCGCTGGTCTAACCAGCAGACAGTAGTGCATGCCTAAGGCAGCAGCAGCTTTAAGGCCTTGGGAATTGGCTGTTGCCTGTGGCCTTGTTATATGACTCCATTACCCTTTGATTTCTTTTCTCTTTGGCACAAGATGTCCCTGGCTCATCTTGTAAGTCTTCTGCCACAGACCTGGAACCAGCTCTCCACCCAGGGAGTTCTGGCTTCTATTAGTGGGGAACGGCATTTAGAGGTTGCAAAGAGGGTACTAAGGGTGATGGCTGGAATGTCACTGCTTCCAAGCACCTTCCGTGGCAGGAGCTAAGAAATACTGGTATTCGTGCACCAGTTGCACATGGTTTTAATTCGAAAGGCTTTCCAACAGAGGTTAACGGCTGACAGGGCAAGTTCTCCTCATCATCATGTTCTTTTTTCCGGGGGTATTTGGACCATTGTTACTTGTTTATTCTCCCAAGTAACTTTCAGTCTAACAGTACAGCTACAGAAAAACCTACTGGCATTTTGTTGTTGTTGTTGTTGGGGGAGTGTTAAATCTACACATTACCTACAGAGAACTGCCTTCTTTAGGAAACTAAATCTTCCTATCCAAGAACAAGTTAGGATTTTGCGTTTGTCCAGGTCTACACTTCTGGGGGAAAAAAATGTTCTTAATGCAGGTTTTGCAGAAATCTTGTTAATACCGGAATGGTTTATCCTTTTTGAGGCTATTCTCAATGAGTTCTCCTCTTCCACTATAACTTTTCAGAGGTTATTTTTTATATCTATAAAGACCATTGAATTCCATATATTAGTTTAAATACTACTACTAATCTTTCACTTAATTATTTTATTGTTCATATTGGCCACTAATTATCTTGGGTTTTCCAGATATGCAATCTTGTCACCTATGAATAATTTTAGCTGTTCTTTTCAGTGGTAATATCTGTTAAGTTGTCCTGTCTAATTTCAAGAGAAATACCTCCAATACCCTGTAAAATAGTCATGGAATTAATGAACATTCTGGCTCTGTTCCCAACCACAGAATGCCTCTAAAGTTTTCTCAGTAAGATGTCAGCTTTTGGGCTGAGATAAGCATTTTATCATTTGAAAGAGGCATTCATGGATTCCTCTTTTACCGGGTGTTTTAGCAGAAATGAATCCAGAATTTTATTGAAGCATCCAGGAACATGGTTATAAGAGTCCTCTTTTTGTATCAGTTAATATTATGAGGGAATTATTAGTGGATTTATTGATAGTGAATCATGCTTGCATTCTACGCATAAACCCCACTTGGACATGATAAATTATTGTTAATGCACTAATTCTATGTTCCTATTTAAGCTTTTCAATTGATATTCATAAATGAAATATAACTCCTTTCTGAAATTTCATCAAGTTTTCTATCAGTTATGGTTACTTCAAAAAGCAGTCTGATGTCTTCCTTATTTCTCTATGCTTTAAAACAGTTAAGTATCTTTGGGACTATTTGATGTTTAAGAGGTTGGTAAAATCCCCTGAGAAAGCACATGGGCCTGGTACTATTTCACAAGGAGTTCTTAGGAAACGTTCTCTATTTCTTCTACGAAAAGTGGCCTGTTAAATTTGTTTCTACTTTGGGGGCCAGTTTGATAAACTAAATTTCTGTGACTCAACCATTTGTATAGAGGCTTTCATATTAATTTGCACAAATTATGAGAAGCAGTCTCATGATTTTCAAAATCCTTCTGCTCCATGCTTCTGCCTCCTCCTCATTTCTTATTATAGATTAAGCTTTCTCTCTTTATAAAAAAAATTGCACTATTAAGTTTATTTTGTTGCTTGTGTTTTTAAAAAGCTAGTGTTTTGGCCAGGTATGGTGGCTCATGCCTGTAATCCCTGCACTTTGGGAGGCCAAGGTAGGTGGATCACTTGAGGTCAGGAGTTTGAGACCAGCCTGGCCAACATAGTGAAACCCCATCTCTACCAAAAATACAAAAACATAGCTGGGCGTGGTGGCGGGCGCCTGTAATCCCAGCTACTCAGGAGGCTGAGGCAGGAGAACCTCTTGAACCCGGGAGGCGGAGGTTACAGTGAGCTGAGATCGCGGCACTGAACTCCAACCTGGGCAACAGAGCAAGACTCTGTCTCAAAAAAACAAACAAACAAACAAACAAACAAAAAACAAAAAACACAACTAGTGTTTTAATTTATTTATTAATTCTACTGATTCTCTGTTTTCTAACTTATCACCTGCTTTTATCTCTATCCATTTATTTCTTCTGATTTACTTTGTTGTTCCCTGTCTGGCTTTTTAGGTAGATATTCATTTATTTTTTCCCTTTTAAAAACGTCTGTGATATAGGTATTTGGTGCTATAAATTTCCCTTCAAAAACTGGTTTATGGGTATTCCAGAGACACTGATATATCATGTTAGAAACAACATTATTTTCAAGAAATTCTACAATTTCCTATTTTGTTTGACACCTTTAAACCAAGAGTTGCTTAACAGATGGAATTTTAATATTTAGAAGCAAGAAATTTTTTGGTTTTTAAATTTGTACTTTGATTGCATTATAGTGAGAAAATGTTGATTTTTTGTTCTTATTTTAATGTATTGAGCTTTTCTCTGGATTCATTTATGGTCATTGTTCATAGATGTTTGATGTGCACTTGAAAATAAGACACTTTCCTTGCTGGCAGACAAACATTACTATGAATATCTACAAGATAATGCATTATCAATTATGATATAGAGGTTTCCTATAACCTTATAATTTCTGTGCACTTGACCTGCCAAGGACTGAGACAGATACGTTAGTCTCCATTATTAATGTGTGGCTACTTATTATTTGGTTCTTATTGTTTCCACCTTGTGAAATTTGTTTATTTTCTTCAAAATTAGATACTAACATATACTGTATTTTCATTGTGAATTTTAGTCTTTGGCATTATAAGTATCTTTGCCTCATAATTTTTTGGTTGAATTGTGTTTTGTGCGATACTAAAATCATATAATCTGCTTTATTTTTATTTTCATTTGCCTGGTATACATTTCACATCTCTTCTCTTTATCCTTTCTGGATCACTTCGGATTAAAGCATCTCCTGTATTCAGCATGGACTCAGATTTTTTTCCTCATCTGTAAAATCCAATCTGAAAGTTTTTTTCTTTTTTTCCTTAAACATTGATATGAGCCAGGCATGGTGGCTCAGGCCTATAATCCCAGCACTTTGGGAGGCTGAGGCTGCAGGCCTGAAGCCAATTGTTTGAGAGCAGCCTGGACCACATAGTGAAACCTCATCTCTAAAAAACTAATGAGCCAGGCTGGGTGGCATGTGCCTGTAGTTCCAGCTATGTGGAAGGCTGGGGCAAGAGGATGGATTGAGACCAGAAGTTCAAGCTCATAGTAAGCCATGATCGTGCCACTGCACTTCAGCCTGGGCTAACAGAGCAAGACTCAAAAATAAACAAAAACAACAACCACAAAGACATCAATATGACTGACATTTTCATCTCAGTTTCATCATAGTATTTTATTTTTAATTCTATTTAATGTATGGCAGTTTACGGTTTATTTTATTTGTCCTATCTAGATAGTTCTTTGGGCACTTAAAAATGGTAGAATTCTTCTTCCAGCAGTTATCTTTTATTAAAAGCTTTATGCAAAACTCTTGGTCCACTCCTCTCTAAGACAATGCATGTTAGTTCCCTACTATGCCCAATAGTGAGGTTGTCTAGCAACCATTTTTCCATCTCTCTTCCTCTACATCCAATTTTAATCATAATTATCTTAATATTTATACTCTTAATTACATTTAAGAGTTTACAATTCTATTGTCAGCTTCAACTGATCTCTTCTTATTCAATTAACATCTACAAGGAGAATCAAGAGAGGTATTCTACTTTCTAGTTATATTCTCACATCTCCCAGTTTTGTACTATTAAACTATAACAGATAGAATATTTACAAAGTATTCTGGTACCTTCATTCCCATTTTTTATCTTACATAGTTAAACATATTCAGTGCTCACCTTGAGGCTTTTGCTGAAACTTCTTCAATCTTACCTTGGTTTTATACAGCTTTATTTTTTTTTTTTTCAATATAACTCAAGGGAACACCATTCAGTTCTGGCATATTCATAACTGTGTGTCTGGTTTTATACTCAAAAAAAAATTTAGCTGGATATTAAAATTCTTGACTCAGATTCTCTTTTTGAGTAAGTAAAATACATTCTTCCCAATGTTTTTTTAACAAAAAAAGATGATTTACAAAAATCCAATCCAAGCTGATACTCTTTCCCTTATAAGCATTTGAACATTTTACATGGATCCACAAAGGTGTTTTTTTGTTAATGTTTATAGTCAAATAGATTTGTTAAGCTATATTTCTGTGCAAACTAGTCTGAGTCAATTTTCCCAGGTATTCGTTCAATATCTAGATTTAACTAAATTTTTTTAATTTTAGAAAATATATTTTTGAACTATCATAGTATTTGTTCTGTTTAATTGACTTTTTAAAAAAATGTCCAGGGACTCCTTTTACATGTAGGTTGAATCTCTTTTACCGAACTTCTATATTTACCTTTCATCTTGAATGTCTTTTATCATTTTCTTTATTTACTTCTCTCATTTGTATCCTTTTTCCCTATTGTGCTCTCTGTATTTGCTTTCTATTATATTCCTTTGTATTTGGTCTTTATTTCTGAATTTTTTTCTAATGCTTTCCTAATTTTCATCAGTTCTCATTTCATATATTCCTGTTGTCTAGCAATTTCTGATGTTTTATGTGTTTTCTTAACTTTCTTAAGCTAATTTGCAAATATATCATTAGTTTTCACCTGTTTAGCAGACACATTTTTATGGTGTACTCTTGTTGTCTGTGAGAATATTTTTTGGTTCATCCTTATTTTTTTTTGTATTATTAAAAAAAACTGTGATATCTAGAAGTTGTATGACACAGAAATCAGGAGATATAGAAAAAAATAGAGAGAGAAGATAGGTAATTTGGAGGCATGTTGTGAAAGTCCTTTTAAGACACACATAAGATCTTGGTTCTACATAGAGAGCTTGCAGAATATTTTAAACACATAGTATTTACAAAGAAAAGTGTAATCATATTTACATTAAAAAGTGTCATGATCATCAATAATCTGTTTTCTAGTCATTTCTAGTCATTAAGAGAAGTTTGTTAAAGTCTTCCATTATGATTGAAGATACTTCTTTTTCTTCTTAGAGTTATATCATTTTTGATTTATATATTTTGAAACTACGTTATTGGGTGCATACAGGTTTATGACATTTTCTACATAAATTGGCATCTTTGTCATATTAAATGTTGTTCATTATTTTTAGTAATGCATTAAGACCCAAAGTCTACTTTACACTAAAGTATTATCATATCAGCTTCATTTCCCATCCTGCTACTTTCAACACTTCTGTCTCTACACTCTTAATTTCCAATGATATATCTTTCAGTTCTAGGAAAGTCCAACAATGCAGTAAAATTCTCCATCCTTATATCTGTGGTCTCTGACTTGTACTCTATTTCCCTGAATATATTAATCATGGTTATTTTTAAAACCTTGTCTGCTAAGTCCAATACCTGGGTCACCCATAGTATTGTTTCTATTATGTTTTTTTTTCTTGATTTTTTGCCTCTTGACATACTTGTAATTTTTGACTGAAAGCTAAATGCTATGTATATTACAAAAAAAACTCCCAAGGCTCAAAATTACATTATTGTACTCCAGAAAGGTGGGCAGATGAAGCAAGAAAAGACTTCCTTACTATAAACAGAGTTGAGCAGACTCAAGGCTGGATTGCAGCTTGGGTGAGATTCCATCAACTCCTGGTTTATCCAGGGGTAAGCTAAGGTGTCCATTGGGAATTCCCACCCTACTAGCAGGTACTGACCTCTAATATTCATAGCCTCAGCCCTGAAATATTGTTAAAAACCCTACTCTGCTTCTAAAGGTCTTCTGCTGAGCCTACCTGTTTCTTGCCCTCCTTAGCTCCAGAATTGAATAAAATATGTTGACAGGAATACTGGTAGTGTCAGGCATGGCACTTGACCCTCCATGGCCCTAAAGTTTTCAAGTTTTTATCTCTACATCCCTGCAATATCAAAAAAAAGTTCTGCCAATTTTTATGCACAACTTCACCTCTTACCATTCATACACACACACACACACACACACACACACACACACACACACAGATGCATCCCTCTGTATGGCCTTTGCCTGAAACATAGGTCTCTTTTTTTTTTTGTTTAGAAATGGCAAACTCCTTCAGAGAAAAAGTACCTACAGAATGTGAGCTGCCCCTTTGCATCTCATAACCTAGTTAAACCAGGGTTTGTGTAGTAGTTCTGATAGGCACCCTAGTTAGTTTCACGCTATTCCATCATAGCTAGTGCTGAACCTGAATATGAAGAATGTGATCTTATTTGGAAAAAGGATTTTCTGCAGAAGAAATTAACTGAAGGGTATTGAGATCAGCTTGGATTTAGGGTGGGCTGTAAATCCATTATCAGTGTTGTCTTAGTCTGTTTTGTGATGCTATAACACAATACCTGAAACTGCGTAATATACAAAGAATGGAAATGTATATTCTTACAGTCCTGGAGGCTGGAAAGCCCAAGGTCAAAGAGCCAGAATCTGGCAAGGCTTCCCTTCTGCATAATCACACAGCACAAGGTGAAAGGGCCTAGAGGCAAGAGAGGGACAAACTCACCCTTTGTAAGGACCCCACTCCCATGGTAATGGCATTAATCCTTGCAGGAGGGCCAGCTCTCATGGCCTAATCCACCTCTTAAAGTTCCCACCTCTGAATACTGCTAGAATGGCAAGTAAATTTCAACATGAGTTCTGGAGGAGACATTCAAACCTAGCTAGTGTCCCCAAGAGAAAGAACGGGGAAACGAGAGATGTGCAGAGGAGGAAAGGCCACTTGGAGATGGACGCAGAGGCCAGCATGACGCAGCCACACACCAAGGAACCCCAGGGACTGTAGCAGCCACAGAGGCCAGGGAAGCGTGAGGGGTTCCTCCCTTGGACCCTGCAGAAGGGGCCAGCCCTGCTGATGCTTTCATCTCAGACTTCTGGCCTCCAGAGCCGACAGAAAATAAGTGTCTATTTTTTTAACCCTTTTCCTGTTTAGAATTTAAAAATGCAGGTTACTGCCAGCGCTCATTTAACTTTACATAAACGTGCTATTTGAGGCTGAAGCAAATTTGAATGATTTTCAACGTGAAAATAAAATATAAAAACTGTTCTTGAAGTTATTTCTTTTTTTTTATTATACTTTAAGTTTTAGGGTACATGTGCACAACGTGCAGGTTTGTTACATATGTATACATGTGCCATGTTGGTGTGCTGCACCCATTAACTCGTCATTTAACATTAGGTATATCTCCTAATGCTATCCCTCCCCCCTCCCCCCACACCACAACAGGCCCTGGTGTGTGATGTTCCCCTTCCTGTGTCCATGTGTTCTCAAAAACAATAAAGCTTTTCAAAAGAGCACAGAGGACAATACCATCATGATTTGGAAGTGAACAAAGATTATTTAAACAGGACAGGAGAAGCACTAGACAAAAAGAAGAGATTGGTATTTGACATAGAGCTATTCAGTAACATCTATAATTTAGCTGAATTGTTCACATTAGTTATGGTTTATTTATTTATGGACTTTTTTTGGTTGGTAAGCTATTAATTATTGCCTCAATTTCAGAGCCTGTTATTGGTCTATTCAGAGATTCAACTTCTTCCTGGTTTAGTCTTGGGAGAGTGTACGTGTCGAGGAATTTATCCATTTCTTCTAGATTTTCTAGTTTATTTGCGTAGAGGTGTTTATAGTATTCTCTGATGGTAGTTTGTATTTCTGTGGGATTGGTGGTGATATCCCCTTTATTGTTTTTTATTGCATCTATTTGATTCTTCTCTCTTTTCTTCTTTATTAGTCCTGCTAGCGGTCTATCAATTTTGTTGATCTTTTCAAAAAACCGGCTCCTGGATTCACTGATTTTTTGAAGGGTTTTTTGTGTCTCTATTTCCTTCAGTTCTGCTCTGATCTTAGTTATTTCTTGCCCTCTGTTAGCTTTTGAATGTGTTTGCTCTTGCTTCTCTAGTTCTTTTAATTGTGATGTTAGGGTGTCAATTTTTAGATCTTTCCTGCTTTCTCTTGTGGGCATTTAGTGCTATAAATTTCCCTCTACACACTGCTTTGAATGTGTCCCAGAGATTCTGGTATGTTGTGTCTTTGTTCTCGTTGGTTTCAAAGAACATCTTTATTTCTGCCTTCATTTCGTTATGTACCCAGTAGTCATTCCGGAGCAGGTTGTTCAGTTTCCATGTAGTTGAGCGGTTTTGAGTGCGTTTCTTAATCCTGAGTTCCAGTTTGTTCGCACTGTGGTCTGAGAGACAGTTTGTTATAATTTCTGCTCTTTTACATTTGCTGAGGAGTGCTTTACTTCCAACTATGTGGTCAATTTTGGAATAGGCATGGTGTGGACCTCCAGCAAACTCCAACAGACCTGCAGCTGAGGGTCCTGACTGTTAGAAGGAAAACTAACAAACAGATATGACATCCACACCAAAACCCCATCTATACATCACCATCATCAAAGACCAAAGGTAGATAAAACCACAAAGATGGGGAAAAAACAGAGCAGAAAACCTGGAAACTCTAAAAATCAGAGCACCACTCCTCCTCCAAAGGAATGCAGCTCCTCACCAGCAACAGAACAAAGCTGGACGGAGAATGACTTTGACAAGTTGAGAGAAGAAGGCTTCGGACGATCAAACTACTCCGAGCTAAAGGAGGAAGTTCGAACCCATGGCAAAGAAGTTAAAAACCTTGAAAAAAAATTAGACGAATGGCTAACTAGAATTACCAATGCAGAGAAGTCCTTAAAGGACCTAATGGAGCTGAAAACCACGGCACGAGAACTACGTGACGAATGCACAAGCCTCAGTAGCTGATTCGATCAACTGGAAGAAAGGGTATCAGTGATGGAAGATCAAATGAATGAAATGCAGTGAAAAGAGAAGTTTAGAGAAAAAAGAATAAAAAGAAACAAACAAAGCCTCCAAGAAATATGGGACTATGTGAAAAGAACAATTCTACGTCTGATTGGTGTACCTGAAAGTGACAGGGAGAATGGAACCAAGTTGGAAAATACTTTGCCCGATGTTATCCAGGAGAACTTCCCCCATCTAGCAAGGCAGGCCAACATTCAAATTCAGGAAATACAGAGAACGCCAAAAAGATACTCCTTGAGAAGAGCAACTCCAAGACACATTATTGTCAGATTCACCAAAGTTGAAATGAAGGAAAAAATGTTAAGGGCAGCCAGAGAAAGGTCGGGTTACCCACAAAGGGAAGCCCATCAGACTAACAGCTGATCTCTCGGGAGAAACTCTACAAGCCAGAAGAGAGTGGGGGCCAATATTCAACATTCTTAAAGAAAAGAATTTTCAACCCAGAATTTCATATCCAGCCAAACTAAGCTTCGTAAGTGAAGGAGAAATAAAATCCTTTACAGACAAGCAAATGCTGAGAGATTCTGTCACCACCAGGTCTTGAAGTTATTTCTAAACAGAACATCAGAATCATCTGAATCAGCAGAATCATTTATTTCAGAAAAATCAGATTCATCAAATGAATCTTCAGCCAATAACTATTCAGGAATGATGTTATCATCATGACTAGAAATGCAACATTTTCTAGAATTTGGCATTTTCAGCAATCAATAATTACTACATTTTGTAAATGAAAATACCACTACTAAAAACAGAATGCTACAGATAGAATGATGTTTTTTGTTTCCAAAGTCAGGATACTAGAGCGATGAGAAAATAATAATCAAAGCAGGATATTCTGAGGCAACATGACCATGAGGTGAACGCTGCAGCTGCAAGGCCACCCATGAGTATTCTTGGGGCGAATGGGAAAAGGGTTAAGCCTCCAAGTTTGTGGTAGTTTGTGGCATCCCTAGGAAATTAATACAAGCCTTTTAAAATAGATTATGGACAAGTGGATGTGTATTAGTACCTGCCCCAAATCCACCATGAGGCGCATGCGCATAATGTGGAGGGGGCAGTTCCATTAATATAAGCACATTGTTTCCTAAGGATCTAACTTAGGAAAGGATCACACCATTAAACACATTAAATACACAGGATCTGGTGTTTCACTAATTAATATTATCATCTTGTAATAAACAAGAAAATATAACGTGTAGCACAGTGTCTTTCAAATAGTAGGCACTCAACAAGTATCTGTGAAATGATTAATAATTAATTCATGAGTGATTAGTTTATCATGCTTCAGTAAAAACATCTTTCATACCTCACACATTATTAAAATGCTATTACTGTGTAAGAGTCTTAAAATATTGACCAACAGTCAAGCTGAAAGTAGGTTTCTATCCTAATATGCAACAATATTAAACAGTCTACACATTACCAAAGTCTAGACTCTCTACATTTATAGACAGTCAAACAGTACATACGTGTCTGTCCTCGGCCCCACAAGCCGCGAATCGTCCACAAGGACTGAAAGCGATTCCACATGGATAGCCGCGGGTTGGATGCCCTTCAAAGTGGCGCTCACACCTACAGGGAGGAAAGAAACACCAGGAGAAAAATCATTTTAAAATTTGAATGCAAATTAGAGGAAAGAAAACAACTTGTTGCTTTTCTTCACAAAAAGGAACAAAAGAATAATGAAAGAATATTTTATATGTGAGAATTATTAAATGGTTAATGGGTCTCTCTAGAGATATTTAAAAATAATTCAAACACTATTCAAAATCTTAAATTCCCAAAGATGACAAAACTAATAGTAAATAAGCTTTTATATGTGATAAATATTAAATGTAAACATATTCTGGAAATTTTTTAAATATCAAAACAAACTTAACAAATCTTCTAAAATAATAAATTATTTAGTTAAATTATTCAGAGACTTTTTGGAGGCAAAACATTCTATCGAGGGTGGTTAAGTTTCACAACTATTTAAAAAGTGCCATATAAAATTTGTTTATTGTAAAAAAATGCCAAGAAATTCTTGTTATTTCTTGTTAATCATGTCCTATGTAGTATAAATTCTACAAAGATAATTCTTTTTTTTTTTTCTTTTTTTTTTTTGAGATTGAATCTCACTCTGTCTGTCACCCAGGCTGGAGTGCAGTGGCATGATCTAGGCTCACTGCAACCTCTGCCTCCCGGGTTCAAGCAATTCTCCAGCCTCAGCCTCCCAAGTAGCTGGGATTACAGGCATTCACCACCACACCCAGCTAATTTTTGTATTTTTAGGAGAGACGTGGTTTCACCATGTTGGCCAAGCTGGTCTCGAACTCCTGACCTCAGGTAATCCACCTGCCTTGGCCTCCCAAAGTGCTGGGATTACAGGTTTGAGCCACCACACCTAGCCAAGATAATTCTTTTTTTTTTTTTTTTGAGACAGAGTCTCGCTCTGTCACCCAGGCTAGAGTGCACTGTTGCAATGGCCAAGATAATTCTGTCTAGAAAAATTCTGTAGATGGTAATATAGGCTGTAGAAAATAACCTGAACTGTAGTGTACTACTGAGAAAAGATTAAATCTTTATAAAAATGTCATAAACATTTGTCACAATATTTGTCATAAATTTAATTCCTTTTTTCTTTTACATTGATTTTTAAATTTTTACATTCTTTACTATTAAAAAAAAAGAAACACAAAGAGAAAAATCATCAAAGTACTCATAATCCTTCCATTAAATGACAACTCCAGAAAGTACTGTGGCACATATACTGCACATTTTCTCTGCATATGCAAAGGTCTTTGTTTTCCTTTAACAAAGTAGAGATGCATATTATGCAGCTTTATATCCTGCTATGTCTACCCCAGAATACACCATGAACATTTCCCTCACGATCATGTGTTTCTTGTCTAATGAGCTCAGTGAAGAGGCCATAGAGAGCAGTGGCCAAGAGCAGGTGATCCAGGGCCAGGCTCAACCCTGACCCCAGCTAAGCCCCTTCTCATCAAATGAGCAACTTTGGTGAGTTGCTCACCTCTGTGCTGCATTTTCCCCATTCATGAAATGGGCTTAAATGAGTTCATAAAGAAATTTCTTCTTACAGCACGTGGCACATTAATAAGTGCTCTAGAAGTGTAATTGGACTGGGTTCAGGAGAAATTTTAAAATTTTTGAAATGAATGAAGGTGATAACACAACGTAGTAAAGCCTGTATGATACAGTAAAAGTAGTGTCAAGAGGAAAGTTTATACCATCAAATGCCTATACCAAAAAAACTAGAAAGATCAAATTAACAACCTAATGTTGCACCTCAAGGAACAAGAAAAGCATGACCAAACCAAATCCACAGTTAGCAACAGAAAAGAAATTTAAAAGACCAGAGCAGAATTAAATGAAATAGAGACCAACAAAACAATTTAAAAGATCAACAAAATGAAAAGTCAGTTATTTGAGAAGATAAACAAAATTGATAAACCACTTGTAGACTAACCAAGAAAAAATGAAATCTAAGTAAACAAAATTAGAAATGAAAAACAGACATTACAACCAATACCACAGGAATGCAAAATATCATCAGAGACTATAATGAAAAACTACACACTCACAAAATAGAAAACCTAGAGGAAATGGATACGTTCCTGGAAATACACAACTTCCCAAGCTTGAAGCAGGAAGAAATAGAAAACCTGAACAGATCAATAATGAATAGAAAGACTGAATCAAGAAAAAAAGTCTCCCAACAAAGAAAAGCCCAGGACCAGAAGAATTCATAGGCAAATTCCACCAAACATATAAAGAAGAACTACTATCAATCCTGAAACTGTTCCAAAATGTCAAGAAGAAGGGAATGCTCCCTAATTCATTCTATGTGGCCAGTATCACTCTGATACCAAAACCAGACAAGGACAAAACAAAGAAAGAAAACTGCAGTCCAAGATCCCTGATGAACATAAAAACAATTTTCAACAAAATACTACCAAACAGAATCCAATAGCACATCAAGAAGATAATACACCATGACCAAGTGGGTTTTATACCAGGGATGCCAGGATGGTTCAACATACAATAATCAATAAATGTGATACATAACATAAACAGAATCATGGACAAAAAAATATATGATCATCTCAATAAATGCAAAAAAAAGCACTTAATAAAATTCAGCATCTCTTCATAAAAATCCTCAATGAAAACTAAGCATTGAAGGAACATACATAAAAATAATAAAGGCCATATACAACAGTCCAATAGCCAAGGTCATACTGAATGGGGGAAAATTGAAAGTCTTTCCTCTAAGAACTGGAACAAGACAAGGATGCCCACTACCACCATTTCTGTTCAATATAGTCCTAGAAGTCCTAGCCAGAGCAATTAGGCAAAAAAAAAAAAAAAAGTTTTTTTTTTTTAAAGAAGCATCCAAATTGGTAAAGAGGACATCAAATTATCCCTGCTCACTGATAATATAATCTTACATCTAGAAAAACCTAAAGACTCCATCAAAAACACTCTTAGATTTGATAAATAAATTCAGTAAAATTTCAGGATACAAAATCAATGTGTAAAAATCAGTAGCATTTCTATACATCAATAATGATTTAGCTGAGAACCAGACATCAGTCCTATTTACAATAGCTATAAAAACAATGAAATACCTAGGAATATAATTAACCAAGGAGGTAAAAGGTCTCAATACGGAAAACTATAAAACATCAATGAAAGAAACTACAGATAATACAAACAAATAGGAAAACGTCCTATGCTCATGGATCAGAAGAATTAATATCATTAAAATTAACATACTGCCCAAAGCAATCCATAGGTACAATGCAATGCCTTTCAAAATACCAATGTCATTTTTTACATTAAAAAAAAAAACACCCTAAACTTCATAAGGAACCAAAAAAGAGCCCAAATGGCCAAAGTAATCCTAAATAAAAAGAACAAAGCTGGAGGCATCACCTTCCCTGACTTCAAATTATACTACAAGGTTATAGTAACCAAAACAACATGGTACTGGTATAAAAATAGACATATAGACCAATGGAACAGAATCTAGAACTCAGAAATAAAACTACATATTTACAGTCAACTGATCTTTGAAAGCTGACAAAATCAACAATGGGGAAAGGACACCCTTTGTAATAAATAGTGCTTGAAAAATTGGATAGCTATAGGCAAAAGAATGAAATTGGACCCTTATCTCTCCCCATACACAAAAATAAACTCAAGATGGATTAAAGACTTAAGTGTAAAACCTGAAACTATAAAAATACTAGAAGAAATTCTAGAAAAAACACTTCCAGACATTGGTCTAGGCAAAGAATTCATGACTAAGAACTCAAAACCAGAGGTAACAAAAATAAAAATAGACAAATATGACTTAATTAAACAAAAATACTCTGCACAGCAAAAGAAATAATCAACAGAGTGAATGGAAAACCTGCAGAATGGGGGAAAACTTGCAAACTATGCATTTTACAGGGGACTAACATCCAAAATTTACAAGGAACTCAAACGACTCAACAAAAAATACCACAAATAAATCCATTAAAAAGTGGGCAAAGGACATGAATAGACATTTTTACTTTATTTAAAGTTCCAGGATACATATGCAGGATGTGCAGGTTTGTTAACATAGGTAACATGTGCTATGGTGGTTTGCTGCACAGATCAACCCATCACCTAGGTATTAAGCGTCACAAGCATCAGGTATTTATCCTGATCCTCTTCCTCTCCTTACTCCGCTGACAGGCCCCAGTGTGTGTTGTTCCATTCCTTGTGTCCATGTGTTCTCATTGTTCAGCTCCCACTTATAAGTGAGAACATGCAGTGTTTGGTTTTATGTTCCTGTGTTAGTTTGCTGAGGATAATGGCTTCCAGCTCCATCCATGTCCCTGCAAAAAACATGATCTTATTCCTTTTTATGGTTGCCTAGTATTCCATGGTGTATATGTACCACGTTTTCTTTATCCAGTCTATCACTGATGGGCATCTGGGTTGATTCCATGTGTTTGCTATTGTGAATAGTGCTGCAATGAACATATGCATGCATGTATCTTTATAATAGAATGATTTATATTCCTTTGGGTATATACCCAGTAATGGGATTGCTGGGTCAAATGATATTTCTGGTTCTAGGCCTTTGAGTAAATGCCACATTGTCTTCCACAATGGTTGAACTAATGTACGTTCCCACCAACAGTATAAAAGCCTTTTAAAAGAGGATATACAAATGGCCAGCAAGCATATGAAAAATGCTCAACATCACTAATCATCAGAGAAATGCAAATTAAAACCACAATGAGATTTCATCTTACACCAGTCAGAATGGCTATTACTAAAAAAGCAAAAAGTAACAGATACTGTCAAGGATGCAGGGAAAAGGGAAAGTTTATACAATGCTGATGGGAATGTAAATTAGTACAACCTCTACGCAAAACAATGTGAAGATCTCTCAAAGAACTAAAAATATAACTACCGTTCATTTCAGAAACCCCACTGCTGGGTATCTACCAAAAGAAAAAGAAGTCATGATTTCAAAAAGACACATGCACTCATATGTTTATTGCAACACTGTTTATAATACCAAAGACATGGAATCAATCTAAGTGCCCATTAACAGGCGACTGAATAAAGAAAATGTAGTATACTTGTGTGTGTATACACACACACACACACACACACACACACACATATAATATAATATTATTCAGCCATGAAAAAAATGAAATCATGTCTTTTGCAGCACATGGATGGAAGTAGAGGGCATTATCTTAAGTGAAACAACTCAGAAACAGAACGACAAATACCACATGTTCCCACCTATGTGTGGCAGATAAATAATGTGTACACATGGACATAGAGTATGAAACCATAGACACTGGAGACTCAGAAGGGTAGAGGGTGGGAAGGGGATGCAGGAAGAAAAATTATTTAATGGGCAGAATGCACATTATTTGAGTGATGGATACCTTAAAAGCCCGGACTTCACCACTACAAATCTAACCATGTAACAAAATTACACTTGCACCTCCTAAATATATACAAATAAAAAATAAATAAGCAATAATCACTAGAAAATGGATGTTGTTGGCTGTTTGCTGAGTACTAAGAAGATGCCAGGAGTTAACTACACAGTCATGCATCACTTAATGCCGGGGATACATTCCAAGAAATATGTCGTTAAGCAATTTTGTCCCTGTGTGAATGTCACAGAGTGTACTTACACATACCTAGATGGTGTAGCCTACTACACACCTAAGCTGTGTGGTGTAGCCTATTGCTCCTAGGCTACAAACATGTATAGCATGCAACTGTACTAAGCAACTGTAACACAATGGTAATTATTAATATACCTAAACAAAGAAAAGGCACAGTAAATATATGGTATAAAAGGAAAATGAAATCTCCATACTGTTTTCCATGGAACTAAAAGTAGATTTCTTACAGCACTAAAAGCAGATCTGGCATACAATCCAGCAGTCTCACTACTTGGTATCTACCCAAAGGAAAATAAGTCATTATATCACGAAGACACTGTGTGTGTATGTTTATTGCAGTACAATTCACAATTGTAAAGATATGGAACCAATCTAAGTGCCCATCGACCAATGTATTAGTCCATTTTAATGCTGCTGATAAAGACATACCCTAGACTGGGCAATTTACAAAAGAAAGAGGTTTAATTAAACTTACAGTTGCACATGCCTGGGAAAGCCTCACAATCATGGTGGAAGGCAAGGAGGGGCAAGTCCCATCTTACATGAATGGCAACAAGCAAAGACAGAATGAGGAAGAAACCTCTGATAAAACCATCGGATCTCATGAGACTTATTCACTACCACAAGAACAGTATGGGGGAAACTGCCCACATGATTCAATTATTTCCAACCAGGTCCCTCCCACAACACATGGGAATTATGGGAGTACAATTCAAGATGAGATTTGGGTGGGGACACAGAGCCAAACCATATCATTCCACCCCGGCCTTCCAAATCTCATGTCCTCACATTTCAAAACCAACCATGCCTTCCCAACAGTCCTTCAAAGTCTTAACTCATTTCAGCATTAACCCAAAAGTCCACAGTCCAAAGTCTCATCTGGGACAAGCCAAGTCCCTTCTGCCTATGAGCCTGTAATATCAAAAGCAAGCTAGTTACTTCCTAGATACAATGGGGGTACAGGCATTGGGTAAATACAGTCATTCCAAATGGGAGAAACTGGCCAAAACAAAGGGGCTAGAGGCCCCATTCAAGTATGAAATCCAGTGCGGCAGTCAAATCTTAAAGCTCCAAAATGATCTCCTTTGACATCAAGTCTCACATCCAGGTCACACTGATGCAAGAGGTGGGTTCCCATGGTCGTGGGCAGCTCTGTCCCTGTGGCTTTGCGGAGCATAACCTCCCTCCCAGCTGCTTTCACAGCCTGGTGTTGAGTGTCTGCAGCTTTTCCGTGCTCATGGTGCAAGCTGTAGATGGATCTATCATTCTGGGGTCTGGAGGATGGTGGCCCTCTTCTCACAGCTCCACTAGGCAGTGCCCCATTAGGGACTCTGTGTGGAGGCTCTGACCCCACAATTCCCCTTTGCACTGCCCTAGCAGAGGTTCTCCAAGGGAGCCCCACCCCTACAGAAAACATCTGCGTGGGCATCCAGGTGCTTCCATACATCTCCTGAAATCTAGGCAGAGGATCCCAAACTTCAGTGCTTGACTTCTGTGCACCCGTAGGCCCAACATGATGTAGAAGCTGCCAAGGACTGGGGCTTGCACCCTCTGAAGCCATGGCATGAGCTCTATGTTGGCCCCTTTCAGCCATGGCTGGAGCGGCTGGGACACAGGGCACCAAGTCCCAGGCTGCACACAGCTCAGGGACCCTGGGCCAACCCATGAAACCACTTTTTCCTCCCAGACCTCTGGGTCTGTGATGGGAGGGGCTGCCATGAGGACCTCTGACGTGTCCTGAAGACATTTTCCCATTGTCTTGGGGATTAACATTTGGCTCCTCAGTATGTATGCAAATTTCTGCAGCCAGCTTGAATTTCTCCTCAGAAAATGGGATTTTTCTTTTCTATTGCATTGTCAGGCTGCAAATTTTTCAAACTTTTATGCCGTTTCCCTTTTAAAACTGAATGTCTTTCACAGCACCCAAGTTACCTCTTAAACACTTTGCTGCTTAGAAATTTCTTCCACCAGATACCCTAAAACATCTCTCTCAAGTTCAAAGTCCACAAATCTCTAGGGCAGGGGCAAAATGCCATCAGTCTCTTTGCTAAAACATAACAAAAGTCACCTTTGCTCCAGTTCTTAACAAGTCCCTCATCTCCATCTGAGACCACCTCAGCCTGAACCTTATTGTCCCCATATCACTATCAGCATTTTGGGCAAAGCCATTCAACAAGTCTCTAAGAACTTGCAAACTTTCCCACATTTTCCTATCCTCTGAGCCCTCCAAACTGTTCCAACCTCTGCCTGTTACCCAGTTCCAAAGTCGCTTCCACATTTTTGGATATCTTCTCAGCAGCACCCCACTCTACTGGTACCGATTTACTGTATTAGTCTGTTTTTGCACTGCTGATAAAGACATACCCGAGACTGGGCAATTTACAGAAGAAAGTGGTTTAATTGGACTTACAGTTCCATAAGGCTGGGGCAGCCTCACAATCATGGTGGAAGGCAAGGAGGAGCAAGCCCCGTCTTACATGGTTGGCAGCAGGGTAAAGACAAAATGAGGAAGACACAAAAGCAGAAACCCCTGACAAAACCATCAGATCTCATGAGACTTATTCACTACCACAAGAACAGTATGGGGGAAAATGCCCCCATTATTTAATCATCTCCCACTGGGTCCCTCCCACAACACATGGGAATTACGGGAGTACAAGTCAAGATGAGATTTGGGTGGGGACACAGCCAAACCATATCAACTAATGAGTGAAAAAAGAAAATGTGGTATATAGACACCATGAAATACTACTACTCAGCCATAAAAAAGAACAAAAGAATGTCTTTTGCAGCAGCTTGGGTGGAGCTGGAGGCCATTATTTTAAGTGAAGTAACTCAGAAATGAAAAACCTAATACCTTATATTCTTACTTGTAAGTGGGAGCTAAGCTGTGAGTACACAAAGGCATACAGAGTGGTATGATTGAATTTGGAGACTCACAAGGGGGCAGGTGGCAGGTGGGTGAGGAATAAAAAATGACATATTGGGTACAATGTATAGACTCAGGTGGCAGGTGCACTAAAACCTTAGACTTCACTACTATACAATTCATTCATGTAACCAAAAGCCACTTGTACCCCAAAAACTATTGAAATAAAAACAATTAAATAAAATAAAAGATTAAAAAGGGTGCACCTGTATAGGGTCCTTGCCATGAATGGAGCTTGCAGGACTGGCAGTTGCTCTGAGTAAGTCACTGAGCAAGAAGTGAGTGAATGTGAAGGTCAAGGGCATGACCACAACTGCTATAGGTGTTATAAACACTGGACACTTAGGCTACACTAAATTTATTTTAAAATATTTTTATTTCCTCAGTAATAAATTAATATTAGTTTACTGTAACTTTTTTACTTACTTTTTTTTTTTTTTTTTGAGACAGAGTCTCACTCTGTCACCCAGGCTGGAGTGCAGTGGTGTGATTTTGGCTCACTGCAAACTCTGCCTCCTGAGTTCAAGTGATTCTCCTGACTCATCCTCCCAAGTAGGTGGGATTACAGGTGCCCACCACCACACCTGGATAATTATCGTATTTTTAGTAGAGATGCGGTTTCACCATGTTGGCCAGGCTGGTCTCAAACTCCTGACCTCAGGTGATCCGCCCACCTCGGCCTCCCAAAGCTAATATCACTTAGCTTAAAACACAAATGCATAGTGCAGCTGTACAAAAATATTTTATTTCTTTATATTCTTACTCTACATGCTTTTTTCTATTTTGAGCTTTTTCTTACTTTTAAAACATTTTTGTTAAAAACTAAGGCATAAACACAAACATTAGCCTAGGCCTGCATGGAGTCGGGATCATCAATATCACTGTCTTCCCCTCCACATCTGGTCCCACTGGAAGGTCTTCAGGGGCAGTGAAATGCATGGAGCTGTCATCTCCCTCTGATAACAATGTCTTGGCCAGGTACAGTGGCTCACACCTGTAATCCCAGCAATTTGGGAGGCTGAGGCGGGTGGATCACTTGAGGTCAGGAGTTCGAGACCAACCTAGCCAACATGGTGAAAATGCGTTCTCTACTAAAAATACAAAAATTAGCTGGGCGTGGTGGCGCATGCCTACAGTCCCAGCTACTTAGGAGGCTGAGGCAGGAGAATGGCTTGAACCTGGGAGGCAGAGGTTGCAGTGAGCTGAGATTACACCATTGCACTCCAGCCTCGGTGACAGAGCAAGACTCCATCTCAAAAAAACCAAACAGGCTGGGCACGGTGGCTCATGCTTGTAATCCCAGCACTTTGGGAGGCCAAGGCGGGCAGATCATGAGGTCAGGAGATCGAGACCACGGTGAGACCCCATCTCTACTAAAAATATAAAAAATTAGCTGGGCGTGGTGGCGGGCACCTGTAATCCCAGCTACTCGGAGAGGCTGAGGCAGGAGAATGGCGTGAAGCCAGGAGGCGGAGCTTGCAGTGAGCTGAGATCGCGCCACTGCACTCCAGCACTCCAGCCTGGGTGACAGAGCGAGACTCCGTCTCAAAACAAACAAACGAACAAACAAACAAACAAAAAATTAGGTGGGCATGGTGGCACTTGCCTGTAAACCCAGCTGCTCACGAGGCTGAGGCAAGACAATCCCTTGAGCTCAGGGGTGGGGTGGTGGGGCAGGGAGGTTGCAGTGAGCTGAGATCATGTAACACTGCACTCCAGCCTGGGTGACAGAGCGAGACTCTGTCTAACATAAAAAAAAAAAAAAAAAAAAAAGCAATGTCTTCTTCTGGACACTTCCTGCAGGACCTGCCTGAGGCTGCTTTATAGTTAATTTTTTTTATAAGTAGAAGGAATGCACTCTAAAATCATGATAAAAAGTAGTAAAGGAAATAATAAACAAAAAGAATTTTTCAGCTCCATCATAATCTTATGCCACCAGCAATGTGATATGGTCAGTCACTGGTTAAGACATCCTCATGTGCAACATGATTGCTCATACAGATTCTCATCACTAATTTGAAATAATAATAGTAAACAAACCTGCCTGTAAGTTTTATTATTGCATTCAACAGTAAACAACAATTATTGTTATATCAAGAATTCCTGTCCTAAAAGATCTGTAAATATTTTGCTGATAAAACTAAGGTGCTTTCTAACTTTTATAAAATGTATTTTCAAAGTCTACAAAGCATCTAAAATATACTTGATGTGAAATGAGAAGTAATTTACTTAATGATAGTATATCTAAGGAAATGCCCTCCCAACTGTGACCTGAGGAGGTAGGAAAAGGAGAGTCAGGCGCCGCTGGCCCTGCGTTACGGGGGTGCTCGGTGCCTAGTGGATGGCACCCAGTGGAGATGGGAACACACTTGGGAGAGAGAGCAGTAATCACACCATAGGGTAACTGTGGTTTAGGAGATTCCAAAGTCTCCCTCAACATCGCTGACCCACAGGAAGGGCCTGGGGTTACTCTCCTAAGCCACATATAGCAGAGAGACCAGTACCTAGTGCTTCACCCTTCCAAAGTTAGAGCTAACTTTTCTGTGCATAAATCAGTCTTAGATTAGTCAGTGTGCACAGATTAACCACAACCTCATCACATTCGGAAAAGAGATCAGATTGAGCTTATATCTCTTGAGCTCCCCACCCCTGCAGTGCAGGGCGCAGGACAGCCTTACCTCAGGGTTCTCAGGTCCCACAGTCTCATCCCATCGCCAATGGCCGTGGTCAGGAAAAGGTTATAAGCCTGAGGCTGTTGGGTTGTAAATGATGAACCCTATAATTTTAAGGGGGAAATCAAGATGTACTTTCAAAGGTTGAGTTAATAAGCGTTATGCTAATGATATCTCATAATAGCTGATTCTCAAGTAAGATATTAACACAAAGTTTTTTTCTTACTTGTAACAATTTCAGAATTGGACTCCAAAAACTTCTACATAAAGTAGTTAATGAGGGTATATTTTGACCTAGAGAAGTATTGATGTATGTTCTCTTTATGTGTAATGCCACTGAGAGTTACAGAAGTACAAAATGGTCAAAAAAGACCAAGATAGTAATACACCAAAATTCATGTTTACAGTATAGACCATAAGCCACATTCAATAAATCATCTGAAAGATGCCCCTCAACAAGGCACTTAAAGTTAAGGTGAGTTATTAATCTGCCAATTATCAACCCCTAAATGACACTCAGCAGGCTCCTGCGATGACTATGTGGGTGAACTCCCACGGGGCCTCGAGTCCCGGCCCTGACTCTGACTTGCTCCCCTTTCCCTGTGCTGCTATCAGAAGCAATTCTCACTAAGTGGAACTGAACTCAGCTCCATCTACAGAACCATTTGACACAAAACATCACCTAAACATTTGTGATAAATAATGATTTCCATCCTCCTTCTAGGTCAAGAATATTAAAAATATTAAGACAAATTTCATGAAGGATAGATGTGCCTACAAGTCATCCTTCATTTGCAAACAGAAAATAAAGGCTTACTAAGTTCAATAATAACAAACTAATAATAATTCAAGGCCAGGTACAGTGGCTTACACCTGTAATCCCAGCACTTTGGGAGGCCAAGGCGGGCAGATCACCTGAGGTCAGGAAAATGTGAGACCAACCTGGCCAACATGGTGAAATCCCGTCTCTATAAAAATACAAAAAATTAGCCAGGTGTGGTGGTGTGTGCCTGTAATCCCAGCTACTGGGGAGACTGAGGCAGGAGAATCGCTTCAACCCAGGAGGTGAAAGTTGCAGTGAGCCAAGATCACACCACTGCACTCCAGCCTGGGCAACAGAGTGAGACTCCATCTCAAAAAAAAAAAAGAAAAGAAAAAGAAAAGAAAAGAAACAAAGCTGTAATACATGTTTTAAAATAATAATAATTCACACTAATAATTGAGCAGGTATTCAACAAATATTTACAGATCATCTACTGAATGCTGGTGTTACATGAGGTACTCAGCATAAAAAGAAGAAAATGTAGGCTTAGTTTAACAAAAAGACAGAGAAGATAATGGCACTAACAACACCTGACAGACAGCAATTGCTAGTATATGTAGGCTAAAGAGTAAAAAACTGAACAGAACAGAAATACTATGTAATGACCAAACCTTTCAAGAGAAAAGGTAAACTTTTAAAAAATGTGTTCAATCCAATAGAGGGTGAGGAAGAAGAAATAAAAAAACAAAGAAAATTCAGGATAAGTAGAAAGCGAAGAAATAAAAAATGTGGAAGAGAAAGCACAAAATGATATCAAATATATGAATAATCATAATTGCAAACAGACTAAACTCAACAAGGAAAAGAGAGATAATATTAGGCTGGATTTCATTATTATCATTATTGTCATTATTTCACTTTTGTTTTAGGTTCAGGGGTACACGTGTGGGTTTGTTATATAAGTAAACTTGTGGCACAGGGGTTTGTTGTACAGATTATGTCATCACCCCGATACTTAGCCTGCTACCAATAGCTGTGTTTTCTGCTCCTCTCCCTCCTCCCACCCTCCACCCTCAAGCAGACCCCAGTGTCTGTGGTTCTCTTCTTTGTGTTCATGAGTTCTCATCATGTAGCTCAAAATAGCACAGTATTGATAATAAAGCCACATACCTACGACCGACTGATATTCAACAAAGCCGACAAAAACAAGCAATGGGGAAAGGGCTCCCTATTCAATAAATGGTGCTGGGATAACTGGCTAAATGTGCAGAAGGTTGAAACTGGACCCCTTCCTTACACCATACACAAAAATCAACTCAAGATGGATTAGACTTAAATGCAAAACCCAAAACTATAAAAACCGTGGAAGATAACCTAGGCAATACCGTCCTAGACACAAGAACTGGCAAAGATTTCATGACAAAGACACCAAAAGCAATTGCAACAAAAGCAAAAATTGACAAGTGGGATCTAATTAAACTTTAGAGCTTCTGCACAGCAAAATAAAGTATCAACAGAGTAAACAGACAACCTACAGAATGGGAGAAAATATTTGCAAACTATGCATCTAACAAAGGTCTAATATCCAGCATCTATAAGGAACTTACGCTGGATTTTAAGAAAAGTTCTGAAAACCTAATAAAAAAAAAAAAGTCAAAACTGAAAGCTGAGGCGCAAACAGCACACGCGAACTCTGAGGAGGCAAGATTATATAAGCACTAGAAAAAAAAACAGATATAAGGTAAAGAAAGCCTCATTAGAAACAGTTTCTTCAAAAAAATGATAAAAGAAATAACTGCACGTGAAAATATAAGAAGACTGAACTTAAATATCCCTAATAACATGCCCTTCAAATACATAAAGCAAAACTCAATAGAATTACAAGAAGAAACTAGCTGGGTGCAGTGGCTCACACCTGTAATCCCAAGTGTTGGGAGGCCAAGGCGGGCGGATCACGAGGTCAAGAGATCGAGACCAGCCTGGCCAACATGGTGAAACCCTGTCTCTACTAAAAATACAAAAATTAGCTGGGTGTGGTGGCGGGCACCTGTAGTCCCAGCTACTCAGGAGGCTGAGGCAGGAGAATCGCTTGAACCCAGGAGGTGGAGGTTGCAGTGAGCCAAGACTGCGCCACTGCCCTCCAGCCTGGCGATAGAGCAAGACTCCGTCTCCAAAAAAATAAGAAGAAGAAGAAGAAGAAACTGACAAGATTACAATCATAATGGTAGATTTTTAACACATCTCTCAGTAATTAAAAAAATCAAGCAACAAGAAATTAGGAAGACCTGAACAATTTAAACACAATTAACAAGGGTGAGTCAATGAATATCTGGGCAAACATGTACCAAATAGTCAGCAAAACCACATTTTTCTCACACACCTATGTAATATTAAAAACAAACCATAGTGTCCAGTTTTCAATAGATAAAAAATCTCAAAGATACCAAGAAAATCAATACTATATATGGAGAGTGCATGCTCTGAACACAATGCCATAAAATTAGAAACCAACAACAAAAAAGATGACCAAAAATTAACTCATGTGGAAATCTAAAAGCATACATCTGAAGCTTGGGTTGAAAAACATCATAATAAACATGAGAAAATATTTAGTGCTGGAAGATAATAAAAATAGTGCATGCCCAAACTGGTAAAGTGCAATTTCAGCATGAAAAATCAAGCAACAGGGAGATATGGGGTTTGACACCATGTGTAAGAGGCTAACGCTAGGCTCAACAATGCACAATGTTGCTGAAGCAGCATCCTTGTGGGGGATCAATACCTAGGGTTCGTTGCCTAGCACCAAGATTAAAGACACAGTCACAAATGAGCAGCAAGTTTAGGAGCGAAGATTTCATAGGCAAAATAAAAAGAAAGGAGAGCAGCCCTCTCTCTCTTTCAAGAGAGAGGGGTGTCCCAAAGGGAAAAGCCGGCATGTGGTGGACTGTGCCAGATTTTATAGGCAAGCTTGAGGAGGCGGTGCCTGATGTATGTAGAGCCCACAGATTGGTTCAATCAAGTGTGACTTTTACATGGTAGGCAGGGAAGGCTGGTTGCCCCACCCTAATCTTTTTTTTGAGACCGAGTTTCACTCTTGTTGTTCAGGGTGGAGTGCAATGGCACGATCTCAGCTCACTGCAACCTTCTCCTCCCTGGTTCAAGTGACTCTCCTGCCTCAGCCTCCCAAGTGGTTAGGATTACAAGGTCATGCCACCACACCCGGCTAATTTTTGTATTTTTAGTAAAGACCGGGTTTCACCATGTTGGCCAGTCTGGTTTTGAACTCCTGACCTCAGGTGATCCACCCACCTCTGCCTCCCAAAGTGCTGGGATTACAGGCCTGAGCCACTGTGCCCAGCCGCCCAACCCTAATCTTATTATGCAAATGGACTTTCTACTTGGCCAGCGCCATCTTGCCTGCTCCTTACTGTACACATGGCTGGCAGAAAAGAAAAGATGGAGCCACCATTTTGAACATGCCTATTCCCAGGTAGCCTTTCCTATTGGCACAACTGCCAGTATTCGCGTTTACAAGCTTCCAACTTGTTTGTCTAACTCTGCAGCTCGATTTTACAGCCTGCTCTTCGTTAGAAAAGAAAATGATTTGGGGGCTGTTCTTCATTAAAAGGAAAACCTTAGGGAGGATTCCCATACCTTCATTATCTGCCTAAGTAATTTCTTCTTAACTCCTGTATCATTGCTTCTGAATGGGTACTAGGGAAAGACCCATACCAAATTCAGCAGTGGTTATCAGAGAAGAAGAAAAGGGAGGGATGTGGGTAGGGTTTTCTCTGCATCAATAATCATTTCATTTCCTTTTTAAAAATACAGCAAGATCTAAAACTAATAAAGCAAAATAACATAAGTGACTATTCCTGAAATCTAGAATCATATGTAATAAAATTATTTCATTAAAAAAGCTGTTTAAACTTTTACACATTGTTTTTAATTAAAATTAGCTGTCTAGTATTATGTATTTATATCACAAAATAGTACATATTTTATTCAGAGGCAGGCAAAGAGTAGTATCCTATCAAGTTTTAAAAATATATAAAGTATCTACACCTGCTAGGACTTTAAGGATATCAATAAATCATAAAACACGTATGCATTTTCATTTTTTAAATGAGCCATTTAATAATATAACACATAAAATAGGAAAATATGACCATCACTTTTTGATGCATCTGGCACTCTTGTTAATACAATACTAAAATGAATTTAAAATTCCATTTGTCCAACAGAATTAAGATAACTATAGGAGTAATTCTCAGAAGAGATCATGTTAATGGTGGTGCACTTGGATGACTGCAAAAAAAAAAAAAAAAAAAAAACATTATTGATGCATGACTAATGTGGCTGAGGTGGTTACTAAGCTTAGAAGAAATTAGAAATGCCCTGTTTTATATGTTACTGGAAATACAGCATTTGGGCCAATGATAATTTCTGCTTCTCCTGTATTTGGACTTGTAGGATGACAGTTTGTGAGTAGCAGCCCCCACATGGCTATGGTTAGTTTGATGTACATTGTGCAACTGAACAAAAATGTAAGATAAGTTTTTTTAAAAAAGCTATTAAAAAATAGTGTAAACCTCTGTAACCTTACACTCTTTCCCTTTCATTCCATCAAATACCATTCAGATGTTTATTTTCAGGAAGTAAAACCCGTAATTTTCCCATAAAAAACCTCAGAACTATTTTTCTTAATATAACACCTCTCATCCAAGAGTACACCACAATGATTCACAAAATATTACAATCCCTACTGAAAGACCACATAGATTTGACAGGATTCAGGCTACTGTATAGTCATTGCTCAAGCTGTTGAAAAATGTAGACATTTTAAGCAGTTTCCTAAAGCAAAGACACTAAACCTCTTAACAAAAAGCTAAGATTTTAAAAGAGAGGAACTCTCCTTGAATTGGGAAATTAGACGGTCACCATGTCATTCCAGGAACAAAGCGAGGCACATCTACACAACAATGGCTCTTCACAAGGCCAACTTGTAAAAACAGTCTTCACCACAGCACTTGGAATGAAATATCCTATGCGCCTCTTGTCGACAGAAAGAGTAAAACTCTGTAAAATATTGGAAGAAATTTATTCTGGGCCAAATATGAGTGACCACGGCCCGTGACACAGCCCTCAGGAGGTCCTCAGAACATGTGCCCAAAGTGGTCAGGTGCAGCTTGGTTTTATACATTTTAGGGACGCATGAGACATCAATCAAAGACATTTCAGAAATACACTGGTTTCCCACCTGGGAAAGGCAGGAAAACTCAAAGTGGGGGCTTCCAGGCTCTAGGTAAAAGTAAACATTTTCTGGTTGACAATTGGTTGAGTTTCTCTGAAGACCTGGGATCAATAGAAAGGAAATGTTCAGTTTAAGATAAAAGACTGTGGAGACCAAGGTTCTTTTGAAGCCTCATTAGTGGCTGCCCTTGGAGACAACAGGTGACAAATGTTTCCTGTTCAGATCTTTAAAAGGTGCTAGACTCTTAATCTGTTTAGGATTGGGAGGGCCTGGAAGAAAGAGATCTAGCCATGTTAATAGAGATTCTTCACAGATGCATGACTAATGTGACTGAACTGGTTTTCCCACACAAAGGACAGCTTTGCAGGGCCATTTCGACATATGGCAAAGACACATGTTTTGGAGTGAAATATTTTTATTTTCTTCCTTGTCTTGTAATGTTATGCCAGAGCCAGGTTGGAAAATAAGTCATGATACATAAGGTTAAATAAAACCCATCTGACGAGAATTGATGGTTTTTAAAGCATGACTCCTCAGACCCCTTAATCAGAGCCTAGTCCTCACCCCTTTAGGACACACCTTACCTGCAGGGATGCTGTCTCAGGGAGCCAGCTTGTCCAGATGTCCATCAGGAATGTGACAAGAAAATGAATCTTGGGACCCCCAAATCACTAAGCCAAGGGTAAAGTCAAGCTGGGAACTGCCTCAGGCAAAACCTGCCTCCCATTCTATTCCTAAGTAAGATAGCTACAAAGATAAGAAGCTACAGACCTCCCTCACAATTTGCCCACAAGGAAATTCCTTGTGGACAAAGGACAGTCAGAACTCAAAGACATCCCTCCGAGGCTTCCCTGAAACAAATGCGTATCTCATTGCTTCCTCTCCCCTATTGTTTATGTAAAAATGATGATTCACTGAGCTAGACTAAATTGTGTATTCAGTGGAAAGCTGATCAAGGACTCAAAAGAATGTAACCTTTTGCCTCTTATCTACTCATGACCTGGAAGCCCTCGCCTCAAATCCCACTTTACCTGACTGAACCAAAGTACATGGTACACATATTGATTGATATCTCATGTCTCCCTAAAATGTATAAAACCAAGCGGTGCCCCGACCACCATCGTCAGGAACTCCTGATGCTATGTCATGGGTGCATCCTTAACCTTGGTGAAATAAACTTTCTAAACTGACCGAGACCTGTCTTAGATATTTTGATTTAACAAGGGGCTCGAGGTCCACCCCTCCACCGGCTTCACCACACAGTCCACCTCCTGTACTCTGCTCCTCCAGACATAGACATAGACCTGCTCCTCCTGCACTCTGCTCCTCCAGACATAGACCTGGCACCCTTCCCTGTGTCATGAACCTGCTGCTCTAGTTACCTGGTCAGCACAGAGCACCTGACCTTGTGTAATACACGTGTTCCTATGTAAGAAAATACAATTCTTGAGCACAAGGACTTTGCCCTCACTTCATCTAACTCTTCATTCACAGAACACTGCCAAGTGCACAGCAGCAGCTAATAGATATTTTAAATGAATTAATTAATAGGCACTTTAATGAATACTATAATTAAAAGCACATATACATATGCATACACATGCATGCACATATACATACATACACCCATGCACGCTCGCATATGCATATACACACACATGCACACAGGCATATACATACCCACACATACATTCATGCATACACACACACACACACATGCACGCACGCATATACATACCCACACACGCATTCACACATATACATACGCACACACATGCATGTAGACATACGCACACATGCATGCATGTAGACATACGCACACACATGCACACATGCCTATACATACACACACGCGCATTCACACATATACATATGCACACATGCACACACACATATACATATGCACATGTGCATGCACACATATACATACCCACACATGCATTCACACATATACATACACACACACGCACGCATATACATACACACACGCATTCATGCATATACATACACATGCACGCACGCATATACATACCCACACATGCATTCACGCATATACATACCCACACATGCATATACATACCCACACATTCATTCACGCATATACATACCCACACATGCATATACATACCCACACATGCATTCACGCATATACACATTCACACATATACATACACACACACACGCACACATATATACAGACGCACACACATGCATGCATGCATATACATACCCACACATGCATTCATACATATACACACGTATTCACGCATATACACACATATTCACGCATATACATATGAACACACTCAGGCATTCACACACAGGCACATATACTTGCACACATATACACACTGTGAAAGGAAAATAAATCTCTGGGCCCCCAAATCACCAAGCTAAAGGGAAAAAGTCAAGCTAGGAACTGCTTAGGGCCAACCTGCCTCCCATTCTATTCAAAGTCACCCCTCTGCTCACTGAGATAAATGCAGATCTGACTGCCCCCTTTGGAAAGACTCATCAGAAACTCAAAAGAATGCAACCATTTGTCCCTTATGTACCCAGGACCTGAAGGTCCCCTCCCTGATTTGTGTCTTCCTGCCTTTGCTTCGAGTTGTCCCACCTTTCCAGACCGAAGCAATGTTCATCTTATGTATGTTGACTGATGTCTCATGTCTCCCTAGAACGTGTGAAATCAAACTGTGTTCTGACCACCTCGGGCAAATGTCGTCAGGACCTCCTGAGGCTGTGTCACGGCACCCATCCCCAACCTGGGCAAAATAAACTTTCCAGTTTCACTGAAACCTGCCTCAGATGTTCAGGGTTCACACACACGCACATACAAACCAAATTTAAGGTGGGAGGAAATGAGCAGTGGTATATTTAACTGCTATTAGGAACAGGTATTGAATTAAGAGTTCAGCCCAAAGTCAGACTGTTAACACTTTACTCTCCATGGCCATTTCACTGAATGTTTATAGAAAAAAACAGAACCACTTGGAAAACAATATGAATAAAACAATCTCCACAAAGAGATGAAGAAATGACTGAAAACGAAGTTTAACATAAAATCTATTATTCATTATTTTTACCAGAGCTATAAAAACAGGAAACTTTTCAAAGAAGTGATATTTTTACTGTGTCCCTCCTCAGGAGAGCACTGCAGTGTTTCGACACGGGAGAAGCGTCCCGGTGAAACAGCCATTGCAAAATTACAACTGAGACAGTGAAAGAAACCTGACCTAACCAGCTCTATCTTGCTTCTAACCTCCAAGCCGTCCTTTTCATTCCTGGGCTGAGGCCAAACTAACTTGGGGAGGAACTTATAGTTTAGCTTTGAAACAAAGATGGTAACAACCCTTTCCCAAAACAAATCCCCTTCTTGCCTGGGGACCAGACTGCCTTTGTAGGACCTACAAATTAGCTCAAAGATTAGAAATTATGGTTTAGGAGTAATGTAGCTGGAGGCTACAAGATTCTGACCACCTCCCCCACCCCTACCCAAAATTGCTCCTGGGGATAACATCACTATTGTAAAACCTAAGATCAGTGCTTGAGATATTTTGCATACCCTGCACTGAATGGATCAGCTGGTACCCCACCCGATCAATAAACTGGTTCAGCTGGTCGTGCGGCCCCCACCCAGGAACTCACTCAGCACAAGAGGACAGCTTTGACTCCTGATGATTTCACCTCTGACCTGACCAATCAGAACTCGTGATTCACTGACTCCACCCACCCACCAAATTATCCTTAAAAACTCCCACCCCCAGATTCCTGGGGAGACTGATTGGAGTCATAATAAAACTCCAGTCTCCCATACAGCCGTCTCTGTGTGAATTACCCTTTCTCTATTGCAATTCCCCTGTCTTGATCAACTGGCTCTATCTAGGCAGCAGACAAGGTGAACCATTGGGCGGTTACCCCAGTGGCTCAGCTGTGGCCCTCAGCCAGTGACGGCACCACTCACCGGGCCCGCAGGCTTCACACAGAAGTCACAGCCTGCGTACCCACTCACATGCAGAGACAGTGAGGGTCCAGCCAGGGTGCCCAAGAGAGCCATGGTGGGGGAGCATCAACAACCCACATTTGGGATGAATTATTCTGAACCGTTTAGAAGAAAAACTGGTCATTTACTTATTTATTTTGTTTTTAATTGACCCATAAGAACTGCACATATTTTGGGGTACAGCATGGTGTTTTGACACACACGTGAGGCCCCAATCATGGGATTTAGCACATTGAAAACTCCTCCCAACGGCTACTCAGTGCCAGCCTGGGCCTGTTTTCCTCACACTGGCTGAGGGCACACTTCTCTAGGTCCTAGTAAATGAGCCTAGGAGTGACACAGCCTGAGCAAAAAGAAGGTAGACACAAACACAAACAGCAAAACCAGCTAACAGGCAGCCACCCACGAGGCGAGGTGAACACCAGACACAGGATTGGGGACATGGGGCCCTGGAGACACCACATGCCGCGTGTGGGGTCAGGTGTGCCGTGTGTGGGGTCAGGTGTGCCGTGTGCAGCATGTGGCATCAGGTGTGCCGTGTGTGGGGTCAGGTGTGTGGTGTCAGGTGTGCCGTGTGGGGCGTCAGGTGTGTGGCGTCAGGTGTGCAGCGTGTGGCATCAGGTGTGCGGCATGTGGCAGGTGTTCCGTGTGCGCATCAGGTGTGCCATGTGGGGCGTCAGGTGCGCAGTGTGTGGCGTGTGGTGTCAGGTGTGTGGCGTCAGGTGTGTGGCATCAGGTGTGCGGCGTGTGGCATCAGATACACTCTGGATCCGAGGACAAAGAACACCCACGAGAACCTTCCAGGTGTGCAAAAGGAGATTCGAAGCTCACCAGAGTGCAGCCCCTCATGCGTCTCTCTCAAGCTCGAGTGACTTAGTGAATGAAACGCTCGTGTCCACTCGGAACTGCTTAGGGAGCCGGAGGGAGGCTGGGCTGTGCCCTGGTGCCATCCCCGATCCCCCTCAGCCCAGCCAGGGACATGCAGGACCTAAATCGAAAACAGCCATCGACCGTTTCCAGGGAGTCAGGTGACCTCCCAAGTTCTCTAATAACTAAAGAAAACTTCATTAATTTTCATAAATAAAAAGGATAAAGTAACCAATTTAATTAAATAATTTTCCCATGAGAGTTTGACAACCACTGAGAAGAGAGCTCACCTGACCGTCAACTAGAGCCCTTGCTGTGGCCTGTGACTGATGCCTGGCCCATGAGACACGTGAGCCGCAGCCATGCAACCCCATGGGATGAAAAATTCGAGATGTGTGTTCACTGCAGCTCCAGGTAGATGGCACGAGACCAGGAACACAGGTTCCCTTGAGTCAGAGCATGGAGAGTACAAGAGCAGCCGTCCCACAGCCTGGCTGGGCAGTCAACTGTGGCAGCCCTCACCCTCGGGGCCCGGCCCATCCACTGAGGGGACCTGCAAGATGCAACTCCTGTTCTAGGCTTCACTTGGCATCTGGAATAAACACACACGTAGCTGCTTCTCTTATGTCACCACTATGGAAAGCCAAAGGCTGAGTCCTGGAGTGTCCGCGCCAGCAGCAGGTCATGGAGTTCTTCTGGGTCCACGATGGCCCTGCTGAAATACTGAAAAAGGAAGGCAGATCCAACGGTTGTAACTCAAACAGGCCCCTTAAAACTGCCAGGACTGGGCTTGGACTAAGCAAGCAATTTTTGAGCACCGACTGTATGCTAGTAACGGATGGCTCTGTCCTCAAGATGAGACTCTCACAGGAGAGAGGATTAATTCCACGTCATTCCGACTGCACTGATGAGCCCTGGAACAGCAGTGTAGACACAAGACCAAGTAAGGGGCCGAGTCCAACTACTGAGAGGCCAGGGAGGCCTCCTGGGGTGGTGGTGGAGACTGAGCCTGGACAGTCGGAAGGGTCTGCCCGTGACCCGGGCCACAGAGCAAGAGCACAGACAGAGTGCAGCTGGCGGACGCTCAGCTCCATCTTCTGAGAGCCCTGGGCTGAAGTGCCGGGGACCAGGCCCGACGGGGTCAGTCCTGTGTCTCAGAGTCAGCCCCGTTCACTGGGCTCACTGTCAGGTGGGTGCAGTCAGGAAACCGGCAGGCAGGTGCAGTCGGGAAACCAGTGTGGAGCCTTAGCTGCTCCATGGGGTCAGAGCTTAGGTGCCAGTGGTGCCTGCTCAGATCTCACGCCGGCACCCCTACTCCGTCTGGGGCTCTGGGGGGGATGAGGATGCCCCGTGCTCCACGTTCATGATGCTGTGACTCTGAGACCAGAGCCCGCCTCTTCTCAGCAGATAGAGCATGTGTGTCACATGGGAGCTGGCCCTGATGCCCTCCTGTGACTGTCCAGGCCACCACAGAAGCCAACCAGGGTGTGAGAGAATGGCCCAGCCCAGCAGCCCGGGCTTCATGTGGGCGCCAAGCTTGAGACTGGGTCTGAGGCGTCACCAAGGACACTGACAGGGTAAGAACGAGAAAGTGGTACAGGGTCTGCATGCAGCCTCGGGCTTTTATCCTAAAAGCTGCTGGGGCCTCTGAAGAATTGACAGTGAAGATTAAAATAACCCGAATGGGGTTCTGAAGGCACAGGTCCACAGTGGGTGATGATAGGCGGAGACAAGCCCGCGGGGACAGCTGCTGGGGAGCAACTGCAGGCCATAGGTGGGACAGAAGACGGCAGCGCTAGGCCTCCCACACCTGCACCTATGCGGGTGTGGGTGTCGCCTTCCTGAGGCTTTGCACACCCACAGAGGGTGACAGAGGGGGGCTGTGCTGTAGTGAGCAGGGTGGCTGCAGAGGCACCAGCCAAGGGGGGTTGCATTGCCTGTGGGGCTAGGTGCAGAACACAGCAGGCTGTGCCAGGCTCCTGCTGCCTTCTCTGGGCCACACAGTGGGCGGTGGGGGGTCAGGTCCAGGCCCCTCCTGCTGGTGCAGCTGTCCCCTCCTCCTTCAAGGCTCAGCCCCAGGACCACCTCCTGGGGAACACCTTCCCTGACCCCGCCTTGTTCAGAGGCCCCACAGACTACTTCATAAACTGAATACACCTCCTGCCTCTGACCTGGAAGGTGATCCTGAGGATGACATCACGCCGCTTTCCACATGAGTCCGCACCGTGCAGCTCAGAATACACTCACACCACGTCCGTGAGTAAGTAGATGAGGCCATTGTTCCACAACAGAGCACTTCCTTGCCGAAATGGTCACCCTTCACAGCAGTGGTTTTTAGACACACAGAACCAGCCCTTCGAGAGGCCATGCGTTCATCCAGTGTGTAAAACAGATAAAGGCAGAAGTCTCCCGGCGGACTGGGCATGAGGATGCCCCGCTGTGGACGCCAACAGCACCACTGGGCAGTGCCTGTGTCTCCGAGGAGCTGAAAACCTGGACTCTAAAGAGTCCTCACTGTAACAGATCAGCAGCTGCCCTTCTCCTGACAGCACATTTCTCATTTCCTGGTAAGGAGAGCAGAGTTCTGATGTGAAAGGCCACAGCGGCTGTAACTCAGGACTGGTCCTCCAGCGCCGCTGTAATTTGTCAGGGTCCTCCTCCATGATTTCCTCGATAACTCCTCACCACCATCATCTAATTGCTGATTTCTAACATATATTTAGAAACAATGTTCATTACAGTAAATTAAATGGGACAAGAATGAAATTTGATGCTTTAAGTCTTGAAAATAAATGTATTACAATCAAACTAACAAAATATAAACATCTTTTTAAAAACAAATCTTAATTATGCTACAAATTCACTTCCTATATCTTCGTTCTCCAAGTCAATGCCTTTTTACGGCTTGAAGTGTTCTAAAAAATCTATGATGATGCTTCCAACACAACATATTTTAAAAGCCAGAATAAAGCTAAATGTAAACACAGCTCATCTGGCTCAAGTCTCCTCAATTATTGAAATAAAAGATAAAAGAAGCCAAAATGACATCAGCACTAGAGGAAGAGAGGAAAAACACGTATCAGAATGTGGAGATCGTCTACGTACTGGAGCGCCATTCACCATGCCTGCTGTCCTGAGGCTCCCGAGGCGAGCCAGGCCCAGCGTCTCCATCCTCCTCCCTTGGTGCTGTGCACGGGGAGCCTCCACATTGCTCAGGCAGGTGCAGCCACAGCATGGGGTGTGATGTGAAGTGTCAGGAGCTGGTTGACCTGGTCAAGATACTGGGTTCAGTTGAGATAACCTGACATTTAGATGGTAAGGAGGGAAGAAAAACAGCATCCAGGCAGAGGAACTAGGCAGGCCTGGAGTCCAACTCCCAGCTCACAGCCCATGCAGAGGGAGGAGGGAGGCCCTGCACTCTGAGTCCTCATCCATCGAATGTCCTCGCTGAGCCTGTGAGAACACACAGGGAAAGGCCACGGCGTTCCAGAGACTTGGTGAACATTAGTTCCTAGCTGTGACACTCAAAAAATTCCACACACAGACTCTGGCAAGCACCTAGGGGTGACTCGGCGCCATGGTCTGGAAGTTGCTCTCCCCCCAGAATTCATCAGTTGAAACCCCCACTGCAATGGTATTAAGAGGTGGGGCCCTTGAGAAGTGATTAGGTCATGAGAGTGGAGTCTGCATGAATGGGCTGAATGCCCTTATGAGGGAGGTTTCAAGGAGTTTGTATTTCCATCCACCACTTGAGGATACAGCAGGAAGGCCCCGCCACTCAAGCAGAAAGCCCTCATGAGACGCTGATCTGCCAGTGCCTTGATCTCACACTTGCCAGCCTCCAGAACTGTGAGCAAATACATTTCTGTTGCTTGTAAATATCCCAGTCTAGGGCATTTTGTTAAAGCAGCCCCAACAGACTGAGACTCCACATTTGGAGCCTCATGCGCATCAGCCCGCCTGCAGGATTTAAAATATGAGTCGCTCTACCAGCAGGAACACAGCGTGTCACAGGGAGACCAGGACACCACACGGCTTTCAGTGCAAACTTGCTGACCACACAGGAGGTAAAACAAGTTTATTCAATCTTTCTATTTCTCCATTTTATGTGCCTTTAAACTCCTCGTAAAACCAAAAGTTTTATCTAACAGTATGTGAGAATGGGTAATGCCAGTTCAGATGCAGCCTTCTCTCATCCTCCCAGGACAGGATGGCTGTTCCCATCCCTACTCTCTGGCAGCGATTCCACATCATTTTATAGTGCTTAGAACAGTCAGCCTTGTGCGAATGTTATTCCACCCGTGACTACCACCTTCTGCCTTGTATTTCTTTGAACACTGAAACCATATCTAACTCAGCTTCTGATCTGCTGCTGCAGGTGGAGAAATTCTTGTGCATTTATCCCTAAAACTCACAGGAACAAAAGAACTGTGTGAGAGTAGTTGCATGTGGAACGTAAGAGTTTTCTAAAGCAGTACCCATCTGCCTCCACAAATTCATATTTTAAAAATTAGAAAAATAGCTTTCACTTAATGGACTTAGCACATACTAAGAGATTTACATACATTTAACCCTTTAACAGAGAAAAGCTTTATATATGCAAAAGGTTAGAAACTCTTCTATTATGAAGTGGGAACAGAGAGGAAAGGAAATAAAATTACAAAATCACACCAAATAGCATCATATCATTTTCCAAAATAATTCTCTTGAAAATATTAGAAAATTGGTTAGCTAAAGTTAAAAGAATTATCTTTACCATTATCTTAAACCTTGCATGTTATTTTTTAAGTTATAAATTAGAAAGCATTAAAAACTCCGAAATTATATTTTGCATTTGCAACCTAAACATCTGAAACAATTTTTAAAAATTTGGGAACTAAATTGAAAAAAAATCTCAGCCTAAGCTCTAACAGGCCAAGTTTTAATCTAGACCAAGTTTTATGGCTCTGTCATAAACCCCAGAAAGAAAAGAACAAAAAGAGAAAGAAAATAGGGATTTATAATGGAAATGCTGACAGACCATTTTCCAAACACCAAAAATAAATTATAATTGGCTTTGCAATGACCACCTTTAATAAGAGTCATGCACAACCAATACAAAATTAAATGAACTAAGAAATATTTTTCTAATAATTGACAATGTTTGAGACAAGCAGCAGCAAGTGTCAGAAAGCATGGTAAGCAATATGTTTTAAATGTAAAATTGGCCGGGCGCGGTGGCTCAGGCTTGTAATCCCAGCACTTTGGGAGGCCGAGACAGGCAGATCACCTGAGGTGAGGAGTTTGAGACCAGCCTGGCCAACATGGTGAAATCCCCTCTCTACTAAAAACACAAAAATTAGCCAGGCGTGGTGGCCCACGACTCTAATCCCAGCTACTCGGGAGGCTGAGGCAGGAGTATCGCTTGAACCCAGGAGGCGGAGCTTGCAGTGAGCCGAGATCACGCAACTGCACTCCAGCCTGGGCGACAAGAGCGAAACTTCATCTCAAAAAAAAAAAAAAAAAAAAAAGTAAAATTTACAACATGAAAGAAACTTCACGTATAAGATTCATTTATCTTCACGACTGAAATTTTTAAACTCAAGAATGACAATGTTTAAGAAATTTGGTCAATTCTCACTTAACTGTATTATCTAAAGACTCACAGACTTTTAGAAAAACTGACCAGATAGACAACTACATAACATCTCAGGAGAGACTTTTCTTGTTAGCAATCTTTATCTTTAGATACATTTTTAGACATTGCATTTTGAGAATAATATATCAACAAATTTTAAATACTACTTGTCAAACTTTAACCTCTGAAATCTACATGCTGACGAGTCTTTTTAAGAAACCATTTTTTTCTCTAGATTTACATCTACTTTCTTATACAAAGAATCGAATCCTTTGCTTTCTGTTGGTAACAGCGAGTCACAGTTCAAATCGGCGCATGTCAAGTGAACAGATTCCAGGTTCCAGGTACGACCAAGATCAGACACAAAGATGGTGCAAACCCTAGTCTGCACTCAGGTATCTTAAAGTCAAATGTCTTTGCGTGGAAGTTTCACTAAATAAATTTAGTAGGTCAGATTTATACTTTAACATTCTACATCCAAATATTAGCTATCAATATCTCATTAAGCTGCACTTGAATTTAAAAGGAATCATAACACCTAAAAAATAAGACAGGTTGGTCGGGCGCAGTGGCTCACGCCTGTAATCCCAGCACTTTGGGAGGCCGAGGCGGGCGGATCACAAGGTCAGGAGTTCGAGACTAGCCCGGCCAACATGGTGAAACTCCATCTCTACTAAAAATACAAAAATTAGCCAGGCGTGGTGGCACGCGCCTGTAATCCCAGCTACTCGGGAGCCTGAGGCAGGAGAGTCATTGGAACCTAGGAGGTGGAGGTTGCAGTGAGCCGAGATCATGGCACTGCACTCCAACCTGGGAGACAGAGGAAGATTCCATCTCAAATCAATCAATCAATCAATAAGGTGGGTATTAGGCTAACAATCATTTTAAAAGTTAGTAACTCAATTATTAAATTCATTTAAAAGATCTTACTGCGAAATTAGTAGTATCAGATCATGGCTCTCAAATACCAACAGTGCTGCCTAGTCTCATCATAAATCACCAAACTGACTTCTTTTTCCTTCACAGCTTTCCCAGAAAACACAGAAACATGGAGTATTACACACAGCACTGATTCAACTAATTCACACTTCGTTTGTGAAGTATGCCGTTTTCATAGCCTTGTAAAGAAGTTACAGGATTCTTCAAAGGGATCCCTTCACTCATCTGAGACACCCACTGCACAGTGTTTAAAAACATGTTTGCTCTGGTTTATACGCAGGAAGAGTCTAAACAAAAAGAAAAAATGCAGAAAAATAATCTTTTCTCCAACAACTCTCCCCAAGCTGATATTTCCATGGTGTTATTCAAACCAGAAAAGCCTTCTCCTATTGAAACTTGAAATGTCCTATTAATGAACTGGGTGGTGGGGTGGGGGGGTGGAAGATTAAAAGGAAGGCAAGATAAAGACGCCTGTCGGAGCCTTTAAACCCTCCCTTCTCCGACCAAGGCTGCCCACAGGGAGGGCACGGAGGTGGAATTCGCTTCCGCAGGCAGTCTCCCCAGGCGTCCTCCTGGACTCCGAAGCTCTGACTACCCCACACTGCCAAGTCCCTGGATCTGCCTCTCTGAAGAGCCATCCAGACCGACATGCAGGGAGACCATCTTCCTGGACACGGAGCCTCTGAATCCCGGGGTCTCTCATGCTGCACCCGTTAAAGTCTTCCTGTGGCCCTGACACCTCCATCTCCCCTTTATCCAGAAAAGATGCAGGAACAAATCTGCTTCAATGTAATTTAACTTAGCAGCCCAGAATCTTTGCTCTTTCTGATTTGAACTGATTAAAAAACTTTATAGATAATCAGACCATACCTGTCCTATTAAACAGAAATTTAAAAGACTCAAAATGTGGGCCAGGCACGGTGGCTCACACCTGTAATCTCTGCACTTTGGGAGGCCGAGGCAGGCTGATCACAAGGTCAGGAGTTCGAGACCAGCCTGACCAACATGGTGAAACTCCATCTCTACTAAAAATACAAAACAAATTAGCCAGGTGTGGTGGCTCATGCCTGTAATCCCAGCTACTCAGGAGGCTGAGGCAGGAGAATCGCTTGAACCCAGGAAGCAGAGGTTGCAGTGAGCCGAGATAGTGCCACTGCACTCCCGCCTGGGTGACAGAGCGAGAGACTCTGTCTCAAAAAAAAAAAAAAAAAAAAGAAGACGCAAAATGTGTTAACCTGTGGATAACAAAGTCTGTTTAACCAACATTGCAATACTTCACTTGGCAAAATGATACCCTGAATCATGATATAAATGCCAGATGCATCGTAAGTTAAATCCTCAACTTGGAAAACCTTTCCAGGCATATCAACAACCAAAATTGCAGTTTTAGTCCTAAGAAATACAGTTTTGTTCCCAAGACTTAGAGGCCCTCTTGGGTACCAAGTGTCTTTTGAACCGTGCAGCTATCAGACAATGAACTCATCAAATGTTTCTCCTGTAATGCCACCCTTTAACCTACCGCTGTGGATATTTGTAAACTTTGTCTCTGTCAAAACAGACTGGCTGTATCCAACAGCCTCCACCTTCAAAAAAAAGCTACTGATTTAGCAAGGCTGCCCCAGTTCATAGAACCTATGTGTCTACCATGCAATCCATTATTGCTTAACATATACAACCTTATCAAGTTTTATGTAAGAATGTTTTACTAGTAAAATCTTAATATGGGCCCATAAAATAATCAAACACAAACGTAGAAAACTTAACATTCAACATGATATTAAAATATCTCCTAGGGTCAAACATCAAGGCTTCGAATAATTTAATGATCAATAAAAATTAACATTGAATTTGGTAGCAAACACTTATAAAATGGCATCATACATTTGTATCTGTTAAATGCTTTAAGCACATAGTTTTACAGATGATACATGTTATCCAAAAACTTACTCACTTTATTTTGGCAGATTTGATGGACAGGCCGTGAGTGGGCTTCCGCTATCACCGCTGCACTGCAGCCGGCGTTGAGGTCAAACACTTCCACGGTCCTGTTCCGGCCAGCTGCGAGTACGATGTCTGCGATAATCCAGTTAGGGAGCTCTTCTCAACACTCTTACCCATGGGGAAGGGACAGTTCCCTCTCTTTTACTAATAAAAACTTTGGAATATTAGAAGACTCATGAATGGATGACTAGTTAAGAATTTCTGAAATGCCGCAGGAAAAGTCCTGAGTCCAGTCCAGCCCCACCCCATCTGACTCCAGGTGTTGGCAAGAGCAGGTGGACGGGGGTGGGGGAGGGCTGCTTAGGAAAAGTGAGACCACCACAGTAGCTATTTTGAGGTGTGAGTTCCAGCTTTAGATACGTGGTGTTTGAGATGTCCATGAAACACCCAAATCAGATGTCAAATAATTGAATATGTAGATACTGCACTCAGCAGAAAGGGCTGGACTAAGATTAGACAGATCCACAGAATGGGTGACAGCACCTGGGGCAGGCTTCACGATGGGAGACACAACCCAGACAGTGCCATGTCGGCAGGTGACCGTGACGTGCTTCATAAACTTGACCTATGAGGAGCAATGTGTACATTTAGGGCGCGTGTGACCACCAGCACTCCCCAAGCCTCAATGCTCAGCCCTGAATGCTGTAGTAATGTGTATAGGTGGTGGGAACCCAGGTGCACTGGAGTCAAGAGACCCGTAATGCTGGTGTTAGCGTTGGATTACTCTTGACTCTAGTACTCTCGTATTCCAGAAACCATCATTTAAGCTAGAATAATCCTAATGACATATTTCTTATTTCTGCTAGGTATTTTAACACCTATTCTAGCATGAAATTACCACGTTTCTAAAGAAAACATACTGCAACCTCCTAACACTTTTAGTTCAACTACAAAACCCTCCAATAGAGTTCAACGTAGATTGAACTTTGAGTAAATTAAAACTTTATACAATGAATTCCTAAAGATCTGGAGCTTTTCCCCTAAATAAATTAAAATCAACTTTGAAAATTAAAAGCAATGGTGTTAGCCATAAAAATCTCAAAAATTAAAGTTCTGGGATTCCATTTCATATTATTTTGAACAGCAACCGCTATGATTTTTGCCAGCTATGCAGATGAGATACAATGACTAAATTAGTAGACATTAGTCAACAAAGTCCAGAGCAGAAGGGCCAGGTCAGCCCACCCACCTGCTGGATGGCATGAGCTGTACGGCACTCAGGTTTCTTCTTCCTCTGAGGCCCTTTCTCAATGTTGAGATGAATTATTACACGTACAATTAACACAAGGATGGCGAGCTCCATGAGAAGGGTCCCTGCATTCCCGGAGCCCCACACAATGCCTGACACTCACGAGATGCTCAGCACATGCCTCTGCCAGAGGAACAACACTCAGGGCGTAAAACCCTACCAGGATCCGGGAGAAAGGATACGGGAATAAAAGTCGTTGACTGCCGATAAACTGGTCATGTCTACTGCACCCGTCGTGGAGAGCCTGCAAATCAGCTTGGACTTGCTCTTCTGTTTATATCTGGAAGAGAAAATCAAGATGATCAATATTTTTGCTTTCCTTCTGCTACAACTAAACACCTTATCTTTAAAAACATTAAACATGAAAAGAAAGTTTTCATATCACTTTAAAAATCATATTTTATGATACTGAGGGGAAAAGTGAATTAGCTACCTTAATTTTTCTTTAGGAAAAAAAACCTGTTTTTCTATTAACATCTAATTATTTGTGGTGATTTTTGACATACAAAAGATCCCCCACGCCGTCCTCCTTCTTCAGCCTGTAATCAAATGCACCAGCCTTTTTCTATAGGGTATTTCCATGTATGCTTAGAAAATCCTGCCCATCTCCCGCTACATATAACTGAAGACATGCCTCAGCTTCACTGCCTCCCGAAACCCAACTGAAGTGCCTGCAAAGTGATCTCTAAGAGAAAGTCCCACAAGATCAGAAAGAGGAGGCAGGAACAAGAAGAGGATCCACCAACTCTCAGGGGCAAAGGGCTGTGCCAGCCGAGATGGGAACGCTGTGACATGAGCTGACTTGTGAAGCTCCCTCCCAGTAAGTAAAAATAAACTTTAGGCCAGGTGTGGTGGCTCATGCCTGTAATCCCAGCACTTTGGGAGGCCGAGGCGGGCAGATCACGAGGTCAGGAGTTCGAGACCAGCCTGGCCAACATAGTGCAACCCCGTCTCTACTAAAAATACAAAAATTAGCCAGGTGTGGTTGGGGGGCAGGTGGGGGAAGGGGGGCGCCTGTAATCCCAGCCACTTGGGAGGCTGATGCAGGAGAATCCCATGAACTCGGGAGGCGGAGGTTGCGGTGAGCCAAGATCTCATCACTGCACTCCAGCCTAGCGACAGAGTGAGACTCCGTCTCAAAAACAAACTTTAGGACTGAAAGTCCCAGGCACCTCTGAAGACAAGGCTGAGGGAGGGGCCGCAGGAGGGGGCCGCTGGGTCCTGGAGCCCTTCCTCTGCATGCAACCCGCCCCAGCACAGGCCAGAAGTCACTCCTGGGATGCTGTGCCACAGGATAGATGAGAGTGGGGATGCTCTCATTGAGATCGGGGTGAGATCGGGGATTCCTTGCAAGCCCATCTATCAGATGCGATCGGATGGAAGCCCAACCCTTGGCAGGTCCCAACCCGATGTCCCTCCATGAGAGAAGCAGGCAGATGCAGTGCCCATTCCGAGCGCAGGGCACCTGCCCCAATTAACAAACTGAAGGCACACATCTCAGAAACGTAACTTTGATTAAGAAAGGTGTGCTCATGTTACACTCAAAAAAATAAAATGACATGAATACACAGAGATACAGCAAAAATACAAAACTATGACCAAGAAGCAAATATATCAATCTCAAAAGGAGGAAAAAGGGAAGAGGACAGGACTGGGAGATAGGTTCCTAATTCCCTCTGTAATATTTTATTTCTTTAAAAATTCTGGAAAACAAAGATAGTGAAATGTTAATACTTGTCCAAGCTAGGTGTAGCTAAGAAGATATTTATTATTCCCCATATATATGTATATATTTGAAACAGTTCATAATTTAACTTTATGTTATCAATAGTATTTGTCCCACATAACATCACTTCAATATGCTGCAGAGCCGAGATGATAATTGAGGATTCTCAAATCCCCCAAATTCTCTGATTCCGTCATGCCAAAGGCCCCGCGCATAGTAATACAAAGGAAGGTTTAAAATGAGTAGGATCTGGATAATTCCCTCTCATCAAGAGTTTGGTGATATGAGGTCATTATTAAATTTGGGGCAACATTTTAAAATGTAAATACCTTTCAACATCACATTATTGAAACAGCTTCCTGTGATCTAAAAATAATGCACAGGGCGGGGGGTGCCTACCTCTTAATCTCATCTTTGCAAGTGTCAATGTGATACCTCAGTAGCTGAAATTCAGGGCCAGAAGATAACAATATAAAGGCATCTATATAATAGAACTGTGCAGACTGTATAGGTTTAGAAAACATGTCTTTGCCCTGTAATGCAAATCAGTAATTACTGTCAATATAATAAATGTTAACAAAAACACTATTGCTCTAAACATAAAATTATTTCTTCTTAAAACCCAACATCTATTTGTTCTAAATGTGTACATAAACTTTGTTAGACCCAATCTACAATTTTTGTTTCTGCCTACTACTTCTGAAAGGTATTATATGATTAAAATGTTACTGTAATGAATGCTTTGAATTCCAGCCATTTAACAACTTTAAAAGAAAATCGAAACTTAGCAGTAAACATACTAAGTACCAAAGATTTTATTAAAGCTGAAATTCAAAATGTTTTAAAATACAGTTCTGAGGTGTCTGCTCTCAAATTTAGACCTCACAACCAAACGTTATGACACAGAGCAAGCTGACGGCATCCACAGCTCTCAGCAAACTCCTTCCTGAAGCTGCTGCCAAACGCTTCACCTTTAGAGGCCCTAGGTCTTCTTTAATTGACACTTCCTTTCTTGTCTTTCTCGTATTCAATCCCCTTTCTATAAAAGACGCAAAGAAAATAAATCCCAACATCTTTGAAAATTGGACTGCTTTTTATGTTATGTTCTTTGCAAGTCGCCTGCTCATAATTTCATGATTTGAAGGTGAGTTTCCTACCATTGCCTTTTCTTTCCCTGTCCTAGTCATAAGGTTATCTATCATCTTCCTGTCTCTCCTTTCCTGTTCTGCTCCCAAATGATCTCCCGTAAGTTCATCAAAACAAGTCACTCCTCTCCCTAAAATATACTTCCCCCACGTAATAGCCCCTTGGCCATTACTGCTATCTGGACTATGAAATCACACTGAATCAATATTTAAAATTCTTCAAATGTTTCAGTATTAATCATGTGGCATTCGCAGACCATAACAAACATAAGGATAGATTTAACCATATGAATGTATGCATGCATGTGGCAAGTGTGTAAGTGTGCGCATGTGTATGCATCTATCTGCGTGTGTGCCTATTGCATGTGTATTAATACGTGGCAAATATGTAAGTGTATGTGTATGCATCTACATGTGTGTGTGCCTATTGCATGTGTGTGAATATGTGGCAAGTATGTAAGCGTGCATATGTGTATGCATCTATATGCGTGTGAATATGTGGCAAGTATGTAAGCATGCGTATGTGTATGCATCTCCATGTGTGTGAATATGTGGCAAGTATGTAAGTGTGTGTATGCGTATGCATCCATATGCGTGTGTGCCTATTGCATGTGTGTGAATACGTGGTAAGTATAAGTGTGCGTATGTGTATGCATCTATATGCGTGTGCCTACTGCGTGTGTCTGAGTATGTGGCAAGTATGTAAGTGTGCGTATGTGTATGCATCTACACGTGTGTGAATATGTGGCAAGTATGTAAGTGTGCGTATGTGTATGCATCTATATGCGTGTGCCTCTTACATGCATGTGAATATGTGGCAAGTATGTAAGTGTGCGTATGTGTATGCATGTATATGCGTCTGTGCCTATTGCATGTGTGTGAACATATACATGTAGACACACATTTAAGAAACTAATTGGCCGGGCGCGGTGGCTCACGCCTGTAATCCCAGCACTTTGGGAGGCCGAGGCGGGTGGATCATGAGGTCAGGAGATCGAGACCATCCTGGCTAACAAGGTGAAACCCCGTCTCTACTAAAAATACAAAAAATTAGCCGGGCGCGGTGGCGGGCGCCTGTAGTCCCAGCTACTCGGGAGGCTGAGGCAGGAGAATGGCGTGAACCCGGGAAGCGGAGCTTGCAGTGAGCCGAGATTGCGCCACTGCAGTCCGCAGTCCGACCTGGGCGACAGAGCGAGACTCCGTCTCAAAAAAAAAAAAAAAAAAAAAAAAAAAAAGAAACTAATCAATAACTGTTATTGCATTGAAGCAATAACTTTTAATCAGTAACTTTTATTGCATTAAAGCAAACTCTTGGCTTACGTCCCTTTCCTCATCTCCTGTTAAGGTAAAAGAATGAGACTTTTGAGAAGCTCTCAGCTCCTTTGGAAATGACTGCCCATGGCAGAGATGACTGTCCATTACCAGAAGCAGTGCGAGCTCTGCCCCACGAGCCGACCACATTCGCAGGGTCCCGTCCCGGGCCGCAGAGAGCAGCCACCTCCGGTCCTGGCTCCAGCACACGGCATTCACTGCCCCGTCGTGACCTAACAGGAATGACCACAGAAGGTTACTATTTCTACTATTAATATCAGTTTTGACTGAGTGCTACTTATCTGGTACTTTCATACAACACAACTGGAACAGCATTTTTCAAGTAATTAGGGGCGCGCCAGGAGGCTTCTCCTCGCCACAGTGAGGCTGCAGAGCCTGAGGCAGGGTGCACCATCTCCCTTCAGTAGAGACTCAGTGTGGCTTCTGAAGGCAGTTGCTCTAAAGCCTCACGTTCCATTTTTTCAACTTTTATTTTAGATTCAGGAGGTGCAGGTGTGGGTTTGTTAGGAGCGTGTACTGCATGGTGCTGGGTACTGTGCAGTGCTGGGTACTGCGTGGTGCTGGATACTGCGTGGTGCTGGGTACTGCGTGGTGCTGGGTACTGTGTGGTGCTAGGGTTTGGGGTGTGAGTGAACGCCTCGGCCAGGCAGTGTGGAGCGTGTACCATGTGGTGCTCGGTACTGTGTGGTGCTGGGTACTGTGTGGGGCGTGTACTGCGTGGTGCTGGGTACTGTGTGGAGCGTGTACTGCGTGGTGCTGGGTACTGCGTGGTGCCGGGTACTGCGTGGTGCTGGGTACTGTGTGGTGCTGGGGTTTGGGGTGTGAGTGAACGCCTCGGCCCGGCAGTGTAAAACCTCGCATTTCTTAAACTAAGAAGTTCAACATTATGTGTGCATCTGTGAGTGTATGTTTTCAGAAAAGAACATGATAACATTTAGTATTATGAACTACAGTATAGAAATCTGTGGACTCCATGATAATGTATCAGTATTTTAAAGAACTGCTGTCAACGTTGAAGAAAAAAGTGAAAAAAAAAAATCCCTGAGCACACACATATAAGTTGATCATTTGTTGTGACAGATTTGAAAAGTTTTGTCTAAACTCACAATGGCTGCTTGGATGCTGATTTCTGAGAGCGCCAATGCTGGTCTTCAGGTGTCTGAATATCAGCAGTGTGTGCTGCTCTGATATTAAACTAAGGTAGGCGATGAGGCACAGTGTTTATTTCGTACACCTGTAGGAGCTTTTCTGTCCACTCCCCACCTCATCCTACTCCCAGCCTAACCCTGGGGCCCAGACCCTGAGCACGTGCTGGTTTCTGGACCTGTCTTGCCTCATAACCCCTAGAACGGCTGTCAGGGCAGGAGGCATCTTCAAACAGTCTCTCAGCTGCCACCACCTGACGGTTCTAAGAAGCGGCGGACACAAAGGAAAGGAGAAAGCAAAGACGACCAGGGATGCGCTTCTTCTCAGAGGTCGGCCCTGGAGCCAAAGCCAGCTGTGTGGCATGGTGAGGAGGGCGAGAGGGGACGAGCTGGGGAGGTGAGGGCAAGGAGAGGCCGCACCCAGCCCTGCAGCCTCTGACCCCTGAGCACCCGGGCTGGGATGGCAAGAAGAAGACTGACGGGCAGCCTCACTCATGCTTCCTGACGACAAATGACCCTAGACCTGCTCGACGACCCCATTTTGCCTCCATAGCTCACAGGGAATGGGTAACCACAACTCCCGAGAAAATTCCTGCCATAGCCGGGATCTCCCCACGGAGCAGAAGACCCCTTCCTGTGGGCCTCAGCATGTGAATCACACATCACAATTTATAGACTAGACAATGAACTGCAATCTCACTACATCACATCTGTCAGGGTATCAACATAAAAAAGGCAAAACCAGGAAAGATATAAGAATATGAACATAACTCAGTTCTGCAACAGGACGCCAGGAAACGCAGAGCTGAAATTCACAGCGCAGAAAAACGTGAAATAGCTTTGCTGCCCTCACGTGTAGAGTTCTGGCAGTTTTAGCAAAAGTACAGAGGCTGGTTAAGGAAAGCTCCAAACATTCCTCACTGCTGCCCAGCTAACAGCAGCTGCAAGACTCAAAGGAAAGTCACGTTTGTGACTGCCATTAATAGACACCACCCATGCCGCTTGTACCGAACACCAGCGGTGTCCGCAGCTCTGCACCATCCAAGAATATCGCAGGTTCACAGACACCTGCTGCAGGGCCTGGTCCAGGCAGCCTGGGCCATAAGGGCGTCCTCCCAGTGGGAAGGGCCTGACGTATCTGCCCGGTGACTGACCTCAGAAGTCACTCCATTACCAGCCATGTGGCGCACTGTCTTCCAATATCAAGCTCAGACCAGCCTCCACTGCCTGGCTGCAAGAGGCCGCGAGAGGTCGCACAGGAGGGAGGGTGAAGTCACTGCTACCCATGCTCTTCCTTCTTAGTGAGACTGAGGATGTGTTTTCTACGTGAGGCCACACAGGAGGGAGGGTCAAGTCACTGCTACTCATGCCCTTCCTTCTTAGTGAGACTGAGAAATGTGTTTTTCTCGTCCTTCCCACCTCCTCCTACCAGCACAGCGTTTGCTGCACGTCCAGTGGCCACTAAGCCACCAAGGCCAGCAGAGGCACCGGCAATGCAGGGGTTGCGAAGTGCCACCTTCTGCTCAGCCCCGACAAGTCAGCTTGGTCCTTCATCTCAAGTGTCAGGGACGGACCTCCCACTCCCAGGATGAAAACAATGGAGATTCCTTAGAACTTGCCAAAGGTGGGATCCCCCTCCTCTCCCGAGCTCCAGCCCCAAACACATGCGTGAAGCGCTGCGGGCCGCAGGGTGCATCGAAGACGAATCACCGCAGGCAAGGCCGGGCCCTCGGGAGCCAATCCCCACGAAGCAAGGTGCCCATGGGGGACCACATGGGTGCCTCTTCCTCTCTCTCCCCACGATCTCCTCACGGTACGGAAGGCCTCCCTCCTCTTTTCAGTTGGCCAGTTTCCCCTGTGGTGAGTGTGATGAGATGAGAAGCTTCAGAAACAGAGTGAAAAGGATTCTAAAACCCTACCTAGGTCAGGGTTTTAGACCTCTGGACCTAGACTTCCCCTGGACATGGACCCCGCGCTGGGGAAGCAGTCAAGGGTGTGGGGACATAAGCAGCATGGAGGCCGGCGTGGGCAGTCCCCGCTCCGAGAAGGAGCAGAGCAGAAGCCACTCGGCGCAGCTCGAGCCAACCAAGAGCTCGGGACCAGGAGAGATGCGCATCTTCACTTCATACTTGGACAAAGATTTCTCGTTTTTATACAGTTCCACTATCTGTAATGGAATTTTAGATTTAATCTTCCGAAATGCCTGACCCCAGAACTTCACAACGATCACCGCTAGCTCCAGGGCGCGTCACAGATGACGCAGCTCTCCCGCGCAGCGCGCTCAGAAGCCGCCATCCCGTATCGCTGAGAATCTACTCTGTGCCAGGCACATGCTCGGCGGAAGGCCTGGGACTCAAGTACCTGTCTTTGGACTAGACACAATTTTTGATAGGAAAAATTCTGAAATCTAAAGCAGAAACACATAACTCCTTTATTAAATTAAATACGGTTGCTCTCAGTGGTTTTCAAGCTGGGATGTGCTACCTGACTGTATGCTCAGAGGCCCCTGAACTCTCCAGGAGAGAATTTGAATTTATACTTATTTGTCACAGATCATAATGGAAATAAAGACACTCATTTTTCTGTGTTCTGGGCAGGTGCTGAGAGACCAGTCATATTTTCAACGTTGAGCGATGCCACTATTAAACGTTACACACCCAAAGTGAAACGATGTGGCTTGTGCAGTTGAGATGGTTAAATGTGGCCCTTCCCCCCCGCCCACAGAAACAGAGCAAGTTTTTGTAAAGATGAATTTGAAAACCCACTACATTTTTTCAGTTTAGTGAGAAGCCCTTTTTCCAACAATAAAATACACAGGGAAACACCCACAGTCAACAGAACAACCACTCATATCAACTATTCAGCCACGAAAGAGGCCGGCTCAGGGCTCCCAGGTGCACTGTGAAGATTCTGAGGCTGCAGGATAGATATGAGGTGGGACCAGGAGCAAGGCGCTCGAAGGGCAAGGGTGGCATCCAGGCCAAGCCCGGAGAACCGTTCTCCACCCAGACCATGCAGGGGGCGGCAGCTTTGCTCATGCAGGAGCCGAGCCCGGCTCTGCCTGCCCTTGGGGGCCTGCTAGACCTGGCCCTGGGTGTTAGCAAGCAGAGGGTGTGAGGCGGGAGTCACTGGGGGCGCTCATCTGCTCCCAGGTGTGGCCTTGCCTAGGCCTGCTTCCCACTGTCTCTGTCCCCAACTCAGCCCCACCAGGCCCCACCTCCGCGTTTCCTAATGACTGCCCTTGGGGTGGTCACGCGACAGGCTGTGTGTCCCATATTCGCAATGCTTGGGATTAGAGGTGTTTTGGAGTTCCCATTTTTTCAGATTTTGGAGTATTTGCATTATGGCAGGTAAGCAACCCTAATCCAAAAATCTGAAATCTGAGATGCTTCAACGAGCATCTCCTTGATGTTATGTCAGCACTCAAAGTGTTCTGGATTTGGGGGTATTTGGATTTCAGAATTTTGGATTACGGATGCTCAACCTGTATAAAAACAGAAGGACTAGTGAGATATTTTGTGTTGTTTCTGTGCTTCTGTTAAAATATCTACCAAGTGTAAGTTCTAAAGCAAGCCATATCAGGATCCTAATGAAGAGCTGGCAGGTTTTATGGGATTAGAATTAGGAATCAAATATATGTCCCAGTTATGAGTTGAAATGGTCATAATTTTAACACTGTTGCTCTCAGATCTACTTTTTTTAAAAAAAAATTGTTTGCTTTGTTACATTTATAAAAATGTCTATGTACAAACCCCACTAAATTTCAAAATATATTTCAACTGTATGCCTTTTGATTACATTAATTAAATATATTTCAATTATTTAGGATTTGACTTCATTCACTCCCCTAAAACTCTACAAATGAATGGCTCTTGGCCTCCAGGGCAACAGCCACGAAAGTGCTGCCACGCTGTTCTCATGAGTTATGTTTGCCCTGTTTGGTTGAAGATCTCAGTAAATCTAGTTTAGACTCCAATTCAAGCCATGGCTTTGGTTTGCTGATGTCCTGAAGGAAACAAAAGTGTCCTTTAGCAACTGATAACCAGGACCTAAGTGAGACCCATCCTTAAGTTCATACTGACTGAAATTAAGACATGTTTTACCTGAAAACACAGCAGGTGTCCCAGTCAGGCTGGCATCAAAAACGAGTAACAGATGGTTGGCCAACCCACAGGCCAGCCACTGCCCATCTCCTGTTAAAAGAATTTTAAAAAAAGACTTCTTAGAAAAGCCTAATTCATAGGAGTCACACTGTAGAAAAGCCTAGTTCACAGGAGTCACACTGTAGAAAATCCCAGTTCATACAAGTCACACTGTAGAAAAGCCTAGTTCACAAGAGTCACACTGTAGAAAAGCCTAGTTCACAGGAGTCACACTGTAGAAAACCCTAGTTCACAGGAGTCACACTGTTGAAAAGCCTAGTTCACAGGAGTCACACTGTAGAAAAGCCTAGTTCATACGAGTCACACTGTCGAAAATCCTAGTTCACAGGAGTCACACTGTCGAAAAGCCTAGTTCACAGGAGTCACACTGTTGAAAAGCCTAGTTCACAGGAGTCACACTGTAGAAAAGCCTAGTTCACAGGAGTCACACTGTAGAAAAGCCTAGTTCACAGGAGTCACACTGTTGAAAACCCTAGTTCACAGGAGTCACACTGTAGAAAAGCCTAGTTCACAGGAGTCACACTGTAGAAAAGCCTAGTTCACAGGAGTCACACTGTAGAAAAGCCTAGTTCACACGAGTCACACTGTAGAAAAGCCTAGTTCATACGAGTCACACTGTAGAAAATCCTAGTTCACAGGAGTCACACTGTCGAAAATCCTAGTTCACAGGAGTCACACTGTAGAAAAGCCTAGTTCACAGGAGTCACACTGTAGAAAAGCCTAGTTCACAGGAGTCACACTGTAGAAAAGCCTAGTTCACAGGAGTCACACTGTGGAAAACCCTAGTTCACAGGAGTCACACTGTCGAAAAGCCTAGTTCACAGGAGTCACACTGTGGAAAACCCTAGTTCACAGGAGTCACACTGTCGAAAAGCCTAGTTCACAGGAGTCACACTGTGGAAAAGCCTAGTTCATATGAGTCACACTGTAGAAAATCCTAGTTCATACGAGTCACACTGTAGAAAATCCTAGGCCGGGCGCGGTGGCTCACGCCTGTAATCCCAGCACTTTGGGAGGCCGAGGCGGGCGGATCACGAGGTCAGGAGATCGAGACCATCCCGGCTAAAACGGTGAAACCCCGTCTCTACTAAAAATACAAAAAATTAGCCGGGCGTAGTGGCGGGCGCCTGTAGTCCCAGCTACTTGGGAGGCTGAGGCAGGAGAATGGCGTGAACCCGGGAGGCGGAGCTTGCAGTGAGCCGAGATCCCGCCACTGCACTCCAGCCTGAGTGACAGAGCGAGACTCCGTCTCAAAAAAAAAAAAAATAAAAAAAAAAAATAAAAAAAAAAAAAAAAAAAAAAGAAAATCCTAGTTCACACGAGTCACGCTGTAGAAAAGCCTAGTTCGCAGGAGTCCCACTGTAGGAAATCCTAGTTCATAGGACTCACACTGTAGAAAAGCCTAATTCGTAGGAGTCACACTGTAGAAAAGCCTAGTTCACAGGAGTCACACTATAGAAAAGCCTAGTTCACAGGAGTCACACTGTAGAAAATCCTAGTTCGTATGAGTCTCACTGTAGAAAAGCCTAGTTCACCGGGTCATACTGTAGAAAATCCTAGTTCATACGAGTCACACTGTAGAAATTCCTAGTTCACACGAGTTACGCTGTAGAAAAGCCTAGTTCGCAGGAGTCCCACTGTAGAAAAGCCTAGTTCACAGGAGTCACACTACAGAAAAGCCTAGTTCACAGGAGTCACGCTGTAGAAAATCCTAGTTCGTATGAGTCTCACTGTAGAAAAGCCTAGTTCACAGGGTCACACTGTAGAAAATCCTAGTTCATACGAGTCACACTGTAGAAATTCCTAGTTCACACGAGTCACGCTGTAGAAGACCCTAGTTCGCAGGAGTCCCACTGTAGAAAAGCCTAGTTCACAGGGTCACACTGTAGAAAAGCCTAGTTCATATGAGTCACACTGTAGAAAATCCTAGTTCACAGGGTCACACTGTAGAAAATCCTAGTTCATATGAGTCACACTGTAGAAAAGCCTAGTTCACAGGGTCACACTGTAGAAAAGCCTAGTTCACAGAAGTCACACTGTAGAAAAGCCTAGTTCACAGGAGTCACACTGTAGAAAAGCCTAGTTCACAGGGTCACACTGTAGAAAAGCCTAGTTCACAGAAGTCACACTGTAGAAAAGCCTAGTTCACAGGGTCACACTGTAGAAAATCCTAGTTCACAGGAGTCACACTGTAGGAAATCCTAGTTCATACGACTCACACTGTAGAAAAGCCTAGTTCACAGGAGTCACAGTATAGAAAAGCCTAGTTCACAGGGTCACACTGTAGAAAAGCCTAGTTCACAGAAGTCACATTGACCACAGGCAAGAGTAGAACTTCTAGTTAACCTGGTTCTAAAACACAAACACTAACATCGGCATGGGGGTCTGCAGGTGCCAGACCGTGTTAATCCTTTCTCACATCCTCTACCCAACACCTTGTAAGGCGCTGCCTTTGTCATCCTCGCCATCCTCCCTTAACAGAAGAGGAACAGCAGGATGAGCAGCAGGATGAGAGAGTGAGGCTGCTGTTCAAGGTTGTGAACAGGAAAAGCTGCACCCAAAAGGCCCCTGCACCCAGGACAGGATGCCAATGGCCCCTGAAACAAGGTCCTGGAGCCTGCCTCAAATCAGCAGATTGCCCAGAGGCATATTTGGCTAAGCAGTTATGTTGAAACATTTTCCAAAAACAGGGTAGAAATAAATGATAGAGCTGGGCGCAGCGGCTCACACCTGTAATCCCAGCACTTTGGGAGGCTGAGGCAGGTGGATCACCGGACGTCAGGAGTTTTGAGGCCAGCGTGGCCAACATGGTGAAACCCCATCTCTACTAAAAATACAAAAATTAGCCAGGCATGGTGGTGCACACCTGTAATCCTAGCTACGCGTGACGCTGAGGCAGGAGAATCACTTGAACCCAGGAGGCGGAGATTGCAGTGAGCCGAGATTGTGCCACTGCACTCCAGCCTGGGCAACAGAGTGAGTCTCTGTCTCAAAAAAAAAAAAAAAAGAAAAGAAAGAAATGATAGATGTCACCCACAATATTCAAACTTGAGGGCAGATAACACTGAAGGAATGTTCAGTCTATCAAAGATCAGAAGGACATTTACTGATAATACTACACATCTAATTTCCGAAAATGACTTTAAAACTTCTTTGGCTACAATTATATAATAAAATAAAGGGAATTTAGCGGAGTGGTACATGGTAACCCTTAGGCGACTCAACCCTCTGGACAGATGGCATGAGGGTAGGGCAGGGTACCGGCCCAGATAGGACTTTGTGTCCAGCCCCAGGCAGGGGCACAGCTTGCCTGCAAGGAAATCTCACTTCTGAGAGGCGTTCAGGTGGTGGAACTACCCAGCTGAGGTCAAGAGGTCAAGAGCACTCTCACAAGCTGCTCCTCCCTTCTTTCAAGCACTATTTAGAAAAAAGTGCTGAGGTCCCAGAGAAGCCTGGTGAAGGCATTATCAGGACACACGTGAGAATCGGGCGACTGTCACGGAAGCCGAGACACACTCAGCCCTGCAGGAAAAGGTCCCGGCTGAGGGTCCGGTAAGGAAGGAATCCTGTGCGCAGCCTGCATGATGCCATCCCCAGCCTGGCGCCTCCAGCCCATCCATGAGCAGAGGCCGCGTCTCCAGAGGGAAGCAGTGACTGTTCCATTAGCTTCTTTGCCTGCCGAAGCCCTCCCACCTTAACATGTCTGTAGGAGGGGTCAGACAAACAGAGCAAACCCCGGAGGAGCTGGACACAGAACAGCAAATTCGCTGCTAGTGAGTGAGTGCCAGTGTCTGTGCCCACGCAGGGGTGAGATGCCTGGAGATCACCCTCACTACAGTCGAGTGAAACGCAGTCTCGGTTTTCATCCAGACACAAACCATGCCATGCAACTTCAAGTAACCAAGGTTTTTAAAAATATATTTACAATTATGATACAATAGAAAAATGTTTACAGTGGGCAGAATCAAAGACTCTTACAATGAAATGCTACCCAGCTCCCGCAGGACGTGGCGCACCTGAGTACTGGATGCAGCATACACGTGTGCAGGTGGGGGCGGCAGCGACCTGGGGGCCGGGCTTGGTGGGCACAGCGCACTCCACGGGGTATGCCTCCCTGAGGGAAGGCCACAGGTAACGGTGATCGGGAGACATTCACAGTGAGATTAGAAGTAAAACATAAGCAAGAAACGAAGTGGGCTTCCCCCCATCTACATGTATAATCGTATTCCAGTAAACTTGAATATTTATCTATATGTCTATATTTAGACTCTTATATTCAAAATCAGGAAATAACTCTTTTAAATAGACTTACATTCCACATTGCCAAAAAAGACACATATTTTACATATAAAACAGCAAGGATTTGCTGTGTTTCATATAAACTCATGTGAGTACTGTGACGATTTGGGGGTGAGGGTTCTCACTAAGAGAAAATGAATTTCACTTTCCAGTCTCATGCCGCTGTGGGTGGCGTTGTAATGCTAATCACTCAAATCATCTACAGATGCCTTCCGTGCACATGCCAATGCCTTCCGTGCACACGCCCGAGCCCTGGGTGGCATTTGGGGCCTCGCCACCACTGCTACCCAGCAGCTCCCAGCAGAAGGCCCAAGAGAGCCAAATGCAGAAGAGCCAGCGTGCTCTGTCTGGACAGTGGGGCCCTCACAGAAAAAATTACCAAAAAAATCAGAGCTGAACGGAACTCTGATGCCACATTTCACCTGCATAAGGCCTGAATGCATTTTGCTGCAAGCACGTGCGTAATATCAGGCAGAACGTGGCAGGACAGCAGCAAGGCTGCAGAAAAATGCAGTGAATGCGGGCAAAATCAATATTGGCGCTCTGTAATGCAGTGATTGCAAAGTAGACCCATGTACGTTAAAATGAGTTTTAAGTGCAGTAGCCCATATCTCTCCTCGGACAATGTAATCTTAAATCTAGGACTGGGAGGGACCCTAGATGTCCCCCAAGCTCTTCCCTGTCCAGTCACAAGGGGCCCAGGTGTATGCAGGACATGCCCACAGTCAGAGCCGCAGCCAGTGTGGAGCCAGTCCCGTGGACAGGTGCCCTCCCCAATGGCGTGGGCCACGCCCACTCAGAATGAGCACCTGGCACTACAACGGCCCCAACATTTTCACCCAATCCACCTGCATGACAGGGAGGAGCATCGGCTACGGCATTTTCTAAACTAAATTTTAACAAAAATTTATTATTTCAAAATTGTTAAGGTGGTAAGAACAGACCATGTCTGAAAAATTAACAGGAAAGAAATTTGGCTAAAAAGATATATAAATAATATAGATATACATATCTGTGTACATATGTGTGTAAACACATGTACACATATAAGGTTTTATATCTGTTTGGAAAAGAACCAGTTAAAGTGTTGGAAAGGTCTAGGTTATTTCAAATGTACTTGGAATGCACGCTACATCACACACCGTGCGCAGCTGCTCCTGCTCCTTGAAGATCCTTTCCCCTCACTCTTGATGTTGGTCTTTGGTGAAAACATAGTTACACTGTGGAAAGAAAACTCTAATATCACTCTCAAATATTAAGAGGTCTAAGTTTCTTAAGAGATTTATATTTTACAGTGAAAAAAATTATATACATAGATATAGACGTCTGCATAAATGCTTTCGGGCCCCTCCCACCTGTCCTCCAGCCCTTAAGTCACCTCCTCCCCTCCTGTGTCTCTCATGCTACCTCAGAGATGTCGCCCTGCTACACATTGTCCTGTGACTCCTTTAAAATCCTGGAATAGGACCCTGATGCTTGGCTTTTCCTTTAAGTCCAAAGCCCCAGGTTGGCACTCAGGGCCACCAATGTCTATCAACCCCTCATCCCCCGGGGCTCCCACACAAAGCCTGACACTGATGACATGCCTTAATATGGCAGAACTGGGGAATCCATACAAAGCTGCAGATGCCATTGGAGCAGAATTCATCCATCCAACCATCACCCATCCATTCACTCATCCCTCCACCCCTCCCTCCATTCCTCCATCCCCTCCATCCATCCACGCACACATCCATCTCTCATCTCTCGCCATCCATCCCTCACACATCCATCTCTCATCTCTCTCCATCCATCCCCCCCATCAATTGAGCCACTCATCCATATCTCATCTCTCCATCCCTCCATCCCCTTCATCCAGCCACCCATGCAGCCATCCCTCACCTCCGCATCCCTCCATCCCCCACCATCCATGCACCCATGCATTCATCTCTCATCCCTCCATCCCTCTATTCCCCCTCCATCCATCCACCCACACATCCATCCCTCATCTCCCCATCCCTCCATCACCTCCATCTACTCATCCATCTCTCATCTCTGCATCCCTCCTTCCCCTCCATCCATCCACTCACTCATCCATCTCTCAACTCCGCCCCTCTCCATCCCTCCATCCATCCCTCTACTTATCCATCTCTCATCTCTCCATCCCTCCATCTCCCACCATCCATGCACCTACTCATCCATCCCTCATCTCTGCATCCCCCCATCCCCTCCATCTACCCACCCACTCATCCATCCCTCATCTCTGCATCCCTCCATCCCCTCCATCCACCCACCCACTCATCCATCCCTCATCTCTGCATCCCTCCATCCCCTCCATCTGTCCACCCACTCATCCGTCATCCCTCCATCCCCTCATCTATCCACCCACTCATCCACCTCTCATCTCTCCATCCCTCTTTCCCCTCATCTATCCACCCACTCATCCATCCGTCTCTCCATCCCTCCATCCCCCTCCATCTACCTACTCATCCATCTCTCATCCCTCCATTCCTTCATCCCCTCCATCCATGCACCCATTCATCCATTGCTCATCTCCCCATCCCTCCATCCCCTCCATCCATGCTCCCACTCATCCATCTCTTATCCCTCCATCCCCACCATCCATCCACCAACTCATCCATCTCTCATCTCTGCACTGCTCCATCCCCTCCATCCACCCACCCACTCATCCATCTCTCATCCCTCCATCCCTCCATCCCCACCATCTATCCACTTATTCATCTCTCATCTCTCCATCCCTCCACCCCACCATCCATGCACACACGCATCCATCTCTCATCCCTCCATCCCCTTCTGTCCATCTCTCCATCCATCCATCCCTCCAAAAGTGCCTTATGAGAGGGTCCAGGGTGCTGAGTGCTGTCCCAGGCACAGGGGTTTAAAGAACAGATAATAAGACACAGTCACCATTGTTCAAGCCAGAGAACAAGCAGAGCAGGGAAGGGCTTAGAGGGTTGGAAGATGTGTTTACACAGAGTGGCCTGGGATTTCTGCCTGGAGCACAGCAGTACCACTGGGAGGGGTGGGAGTTGGGGAGTGGCCAGGGGCACAGAAGAGCTTGGAGGGTTGGAGGCTGTCTTTACACAGAGTGGCCTGGGATTTCTGCCTGGAGCACAGCAGTGCGGGGCGGGGGGGGGGAGTGGGGGAGTGGGGGAGTGGCCAGGGGCACATGAAGACGGGAGCTTGGTAGAGGTGAGTGCCAACCAGGGAGACAAGCGTGTGCGCTGCGGTCAGGGACTCCAGGTAACAGAGCCATTTTGGCCGCTATGTTAAGAGACATAAAAAGTCAAGAGGTGAGGTAGGAGGCGGGGGATATGTCTGCATTTTCTTCAGAAAAGTCACATTTGCCTTTGAGGAGTGGGCTCCTGAAGGTTTAGGGAATCTCAAGGCCTCCTCATGGTTTCTCAGCTGCTTTGTATCTCCTTGCCTTTGAGCAGTCTTGCTAACTCAGGGACTCAGGGCCTAAATGCACTCTGTTATCGTGCTCTGATGTTACGGCAGAGCTGTGTTCTAAGAAGAGCACCGTGTCCGGCCTTGATGGGCCACGTTTGTTTACAGCATCGTCATGCTCTCCCAGCCCCACACCCCACCAGCTTCCCCTCACCTCCCGGGACCACCACGTTATCAGAAAAGGACTCGGAGGACTGCTCTGAGGCCCAGCACATGGTGAATGCTCAGGAAACGTTTGCTGCTGCAGCTGCTGCTAACTGGCATGCTGGGGTCCAACCCACCACATTTTAACTTCTGTTTCTATTGCTATGTCCTCTCTCCATACTGTGGCCCTCGGGGATGTATGTGTGTCCCTATTTGTGTTAAAATCCTGCATCTGTGACGCAGGTGCATTTCTGTCTCTCATTGACATGAGTTCACTCACTGTGGTGCTGACGCATAACCAGATGACCTAACTTTACTATGGAAAACCAGGCGTTGGTCCTTCATGACGTTCCGTGCAGCTGTGGAAAGGCAATTTTAAAGAAGAAACAAACACTTAAAATTAGCATCTCATGATGGACATGAGAAGAACAGAGTCTCTTCAAAACAGAAACATTCACACAAACAGAATGAATTCCTGACCATAAATTTAAGAGGTTTCATATCTGAAGTCACACCAACCATCATCAGCAAAAGATTAAATCAAGGGATTAAAAGGATAAGAAAATAGCCCAAGTTGGTTGTTTTGTTGTTGTTGTTTTGTTGTTGTTGTTGTTGTTGAGACGGAGTCTCGCTCTATCGCTAAGGCTGGACTGCAGTGGTGCAAGCTCGGCTCACTGCAACCTCCACCTCCCATGTTCAAGTAATTCTCCTGCCTCAGCCTCCTAAGTAGCTGGGATTACAGGCACACGCCACCACGCCTGGCTAATTTTTGTATTTTTAATAGAGAGGGGGTTTCACCATGTTGGTCAGGATGGTCTTGAACGCCTGACCTCGTGATCCACCTGCCGCAGCCTCCCAAAATGCTGGGATTACAGGCGTGAGCCACTATGCCCGGCCTAGCCTATTTTACATTTTGCATAGCACTACCAGTTGACAAAAACTCTGACATCACGTGAACTTACCACAAGGGTAAGTGTTGTAAGTAGAGGGAGGCAAATTTGGGGATTATAGCATTACTGTAAATGAAACATATCCATTAATTTTCCATGGGAATATTTTCTAAACTACACCCAAAACATCAACATGTTAAAATTTAATCACTTTCTTGCTACAGAAAAGTTATCTCTGTATTAAAACTATTTATATAATTGTTCTTACTGAAGGTTTTGTTCTAAACTCTAAATGCTATCGTTAGTTGCGAACCACAGTACATCACATATGCTAGTCTGAAACGAGATGACCCTTGTTGACAAAAAGTTTAAAAATTCCACTTTTAAGGAGTGATCTAAATGAAGCGTATGTAAGAAGAAAAGCTAAAGAAACAAACATGTTAAGTTTTAAAGGTGAAATCAGGAGACTCGTGTCTCCTTCACGACAGGTTGTGTGCACAGATCTCACTTCCCAAATGCGCAGCCGTCCATGGCGGCAGACAAGACGAGCGGACCCCGTGGGTTGGACACGCAGGAGGCACTGCTCGCCACTCAGCATGGAGCCCACTCTCACAGGGGAGTTTCTTTCCATGGAAACAGTCAGAACCTTGGAAAACCATCTGAACAGTCTAGTATGATTCCAACTATTAGCCATTTTAATTAATATTGGTTAGTCAAGGTTTCCAAAAATTTTTTACTAGAAATGTATATATACATATAAATTCCTTTGTTATTAATTAAGCAAATGGTTCAAAAAGGCTTTTTTACATTGCACAACAATGTGAGGGTATGGAATCCCACTGAACCATACACCTAAAAATGGTTAAAATGGCAAGTTTTATTTTATACATATCTTATAATGAAAAAAGTAAATGAACAGAAAATGTCTTTTACAAGACTACAAAAATCAGTCTTTACCACATAAACAATGTGCAAGACCATATTATTTACCTAATAAACACTTTCAATTCTTCATTAGCATCATTACTACATAGGACTTTTTCAATTTTTTGAGGGTACTGCTATTTAAAAAGTGAATGCTAACTTTCATTATCTGGGTAACACACTGGTTAGGTATTCAGATGGCCTCTCCCACAGAGAAACGCCACAAAAGCCAGAAGAAATATGTGCTTCATTTTGTAAAAAGGGAAAAGAAAATGAGGACAAGATATTGAAACTGAGGTGAGCTGTGGATGGCGGCACCTCCAGCCACACAGGCTGAGGATTTGTGTGGCCTCAGGGAGGTGAGGGCAGAAAGGCCAAGTCCCTGGCCACTATGCGAGCTTCACCTTCTCCGACTAGCCCAGGAAGCCTGTGCCGTGATGGTCTGTACTGGTCCCAGGCTGCTGGCCCTGCAGTCAGAGTGACCTTGACAAGTGGCTTAAAAGGCCGGAAGCTGTGGATTTGTGCACCCAAACCCCTAGAAAGCAACGCAAATCTCCTTTGAGAGAACACAGTGCACTTCATTCAGTTCCAAAAAACAAATACAAAAACAAACAAAACAGAAACAAACAAAAAACTAAAGGCCCACTTCTCTAATGAAAATTGATGCAAAACTCCTCAATAAAATATTAGCAAACCAAATTCAACAACACAACAAAAAGAGTATACATCATGGGATTTATCCCTGACATACAAGGCTGGTTTTATACTCAAAATCAATCATATACCTAATTTAAAATATTACACCAAGCATTCAGGTATAGAAACAGAGAAAGCTCTCCCTAGCTCATTCTGTGGAGCTGGCACACCAAAACCAAACTCAGAAAGTTCCTGAGAAATCAATCACGCAAGAACATGAATCCAAAAGATCCTGTACAAAATAATAGCGAAGAGATAATAAATGCAAATTAGGCTTATGACAGTAAAGCGTATCTGATTAAACACAAGCAATAACCACCTCATGTTTAACCAGGAAAACGCAAACGAAATCATAAGACACCTCTGTATCGTCACTGGTTGCCAGACGGCTCAGGAGGGTCTCCAAAGGCTGGTGAGACCCCACTCCCAGCCGGTTTCCAGGTTCTTGGCACCTTCAGAGCAAGAATTTAGATGCGAAAAGCAGCAGCTTTTGCTGCAAAGCGAAAGCACACGCCTAAGTGAGAAGCCAGGCGAGCTGAGGAGGAGGCGCGCACAGGAGAAGGAGGCGCGCACAGGAGGAGGCGCGCACAGGGTTAGGCGGCGCGCACAGCAGAAGGAGGCGCGTTCAGGAGACGGAGGCGCGCTCAGGAGGAGGAGGGGCGCTCAGAAGGAGGCGGCTCGCTCAGGAGGAGGAGCCCCGTTCAGAAGGAAGCGCGCACAGAGGAGTTTGTGTTCTTTTGCGGGTGTTTCTTTAGTGACAGTGCGGGATCATCATCAGGTATTCTGGGAAAGGAGGGGATTTTTAGGTAACCCCCAACACAGCCTCGTTGTCTCTTACTCGGGTTTTCCCGGGAGAACAGAGGACACATCACGCTGGTGGGTTCGCCTTCTCTCTCCCTCGCTTTGGGTTTTCTGCCGCCCTGTGGTTACTTTGCCACGTTCCTGTCTTCGCTGTTGCCTGGGTTTTCCGTCCTCCTGTGACCACCCAGTGCTATTCTTGTCTCACACTGGGTAAGCAGAAATTCCAGCGTCCAGCGACATGCAGCCATGGCAAGAGCTCCGGGCAGGAGAGGCGGCGTGTGCTGCTGGAGTAACCTCTGGCCAGCCACCTGGGAAGACCCTTGCCATCGTCTGCCATCGACCTGCCATGTGGGGAACCCCGAGCCCAGCAGCTGCCCGCACAGAAGATCAGGGCAGCCCTCCCGGCTCCAGGGTACAGCAGGGTGCTGCAAAGACTGCTCACAACAGCAGCCTGGGACAAGCCAAACGTCTGTTAATACTGAATAAATCGTGGGTACATAAACCGCAGTATATCCAGACAACAGAACGCTGTATAGCAACTGAAGCAAATCTCACAGACACGAAGTGAAAAAGACAAATCAGAAAAGAACGCACTTAAGAAAGAATATTACTCTACATATAAACAGCCCCCAGATTAGACATATGAGAAGATTCATTGTGATGAAAGACTTCTCGGTGCCTCTTTGCCAGCTGGAGACCCCCGAGGCTGGCGATGCCCCTGCCTGGCCTGACAACTGAAGGGTGAGCAGGGCAGAGTTTTTTTTGTTTTTATTTTTTGAGACGGAGTCTCGCCCTGTTGCCCAGGCTAGAGTGCAATGGCACGATCTCAGCTCACTGCAACCTCCACCTCCTGGGTTCAAGCGATTCTCCTGCCTCAGCCTCCTGAGTAGCTGGGACTACAGGCGCCCGCCAACCACGCCCAGCTAATTTTTCTTGTATTTTTAGTAGAGACGGGGTTTCAGCGTGTTAGCCATGATGGTCTCAATCTCCTGACCTCGTGATCCGCCTGCCTCGGCCTCCCAAAGTGCTGCGATTACAGGCGTGAGCCACTGCACCCAGCTGGAGAGTTTTATTGAGTGACAGCTCTCAGCAGAGAGGGGACCCGGAGAGGGCAGCCCCCTACCCTCAGTCAGGTGGTCCCCCAGTGTGGCTGAGTTTGGGGCTTTTATGGACTCAGAATGGGGGAGTGCATGTTGATTGGTTTGTGACTATGCAAAAAAGGTTAAAAAAAAAAGGTACAACTCAAAGATGGGCACAGCAGTGTCAAAAACCAATTAGGGAGGAGTGGGAATATGTAAAATAGGTGAAGGGTGGGGGCCAATCAGAGGAAAGCATGCCAAACAGGAAAAGAGGTTCTCAATCCCGTCTGTGGATTCATCCGAGACATGTGGTTTGGCTTTCAGACGTGAAGCTGTCTTTGGTTTGGAGGTTGGGTTTCCCTGGGGACCTGCCTGTGTCCACCTGGAGGTTTATCTGACTTCTGCTGCTGTCAATTGTTAAGGATGAATGGTAGGAGGTGAGACTGACAGGGCCAAGAGAGACCAGGCGGGGTGGGGGGAAAGCATGTGAGGCGGCTTGTGGGGTCCAGGAAGACGAAGAGGTTCGGGGGGCTGAGAACGAGGAGGCCGGGAGGGATCACGTGAGGAGGCCTGGAGGGCCCAGGAGGAAGGAGCCAAGAAGGCCCAGGAGGGCCCAGGAGGAGGAGGCTGGGATGGCCCAGGAGGAGGCGACAGCTCCCAGCTCCGACAGCTCCCAGCTCCGCATTAGGCCGCAGCAGCCCAGGGGCATTCTCTTCTCAGCCATCTTCACACCCACTTGCTGTTGTCTTCTCTGCTATAGTGTCTTTTGCAATTTAAGATGCCTTTTCAATGGTGAATAATTAGCACCTCCTTACAAGGCAGAAGTTCCATGACTTAATGAGGAGGAAGGAGGTCAGAGGCCACTCCCAGCCGAGGAGTCAGCTTGGCCCAGAGGCTGCAATGCTGGCTGAGCCTGGCCGCCTCCCCCCGGCCTTCATTCTCACAATTTCTCAGAACTGTCCCCATGGTGATGGGACGGCAGCAGAGCATAAACCGGCAGGAGACGGGCAGTTCACACCGACAGTGGGTCTTTCATGGAAACAGGGCGGAGGAATGGGGGACCTGCTGGAAACCCCCAGCAGCAGGGACCGCCATGGCAGGACGAACAAGCAAACAGCTCCAGCCCCAGGCTCAGCTCTGAGTCCCCGCCTTCCACCTGAAAGCTCTCCCCGATCTGCAAGGCGGGTCAGAACCACACAGTCAGTGAGACCCAGGAATGGCACAGAAGGTGTTCGAGGCCTGATTTCAAAAAGTCTGGTAGGGAAGGGAGAGGCCAGAAGTCCCCGAAGTCAAGCTCAAGGGCTGCGTGGGAGCATGAAGGACACAGCCCATGTCTGAGGACGGACTGACGCAGGAACCCTAGCCCAGCCTAGCCGAGCCCGGCCCGGGGAGAGGCCCAAGGGTGGGGTCGCCAGGTCGCTGGCCGGGGAGATGGCCCTTCTGGGAGGTGAGGCCCAGCAGTCAGGCAGCTACCAGGCAGAAGGTGAAAGGCGGCTGCGGAAATGCCTCCGTTTTTCAAATGAGGTCCAGTAGGTTTCACAAGACCAATTAAAGGGTTAGACTGGTCACTGAAGGGAAAAAAGAATTATCAGTGAGCCTTGAAAGAAAGGGAACATAATGACGTTTACCATCTTAAAGTGAAAGTTAATTTATACATATTTGAAAGATGCAACATGTGGATTTGTTTGGCTGCTGCTCAGAACAAACCAATAGGAAATATTGTCAAGGCAATCAAGAATAATTTATTATGGCCTTGCTAATACAAGGTTCCAAAAAATGACTGGTTTTGATATAACGTCATGGTGGCTAGGTAAAAACATACATGTTCCAGAAATGCACACTCAAGTGTGCAGGAGTACAATCACACGCTCGGGATCTGCTTTCAAATTCCTCAGCAGAGAAAAAAGGGGAAAAAAATGTTCTCACAATCAGTAATTGCTGAAGGTCCACTCTGCACCCCCACTGCAACAGGCACCAGAGGAACAGCGGTCAGTCTTGGGCACGTTGCTGAATCCCATGAGTGATGGCCAATTCAGGAGGCGAAGCACCCAGCAAGTTCCCCACCACAGCGGACATGGAACACGCACGAGAGGCAGAGACATGAAGGACAGAAGGATGGAAGGAAGTACGGAATGCATATTTTAACATAAGAATTCGCAAAGCAATGCAGCAGCCCTAACCACAATGAGAACGCATCAGCCTTGTATTCTTAGATCTCACAGCACCCTGTACTGACCACGTCGCTGTTCACTAGCAGCCTTGGTACTCTTCTCCTTGGCAATTCCCAGATACAGTGGAGAGGTCGGTAGGACACAGGAGCTGAAACAGAAACAAGCCCCATGAAACTAGGAGCGCAAACGACGATACGATGGAAATGCCTCAGTGACACACACTTTAAAGACAGTTCCAAATGACTGATTCCTGCAGCTGTGGACATAACAGTATCTGAAAATGAAAACTGTCAAGTGTATTCTTATCCTTGTAGGAAAAAAATATTCTTAATAAAAGCGCTGTTTTATAATGTACATTCTATTATGAAATAGTGTTTCAATTAAAATAAACTATCAACTATTTCGTTTTCAACAAGATAGAAGCAACAGCACGAAAAACCTTCTTCCAAATAGCATTGGCAGAGCTCCGAGTTTTCTTTTTTTTTTTTTTTGAGATGGAGTCTCGCTCTGTCACCCAGGCTGCAGTGCAGTGGCGCGATCTCAGCTCACTGCAAGCTCCGCCTCCCGGGTTCCCACCATTCTTCTGCCTCAGCCTCCCGACTAGCTGGGACTACAGGCGCCTGCCACCATGCCTGGCTAATTGTTTTTTGTATTTTTTAGTAGAGATGGGGTTTCACCATGTTAGCCAGGATGGTCTCGATCTCCTGACCTCGTGATCCACCCGCCTCGGCCTCCCAAAGTGCTGGGATTATAGGCGTGAGCCACCGCGCCCGGCCAGAGCTCAGAGTTTTCTAATCTTTATTTCTGAACATAGAAATCCAGATGGCACTTATTGGTGAACACACACACACACTCCACACTTGAAGACACTCTACCTGGCTGGCACCGAGAGGCTCTGCCCCATGCTGGGGCACTGCTGAGCCCTGACTAGCGCGGCCGGGTTGATCTCCAACACGGCAATCTTCCCGCCAAAGAGGGAGGCCAGCAAGCACAGCACCTGCAGGGACGCGGTTTCAACATCGTTAGCGACACCACCCAGTAAAAGCAGACGAAACGTGCATCCGCACACGTATCCTAACAGCTGCTTCATTCTCATAGCAGCGACATCGCCCTGTCACTCCTAAAACGTTTTTACACACAAAATCCCGTTTACTCAGCCAGTCGTTACAGGATCACTCTGAAGAAAGAAGAAATCAGAGGCACGTCTCATAGACAGGGAGGGCCGCGTCTCAGGACTGACCTTTTGATCCGCAGTGCGGTTCCTCAGGGCACACGATCCGGCCAGCAGGATGCTGAGGCTCTGGAAATCTTCAGTTGAGCGAAGACCAGGAAGAACATGATGGGGAGGGAGGTAGCACATACACACGGAGTCACTGCCCAGAGCCCACCACACACAGCCCAGAGCCCACCACACACAGTCCAGGCCCCACCACACACTTTGCAGGCTGTGCACCACATCCTCACACATACAAGGCCCCAGGCCACACACACACCAGCGCACACACCACACACACACCAGGCCCTGAGCGTCACACATGCCAGGCTCCGCTCTGAGGCTGGGATGTGACTCGGACTGAGACCTGCAGCTCAGCCTCCTGGAGAAGCCACATGTCCAGCACCAGATCAGAAAGGAAATGTGTAATTAGAGCTGTGACCATTTGGGGGAAGGAAAGGCTGAGTTTTCAAGGAGAAGCTGCGCCTGGCTGAGCTGGGGAGGGGCAGGGATGGGCGGCTGAAGGGAAGGGCGTGTGTGAAGACACAGATGCATCCCACAGCCCCACAGAGGTCTGAGCGTTCAGGGCTAGAAAGGAGGCACCGAGAGGAGCAGTGCCCGGGAGGCCGCCGAGGAGGCCCTGCTGCAGTGGAGGAGAGGGACGGAATCCAGCCTGCTTTTCAGAAGTCGCCTGGGCTCCTGGGCAGAAAGAGTGCGGCTGGTGGCATCCATGGAGTTAGGAGGGGTGGGGGGATGAGATGGGGGTCTTGGGGGAGGGGGTGGGGGTGGAGGTGACTATTCCTACATTTCTGGAGCTGGCAGAAACTGGGGAAGGGAGCCAGGGTTGGAGAGGAGTGCGCCTCGGCCGGGTTTACGCTGTGCGAGCCTGGGGCTCTGGGAGGCTCTCTAAGGATGGTGGAGAATCCAGGGGCTTCCCAAGGGTGTTCCTGCAGGTGTTCCACGCTGCTGGGGCCCGGGCGGCCTGGAGTGCCAGGCGAGGGCCTGGCAGATGTAGGCAAGGAGTGGCTCCAGGGCTGAGTGCCCGAGGGTCCGGGAAGGGCCCTCGTCCTTCGGATCCAGCAGCACAGAGGTGCTCACGTGCTCAATGCTGAGTTGTGACTGAAGCATCTCATCCTCAGATTCACACGGCAAGGCCTTCTCCACAAACACTTACACTACCCCACATACCAGTCAAAGGAAAACATTACAGTTACATGGCGTTGAAATCAAAGATCTTACCCTTGTAATACAAAGCAGCTTCCACTTCCAGGTTTGCCAGGTTAAATACGAATAAGCCCACTGAGCTTCCGATCCACACACATCGGGTGTTCTCAGAAGAAAGACTGATTTAAGGAAAAAAAGAAAAGAATACACAATAATCTTATTCCTGAAGGTTGGGCCCCACGTGCGCCCCCTGGCCTGGCTGTGAGCTCTCCGCAGGAGTGGGGAGTGTGGGCGTTGGGCCCCACGTGCGCCCCCTGGCCTGGCTGTGAGCTCTCCGCAGGAGTGGGGAGCGTGGGCGTTGGGCCCCACGTGCGCCCCTTGGCCTGGCTGTGAGCTCTCCGCAGGAGTGGGGAGCGTGGGCGTTGGGCCCCACGTGCGCCCCCTGGCCTGGCTGTGAGCTCTCCGCAGGAGTGGAGAGCGTGGGCCGGGGCAGGTTCTTGCCAGTGAGAACCACATCTGTGCCAGGCTGGCCACATCTGTGCCACCAACGCATTTGTGGTGATCCCCTGGGCACCTGCTAATGTCTGTGAAGACGCTCGCTCTGACCTCTGTGGTTTCTATTTTCTTCTAAGGTTACAGAAAAGGTCAGTGCCAGTGCCTGGGCCAAGGCCACTGCTCAGGTAGCCTCCGAGTGACTAGACTTGAAGGCCACACAAGCTGCCCACCTCTGTGAATAAGGAACCAACTCCAGGAGGAAAGTAGCTGGCCCGAGGCGGCAGAGTTAATACCAATGCCAACGGGGTCTGTTAATACACTGAGAAGCCATCTCCAGGGAGGCTGGACATGGACTTGGCAGAGGCCCCCAGCTGGAACCTGCTTTCCAGACCTCCCCTCTCCAGCTCCGCCCCAGGCAGCACCCTGGGCTCCTCCTGGGCATCCACCAGCACCAGTCCACGGTTCACCCAACGACCATCGTCAACAGAATGGGTCATGTGGCTCTGGCTTAGCTCTGAGGGCTCCCTCTGCTCGAGGTAAGCCAGGGAAGCCTCAAAATGCCTCAGGTCCATGCACCCACCGGGAGCACCGTGTCCAGCCTCCATGCCCACCCTGCTTACTCTCTGTGGTTTGGACCAAGCAGGGAATATTCTGCTCCAGGGGCAGCTCTGCACAGAGACAAAGACAAGCAACGGCCAAGGCCATTCAAAGCAAGGTTGCCCCCTAATCTCAAGCATTTTGGGGAGGAGAAGTAAACATAATTGTAATATATTCTTGAATCACAGTTAAACAGTACTTCCTTATGTTGCCAAATATGTAATAATATTTCTACTGAGCACAGAAATAAATAAAATTAGTCTGGGGTTAACTTTAAATGTGTAATGTATAGCACAGCGGTAGATGGGAAAGTCTAGGCCATTCCAATCACCATTTCCTCTTTCTAAAGAAAAAGTTGTATCACAGAGGCAAAGATCTGCCTAGACTTTGGTAATAAACTTAAAAATCATCCAATTCCTTTTATTAAAGACACTTACGTATCATTGCCCAAGTTTACCAACTTTAAGATTTAAAACATGCAATCCCAAGAATGAAGTTACTAATAATCAGAGACCAAAATAATTTGGTTTTATCTCAGTCATTCTTAGAAAATGAACCTAATGTTCATCTAAGGAATTTAAGAGGTTTCCTTTATGTGGCATAGGCAAAGTTTTTGATACTTACCATCCACATGCAGAATTTGGGATGAGTGAGAGATCACAGGGTGCAAGTCTCAGTACAGGAAATGTTACTTCAACCTGCTCTCCTTTTCCCAGAGCACTTGTAGAGGGAAGCTGGCTTTCTTCTAGGGACAGAATTATTGAGAATCTAAGAAGTGAACTTAAATGCATCCGTCAAGTTTAAAGGCTGAGGACTGCCACACAGAGATGCTGCAGTGAATGTGCACCGTGGAGTCACTCGGATCACGCGTCGAGGAAAGCACTAAGGTAACACCCAGCATGACGCGTGTGCACCACGGAGTCACTCGGATCACGCGTCGAGGAAAGCACTAAGGTAACACCCAGCATGACGCGCATGCACCGCGGAGCATTCGGATCACGTGTCGAGGAAAGCACTAGGGTAACACCCAGCATGACGCGTGTGCACCGCGGAGTACTCAGATCACGTGTCAAGGAAAGCACTAAGGTAACACCCAGCATGACGCGCGTGCACCGCGGAGCATTCGGATCACGTGTCGAGGAAAGCACTAGGGTAACACCCAGCATGACGCGTGTGCACCGCGGAGTACTCAGATCACGTGTCAAGGAAAGCACTAAGGTAACACCCAGCATGATGCGTGTGCACCGCGGAGCATTCAGATCACGCGTCAAGGAAAGCACTAAGGTAACACCCAGCATGACGCGTGTGCACCACGGAGTCACTCGGATCACGCGTCGAGGAAAGCACAAAGGTAACACCCAGGATGATGTGTATGCACCATGGAGTCACTCAGATCACGCATCGAGGAAAGCACTAAGGTAACACCCAGCATGACGCTACCTGGGAGCAATGCAACTTCAAGTGCAGAACCAGAGCAAGGGAGTGGGAAAGAGGAGATAATCAATTGAAAGAACTTAACTTCATATTTCCTAAAACTAAGTTTAAGATTTCCTTCAGCAGTAGATATTATCAAATAAATAACAAAAACCAAGGTTTAAAACATCAGGAAAAAATTGGTATACTGGATAAAAGTAATTTCAGACCTAATATGAAAAGAAATAGTTTAAAGTCATCTACAAAAAAACACAACCTAAAAGAAAGAATGAGTAACCAGAATGAGGAAGAGAGTGTAGGCTGTGAGCCCAGAGATGATTTCTGTAATATGAAACGTCAGCTGCACACACCAATGAAAGAGGTGGCCCCTGGATTGAAAAGTAAAATCAACATTTTCTTCCAGGAGAGGGTCAGCTCCTTTGTGACAGTACAGGAGATAAAAAGCGCACCTGAGGAGAGCTGTCGTCAACAGGAAGCAACTCTGGACAGCCAGAGACCAGGTGAGGACAAGGTTGCTGGGTGGGTGCATGTGGCATCTGCAATGCGCAGGAGACCAGGTGAGTACGAGGGTGCTGGGCGGGTGCAGGTGGCATCTGTGATGCGCAGGAGACCAGGTGAGGATGTGAGGGTGCTGGGCAGGTGTAGGTGGCGTCTAAGATTCACAGGCCAGGTGGGGACGTGGAGGGTGCTGGGTAGGTGCAGGTGGCATCTGAGTCATGCAGTGTACCTTTCTGATCAGCATGACCTGCCCTCCTTGGTCACCCACTGCAGGAAAGCAACCCATAGCTGCAAAGCTGCTGCCTTGGTGCCTCTGCTCTTCTGTTCACCAAAGCCTCTCACCCCCGTCCCCACCCACACCAGGTGCCTCCATCTGCTGATGGCCCACCCCTCACATGACCTGCAGGGCCTCAGTGGTTTTCTGAGGTTGCAGCCCTTGGCTTCTCCTACATTGGGATCTCTCTCTCCCCTGTGTGACCTAGGGCCCTTGACATGGCGCCTGGTGAAAGATCTGGGCCAAGTGGGAGGCCTGAGGGAGGGTCTGAGCAACCCACCTGGCTGGCTGCACAGCCCAGACTTAACCCTTCTTGTGGAGAAAGTCTCTGTCTTCTTCCTTAGGTCAACCCGTGCCACACGACGATAATGGTGTCCATCCATCAAACTGAAGATCCAAAGCTACAAAAGCAAAGAAGATGCAGACATGGCGCTGCAGCAAGGGTCCTGACGCAGAAGCAGCAACACCAGAGGTGGAGCAGGGAGGGCAGACACGTCACAGGACGGGCCCTCCACGGCCTGCAGAGGCTCCCGGCACAGCTGTCTCCTGCCTTCAACATCCCCTCTGGAGGCCCTCCGTACGGCCCACGGTGTCAGAGCACTTTCACACGGCTGGCACATCAGCTCAGGGCACATGGGCAGGATCCTACTGTGCAGGCCTCCCCAAGATGCTCCTCTGGGAACCCCAGGCCCCAGGCTCTCTGCACACACCCCACAGCTTCACAGCCAAGAGCACGTCCCACATGCCCTGGGTGAGAAGACAAGGCAACAGCGGTCAACTTTGTCAAAAGGAAAAAAAAAATCTAAGTTTTCAAAATTATCTTTTTCAAATTATAAAAACAGCAACTTTATCCAGGCTTTGTGAAATGAACTTAAAAGGCTCACCTAAAAAATGTTTTGAAAAAGGCCAACATCTTCAGGTTTTTCAACAGTGTGTAAAGATGACAGGAAAGGGGAGCACAAGAAGCACGGGGGATGCCACACAGGAGCCGTCCAGGGCGCCTCTCCGGGGCGCGGGCAGCGTGCGGGCACGGGGGATGCCACACAGGAGCCGTCCAGGGCGCCTCTCCGGGGCGCGGGCAGCGTGCGGGCACGGGGGATGCCACACAGGAGCCGTCCAGGGCGCCTCTCCGGGGCGCGGGCAGCGTGCGGGCACGGGGGATGCCACACAGGAGCCGTCCAGGGCGCCTCTCCGGGGCGCGGGCAGCGTGCGGGCACGGGGGATGCCACACAGGAGCCGTCCAGGGCGCCTCTCCGGGGCGCGGGCAGCACCCGTGGGAGCGGGGGACGTCTGCTCACAGCCCTCTTCTCAGCAGGTTTTCAGGGTCACGTGAGTGGCCCTCACTTTTGCTGCACTCCAGAACCACGCATGGAGCTCTGGGACATGCAGACCCAGCTCCTCCGCAGACCAGGGGGCCCAGGACCATATTGAACCCACAGTGACGCTGAGACCCACAGAAGGTCACGTTCTCAGCACTGAGGTGGACAGGTTTTTTCAAATCGCAGGAAAATACAAAGTAGCATGAAGACAAAGACCTTTGTGTACAAGCTCACGTTCAGGCATGTCTGGGAACTGGAACTTAACTCTGTGGCTGTCTCACCTGGCCGTCAGCACACCCGGTGACCAGCTGCCTGCTTTCTGCATCAATGAATAAACTGAGAAGAGGATATGCTGGTGAAAGGAACATCGGAAAATTTAGCTTTGTAAGTGCCTGGTACCAATTAACCCGAGAACTGTCAGTTTTACTTATCTCTTTACACGTAATATTTACTTACAGTATTTCTGTTAGTCAAGTTTGAACTATTCCAAAATAATTTCTTCACCAAAAAGTAAAACTTGCACATGAATACAAATGTTGAAAACCCCATAAACACAATGAAGGCTGGGGACATCACCCCAAAAGGCTGCCCGGTGAGTCCACCACAGATGGGTCCCGAGGAATCCCATCCCACCTCCCGACAGAAGGCCTGGTGGGCTTAAACCACGGCCCAGCTCCGGCTGCTTTATAGCCTAGAGGGAGGGCAGCACTGCCGTTTAATCGACGTTGCACTTGGAGCAGAAGGATTCCTGAGTCAGCCAGAAATAATAAAATTATGGACTTAGTGATGAAAACAGCAAGTAAATGGATGTCTTGTTTCCTTAAAAAAAAATTGTTGCCTAGGATGTCATTTCATTTAAAACTTACTCTAAACTGTCAGTAATTTAGGAGCATTAGATAAATGAATATTGAAAAATACTACATATCCTAATTAAACTATAAATGAAATCAAAGATCAAGTGTATCATTGTTCTTGGCAACCGAACAGTAATTCCATATAATTAATTTCAGAAAAAAGATTCCAACGTACTTCCAAGAAATGTGCTTCACCCTGATAGAAAGCAATGTTTTTAAGTCATTACAGCACCATAGTCCACACATGGATACATTAACCTCAGAAAGAATGTTAAATCTTTGAGAAGATATAACAATAACTCTACCAGGTCACCAAAGTATCTGTATATGCTTTAAGTGGCATTTTCATGTCACTTACCGCATGGAAGAACGCTCTCCTTTTAATTCCCTAACTCTCTTCTTCTGGGAAGACAGAACGTGCACAAGGGGAGCAAAGCGAATGCAGGAAACCAGTGCCCTAAGATGCCAGGAGGACAAGCACAGGGGCTGCACGGGAGAGGTGCTGGGGCGTCACAGACCGCTCCTTATGCCGTGCTCCGCGGACGGACGCCTGCACCATCAATGCTGTAGCTGTGTGGCCGTGTGCCAGCTTCATTTACCAACAGAAAGCCATCTGAGGGAAGAACGCAAGGACCCTGGCATTCACGAGCTGCACACGTGCTCAGGACCTGACCATGAGGCCAGGTGTGGCGCACGCCCAAGCTCACGCTGGATGGACAGGGCAGTCCTGGCCCTACCAACACCGCTGGTTCTGGGATGTGTTTCTACAGAGAGCAGAAGGCTCAACTTCCCTGGGTACTCAGGCATTTTATCTGACAGCAAACGTGCTTTACTCCTCCAAAACAGAAAGGCCCAGACTCCAAGCATCCATTTAATTTTAAGTGAAAAACATCAAGGACATTCACTGTTAAGTGAATCCTCTCCCTGTGTGGACGGGAGTGAAGGGCTGTAAGTCTGAGATTGCCTCATTCAGATCCACTCGAATGTCCCAGCTCCATCTTATGCCCTGTAATATGCTCTAGAAAAAGTGGGTTACACACAACCTATTTACAGAAAACATGAAAGTTTTAAATTTACCTGATAACACAGATGAACTGTATATTAATGATCCTGTACAATGGTCCCAGACCTTTGGATAAACACAGGATTCTTTAGAAGAGGTAACAACGTTGCCATTATTGCAACAGGTGAAGCTAACAGTACTATTCACTATCAGATTAGTCAACACAAATGGTTATCTAAAACAGAAAACAATAAAATGAGCACAAAAATAATAAAAATGTAGTAACACCATAAAATATGTCAGAATCAAAAAGAAAAAAATAACATCACTTCCATAAATAAAACCCTGGTGGATTTGAAGAATTGGAAACAAAAATGAAACAAGGTGAAAAACAGTTCCCAGGCACTTGGTCAACGCTGCCAAGATAGAGGCACCAAGCGGAAACTGTAGCAGTCTACACCCTGTCAGGTCAGGTGCACACTCGCTGGTCAGGTCTACACTGTCAGGCGCACACTGATGTCAGCTGGATAAAAACTGAATTCGCATTCCATTTTCTTCTAGAGCCTCATTTTGTGCCGACTGAACCCTCCACACCCTGGGACTGGCTCTTCTGCTCTGGGCCTGGGAATGCCGTGGAGAAGAATTCGTGCCTGGGCGCTCCCAGGCCCTGAATGCAGTTGTGGGAAATCCGGGGCCGCAGAACCGTCCTGTCAGGAATCCAAGCCCAGCCAGCGGCCCCGGCAAAACATCCGGGCTTGGCGTTTCTGTGGAAATCAGGATAGCGGGCGCCTTGCAGAAGTGAGGTAGAAACAACATCACTCAGGCGGCCGTGGCCGTGAAGCAACCGCACAGCTCCCGTCACCACAGTTCTTTCCACAGCACGTGCCACGCGGGAACGCCATCCAGCGTCCATCCCTCACCTTAAAGCCTCTGTCCTCAGACGCCGAGATGAGGGTGCCTGCTCGCCAGGGACAGAACTCCACCGCAGTCACCGGGCCCAGGTGGCCCTGCAGCTCGGCCCGAACAGCCTGAGTCTGAGAGAATGTGTGCAGGAAGGTCGGTGGTGGGACTTTGTGGCGGTTATTAACATCAGGACGTTCTATGTATGTCACAGAAAATCGCTGCTATTAAAATAAAGCCCAAATTATTCCTCTGTTCAAGCTGGAATTCTCTGTATATAAACCAAGGGTGAAAAGTCAGGTGTCTGAGCTAAGAGGAAAGCTCAGGCGACAGGCACAGTCTCAGCAGTGTTAAAAGCCGACACTGACTGGAGCTAACCCTGAGCGAATTAGGAAGCTGGCGTCTCCTCAGGAATCCTGTCTCCCCACCGGCTGCCCCATGCATCTGCCCTGAGGCTCCCCGCCTGTAACTCAGAATGTACTGCTCTGCCTTCCCAATCCCTCAGCATCTGTTCTCCACCTAGGGCTTCCTACAAGACAAGACGGTGCGGCAATAGGCGCTCATGAGTTACCCTTTCCTCCTCAAGTCCCTAAAACCTCCGACAGCCAAGACAGCACCCCAGAAGTCAGCGTCACAAGCTGGAGACACACAGGGCTTCCCGTTTATATGGAAATCAGGCTTGAACAGCATGACTGAGGAATGGAGTAGTGAGAGCATCGGGGGTTCCTAATGGTCAGTCATCGCCCTGAGAATATCCCCAGGGAACTCCAGGCACGAAGTGCTGGGCACTGTTCTTGAATTTTACAGCACTCCATCTAAATAAGACAAATATCCCTTAATATACATGCAGAAAAAATAAACATGTATATATATGGTGACTTAACTTACAAACAGACATTTAACTCTGGAAGACTTTCTTTAGTAATACGACATATCGCCATCAACAAATACAACTTAGAATACTGAGTACATTATGCCAGTTACCATCAGATTGTTAAAAATAAAAGGCAAGACTATAACCTGTGTAGGAATAGGGAGAGTTATGACACTGAGTGTTATGAAATATACATTTCCATTTTCTCCAGTTTCTATAAAATAAAGCTAGTCCATTGTCTATGATATGAATAACATCATATCCTGAAAAATATTTAAGTTATTTCCTTTTGACATTTTATGTTGATTAAAAAGTGCCTTTTACCAGGAAATGCTCAGTATTCATTTGAAATCTTTAAAATCAAATGGTATAAACTGTTGACTTGTTGAGTATGCTGTTAAAAGAATGTGAGCACTTCACGGACTCACGTGACAACCATTCCTCATGTCTGAAAGTCATTCTCCCCGAGTGAAGTGTCTTTCAGTTGACACGCCTGCTGCTAAGGAAGCGTGGGGAGGATCTCACGGGCTGCACACACATCTGCAGCAGGCACCTGCTTACTCACCTGCTATGTGCCTGACTCAGGGGTGTGGCTCCAACCTGACCCCAGGCTGATGGTTCTCTCCATCTGGGACCCAGTATCTTCCTTCAAACACTAACAGTTTTCTGCTTCTTCCTAATTCACTTTGGTTTTCCTTTTCCTGACACAACAATGTTAATTCTTTGCACATTAATGGTAGTTTTGTTATAAATGGTGGGGTGGCCTAATGTTAATCTATCACAGGATGTTTACAACAAAACATGAAATACAGCTCAAACACCAACATATCCAGAAAGCTTTCACAGACAGACTAGAAATAGTGTGAAGCCCTTTACCTAACTCCTAGATACTTCCCATCATCTCTCTGTGGCTTAACTCATGATGTGAACTTTTTAAATTTATGAGCCTTAATTTCATAATTAGTCCAAAAATAGTCTGAAGACATAAATGTCTTCTCTCCCAAAACGCCTATTACACATGAGGCCCATGAGAACCAATTCACATTCCATGCCGAACATCCTTCCTCGCCTACGTTTATTAAGTGGCTATCAAAAGAAAAGCTATTCAGGCCAACAGCTTTGTGAGCCATGTTGACAAAACGACCCCAGGCCTGGGGTCACCTACAAAATCAGGCTTGGGCAGAGCAACAATTCAGAGGAAACAAAAGTCCTCCTTCGTGTTCCCTTAGATTCCCACTTCCTGATTTCTAACACTGCTTTCTAACATTGCAATGGGGCAGCTGACTGTTCTAGTCACACACGAGGTCGAAATCACACAGGCAGGAAGAGGTGACACATTTCCTTTAACTAACCCTGGTGGGAAAAGTCTGATTCTTGATGAAAAGAACATTTTGATAAAAGATATAAACAAAAGCGCTATGCTAGGAAGGATGCCTACAATCAGGGAATATCTGAGAAATAATAGTTTTGCAGAACATGTTTCTCTAAAGTCATACCTGACACCCAGATTCCATAAAGAGTTTTAATATTTATATAAATATTGCTATCTGATACCAGTGGTTTTCCAATTGCAAGATAAAGATATGATTTTATAAAAGTAAACTAAATTGAAGATATAGCTTAAAAAAAAAGGAGTACAGGAAAAAAGAAAAGACCGCTGGGCAAGGTCCCAGAACCTGGGAGGCCCCATCAGCTAAACCCTTCCGTGAAATCCACGTGAATTTCAATCTTACCTCAATATCCAGCATGAATATTTTGTTTCCAGCACACACGGCAACAACATGATCATCCAGGCTCAACTGTAAACACAGCACCTTTCCCAAAAGCGAGCCCATGACAGTCCCTCGAGGGACCAGCCCTAGAGTGAGTTTCACCATTAGTGCCAGTTTACCAAATGCATTCAGCATTACATTAATCTGAGAAAAGTACTGAGAATGTAACCCTCTATTCTAAAATTACTGAGAGAATGACAATGAGCTTTGATGTGATTTTGATTCTTTAAGAATATCAAAAATACTGGATATACAGAAGTCTTCTGAAAACCTGGGGAATGCAGCACTTCCCTGCAGAGACTCTCTCAGCATCGAAACACGAAGATGCCTTTCTCTGGAGGCTGCAGTACCTGTGCAGTGAGAATCATGCACATCAAACTGCATGTTTCGATGCTTCTCACCCACATCCAACCCCATGTCCACCCTCATGTATAGGTTCAGCTAACATTGATTGGAAGGAAAGGAGTAGGAGCCTATCCAACCCAGGCCTCCAGGGACTAAGCAATGACAGGACACCCACAAGCAGCCAGGAGGTTCCCAAGACCCGGACATGTGCAGCAGCTGCAGCCTGATGCAGAGCCCGTCATGCAAATCCACACAGGTGAAAGAAAAAATGGCAGGCAAGGTCATCTGGTCCTAGTGTGTACCATGGACCTATCACCAGCAAAATGCAGATATACTCCACCCAGAGCCTGTGAGAGACACATGTGCTCATGTCCCACAGCCACCAAGTCTAGACAGAGACACGTGCTCATGTCCCACAGGCACCCGGAGCCTAGAGAGACACACATGTTCATGTCCCACAGCCACCCAGTCTAGAGAGGGACACGTACTCATGTCCCTACATAGAATACATAGATTTATAGTCTCTTTGCATTTATGTTTTAATGTAATCCTCTAACTTCTCTATATAATTGCACAAAACTCAAATTCCTTAACGTGGTCCCCACCTAACTTTTCGACTTCCTCAGATGAGACTCTCCTAACATCAGCATGCTCCAAGCACACAGGCAGGTTCTCACTCTTCCCAGGGCCTTGGCACCTTCATCCCTTCTCACCCTCACCCTCAGCGCACATGCCCCTCCGAGATCCTGCTTCTCAAAGGCTCCCATGCATGTGCACGCTGCCCTGGCCTCATCTGCCTTCTCCTCTGCACACTCACAATTCACAGCCACTCAGTCGCTGGCTTACACAGTGTCTCTCTCAAACTCTGAGCTGTGACTTCCACAGGATTTGGGACCAAGCCCTTCCTATTCACCACTGTGTCTCCAGCCTGAAATATTACAGGTGCTCAAGACCCCTTGCTGTGCAAGGAAAGAATATTTCAACTTTCCTACATGTTTTCAGGTTGATACAAAATGGACAGTTCTTAAAATAAAAAGGGACATAAGATCAAAACCAATGAGCCTATAAGATCAGCATAACAGACAGCAAAGGTCCGTAAGTCTGAATGGCCTGGGGCCCTTCCCATATAAAGCGCCTGCTTGCATGCCTGGGTTCAAGGTAAAGAGAGTACAAAATTATCCCAAACCCCCCGAGGGACTGCTGTTACCCAAGGGAAACACCCCTTGGGTGGTACCAAGTATACTGAAGGATGAGTTATTCCTTTTGCAGGTTTTTAAAAACATGTTTTAGATTTTCATTTACCTTGAAGTACTTTCTCTCTACATTCATCCAGGTTCCACATTATAACATAATCCAGTGATGCTGAGCAGATTAGAAGTGGGTTCACTTTATTTCCAAAAGCCATAGCAGTAATTGGCTGATGGTGTCCTCGTAGGATTAGAAGCTGGGAAAATTAACAAAAATAAAACACAGATCACAGACATTTAAAAATAAGAGTATAACAACATAACTTCAAACCTAAGAAATTAAAAGATTGAGTTTTTCAAATACATTTATCTTACATATTCATTGTTAATTCATTTGTTAAAATCCCTGCTATGTACTACTAAATTATTCTCTCAAGTTAACCATTTCACTGCTATTCACTGTCACACACACTAATAAAAAGATACAGGCTACCTCGTTCTTCCATTTATCACTTATTAGTTAATCAAATATAGAACATGTCTCCACCACATGCCAGAAGAGGTAACAGCTGAGCTGAAAACTGAAGAATAAGGAGAGGAATGAGGGGAGCAATGAGGTCCCTGGGAAAACAAGGCATGGGTAAGAAACGGCTGGGACAAGCAAAGGAGTGAGAGGAGGCTGGAGAAAGGTGAGGCCCAGGTGTGGCGACCTTGGCAACTACACAAGGAATGTTGATAGCACTCTAGGAAATTAAAATCCAACAAAAAATGCACAGTCAGAATAATACAGTGACTAGATTTGTTTTCCAGGAACAAAACATTGCTACAAGTATGGAGCAGACGAGTGTTGGGGGTATACTGGGCTGGAGAGACAGAAGGGAATGCATGAAACACTCAAGGGAAATCCAATAAAGACCTGGACTAAGAAAGACAGTGATGATGGAGATGGAGAGGAGATGGTGACTGAAGATTCCGTGACCAATGGATATGGAGGGATGGAGGGAAAAACAAAAGCAAAGGGATAGGGTTTGAGGTTAAAAACCTAGGCGAACAATGTCTCAAGAACAAAATACAGAGGGAAAATGGGATGGGACTGGGGGTCCATAGTAAGCTGAGATGCTTATAAGGCGATGTTAAATAGACAACAGGCAGTTTAATATGAGAGATATCACTGGAGAATTCCACTTCTAGTAAAGGCAGGATACGTCACCTCATTAGTACCAATCCTACTGATGAGAATTACAAGAAAAACTGGACAAAATTAAATATATATATACACACACACACACTATATATATATACAAACACACACACATATACATATACACACAGAGAGACACACATTTTGAAGGCATCAGAAAGCAACTAGGTCGTTGAAGAATTATGGTAACAAGATTATATATAGGGCAGAAAAAAACTGAGGGAAGTGACCCCAGATGCTGGGGTCACTTGTCCCATAAAGATATCTACTATAAAGACAATTTTCTGACAATTCCACTAAAGGCAGCTGAGGAGCTGAGATTCAAGGGGCTACGGGCACAAAAATGGTGTAATTAAATGAGTCATCCTCAGGGACACAAACAGAACTATCATATTGGGAGAAGGGAAAAGATTTCTGTCATATTACAAAGTAATTTTGTGATACAGCTGATTGCCTTAATGTTGATAACTCTACAATTTTTTTCCGTAAAGAAATATGAATGGATTTTAAGTAAATGTCTGCCTAGAATACAATCTACTAAGGTGAGAGGGATGAGCATGCTGCTAAACCCCCTAGGCTTAGAATGGGAACCCCAAAAAAGACAAAACCCAAGGAGTAAAGATGAACTGGAAATAAAACAACCCTCATAAGAACTGACACCCAGTTATGAATTGACTTAACACCTGACTGGCTTAGGGTAATCTAGGACTGCCAGTGCCCTGAGCATGACTGGCTACCAGAAGCTAACATAAATCTGATTTGGAAGAATGTAAGAATCCAGAGTATCAAATCAGCTATACTTTTTTTTCATATACAAAATCCAGCAATCTAAAAAACAACCAGGTATTCAAGGAGACAAGACCATTTAGTCAAAAACAAAGAAAAATAAAGAATAGAGAAATGCGATGCCTACAAGTCATCCAGATAAGACTTGAAACCAAACTAAAACTGATCCAAATGTTAGAATTACTAGACAAGAACATTCAAACCATTATTAAAACATTTTCCATATGTTCAAAAGTTAAGTAGAGGCATAGAAGATATTTAAAAGTCCCAAACCTAACTTCTGGAGATGAAAACTAGAATAAGATAAAATTTTAAAAAACACTTAGTGGGATTAACTGCATATTAGATGTTGCTGAGGAAAAGATTGGTAAATTTAAAGACAAAGCAATAGAAGCTATATAAAAATGAAAGAGAGAAAAAATACATTCATAACCATGAAAGAGTATCAGTGAGCTGTGGGAAACTTCACGTGACCTGACATACATGTAAGCAGGGTCCACAACGTTTGGGAGGAGGGGAATATTTGAAGAAATAATGGCTGAAAATTTTCCAAATTTTGATGAAAACCATAAACCCGTAGAACCCCAATGATAAAGTTTGGATGTCCCCTCTTTCATGCGCGTCCATGTGAAGAGACCACCAAACAGGCTTTGTGTGAGCAATAAAGCTTTTAATCACCTGGGTGCAGGCGGGCTGAGTCCGAAAAGAGAGTTAGCAAAGGGCAATGGGGTGGGGTTTTATAGGATTTGGGTAGGTAAAGGAAAAAGGGGAGTTGTTCTCTGGCGGGCAGGAGTAGGGGTCACAAAGTACTCAGTGGGGGAGCTTTTGAGCCAGGATGAGCCAGGAGAAGGAATTTCACAAGACAATGTCATCAGTTAAGGCGGGAACAGGCCATTTTCACTTCTTTTGTGGTGGAATGTCATCAGTTAAGGCAGGAACCAGCCATCTGGATGTGTACATGCAGGTCACAGGGGATATGATGGCCGAGCTTGGGCTCAGAGGCCTGACACCCTCCAAATCCCACGTTGAGATGTAATCCCCAGTGTTGGCGGTAGGGCCTGCTGGGAGGTGTATGGGTCATGGGGGCAGATCCCTCATGGCATGGTGCCATCCTCACCATGGTGAGTTCTCATGAGATCTGATCATTTAAAAGTGTGTGGTACCTCCCCCCATGCCTTGCTCCTGTTTTTGCCATATGACATGCCTGTTTTCCCTTTGCCTTCCACCATGATTGTAAGGTTCCTGAGGCCCTCACCAGAAGCCAAGCATTTGTTGGTGCCATGCTTGTGTCGACAAAAGAGTCGAACTTTGTAAAATATTTTAAGAGATTTATTCTGAACCAAATATGAGTGACCATGGTCCATGACACAGCCCTCAGGAGGTCCTGAGAACATGTACCCAAGGTGGTTGGGGTACAGCTTGGTTTTATGTACTTTAGGGAGGCATGAGACATCAATCAAATACACTTAAGAAATACATTGGTTTCGTTCAGAAAGGCGGGACAACTCAAAGCGGGGGCTTCCAGGCTATAGGTAAATTTAAACATTTTCTGGTTGACAATTGGTTGTTTATCTAAAGATCTGAGATCGATAGGAATATTCAGGTTAAGATAAAGGATTGTGGATACCATGTTTTATTGTGCAGAGGAAGCTCTCAGATAGACTTCAGAGACTGCAGGCTGTAAAATTTTTCTTATCGGACTTAAAAGGGTACTTGGCTCTTACTCAATTATCTCCTGGATCTGGGAAGGAATGAAGGAAAACAAAGGGAAAAGGGGATTCTCTATAGAATATGGATTTTTCCACAAGAGACTTTGCAAGGCAATTTCAAGGTATGGCAAGGAAATATATTTTGGGGTTGAATATTTTTTCCTTATCTCATAATGTTATGCCAGAGTCAGACTGAAAAGTAAGTCATGATATACGGGGTCAAATAAAACCCATCTAATCAGAATTTATGGTTTGTAGGGCATGACTCCCTAGGCCCCTTAGGTAGGAATTTGGGCAAGATAAAAAATCAGAGTTTAGTCCTCACTTGTGCAGCCTGCAGAACCATGAGCCAATTAAATCTCTTTTCTTTATAAATTACCCAGTCTCAGGTATTTTGTTATACTCAGGACTAAACTCTGACCTTTTTCTTCTCCTGTCCAAATTCCTATCTAAGGGGCTTAAGGATTCACACACTAAAAACCATAAAGTCTCATCAGAGGATTTTATTTAACCCTATATAACGTGGCTTACTTTCCAACCTAACTCTGGCATAACATCACATGACAGATAAAGAAGGGAATTAAAATATGTTAACTCCAATTATGTTTCTTTACCATATCTTGACATAGGCCTGCGAAGCTGTCTCTTGTGGGGAAAATCTACATTCTGCAGAAGATCCCCTTTCCTTTGTAGGCCTTTTTCCTGATCCAGAAGAGTAACCACTAAGACTCTGGCACTTTTTAAGTCTAATAAATATTTACAATCTATTCTCTCTGAAGCCTGCCACCTGGAGGCTTCTTATGTATATTGGGGACCTTGGTCTCCACGATCCGTTATCTTAACCCAGACATTCCTTCTATTGAGTCTAGGTCTTTAGACAATAACTTAACACTTTCAACCAATTGCAATTTAGAAAATTATCGAATCCACCTATGACCTGGAAGCCCCCACTTTGAACTGTCCCACCTTTCTGGACCTAAGCAATGTACATATTACATGTATTGATTGATGTCTTATGTCTCCCTAAATTGTATAAATCCAAGCTGTAGCCTGACCATCACGCACATGTTCTCAGGACCTCAAGACTGTGCCTTGGGCCTCTGGTCGCTCGTAGTTGACTCAGAATAAATCTCTTCAAATATTTTACAGACTTTGATGCTTTCATTGACATAGCAATTCATGAAAGGCCTAATACAGAAAATTGGTACCAAGAAGTGGGGCACTGCTATAAAGATACCTAAAAACGTGGAAGTGGCTTTGGACCTGAGTAACCAGCAGAAGTTGGAAGAGTTTGGAGGGCTCAGAGGAAGACGAGATGCTGAGGGAAACTTTGGAACTTCTTAGATACCAGTTAAATGACTGTGACCAAAACACTGATAGTGGTAAAGACAGTGAAGTCTAGGCTGAGGAAGTCTCAGATGGAAATGAACTTGCTGGGAACTGGAGCAAAGGTCACTCTTGTTATGCCACAGCAAAGAGCTTGGCTACATTCTGTTCATGCCCTAGGGCTCTGTGGAAGCTTAAACTTGAGTGATGGCCTAGTGTACCTGAAGGAAGAAATTTCTAATCAGCAAAGCATGTAAGATGTCTCCTGGATGCTTCTAACAACATACAATCATAAATGGGAGCAAAGAAATGCCATACAGTTGGAATTTATATTTAAAAGGAAAGCAGAGCATAAAAGTTCAGAAAATTTGCAGCCCAGCCATGTGGCAAAAAGTAACTGTTTTTGGTGAGAGGAATTCAAGCAGGCTGTGGAGCAACCATTTACTTAAGATATTTGTGTAACTAAAAAAAGAACCAAAGGCTGATAACCAAGGCAATGGGAAAGGCCTCCAAGACATTCCAGATATCTCCAAGGCAGTCCCTCCCATTACAGGCCCTGAAGTCTAGGAGGAAAGAATGGTTTTGACGGCCAGGGCCTGCTGCCCCACACAGCCTCAGGACACTGCTCCCGTCTCCAGCTCTGGCCTCAGCTCAGAGGACCCCAGATACAGCTTGGGCTGCTGTTTCAGAGGGTGCAAGCCACAGGCCTTGGTGGTTTCCATGTGGTATTAAGCCTGCGGGTGCACAGAGTACAAGAGTAAAGGAGGCTTAGCAGCCTCCAGCTAGGTTTCAGAGGATTTGTGAGAATGCCTGGGTGCCAAGGCAGAAGCCTGCTGCAGGAGTGGAGCCTTCACAGAGAGCTTCTACTAGGGCAGTGCCAATGCCAAGGGGAAATGTGGAGTTGGAGCCCCCACACAGAGTCCCCACTGAGGCACTGCCTACTAGAGCTGTGAGAAGAGGGGCACCATCATCCAGACCCCAGGATGGCAGATATTCCAGCAGCTTACACCCTGCTCCTAGAAAAGCCGTAGGCACTCAGCAACCAGTGAAAGCAGCCACAAGGGCTGAACCTTGCAAAGCCACAGGGACAGAGCTGCCCCAGGCCTTGGGAGTCCACCCCTTGTACCAGTGTGCTCTGGATGTGGGACACAGAGTCAATAGAGATAATTTTGGAGCTTTATGATTTAATGACTGTCCTGCTGGGTTTCAGACTTGCATGGGGCCTATAGCTCCTCTCTTTTGGCCAATTTCTCCCTTTGGAAATGGGAATGTTTATCCAATGCCTATAATCCCTTTGTATATTGGGAGTAAATAACTTGTTTTTTATTTTACAGGCTCATAGGTGGAAGGAACTTGCCTTGTCTCAGATGAAACTTTGGACTTAGGACTTGGGACTTTTGATTGAGTTGATGCTGGAACAAGTTAAGGCTGAGGATTAAGCTCTGATTTTTTTTTATCTTGCCCAAATTCCTTTCTAAGGGGTCTGGGGAGTCATGCCCTACCAACCATAAATTCTCAGCAGATGAGTTTTATTTGACCCTTTCTATCGTGGCTGACTTTCCAATCTGACTCTGGCATAACAAGGAAGAAAATCAAAATGTTTTACCTCAAAATATATTTCCTTGCCATACCTTGAAATTGTCCTGCAAAGTCTCTTGTGGTAAAAATCCACATTCTATAGAGAAACCCCTTTTCCCTTTGTTTTCCTTCCTTCCTTTCCAGATCCAGGAGATAATCAACTAAGAGCCAGGCACCCTTTTTAAGTCCAAAAAGAAACAATTTACAACCTGCTCTCTCTGAAGTCTGCTATCTGAGAGCTTACTCTGCAGAGTAAAACATGGTCTCCACAATCCTTTAGCTTAACCTGAACATTCCTTTCTATCGATCTCAGATCTTTAGATAAACTCAACCAACTGTCAACCAGAAAATGTTTAAATTTACCTATAGCCTGGAAGCCCCCGCTTTGAGTGGTCTCGCCTTTCTGAATGAAATCAATGTATTTCTTAAGTGTATTTGATTGATGTCTCATGCCTCCCTGAAATATATAAAATGAAGCTGTGCCCTGACCACCTTGGGCACACGTTCTCAGGACCTCCTGAGGGCTATGTCACAGGCCATGGTCACTCATACTTGGCTCAAAATAAATCTCTTAAAATATTTTACAAAGTTTGACTCTTTTCGTCGACAAGACTTTGGGGGACTGTTGGAAAGACATGATTATATTTTGCAATGTGAGAAGGACATAAAATGTAGGGGACCAGGAGTAGAATGATATAGTCTGCATGTCCCCTGCAAATCTCATGTGGAGATGTAATCCCCAGTGTTGGAGGTGGGGTCTGGTGGGAGGTGTTTGGGTCATGCCGGCTGATCCCTCATGGCTTAATGCTGTCCTCACCACAGTGAGTGAGTTCTCATGAAATCTGGTCATTTAAAAGTGTATGGCACCTCCTCCTGACCACTTGTTCCTGTTTTCACCCTGTGAAGTACCTGCTCCCTCTTCACCTTCTGCCATGACTGTAAGGTTCCTGCAGTCCTAATTAAAAGCAAAGCAGACGTTGGTGTCATGCTTGTACAGTCTGCAGAACCATGAGCCAATTAAATCTCTTTTCTTTATAAATTATCCAGTCTCAGGTATTTCTTTATAGCAATACAGAAATGGCCTAATACATGCAAGAATGAGAAATATGAAGAAAAATACACCAAAACATAGCATGATCAAATTGTTCAAAATTGGTAACATAGGAAGTTTTAAAGGCAGCCAGACAAATATAACCCATTGTATACATGAGAACAAAGATAAAGATAATAACAGAATTCTCATTGAAATGATAGAAGAGCAACATATTAAAAACCTGAAGAAAAATCTGTCAAACTAGAATTCTCTACTCAATATAAATGCCTTTCAAAAACAAGGCAAAATAAAAACTTTTTTAAACACACAAAGGCTGAAATAATTTATCACCATATTTGCACTGAAACATATGTTAAATAAAATACTTCAGGCAGAAGGAAAATGCTACCAGACGGAAACATGCATGTACACAAAGGAATGAAGAGCACCAAAAATATAATTACGTGGGTAGATGTGTAAGATATTTTTCCTTCTTAAATTTAAGAGCCTTAAAATTAAAAAAGAAAAGGCCAGGCGCAGTGGCTCACGCCTGTAATCCAAGTACTTTGGGAGGCCGAGGCAGGTGTATCACGAGGTCAGGAGATCGAGACCATCCTGGCTAACACGGTGAAACCCTGTCTCTACTAAAAATACAAAAAATTAGCGGGGCTTGGTGATGGCCGCCTGTAGTCCCAGCTACTCGGGAGGCTGAGGCAGGAGAATGACGTGAACCCGGGAGGCGGAGCTTGCAGTGAGCCAAGATTGCGCCACTGCACTCCAGCCTGGGTGACAGAGCAAGACTCCATCTCAAAAGAAAAAAGAAGATATTTTTCTTATTGTTTAAATATCTTTAAAAGATCCCTGAATGTTTAACAAAAGTAATAATGGATTGTCAGGTTTGTAGCATATGCAAAAGTAAAATGCATGACAACAAAAACATAAAAGTTGTGAGAGAGGAAATGAAAGAGATACAATGCTAACATTAACGAAAATAGAAAGTAGCCAAAGAAGATTTCAGAGCAAGAATATTACCAGGGATCAAAAAACAGTATCACTTTATAATAAATGAAGTCAGTTCAACAGGACATAAAATATACTAAACACATATGTGCTTAATAACAGAGTTTCAAAATACATAAAGTAAAAACTAATGGAAGACAGATAAGTTCACAGAGTCACAGATTTCAATATGCCTCTTTCAATAACTGACTGAACAACTGGACATGAAATCCTCAAGAATATAGAAGACTTGAAGAACACTATTAGCCACCTCAACCTAACTGACATTTATAAAACAAAAGACACAAACACAATTATTCCTAATAGTGTTACTTGCAATAGTCAAAAACTAAAAATAACCTAAATTCCCACCAATAGGAGAATGCATAAAGTATAGTATATCCATACAATGAATATTACTCAATAATAAAGAAGAATGAACTACTGAATGCAGGAACATGGATCTCAATTATCCTGAGTGAAGAAAGCCAGACAAAATGAGTAAGTATCGGACATCACCAAGCTGGTGAAATAGAAGCTAACCCACTCATATCTCCCGACAATAACAAAAATTCTGCACCCATCCATGGTCCAAAGTCTCTCTACAAGAGCCTCAGAATTCAGGTGGAAGTTGTGAAACCCCAGCAGAGCCAAGATCTTAGAAGGTCATTTTGAGAGTTGAGACCCACACCTAGGTGGCTGATTCACTAAGCGTGCTCGTAGCTTCAAGCCCAGAAATGGCCCAGTCCTCCAAGGGGCTTGGTTACCACCTCATTTGGCCTTGAGCCTGAAAACAAAACCAACAGCCAAAGGGTCTGGCAGGAATCACACACTCTACTAACTGATGGAAGGGCTCATCTGCCTGTTGACAATGGTCTAGGCAATGAACCTGAAAGCTGCCCTGTGGCTTCGCTCCAATTCCCTCATCTGAGGTCCCAGGTAAGAGCTGCTTACACAAAGACCCACAGGGAGACTTGCCCGTATCTTGCAACCTGGGAGTCTCAGCCCTCCCTGGCAGGCTCGCCACACTTCCTCCCATGACAGATCCTGAGGGTACCCAATCTCAGCTCTGGGCTCTTCTGCTGCACTCAGGGAACTATCCCATCTGTGCTGAGACCTGCTAGGAGATGCATGCTCCTCTGTGCCAACTAGACCTCTCTAGTCTCCCACCCACAGCAGATCATAAGGGGGCCCAGTCCCAGCTCCAACTCCTCCTGTTGAAATCGGGGAACTATCTCATCTCTGCAGGGACTTCCTCAGAGACATGCAACCCTCTGAATCAATGTGACCAGGCTCTCCAACCTCTGTCCCACAGCAGATCCCAGACGGGCCCAATCTCAGCTCCAGCCCATCCTGCTGCAGTTGGGAAACTATCTTATTGGCGCAGGGTCTCCCTGGGAGACAAATGACTCTCTGAGCCAACAAAATCAGCTCTCCAACCTCCATCCCACAGCAGATCCTGAAGGGACCCAGTCTCAGTTCTGGCCCCTCTCACTGCTGTTAGAAAACTATCCACGGACTCCCAATCTCAACTCCCATTCCTCACCTGTGCAGAGACCTGCTGGGTGACACACCTGTCTGGGCCACTAGGACAGCATTCTGGACTCAGGTGCCTGGTCAGCATTCCCACAGAGCCCCAGTACCCACGCTGAGTCCTACCCAGGTCCATCTGGGCCAGAAAGCTGTGTCAACCTCAGAGTTCTTGCAAGACTCGCAGCAATCCTGTGCTTAAAGCATCCTCTAATGCTGAGATGGCTGCAGTGGTCATGGGCTCAGGGAACTCAACAGTCAGTCTATGTAGAATCCCTGGAAGGCCCTCTGAAGAAGGACAGGCACAAACAAAGCCAGACTTACGAAGACTTAAATAAATACCTAATCCCTCAGTGCACAGACGTAACCACATGTCCACAAGCATCAGCAATGCTCAGGAAAATATGACCCCATCAAACAGACAAAATAAGTTGCGACAGACTGACCATAAAATAATGAATATGAGTGGTCCCTCAGACAAATCATTCAAAATAGCTGTTTTAAGGAATCTCAAGAAAATTTAGAAAAACAGAGAATCAACTCAGAAATCACCAAAGAAACTTAACAGAGATTAATTTTAAAAAAAATCAAAAATTTTGGAGCTAAATACAAATAATTAAATGAAAAATGCAATAGATAGCATCAACCACAGAATTCAGCAAACAGAAGAAAGAATCAGTGAGCTCAAAGACAGACTATTTGCAAATACACAGTCAGAGGAGAAAAAAGAAAATGAAAAGGAATGAAGAAGCTTATGGGAGCTATGAGACAACAAAAGAGCAAATATTCAGGTTATTAGAGTTAAAGAAGGAATTGAGGAAGACGAAGTGGTAGAAGGTTATTCAAAGAAATAACAGAAAACTTTCCAAACCTGGAGATATAAATATCTACGTACTGGAAGGTCAAAAGTTACCAATAAGATTCAACCCAAATAAAAATACCCAAAGATATATTATAATCAAACTTTCAAAGGTCAAAGACAAAGAGAGGATCTTGAAAGCAGTGAGATAAAATAAGTAAATAACATACAAGGGAGACCCAACATGCCTGGCAGCAGACTGTTCAGCAAAAACCTTACAGGCAAGAAGTGAGGGGAGGCAGTGATATATTCAGGGAAAGAAAAAAAATGCCAATCAAGCATACTGTACCTGGAGAAACTGACAACTAGACTAAGTGATATCAGCAAGACGGCTGACTAGAGACACCTGGCACTTGAGCCCCTCCAAAAGAAAAAAAAAAACAAGGCAATAAATAAAAAGCTAAGATTTGACTAGAGTGTGGAAGGAAGAGCACTGCAACACAGCAGGGGAAGTGATGATGCACCTGTGGTGACTGGAAGTCCAGGAGAGCAGCATAGAGGTACCTAGCCTCTGTAGCCCCAACTCCCCTGCCTGGGTCAAATCTGCCCAGCGTCAGATGGGACTTCCCCCTGCAAGGAAAAGGTAAGCAAAAGATCCCCAACCACCCACATCACCACCACAAACACCTGAAGTCTTTACAACAGGAGAATCCCACAGTCCCTGCAAGCCCTGAGCCTAGTTTGGGAGCTGCTGGAAATTCATGCTGTTGCATTACCCCAGATTAGGAGCACGAAGTGTGCACTCCTCACTCCCCACCCACCCTGTGAGCCAAAGCTGCTGTAGCACAGCACCATCTTGAGACCAGAGCTGCCTCTCCAACATGCCCTGCTCTGGGGGCCAGAAGTCACTGCCATTCTCCAGCCCTGGGGCTCCATCTTTACTATACCAAGCCCACATGAGTGGCTGAATGTCACAACCCCAGTTGCATGGAGCCTGGGACCAGGATCGGCTGTTGAGACTGGCCCTGCACAACAGAGAAACCAACCCTCGCCACTGCACTTCCAGCCAGAGAAACAACCCAGCACTCCTGCCAAGGACAAACCTGCCCTTGATTTAGCCAAACCATTGCACACCCTCCTCAAAGCAGGAGAGGCTCCTGAGACTCCTAACAGATGATTCACCCCTGGGCCAGCAGAGTTGCTAAACACCTGTGCTCAGGACCTGGGAAACACCCCTATGGCACCCCTGCCCCAAGAAGAAATACTTCTGGGCTGCCCAATGTCCCCGAGTCTCCAATAAAGGCCTGAGAAACAGTCTCACAGGCTGACTATGGCAAGCATGCTCCCAGGCCCAACAAACAGCTATGTGCCCATGTCTCAGACTCAAGAAAAAGACCCATGGGTTGCCTTTGGAGGCACATCACCAAGCGGGCTGAGCAGCCCTGTTCCCATGTCCTGGGCCTATAGTAGCCCTGTGCCCACACCCAGGAGACATACCCCCAGGTCAGCCAAGCAGCCATAAGCTGTGTGACTATGTCCTGGGACTGAGAAGCAGTCCTGTGGGTTTCCCCCAGCAGATATGCTCTCAGACAAATCCAGCAGCTGTGTGCCCACTTACAAAGCCTGAGAAACAGCTCTATGGGCCACCCCTAATGGGCATGCCCGCAGCCAGCTGAGCAGCCTTGTGCCTACGTCCAATGCTGGAGAAACAGCCCCAGGAGCTGCCCCAGCAGATATGTCCCCACGCTGGCCAAGCAACCATGTGCCCATGCTCCTGGCCACAATAACATCCCTGTGGCCCCAACCCCAGCAAGCCAGACCCCAAGTTGGCTGACCCTATGTGTACATGTGTACCCCCAACCTGAGAAATACCAGGTGAACCCATCCTTGGCAAAGCTACACAACCATCACCACAAATTCTCTTAGTCAAGGCCATTGAGAAACTCATAAATGCCACTAGTGTGGATTACAACAGAAGAAACCACACAGATACTACGCTACTACATCCACCTAGAATCAAGACCAAAAGACCCCACTAAACTGACACCCCAGGACCCATTCATACAAATAAATCCCTATGAAACGTGCTCCATATAATTGGAAGGTGCAACTTTCCCATCAGATGCTCTTAAATCAATGTCAGGACATATCAACCATGAAAATCAAAGAAAAAAAAAAGCCAAAAACAAACAACAACAACAAAAAGTCACCTCCAAAGGAAAACAACAATTTTCCAGTAACAGACACCAATCATAAGAAAATATATGAAATGTCAGAAAAAGAATTCAAAATAATAATTTTAAGGAAACTCACTGAGATTCAAGAGAATACAGATAGACAATTCAACAAAATCAGGAAAACAACTCATGATATGAATGAGAAATTCAACAAAGAAATAGGTATTATTTTAAAAAGAACCAAAGAGAAATCATAGAGTTAAAGAATTCAATGAATAAAATTTAAAAACATAATTGAGAGCTTTAACAACTAGATTAAGCAACTAGGCTTCATCACGCTGAAGAAAGAATTTCTGAACTTGAAGACAGGACTTTTGAAATAATACCAGCAGACAAAAAAAGAATAAAAAAGAATAAAGCCTATGTGATTTATGAGACTAAGCAAATAAATATTCATAATATGGGCATTCTAGCAGAAGAAGATAAGGGAGAAGGTGAGGAAGACATATTTAATAAATCATAGCAGAGAACGTCTCAAGTCTTGGGAAAGAGATGGAAATCCAGGTTCAGGAAGCTCGAATAACCAAATAGTTTCAAACCAAATAGGTCCTTTTAGAGGTACATTATAGTCAAATTGTCAAAATCGAAAGACAAAGAAAAAATTAAAGCAGCAAAAGCATCAAGTCACATATAAGGGAATCTCTATTTGACTAACAGCATATTTTTCAGCAGAAACCTTACAGTTCAGGAGAGAACTGGTTGCTATATTCAAAGTACTGAAAGAAAATAAACTTCCAGCCAAGAATATTATACCCAGCAAAGCTATTTTTAAGAAATGAAGGACAAATTAAATCTTCAGAGACAAAATTCAAGGAATTCATCACCACTAGACTGGTCTTACAAGAAATGCTCAAGGGAGTCTTTTATCCGGAAGGAGAAGGATGATATCCACCATCATGAAAACATGGAAAACTACAAAAGTCCCTTGTAGACCCAATACACAAAGGAGAAAGACAAAGGAATCAAACCTATAGAAAACCACCCAACTGAAAAAATAAACAGTAAGAGAAGAAGTAACGAACAAAAGATATACAACTAGAAAACAATCAATAAAATGACAGGAATGAGTACTTACCTATCAATAACCCTGAATGTAAATAAATAACATTCCCTATTAAAAGATATAGACTGGCTGAATAAAAAGAAAAATATGACCCAACTATATGTGGACTACGAGAAACTCATCTCACCAATAAAGACACACATAGTCTTAAAGTGAAGGGATGGAAAAATATATTCATGCAAATGGAAACCAAAAGCAAGCAGGAGTAGCTATACTTACATCAGATAAAACAGACATCAAGTTAAAAGCTGTACAAAGAGACAAGCAATACATTATATAATAATGCACTCCCATATTTATTGCAGCACTATCACAACAGCCAAAATATGGAATCAACCTAAGCATCCATCCACAGATAAATGGATAAAGAAATTTGGTACATATACACAATGGAATACTATTCTGCCATAAAAAAGACTGAAATCCTGTCATTTGCAGCAACATGGATGGAACTGGAGGTCATTATGTTAAATGAAATAAGCCAGGCACAGAAAGACAAATATCACATGTTCTTACTCATATGTGGAAACTTAAAAAGTGGATCTTGTGGAAGTGGGGAGTAGAATGGTGGTTACTAGAGGCTGGGAAGGGAATTGGGGAGAGTGAAAAGAAGTGAGAGAAGGGATAAAAAATACAGTTAGATAGTAAGAATAAGTTCTGGTATTCAAGAGTACAGTAGGAAAATTACAGTTAATAATAACTTATTATATAATTCAAAATAGCCAGAAGAAAAAAACTATAATGTTACCAACACAATAAAAAGATAAATGTTTGAGGTGATGGCCATCCCAATTATCCTGATTTGATCATAACACATTGTATACTTGTATCAAAATATTACATATACCCCCAAAATATGTACAACTATTACATGTCAATAAAAATTAAATTGCCATATGATTCTATTTACATAAAACTCTAGAAAATGCAAACTAAAGGGACAGAAAGCCTATATTTATAATATAAAGAACTCCTTCAAATCAATAGAAAAAAGACAGATAATCCAATAGAAAAAAATGGCAAGAGATTTGAAAACATATATCACAAAAAACAATATCTAAATGGCCAATAAATGTGCTAAACCTCTTTAATAATCACAGAATTACTAATTATAATTAGGTACCACTATGCCCTTTTCGAAAGGCTAAAATAAAAATAAACAAGTGTAGGTGAAGATATGGTTCAACTGAAAGTCACACACCATTAGAAGAAATACAGATTGGTACAACCAATTTGGAAATCTGCTTAGCATTATCTACTGAATATAGACATCCCTCACTATCATGAGGAATTGATTCCAGGAACCCCACATAAACCAAAATCTGTGTACACCCACATCCCACAGTTGGCTGTGTGGACTCCACATATATGAAAAGGTACCCCTCCAAATATGCAGTTTTCATATCCTGAAAATTCTATAGTTTTGACCCACATTGCGTTGAAAAAAATTCATGTATAAGTGAACCAGCACAGTTCAAACCCATGCTGTTCAAGAGTCAACTGCTTATGTATCCTTTACAACTCAGCAATTATGTGTGTGTGCACCAAAAGACATAGGAAAGAATCTAGCAGCCAAAAAACTGAAATACAACAAATGTCTACCAACAGAAGCATGGATAAAGTGTGGTCTACTTACATAAGTAGAATGTAATTCTATTTATCATTCTATAATAAAAAAGGATAAAGTGTCTATTTACATAAGTAGAATGTAATTCTACTTATTACTCTATAATAAAAATGTATTTTTATTTTAGCCTTTCAAAAACGGCACAGTGGTACCTAATAAATCCTAATACTGTGTAGCAATGAAAATGAACAACATGGATGAACCTCATAAACATGCTGATTAATCAAAGAAACCAGCACAAAAAAGTACGTAATGTATAATCACATTTATATAAAGTTCATCACAAGCAAAATTAACCTGTGGTATTAGAAGTCAAGATAGTGTTGCCTTTTGGGGAGGAGAGAAGTGGGCATTGACGGAGAAAAGGCATGATCTAGGGGTGGTTACCTGAACATATTCATTTAGTTATAGTCATTACAACATGCACTTATTATGTGGAACTTTTTTTTTCTAAGTAGTTTATACTTCACCGAAAAAGTGAGAAACGTCAATCTAAACATTCGAATGTAGGAGACTTGATTATGTTAAGATGAACCTTTTCAATCAGTTTCTTACTGAAGAAACTTATTAAATTAATTCCAAATCACTTGTGTTCTAAATATAAAAATATTATAAAATACATGAAAGTAAATTTAAAAATAAAAAAATATATATAATGTTTTTATCAATATTTTTCTCCTATAGTTGGTAGCTGAATCCACAGAGGGTAATGCTGTCCGAACAGCATCAAAGACATGGAGAGACAAGGGCAAGGCCTTCATGACACTGGACATGTAACTCGTTCAATACCTGATGAGAAGGATCCTTAGTGTTCCATATACAAAGTTCAGTTCCATCCAAAGGGAAAGCACAGTCCTGCATGCTGCAAGCAAGCTGAACATGAGACACAGACTCCTTGGATTCAACCAGGTATTTTTCTATAACTATATCACTTAGACAGCCACCATTACTTGAGAAAATGTCTTGGGGATTTTCCATCTTCAATCTGAAAACAAAAAGTACATATAAGATGACTATAGGTATCATATTTAATACAGAAAAAAAGTCTATTACCTACTGATAGTTACTAGTTTGACCACACACATATACCACATCATACCTATTTATTCACCTCTCCTCATCCCAAGAAAAAAGAAGAGAAATTGCCGAAAACTCTGGAGCTTCCACATTCTCAACTGCTCCATTCTTCTCACGGGCTTTCCAGTTAAGCAAACCTTGACTCAAATACCACTATTCCCACTTCACAGAGCCTGCTTAGGCTTCCTCGATCAGCTTCCACAACTGTCAAATGAGAACAGTTACTGAGAGGCAAAGACTAAACAATGATCCATGTGGCATGGGTGCAGCGCTGTGGCACTTAGCGTTCTAAACGTTGGTTACTGAAATGACTAAGACACAAAGTTATTTTCTGAATTGACCACAGCAAATCAGTTGTTAGGAAACTGCAATTGGAACCCGCATCTCCCATAACTAACCTGGGCTTGATTCAACAATTTCACAACACTGTATGTAATTACAGTTAAGCTACCACAGGTTCTATAATCAGTGATTCACTGGCTATGTTTCGTAAAGCATAAACTAATGAAACACTGACAAAGATAAAATGTTTCAGATCTTCATCCAACTTTACACTTAACTTCACAGCATAATCACTTCAGAAACATGTGGGAATGGCACTGGGGTCATCCTTGATTCTGTTGTACCCCACACCCCACTGCAGGCCGGCAATAGATGCACCTGAAGGCACAGACAACAGACCTGCTTAGAAAGTGATGGGCAAGCACCCAAATATCCAGTGGGGTCATGCACGCTGTAGGTATTCAAAGGCCCACCCATGAGGCCCTCACACTGGTCACGTGGATTCAGAGGATCCACCCATGTGGCGCTCATGCTGGTCATGTGGATTCAGAGGATCCACCCATGCGGCCCTCATGCTGGTCATGTGGATTCACAGGATCCACCCGTGAGGCCCTCATGCTGGTCATGTGAATTCAGAGGATCCACCCATGAGGCCCTCATGCTGGTCATGTGGATTCAAAGGATCCACCCATTAGGCCCTCATGCTGGTCATATGGATTCAGAGGATCCAACCATGAGGCCCTCATGCTGGTCATGTGGATTCAAAGGATCCACCCATTAGGCCCTCATGCTGGTCATATGGATTCAGAGGATCCACCCATGAGGCCCTCATGCTGGTCATGTGGATTCAAAGGATACACCCATGCAGCCATCACACTGGTCACGTGGATTCGAAAAATCCACCCGTGTGCTCCTCATGCTGGCCCTGAGAGATTCTGCTAACCCAGCCTCTGCCTTTCTCTTCCTCTTCTCCAGCTCCTCCCTCCACTGCTACTCTATTTACTCTTTCTTCCAGCTCTTACAACACAGCAGGGCTTTTACTGCCTCAGCACGCACACTTTATCTTCATGTTCCATTCCTCCTCATCTCTGCACCTTGGGAGCTCTTCCCATTCTCCAGGTCTCAGCAGAGGCCCCTGAGAGCTGGCTCCCATCCCTGCCCCCCTACCCCATCCACCTCCTTCCCAGCACTTCACACAATCTAAACTATTTTGCCCTTAGGAGGCAGCAGGACATGGATCCATGGCCAGACTGATAGGATGGAATCCTTTGTCTGAAGGACCCTTGATCAGACAGGAATTGCATAGAAAGAAAGAGCACTGTAGGGTGCTACTCATCAGCAGGACCTTCCGCTGCCTGCCTCCCAGCCCCTTGACTGAGAAGTCTGACATTCCAGTGCAAGGTGTGACCGTTCAGTACCACCTCTGTGCTGCGGGCGGGGCAGCAGTAACAATTTCCTGTGTGCAGGGGGGAGCAGAATTTCACAAGAGAAGTGAAGCAAAGGAGAATGGACCACTCGAGATCATCTTCTGAAAATACTTCAAAAGAGGCCGGGCACGGTCGCTCACGCCTGTAATCCCAGCACTTTGGGAGGCCGAGGCGGGCGGATCACGAGGTCAGGAGATCGAGACCATCCTGGCTAACACGGTGAAACCCTGTCTCTACTAAAAATACAAAAAATTAGCAGGGTGTGGTGGCGGGCACCTGTGGTCCCAGCTACTCAAGAGGCTGAGGCAGGAGAATGGCGTGAACCTGGGAGGCAGAGCTTGCAGTGAGCCGAGATCGCGCCACTGCATTCCAGCCTGGGCAACAGAGCGAGACTCTGTCTCAAAAAAATTAAATTAAATTAAATTTTAAAAAAACGTAATTTTTAAAGGCTTGAAAATTCTCAATATTTGGAGAAAAACAAAATAAAAGCATGTGTACATTATTTTAAAGCAAATTTGTCTCCAATTCACAATTTTTATCTCACTTTTTTTTTAATATTTGCAAAGATACTTTGAGTGTCATATGAAAATAGCTACACCTTCCAAAGCTACCACAGTTACTCAGTAGACTCTGTAACTTGAGCATGGCAGTAGGTGCTGGGCAGATGTGTCCTAAGGGAACAATACGAACCTGCTGTCACCAGATCCACTGCTTCCCAAAACATAAAACATCTTCGGAGACAGATGAAGAATACATAAAAAATTATAGTTGTTTCAAAAATGCTAATAATACACTCATCAAATTGTGATTGAGTTCCATCTTTTTCTTCAACATAAACTTTTGTTGTAGTATAATTATCTTATTCTCTTCTGTAATTCCTATAGAATTCAGCAGCATTTTACAAATAATAGTACTTGTATGCCAATTTGCAGTTTACAAACCACTTCTGTAGACATTAATAAGCAGGTTTCTATATATGAGTACATAGATTATCATTATTACAGTGACCCTTTAAAGTGGTTAGGCAAGAAGACGGCAGCTAGGAGACAGGACTAATGTGCATCTCCCACTAGGATGGACTGAAAGGCATGTGGATACTCATACTGTGAAGTTTTGTTCCAAGAACCACTGCAGGAATGTACCAAAAAAAATGAAAGAATTCACAGATCCTTTTAAAGAAGCAGCAGGCCACTGCAAATTCCATGAGACAGGCAAAAAACTGTGAGTTCCCAAAATGTGAGAGGGGGGAAAACTGCCTCCAAACACCCCCACTGGGGAATCTAAAAATCAATATCACAGGAGAAGGATGTAACCTTACCTAGAGCTGAAGCATATTTAGGCAGCCAAGCGAAATATAAAAGTAGAAGCAGCAGTGAGAAGAGCCTTGTAGGCACTCCTAGTCTCCAGCTCCAGTCCAGGGAAGCCATCCCTGACTGTATCTCATAGGGGTCCTCCCTCAGAAAAGACAGCCAGAGGAATTAGGGAGAGGTCATAGGGTGAAAGAAGCTTCCAACTGAATTATGTGATAATTTAGACTGGGCATGAACTTCCTTGAGCAGAATCAGGAGTGGGTAAAAGGGAAGTGCTACAGATATGAGCACAGGAGCTGCCAACACTGTGGACAGATGGGGAGGGGCAAGACCTGAAAGCCAGCCATGCTCGTTTTCTCAGTGCAGAACTTATGGCCATGCTCGTTTTCTCAGTGCAGAACTTATGGCCTGGGGCAGGGCTGAGTCCCACACACAGGCTGTCTGCATCTAAACCTGGTGCTGTTAGCTGGGCACTGTGGGAGCAAGACCAGCTTCACAAACTGCATGGGAGCTGGGTGAGGCCTTTCACTACCGGCTTTCCCCCACTTCCCTGGCAACCTATGTGATGCGTCAGACACAGCCACAATCCCCTCTGGAACATAACTCCATTGGCCCAAGAACCACTCCCACGTCTCCCACAGCAGCTGCAGCAAGCCCTGCCCAGGGAGACTCTGAGCCCAGATCCACCTAACCCTGCCCCCATCTGATGGTTTGTCTCTACCCACCCTGGTAGCCAAACACAAAAGACATAAACTCTTGGGAACCCTAAGGCCCTGCTCATCACCTGAGAAACCAGAATGCCTCCCCTCGCCAACTTAGGGAAAGCTTATATACCCCTTCTAACACAGCAGCTGATATTCTCTCGAAGAACTCCTGAGAAATTCATCACAAAATGATTATGACCTGGGTACAGTCATCTGGTTATCTAAAGTCAGGAAGAATGAAAGAATCTTTAGAGCTGTGAGACAAAAGCATCAGGTAATCTATAAAGGAAAACCTATCAGATTAACAGCTGACTTCTCAGCAGAAAATTTACAAGCCAGTAGGGATTGGGGTCATATCTTTACCCTCCTTAAACAAAATGATTGTCAGCTAAGAATTTTGTATCCAGCAAAATTAAGCTTCACAAATGAAGGAAAGATAAAGTCTTTTTAGACAAATGCTGAGAGAATTTGCCACTACCAAGCTAGCACTACAAGAAATGGTAAAAGGAGTTCTAAATCTTGAAACAAAACCTTGAAATACACCAAAAAAGAACCTCCTTAAAACGTAAATCTCACAGGCCCTTAAACAATAACACAATGAAAAAAGGGTATTTAGGCAGGAACTAACATAATGAATAGAGCAGTACCCCACAGCTCAATACTAACGCTGAATGTAAATGGTCTAAGTGCTCCACTGGAAAGATACAAAATGGCAGAATGGATAAAAATACACCAATCAAGTATCTGGTGTCTTCAAGAGACTCATGTAACACATAAGAACTCACATAAACTTAAGGTAAAGGAGAGGAAAAAGATATTCCACACAAATGGAAACAAAAAGCAAGCAGGAAAAGCTATTCTTACATAGGACAAAACAAATAGACTTGAAAGCAACAAGTTTAAAAAAAAAAAGACAAAGAGGGACATTATACAATGATAAAAGGATTAGTCCAATAGGAAAATATCACAATCCTAAATATATACACACCTAACACAGAAGCTCCCAACTTCATAAAACAATTATGACTAGACCTAAGAAATGACATAGCAACACAATAATACTGGGGAATTTCAATACTCCACTGACAGCACTAGAAAGGTCATCAGAACAGAAAGTTAACAAAGAAAGAATGGACTTAAACTACACCGTAGAACAAATAAAATTAACATGTATTTGTGCCTTGTTAAATGTAACAGTCATGCCGGGCGCAGTGGCTCACATCTGTAATCCCAGCACTTTGGGAGGCCGAGGTGGGCAGATCACAAGGTCAGGAGTTTGAGACCATCCTGACCAACATGGTGAAACCCCCTCTCTACTAAAAATACAAAAATTAGCCGGGCGTGGTGGCAGACGCCTGTAAGCCCAGCTACTCAGGAGGCTGAGGCAGGAGTATCATCATTTTAACCTGGGAGGCTGAGTATGCAGTGAGCCGAGATTGCGCTGTTGCATTCCAGCCTGGGTGACAAAAGCGAAACTTTGTCTCAAAAAAATAAATAAATAAATAAGTCATCAACGCACGCACACAGAAACATTTCCACATACACTGCTGGTAAAAGAATAAACTGACATAAACTTAACTATCTGGCAATCAAAAATTCTACTTTTATAAATTTATAACAAGTAAATCATTCTACCTTTCCCAAATGTATTTCTTCAAGGCTGTCCATCATAACATTGATTATAATATGAAATGTAGCAACGGTTCTTACATTGAGTGGAATACAATGCAGATGTTTTAAAAAATAACATTGAAAAATAAGTTTACTTCATGTCTCAGAAGAGAAAGCAAGCTCAACCTAATCCAATGGAGAGAAAAGGAGTTTAATATGTAATTAAACAGTTATAGCACATGACTGGCTACAGCAGCTTCACCGACACCGTCAGGACGGCCCCCTGGTCTCCCCAACCCTCAGCTCCACCTGTCTAGGTGCTGCTCATTGTCTGTTCCTATGCAGTGGCAAAAAGATGGGCGGCAGCACCTGAGTGTGGCCTCCCACCGTTGCAGGGCGCTGCGGAAGAAAGCATCTCTTTCCATTGATCCTTGAACATTTCTCATGAGTCTGGGCCAGTCTGAGACACTTTCCATGTTTGAATTAATCACGTAATCAGAAGGATGAAATGATGCCAAGAAGTCAGGCCTGGGACAGAGACCTCTCCACTGAGTCCCGGCCAGCAGAGGGAGAAGGGTGGTAGCCCAGAGGAAATCCAGGTGCTTTTGCCCAAACAGGATGTGGATGCTAAGACAACAAAAATAGTAATGCTTAGAAGTATAAAAATATCAAGAAGGGTAAACAAAAACTTTAATGGAATAAATATTTACAAATTTAAAACTTCTATTTTTCAAAAGATCATTGGTGCTGGAGCCTAAGAGCAGGGTTTAAACAAATGGACACCACATGTTATTTCTGAGCTAGGACCGATGGAAGCCAGTACGGGTTGGTTGCTGAAGAGGAATTTGAGGAATCAGGAGTGGCTCCTAGCTTTCTGGCCTGAACAACAAGAGACCCCACTTACTGAGCTGGGGAAGAACAGGTTTGGCAGGGGAGAAGCATAGATTCCGTTTTGGATACGTTATGTCAAATGCTGAAACATCAACTGTGGCTTCCTCTAGGCATTGCACCAAAATTTCTTTCAAGTAACTGTGGAAGAAACAGACATCGCTTCTCTAATCCACAGTGTGTCCATTTTAGAGGGTAACACTCAGAAAGCCATCTTGTTTCTCTCATTTCTAAATGATTACAGAGCACCCAGTGTTGCCCTTTTGCACCAATTACATAAAATAGTACCTATGAGCTGAATGGTGAGGAGTCTAAATACCCCGGGGCACGGTGGTGACAGAGTAACACTCTCCCTAAGATGTCTGCATGCTAATCCCCAGAACCTCTGCAAACATTAGGCTACACAGCCAAGGGAATTGAGGTTACTAATCAGATGGGCTTCAGAAGAGAGATTATCCTGGATTCTCTGGGTATATTCAATTTAAATACTTTCCTTAACTAAGCTAGAGAGAGAAGAGTTGGGATGATGATGCACTGTGAGAAGGACTCAACCTGCTGTGGTTACCGGCTCTCAAGACAGAAAAAGGACCCAGGAGCTGAGGCCTGTGGTGGCCCTAGAAGCTGGAAAAGGCACAGAAAGGAGTTTTCACCCAAAGACTCTGGAAGGAGCCAGCCCCAATGCCACCCTGATTTTAGCAGTTTGAGACCCATTTTGGATTTGTGACCTCCAGAACCGTAAGATAATCCATTTGCGCTGTTTTAAACCACCAAATCTGCATTAGTTTGTCACAGCAGAATTAACAAACGAATACAAGTGCCTACAAAATGAAAACTGTAGAAACGAAATGACAATTCCCTGCATACGTCTACACAGTGATCTGTGTCCTATCGGGACTGAACCCTGAAGTAAGACTAGAACAAGCAATCAACAGCAAGAGTCCAGGGTGACCCAAGGGTTGAGATGGTGCTAGGAGATCTTGGGAAGAATGGCGCAGTGAAGCTTACGAGGAAGAAGTTAAGGTATGGGCAGTTGTGAAGCAAGAGATCACATACACACATGCATGCACACACACAAAATCTCACACCTGTATACACACATGCACACAAAGAATCCCACACATGCACCCAAACGTGCACACACATGTATGCCTGCACACATATAAAAAGCTGTCCGATCAAAACGGGTTTGGTGAAAGGTTTGGGGTCAGAGAGCCCACGGTCATAGGAGAAAGACAATCCGAAGACCTGAAGACCTCTTCCATGCCTGAAGCACAGGACCCCTTCATGTCTTAAAAACAAAAGCAGACGCCGGGCACAGTGGCTCACGCCTGTATTCCCAGCACTTTGGGAGGCTGAGGCGGGTGGATCACGAGGTCAGGAGTTCAAGAACCAGCCTGGCCAACATAGTGAAGCCCCATCTCTACTAAAAATACAAAAATTAGCTGGGCATGGTGGCACGTGCCTGTAGTCCCAGCTACTTGGAAGGCTGAGGCGGGAGAATCACTTGAACCCGGGAGGCGGAGGTTGTTGTGAGCCAAGATTGTGCCACTGCACTCCAGCCTGCACGACAGAGCGAGACCCTGTCTCAAAAACAAACAAAAGCAAAAACAACAAAAACCTATCTCCTGACACCCAACGTCTGATATCACTGGAATTATTTCCAAAATAAAGACAGTGTGGGCGGCAAGCCACCCAGGTGCCGAGGCAAGAGACCGAGGACACGAGCTGTTCCAGTATAATAAAATATAAAATCAGAACGGTTATACCAGATATAGATCTTAGATATGATTACATATGAATATCATTAATCATTAGTTTGTAGCAATTACTCTTTATTCCAATATTATAATAATACTCGCTCTATAATCATAACCTAGGAAAAACCAGGCCACACAGAGATAGGAGCTGAGGGGACATAGTGAGGAGTGACCAGAAGACCAGAGTGCGAGCCTTCTGTTATGCCCAGACAGGACCACCAGAGGGCTCCTTGGTCTAGCGGTAACGCCAGCATCTGGGAAGATGCTCTTTGCCAGGTGGACCGAGGTCTAGCGGTAGCCTCAGTGTCAAGGAAAAACACCTGCTACTTAGCAGACCGGGAAAGGGAATCTCCCTTTCTCCCGGAGAGTTTAGAGAAGACTCTACTCCTCTACCTCTTGTGGAGGGCCCGACATCAGTCAGGCTCGCCCACTGTAATCCGGAGGCCTAACCATCTCCGTGATGCTGTGCTTCAGTGGTCACGCTCCTAGTCCGCCTTCAGGTTCCATCCGGTACACCTGGCTCTGCCTTCTAGATAGCAGTAGCAAAATTAGTGAAAGTACTAAAAGTCTCTAATAAGCAGAAATAACGGTGTAAGTTGTTTCTCTCTGTCTCCTCTCTCTGCCTTGGCTGCCAGGCAGGGAAGGGCCCCCTGTCCAGTGGACACGTGACCCACATGGCCTTACCTATGGCCACTCTCCTTATCCTGCCCCTTTGTCTTGTATCCAATAAATATCAGTGCAGCCTGGCATTTGGGGCCACTACCGGTCTCCGTGACTTGGTGGTAGTGGTCCCCCGGGCCCAGCTGTCTTTTATCTCTTTGTCTTGTGTCTTTATTTCTACACTCGTCCCCGCGCACGGGGAGAGACCCACTGACCCTGCGGGCTGGTCCCTACAGGCAGAATATGAATGTGCTTGCATTTCCTGATGAGTGCATAGTAAAGAAATAACACCATGACTCACTAGTATGAAGAGTTCACAGAAACAATGGTGTGAAGCCAAGGAGGGAAGGAAGCCTTGTCAGGACACATAAGCCACCTTGACGAGGAAGCACCAGCCTGCACTCAGAATTTCTGGGTCAGTCTGGCCCCAGTGTGCACGAGCTGATGTCCCACCTCTCCAGCTGCCCAACACCTCTGTTCCTCAGTGTTCTCAGCTTCAATGCCTACCTCTGCCTCAGTGTATTCGGCTTCAATGCCTACCTCTGCCTCAGTGTACTCGGCTTTAATGCCTACCTCTCCTGCCTCTCCTGCTCCATGGCAGGGTGGTACAGACAGGGATGAGGGAGGGTCTGGTGCAGGCAGAAACATCGTCAGGGACACACCGACACACACACACACATACACACACGTGTCCACGTCGAGAACATGAGTCCAGGGCAGCTAACTGAAGTGCAACCTATCCTCCCATTGAACAGAGGTCAGATGGCCCCTAAAATCATTTGTGTAAAAAGTTATTTTTCTATATGTTAAAATATTCATTTTTCTATTTCTGTGGTCTGGCAGTTTTCCCCAAGCTCTTTCTGCTTCTTCCCTGGAGCCACTAAGAACATGGCTGGACCACATTTCCAGCCTCTGAAGTCGAGGGCAGCCGTGCACCAATTTCTGGTCTGGAAAGCACACCATGCATGCACAGGCTTGGTCCTGTCACAGCCCGTGCACAGCCCTTCATGCTGGAGGCGGAGGGCTCCAAAGGCTGAGGAGAGGGGCCACGGTGGTGGCACCTGGCAGCCTGTGCTGCTCCCACTAAAGGGTGATCAGGACACCAGGCTGGACTGTTGTGTAAGCAAGAGAGAAACATTTAGTGCATGAAGCTGAGGTCACTTCTGTCAGCCTACCTTGACTGATGTGGGTACCTTGAAGCAGGATGCTTCAGTGACACTGTAGGATGTTGCTGAGTGACTGAGTGATGGGGCACAGAAACAAATTCAGGAGGGGAAAAGCTCAAGACTCACGTTAGGCAGTGACAAACAGGTTCAACTGCAACAACCTGTAATAACGCAGAAAACTTACCACAGGCTTACTCTCCTGCAGCCCTACAGGAAATTATTGCAAAGAATACGCATTAGCAGCCAACACACGGAATTGGACTAGAGAACTGGCTGGTGTGCAAGCGGAATGGACACGAAAAGAAAGTACGAAGAGCAGGGGCTGCAGCACTGGGAAACCTGAGTGCCCTGAGAGGCTGCAGGGAGGGACAAAGGACCATCAGGTCTTGGCCCTTCAGCAAAGATCTGACCTAGGATGGCTACCTTCCCACTCAAGCCTTTGTTCCACATAACCTCAGGGTATCAGCTGCCCAGGAGACCAAAAGAAAATAAAGTCAGGCTTGAACAGTAGACACAGGAAGAACGACAATGGCATCACCAGCACACAGAGCTGACGAGATACACACAGACCAGAAGCTGCTGTGCTCGTGAGGACACGATGAAGCCTAAGAAGTATCAAGCAAAGAACAGAGTAAGGGCACACGGTGGGCTCAGGGCTGACTGCCTGGTCCCCACTGCCATGCTCCAGGAGTGAGCTATGGCAGCCTTCCAAGACAGCATCCTCATAGCCACATCAGATGAGACCGTGGAGGAAAAGGACTAAGGGTAGAATCAAGGGCCTCAGCAAACAAGCCAGGCACAGTGGCTCACATCTGCAATCCCAGCACTTTGTGGGGCCGAGGCAGAAGGATCACTTGAGCCCAGGAGTTCAAGACCAGCCTGGGCAACATAGTGAGACCCTGTCTCTACTTTAAAAAAAAAAAGTAGTCAGGTGTGGCAGTGCATGCTTGTAGCCCCAGCTGCTGGGGAGGCTGAGGTGGGAGGATCGTTTGAGCCACGGAGGTTGAAGCTATAGTGAGCTGTGATTGTGCCACTCTACTTCAACCTGGACAACAGTGACATCCTGTCTCAAAGGAAAGAAAAAGAACAATGGACAAGGGAATTCCTCCCAGATAGCAGAATCAGGGTCTAGTTGGGAAATTCCTCCCACCTCCACCCCAGCATCACTTCAAAACTGCTATAGACCAGTGTCTGCCATGTGTCTCCCTTTTCCAAAAGGGAGATGGTTACAAAAACCATGGTCATATTTAACCACTGCATTTTAGTGGGGAGAGCAACTAGTTTGTCTTCTTAGTCCATAGGGCTCTGGACCACGAGGAACCACAGCCAGGCCTGATGGAGAGAACTGTGCAATCCTGAGAAATGTTCTGTGTTGCACTAGGCACCTTGACAAAGTGTCCCCCTTGGGGTGGGGAGAGTGTGTTCTCCATGTGGGATCAAGAGTGGAGCAGAGATCTGGTCACCAGAAGAGAGACTACGGTAAGTGCTGTTCCTTTTCCACTAAGCCACTTCCCTTTCCTTCTAGACACAGAACTAAACTACACTCCCTAGCTTCCCTTGCAATTAAGTGCAGCCATGTAGTCGTTGAGTGCCTGGCCCATAAATTCCTCCTGCACTGCCTCTCTTCTTTCCCCACCCACTGGCTAAATGCGGAGAATTCAGAGGGCCTAAGGAAAAAAACCACAACATGGAAGAATTTTAGGCTGCAGCTTGCAGAGAGCTGCCCAAAGGAATCGTCTGACTAGAAACCGCTACACAGGACTGTGTGAGCAAGAAACATGCAACTGTTCTATTGGGGTGAATTGCTACAGCACTTAACCTACCTCCACTAATATAAATTGTTTAACATTTTTTTGAATTACAAAAGCAATACAATACAAAACATTTAAACAATGCAGAAATAATAAAGTTTTTTATCCCTACCTCCTCTCCCTGCTGTGCCAACCCTAGGGGATAATCAATGTCACAGGATATCCCCAGGAATATCCATGTACATACATGCACAGAACAAGTCAGGGAAAATAAACTAAATTTATTATTTTAGTGAGATTCTAGTGCACCTAACACTAGGTAAGCACTTCAGGAAAAGGCAGTGACAAGTGATTGCTAAAGATACCATAGTCTTAAAGTTAAGTCAGTAAACACAAGATAGTAATCCCAGATAAACTGGAAGCTGTAGAGTTAATACTCCTTTACTGGTACAGAGCAGTGTGTGTAAATTGTAGAAAATTTAGAAATACATAAAAAGATGAAAACTCTACTACTCGAGGAGTACCACTGATAAAATCCTGTGCATTTCCGTTTTTTTAATGTACATACGAATATTTTTAAAAAGAGAAAATTACTCCCTTCTGATTAGAAAAGATCGAAATTTTTCTCTTTTAGTGATAATCAAGTCAGAAACTTGCTGTTTGGCTCGAGTTAGGAAAACCTAGCCTGGTAGTTACCACGCAGGTTGAAAGGCCAGTGGGGCATAATTAACGAGCCCTCAGGGTCCACGCTCCCGCCCTCGGAGCTCAGAACCGACGGGAGGTGCAGGAGGCCGGGCATTTCTACAGCCCTGGTTCGTTCCTAAACTACTGAATCTTTTAAAGAGATCTGAGTGCTCCTTATACACAGCTGCTTTAATTAAAATAACCACCTGAGCCCTTTTCCTCCGAACTCCACATGCGCTCAGTTCTCAAAGCGCCGATCTCAAGCGGCCGCCCGGATGCTCCGGCCCGACTTGTGCCCCGAATTCCCCTGGAGACCCTCGCACTAGCACGGCGTCAGGAGGAGGCTTCGGGTGACGAGACAGCGGGCAACGGCTCTGGTCCAGAGCGCGCGTGTCCGCCGTTGGAAGCGGTCACGGCGGAACCCTCAAATCGCCCCCTTTCCTAGAGACCTCAGCGGAGCCGCGAGCAACCGCGCAGCCCCCGCGCTCCAGCCCTGCGCCCTAGGCACACGCCCCAGAGCAGCAGCTCGGGTTCGGCGCCGACTCCGCGCCGAGACCAGCCCGCTAGGGGAGGACTCACAGCACCCAGCTCCCAGGAGGGCACGCAGAGGACTACCGAGCCACACTCCGCCCCACGCTCGCCGCTATGGTTACTTGCCAGCCGACCCACGCGAGCCGCTATGGTTACTAGCCCGCCGCCCCTCGCGCCCACGCCCCTTTCGCTATCTCGCGACAGCTGGAGAAGCCTCGCTTCCGGCCGGCTCACTTACGGACCTAGCGTCACTTCCGCCTCCGGCGAGGCTCCGGCCTCGGGTCCGGATGTATAAAGCGCGGCCCCCTGCGGGGAGTGGTGGTGAGTCCGAGGGTGCCACAGCGGCCCTGCCCCTGCCCCTGCCCCTGCCCTGAGTGGGCGCCGCGCTACGGGGGAGGGGTTAACCCACCCCTCCTCCCCGGGGCCTCACGCGGGTGGGAAGGGACAGTCCCAGCGACAGACCAGGCGCCTGGACGCGCCGTGGACCCGCGTGCGGACGGCGGGGACAGGCTCCGGTGCTGAGCGCCTCCGGTGTCCCCAGCAGCACTGACCCACTTGCAGGCCCCGGAGCTGAGCCGCCAGCCATGGCCGCTCCCCGCGGGAGGGCCGCGCCCTGGACGACGGCCCTGCTGCTGCTCCTAGCCTCGCAGGTCCTGTCTCCGGGAAGCTGCGCGGACGAGGAGGAGGTCCCCGAGGAGTGGGTGCTCCTGCACGTCGTCCAGGGCCAGATAGGCGCCGGGAACTACAGCTACCTGCGGCTGAACCACGAGGGCAAGATAGTCCTCAGGATGCGCAGCCTCAAGGGAGATGCGGATCTGTACGTCTCCGCCAGCAGCCTGCACCCCAGCTTCGACGACTACGAGCTGCAATCGGCCACCTGCGGCCCGGACGCCGTGTCCATCCCCGCGCACTTCCGGCGCCCAGTGGGCATCGGCGTCTATGGACACCCCTCCCACCTGGAGAGCGAGTTCGAGATGAAGGTGTACTACGACGGCACGGTCGAGCAGCACCCGTTCGGCGAGGCCGCCTACCCCGCCGACGGCGCAGATGCCGGCCAGAAGCACGCTGGTGCCCCGGAAGACGCCTCGCAAGAGGAGGAATCTGTTCTCTGGACGATATTAATTAGCATTTTGAAACTGGTACTTGAAATTCTCTTTTGAGTCGTTGACCACACTCTGGGATATAAAACCCTCCATCTGTGAAGCTGATTGCAGTTTGCTGTGAACCTTGCTACTTGTACTTGGTTGAAGTTCTAGGTACCTTTAGTCAAGGGATGGAAAAATAAAGCCATACGCAGTTTTGTTACCTCAGTTACCCCAAAAATAGGAAAAGCAGCAAGCACAGTATTTTAAAGATCATAATTCCTATAAAAGGACTGTGCACAAAGTGTTTAGACTCCATTTTCATTAGGCAGGTTGACTAAAAATGATTGCAGTAACAGGTTTATATAAAATAGAGCAACCTTTCATGCTGTGACACAAATCAAAAGGTTGATAACTTTGTAATTTTACTCTGGAGATTCTAACCGAAGTTGGTGTAAGTTTTCAAGAGTTACTAAAATCAAGTTGGAAATGATTTACGTACACTTCCCTGAGCCTGGACTAAAGCCTCATGCCTGTACCCCAAGTAGGTGATGGTACTTTTCTATACAAAAAGGATTTCCTGGCAGGCAGGTATTTACAAAGTTTGTTCCTGTACCAGTCCAATAATGACAACTCTAAATCCAGCTGCACCAAATCTTAGTGGGCCATTTGTCATACCTATGAAAATTCTTCAGTTATTAAATAACTTTGTCAGTGCTACCTATGGTAGGCCGGAAACAATGTAGATTAGGAAGTTTCATGAAAATTAACTTTTGGGGCTATGGAGAAACAGTTAAGTATCTTAAGTTACTAAACATTTCCACTGAATTTTTGGAGTGAGCCAAGGTTACTATAAAATACTTTGGAAGATGAATTCTCTACCTGGAGTTAGTTTCGAGAGTAAGCGTAGCTTTTAACAGAAATAACTGCAGATTTTAAGCTCATAATTTGCAAAAAAAATCTTTTATTGGCATGAAAATAATGTTGTAAATGGCACCAAATATTCCACTTAAATGCATATACAGTATTAGAGTCAAAAACTATTTTATCCCTCTTTGCTGTTTTTCCCCCTTCTGCCCACTTTCCTGGGTGTTGGGGGGGCCCGCTGACAACAGTCACAAATCCAGCGACCTAGGAAAAAAATTGTTAATATAGAATGAAAAATTATCTTTACAGGACTGAATTTTAAGCCCATCTAAACTCTTCTGCCTTAGCTATCACTAATGATATTCCTCTCTGGATTTTGTGGTGAGAAGGGCACTATGAGTTCCTTAATTTAAGGAAAAAATGTAAACTTAATCAATGTAATCAATGCCATGCAAAATTCATTGCAAGTCAAGGGGGATGGGAGAGATGCAATGCCATACGGTGATACGGACCTTTAAGAAAGTACAATCTTTCCTGAAATTCAAACACTATCATACTTCAAAAGGTCAAAACCCATTCCGGAATTTGGCTTTTTTAAGACTTTTTCTCTCCTGCTCACTGGCAGCTGTGTGTCTTAACAGCATTCTTTCAAGTCCTGGTGTACTCTGCTGACAGCACTTTAAAACTTTAACAGCACAATGATAACTTGTACTACATACTTGATCTGAATTACTACAGAAAAATAATTATGTTGCTTGCTTAATGATTCCCAGGAAACTTCGTTGTAGGCATATATTTTATAAGAGTATTATACAGTGTTAACTATGCAAGTAAGTTCTAAAATTACACAATTATCTGTGTAATGTTTTAGTCCAATTACTGTGATTTATTCAACTCTGTTCTAAAGTTATCTGGAATTGTCATGCTGCCTCAATTTACAGAAATCTATAATAGATTTCTATAGAAATGTATAAAGACGTAGCAGTCATTTTGTTGTTTCTAAATAGATAACATATAAAAATAAAGGCTTTGTTACTTTAGTATTTCAGTAGAAAAACACCAGCTCATTCTATAGAACTATACTTCCAAAACTTAGCAGGGGCATTCTGGCCTTTCACTTATCCTTTAGTTGGAATTGTCTAGGGATGAAAAGCTGGTGGACATGACCTGTATAATCACAGCTTTGGTCATATTTGCACATAAGAGTCCACAAGCTCTTCATGTCATGATAGCGTTTATGCAGCCTTTTGGAGTGCTGGGAGAGTCTCATCACCCAAAGATAATGTTTGCTCTTTTTTTAATCTTTACCTGATGGAATAGCACCAAGGCCCACACAAAAAGTATGATAACCTCTGTCACACATATCACAGAACATCATTTCTTCTTCATGGTGGGGTTGTCCACATATAATGCATGTTTTACATTCCATACACTGCCATGGGTAGGTCTTAATCATAGAAACAAGCTCCATTGTCATATCCAGGCAAGAAGGATGGCCTAAATCAAAACCAGTATTAGTGGTATCTCACATAAGAAATTTTAACTTAATATGGCACATAAAATACTAGTTTGCTTTAGGACTTCCAGAGAATGGCTATAATGTCAAATCGCCAAAGAGAAATGAATATACAATGTAGAGGAAAACACATGGGCTGTGTCTATGCCTCACAAGCTACCCTGTGTATTTAATTTGGTGACTCTTTGGTTGAAATCTGCCTGAAACTATAAATTCTAGTTTTTGAACCAATAAATACGGTGGTTAAAATTTTAAAAAGACATTTCAATACTTACCACTATTCTCACATTGGGAGCAGTGTATAAGTGATTCAGCCTTTCCTTTCTTGTTGGACTCCTTACCCTTCAGACAAATTCCACATATAGCATTTGGAATGACCTTTGGCTGGAAGGGTAGAAGAGGGCTATAAATTCATGCCAGAAGAGCTTACTATGGGTTTAAAAGGAATTCTGTTACTTTATTGCCCTATTTTTACTTTTGGTAACTTGCTAATGAGGACCATTTTGAAAGACAAAACTTGACAGGAGTCTGCCTACAATGTAAGACTGCCTACTGAAGAAAGCATTAATTTCATCATAAAATTTGGTAAACAGCATGATCTCGTAAGATTAAATGTAGCATTCTATACTCCCTACATGCACAGTAAGATTTGTTTAATGAATGGAAGGAAAGACTAAATACAATGTCAAATGTCACTATTAATTGGACAAGAAAATCCAAGTAGCAAATGACCATTATGTGTAAGACTTACTCTAAAAAGACCATTTTAAATAGCTCATATATTAATTTTGTTTAAAACCTGCTATTTTCCAAAACTGCAAAACTAGAGCTATAAAATCTAAGTTAAAAAATCAGCTTATCCTCATTGGTATAGTGGTATTTAAAAAAAAATCAGTTTAAACATTTTTAATTGAAAGATGTCTCATGCATACATTGGCGTGTACATAAACGTTTGTGGAAAACTTAGTTGTGTGATTATTCTCTTTGCATGTCTAATAAAAGAATCTATACTTAGAAAGATTCACTATAAAATGTAAAATTATAAAAGGGAAAAATAAGTTTTCAGACAAGCAAAAAAAAATTGCAGTCACTTAAAAAATACACGAACACTCTGAGTACTACTGATCTTTCAGATTAAAAACATGCATGGTCCAGTGAAGGTGTCTGAATTTTAGACATATTTGGTTACACATGGAAATGACAAAGGAAAAAGGGTTCACTGCACTTAAAATTACCAGGGGAGGGAGGGCATCCGAACGTCACGGTCTTGACTGTTACAAAATGACGTTCACTCATGCTATAGAAATAAGTAAATAACAGTGGTAAAAAAGGAAGAGCAAGCATGGGCCAAGAATGAAATGGGGTAAGGGGACATACATACATACATACACACACACACACACACACACACACACACACACACACACACACACACACACGTAGATGAACTGGGAAAATAATTATTTTAAGTAGAATTGTTTCATTTCTGCTTTATTCCCACCCTGCCAAATGCATCCCTTTCCTAATTTACTGAACCAAAGAGGAACCTAAACAAAACTCAAACGTTGTATATATTCCAGCTTTGAAATGTCTCACTGCCACCTTCATAACCTGTTAGACCTAAACAATTTGTTCTTAAGTTTTGTACTTTTTAAATTATCTTTCTTTGCAAAAGATGACAGAGGCATTCAAAAAGAATTTTTGGCTTATTTATTTAAAAAAAGTCAACCTTATACATAAATAGAATAAAAACAAGAACTCTAAACAATCACAAATGTCTCTACAAAATAATAAATATCATGGAAGTTAAACATACATATAAAACTTTACTATTAAACTAATCTCCTGTATGTATATTTTTATACCCTGCTCCCCCCAACAAAAGGATAGTGTCACATGCTCAAACCATTTAAGTCTTGCAGTGTAGTTACCCTCTGTTGTTACTGCTACATTCTAAACATAAGGTTCTCATTGTGTGTTCCTATACCTAAATAAAAAACAGCTAGGAAGTGCACTTCTATAATCCAAATTCTGGTTCAGTTATGATCATATCTGTACCTGCCATAATATACAGCAGAATGCTCTCTCTTAATCCATCAAAACTAAGAAATCTCTTGGTTATGGTACCTGTACTAAATGTAAAAGATATACTTATTTAATACTAATAGTTTAAGTTAGATACTGGCATAGTAAATACTCTAATATCTTTCACTAAAGTCAGGGAAGTAACCAAACAATATTAAATTCTAAAAACAGAACTCCTCACAGGAGATTCTTTACAAAACAAAAGCCAAAAGGAGTAAAACACAAGGGTAGTCATTCACATTCTAGAGCAATTCAAGTTCTACAATCATTAAAATATACATTAAACACCTATGATAAAAGGGACACCAAAAAATTCTAGGTTTATTTCTAAGTTTAAATCATAATGATTTGTTAAATCACTTAGTTTTTCTTACCCAACAGCCTTCATCTTGATGAAAAGAGGGAAACATGAGAGAAGGGGAAGAGAGACAGCTTTGTAGCATTTTCTACGATGAATGCTGCAGCTCGATATACAAAGCATCTGCCCTCTCTAAGAAGCCACAGTGCTGGCATCCAGGACTTTACACAGCAGATAACAACTGTGGCTTAGAGAAGCCAGTCTCAAGTGGATTGCACAGTTGAGGGAGGGGTTAATGTGCAGCACTCTCCACAAGACCAATGGAGCACACTCCTATGTGTGTCTGGTTTAGACAATCAGTTCTACTTCAAATAACTGCAACATCATCAGAGTATCACTATTGACAAGAAAACTGAAATACTCATCCTAATAGCTCTCAGCATCTCAAATAAAAGGCTCACAGTACACTTACTTTTCTACTTGAAAAACAGCCAAAGATAAGACTTTCATGGTAGCAATAATATAGTATAGATTTTAATTATTGTATTTATAGGCCGGAATCCTAATAATTATGCTTTAAATTTCAGGTTAATGTAACCTAAACAATACTGTTCTATGAATTAAGGGCAAGCACTAGTGAATCTTATTAAGCAAAGCATCAGATACATTACTTCCTTGAATCTCGTACTTTTTATATATAAACTATGACCTTTAGCTTGAAGTACCCTAATATTTAGGCACATCTTGGTTTATTAATACTTTTTATAAAGAGGTTAACTTTTAATAAGCATGTTCACATTAATGTATGATGACTAGATACTGGTTGTTCCCATCTTTGAAATACCTGAAACATTTTTAGGTACTAAAAATGTTCACAGATTATGTAAAATATAAATTTTGCATATCCTACTTGAGTACTATTAAGTTCAGTTAATCCATATGATTTCTTGTATACTAAATCAATGATAGTGTTGAATAGCTGATTTCCAGCCTGTATTAAAACATCTATTTCAATATTCTCTCTTTTTAACCCATGATCAATCAAGCTTACTGTTGCAAAGATCTACTTAGCACTCAAGAGTTAACAGGACACTGTGCTTTGAGCGGCCACTTCCATTTAAAGCTCTTAGCAGACCAGTAGAACACACTCATTCATGTATACTGCTTCTGAAATTTCATCTTTGGAGCTCACTTGCTTTCAGTTATTAAGCATTAATTTATATAAAGAAATTACATAAGCTATATATGTAAAAACAAGTACAAAAATCACATAGCTGCAGCCTATTGCAGCCACCCTTGGAAGCCAACCCTTGCTGAATTAAGCTTAAAATTTGCTTGCTATAGGCTACAAAAAAAAAAAAGAATTTTTAAGTTAATTACATAAAAGCATTTCCTAATAAAATATGAAATACACTAACTTAATGTCGCTTTTTTTACTTGAAGAAAGGTAAATGAACATGTTAGAACGTGTTCTAGTTAGTTTGAGGGAAAGGTGACTTACTTCAGCCTGTTCTTGTGAATTATTTACCACAATCACAGTTCTGACATACAAGGTGTTTAACAATTTCACTTGGCAAAACTTTCTCATCAGCTTACTCTAAAATTTTCCTTCAATACACCTTCATAAGTGCAATAAAAGCATGTTCTAATACATTTCAGACCAAAAGAATCAAAAGGTAGTCTATTTTACTACCACCATCCCAAATATGAAACTGTACAGCTAATTCTTCCTTTTATGATATTCTTAAATCCCTATATGCAAATAAGGCTACTCATCTCTCACCTCACCTTTTCTTCAGAAGAAAAGGGAGGGGCAGACAGAGGGAGGAAAAGTTCAAAATATAATAATAGTTGCTGACAACCTACTCCTTTACTCTGAGGATAATCAGATCAACAAGTTAACAAGTATGTTTTAATTCTTGCCATAGAATCATATAGGCTCTTTACCAAGGTTATGCTAAAAATCACTACAATGTAAGTAACAGGTTTTATTATTTTCTATCCCAGAGTTAGCTAAATTTAGCATATGGATCAAATAATCCTTAGATTAAACCCAGATCTTTCTTAATGAAAGGCACTAAAAAAAATGCAACTTAGTCTAACAGTATATCCACTCATACTTTATAGCTCAGCAGCTTTAGCTACACTAAATGCTGGGGCATTTAAAATGCCAAATAATTATGATCTTTACTCCAAGGAAAGAAAATATAAACTTCTGCCTATGAAATAATGTTTTAAAAACCCATACTTGCCTGGTTATTCTTTCAAAGAAAAAAAAAGACTTATAAATTGTACATATACAGAAAACAGAAGGTAAACCATAGCCAAAAGTGACAGAAAAGCCACCAAGGAAATAAAGCAAAAAAGAAAGCAGCGGACAAAGGGCACACCATAGAAGAACAGCTAGTGAGGTACAGCAGGCAGAAGCTCCACAATCGTGAAAGTCAAGTTAAAATATTTCAGGGAGAGGCTGGTCAGTAAAGAAGCTGAGTCAGGGGCTTTTTTCTTCTACCTTGTACCCAGGAACTGACTTGGACAGTACAGAACGTTTGGGACCATCTTTTCTTGGAGTGGCAGCTTTGTCTTTTGATTTCTGTCTTCCCTGGAAAGAGTCCTCCTGGCTGTCAGGAGGGCTTTCCCCTTCAGATACATTGCCAGAGGAGCTGTCCTGGAGTTTAAAAGGCAAAAACAAAGATTCTTTGGAATTAAGACAAATTTGAGTCTGGATTTTGAAAACTATGGAAAATATTCAAAGAAAGTTTTAAAGCTTTATCATTTTAAAAATAAAAAGATCATTCTAAATGTAAGAAAGCTTTTTCCAGTGGAGACTAAAGTAAGTTATGTTAAAAATCATTCCTCCTTCTTCTAAGTATATTATATAAAACTGATTCCATATCAGTGCCTTCATCAACTTTGTTTTCTGACATAAGTCACAAAAACACAATTATCCGCTTCAGCTACTATTACGGCACACAGCTTCAACATCATTTTCCGTCACAAGGGAACATATTTGTTTCATACAAAAATATATTGTTACAAATAAGTGTGGGTATTTTCACTGAGTACTAAAAGTCATTAAGAAGGTCCTTCAGGAAAAATGAAGCGCTGCAGTTAGGAAAAAAAAAAAAAAGTCCTTCAAGTACACATTTGTGTTTTCACAATGTTAAACTATGCAGAGCCAATCCCTCAACTATCTACAACAGGATCTGAAATATTTTATATATTCAAGGTTTAAGACCTCAGTATCTGATCATTTAATTCTTCATTTTATAATTTAAAATGTTCTAATTAGAACTTTCATATAAATTACAAAAATTATAAATTAAAAAATTAGGTTATCTAGAGCCTCCCTGATAAACACACACTGACTAGAAACATGAATGTATCTACTTTATCTTTTTTCTGGGTGTCCACTTATATACATAAAGATACCGAGACTCACACATTACCCCCTACCTCATTGTGCCCTCATTTTTTAAAATACAAAACTGGATTACACTGTGTGTGTATGCATATGTGTATTTTGGTATTTTTTAAAAGCATTATGTGCATTTTCTCACAATCATTAAATATTCTTTGAACTGCATTTCTATCCTATAAATGTAATATAATATTACCCACTGTGGGCATTAAAATTTATTTGTAACTTCCAGCATAAAAAATACTGTCAACACTCAAATGGACCTTTTTTTCTAATTAAAATTTTTCAGCATCTGATTAAATCCTTAGGATAAATTCTACTAGTGGATTTGCTAGGTCAAATACTATGGAACTTAAATTGGTAAGACTGTCAAAATGCTTTCCCATAATGTTGGATTAGTTTACACTTTTCCTAGCAGTATGAAAGGAAGTCAGCTTCATCACCCTTTGCATGCCATAGCTCCCCTTTTAGCAACATGACAGGAGAAAAGTTGTGTCACCACTTTAATACTTGAACAGTATCTTATTTTGCATAATATGTATTATTAAAGATGTTTTAGAAGCTGTTGGTGACAAGGAAATAATGTCCATTCAATGGTAGCACAATCTCACATTTACATTGGCTTCAATGAAAAGTTTGAAATAGCCAGTTACTTAAAACACAATGCTAAAGAAATTCAAAGCCCTATGTCATCACTGGGATCAAAGCCCCAAACCATCATTGGGATTTTATTCTCCTTCAGGTGCACAGAATACACCAACTGCCCACTGTCTTGCAGGTGCATTTTGCTACAAAAAAAAAAGTCATACAGGAAAACCCAACAAATTGTACAACATATTACTAAACATAATATTTTCCTATAGGAAGCATAAGATTAAGCAAATGCACTCCCCTCAACTAAGAAAACTACATTTCTGTGTCAAGAGATCAAATTCTGTTTTGTTCAATATTTTAAGCTAAAGAGACAGCAAGTTGAATAAATGATTGTAAGCTAATTTTCCATACCCTTGCCTAAACTGCTCATGGTAACTACAAAGGGGCGATTTTAAGCATAAAGCTTACCAAAGGCCATTCACTGCTTGTTTTTATCAAAACATACTATAAGTAACTTTTATTGATGAATACTTTCTGGAAATTACATGCAACCATCCTTTTTCAAGGAGAGGGTGATGACAGAAATTCAATGTAACAAAAATTCAAAGAGAAAGGAAATGCTTCCTACTAGAGAGAAATGTTCTCACCGAAGTGCCTTTATTTTTCCGTTTCTCATCACCTCGACCATCTTCGCCATCATCTGAATCACCATCACTGTCTAGAGCAGGGAGCTCAGGATCCAGAGGGGGCTCATACAGGGCTGTGTTTAATGGCAGATACCGCAGCTCATCTGGTGAGTACCTGAAGTTCAGAGAGTTTATTTTTGGTTTCCCTTTATTATTAAATATAAACAGACTCATCTTTGACCTATGAAGATAGCCTTAAACTTCTTGAGTAACCCCGAAGACTTTTGAAAACTAGAGTACTAATTTTTCATTTTTGTCATCAAGTAGGGTTAATAAAAAGCCTGAACATCTTTTCACTAGACTTATGTAAAATATGCATTTGATTCTTACTAAGAGATAATGTGCCTCCCCTCTTTGCCCTCAACCCAAAAAAAGAAAAAAGTAAATAAAATGTCAGCAGCCCCAAGTCTGGCTGCCAGCTCACATCCACCTCGACCACTGTCCCAGGTCTTTGCTACTTCTCTGTGCTGTCACTCCATTTGTAAAACAGACCTAATAATAGCATCTACCGCATACAGTTGATATATATGCATTAACTTATTTAATGCATACATATCACACCAGTGCATGGTACATGATATTACTTAAAATAATAACATAGAAAGCAAAATTTTTAGTAACCAATTATTGTAAACAAATTTGGGAAGCATGTATTCTAACAAATTTAATCATCTATTTTGTCTGAAACTATATTGGCAATCTCTTCCCCTAGGTCAGACAGCACTGCTTCGTGCCACCTCCATTCTCACCCTCAGTAGCCCCCATTCAGGAGGCAACCCTAGATGAAGACTTCTCCAACTAAGACAACACACCAAAAAGCAAAGGGGTTAATATACTTGCATATGACTTTTAATAATTTGCTGATGCCAAAATAAAATTTTTAAAAATTAAAGGCCGGGTGCAGTGGCTCACGCCTATAATCCCAGCATTTCGGGAGGCCAAGGTGGGCAGATCACCTGAGGTCAGGAGTTCGAGACCAGCCTGGCCAACATGGTGAAACCCCGTCTCTACTAAATATACAGAAAATTAGCTGGGCAAGGTGGCGGGCACCTGTAATCCCAGCTACTCGGGAAGCTGAAGCAGGAGAATCACTTGAACCAGGAGGCAGAGGTTGCAGTGAGCCGAGATCGCGCCACTGCACTCCAGCCTGGGCGACAGCGTGAGACTCCATCTCAAAAAAAAAAAAAAAAAATTTGAAGAAAAACTTTTAAAAAATTGCTGCTCATGATTTAAATTTGAATTTAAAAAATCTTTTTTTATTTAAAAAATTTCTGCCCAAGATTTGACTTTCAAATGGTGTGAGTTATGATACTATATTTTAAATTCTATTCTCTAAAAAATAGTATATTATGAAAAACATACGGTTCCAGAGTAAGGCTTAAGGTTGAAGTAAAAGCTGAGACTTTAAAACAAAATGGGCTGGGCACAGTGGCTCACACCTTTAATCCGAGTACTTTGGGAGGCCAAGGTGGGCGGATCACTAGGTCAAGAGATCAAGAGCATCCTGGCCAACATGGTAAAACCCACCTCTACCAAAAATACAAATAATTAGCTGGGCGTGGTGGCATGTGCCTGCAGTCCCGCTATTTGGGAGGCTGAGGCAGGAGAATCACTTGAACACAGGAGGCAGAGGTTGCAGTGAGCCGAAATCACACTACCACACTCCATCCTGGGTACAGAGCAAGACTGTCTCAAAAAAAAAAAAAAGAATCTGTTAGCCCTGTTTTTTTCAGTTACATTTAATTTGGGAATAGGAGATAAGTAACATTTAGGGTCCATATTGGAGCAGCAGCCAGGCCAGGTCAGCAATGTGGCTGGGGCACCCAGTTGCCCATGCCTGCCCCTCTCCGCTCCTTCTCTCATCTTCTCTGCAGTAAAAGTCAGTGTTTCTCAAACTCTAACCTGCACATGAATCACACAGACATCTGTTAAAATGCAGACTCTGAGTCATAGGTCTAGAGTTGGGCCTGAGATTCTGCATTTCCAACAAGCTTCTGAGCAATAACAGTGCTTTGGACCACGGAACATACCCTGAGCAGTGAGGTGCTACAGAACCCCCAGCATCTGTCTCTAACAAACCCAAACAGAATGGGCAGAGACAGAGGCATCTAGACTTCACCAGCATATATTCAAATTCTGACTACAGGGTATTGTTTACCACAGAACCAGAGAAGAATAGCAACACAAATCCTATACGATATCTTACGGTGATATCTATAGACCCCAAAATTGTTAGGAGGCAAGTACAAAAGGCTCTGAAACCCCTTACCAATAGCCGATACCAACTGTAACTAAAACTACTAAATACCTCTTATAATATTCCTGGAACTGTCCGGGGATGAGAGCCACTGGGTAAGAACTGACCTTTGTTCGCTCTGTTGGCAAAACTTTGTACTTCCCTTGAGGTACCTGGATAACCTACGTTAACATAAAGAGAAACACAAAACTGATTCCATGCTAAGAATCAAGGCTTTAGGAAGAGTCCCCACGTGCTCACCACTGCACGCCCACTTCCCCCTCGAAAAGCTAAAATTTTAGGAGATATCAGGAGCTATAACCTAAGAGGACAGTTGGTGCTTTCAGTTCTATATATTATTGTTTTAAAGGCCTATTCTCCTGAGGAATGGCAGTGGATCTCTTGCTCACTACTTAACAGCAGAGTGATCTGGGTAGCTTATACGACCTCTCTGTAGCTCAATTTCTTTATGAAATGGAAGTAATCCTAGTTCCAACCTCACATGGTTACTATGAGAATTAACATGCAAATCTCTTAAAAACTCTTGGGACGCACAGCAAGTATGATATGTAGCTATTATTAGTCTCATTTAGAATTATTAACCGTAAAGCAAAAGACATCTCACAAAAAAATGTAAATTGAGTATTATTAAGCACACCATTAAAAATAACATCTCAACTTCTGAGGAAAAAAAGAACACGCAGGTGTCAGCATGGCCAACATGGTAAAACACCATCTCTACTAAAAATACAAAAAATTAGCTGGGTGTGGTGGCAGGCGCCTGTAATCCCAGCTAATGGGGAGGCTGAGGCAGAAGCATCGCCTGAACCCGGGAGGCGGAGGTTGCAGTGAGCCGAGATCATGCCACTGCACTCCATCCTGGGCTACACAGACTCTGCCACAAAAAACAAAACAAAACAAACAAACAAACAAAAAAAACACACACACATAGGTGGTACAAAAAATAACGATAAAGGGGGTGATGGGCACTCTGCAATAACAAGTAATAAACTAAGTTCAGGGGGTACTAAATTTAAGTTATCCTACATGTGTCTGCAAGTCAAAATAAGCTCTTCTTTCTTCCATGCGTTCCCGGTTTAAGTTGCTATTAAATTCTGCTGCTTTTTTGGCAGCTTTCTTAATATACTCAGGCACTTTACTGGCTTCAACTTTCTGAGTATTCTGTTGTTGCATTTGCTGGAAAAAAAAAATACAGTTGGAAGTCACATATAACTTTCTAAAATGTCATTTTCCCCAACCCAAATAAAAAATGCCAGTCACCTCAATTACTTACGGAATACTCTTTATAATGGTCTGTAATTCGTTGACGTTCTTTTTCTTGTAGAATAACAGAATACTCAGCATGTTTGGCTGGATATTCTTTTATCATTAAATCAATCACTTCATCACTGCGCAATGCTGTTAAGCCTATTTTAGACCAAAAAATAAAAAAATAAAGAAGCTCTTTTAAGGATAAGTGAACAAAAGCACTCTTCAAAATTTAATTCTTCAAACCGCTCCACGTTGTAATGGTTTTCCAATAGCCAAAGCAAAATATCTTAGTACATTTGAAAATAATTAAACTTAATATTCACAATATAAACTCGAGCAATCAAAAGATTATCTTGCAAAAGGCAAATATATCAATTTTTCAACCAAACAAGTTTATTTTTAAGATTCTATGTGCTTTGAACATATATCCCTTTAGTTGGAAACAACTGTTAAATAATGAAATGCACTAACTACTAACAAGTACTACAGAATACTAGATGAATAAAAAAAAATTCAACATATTATAGTTCCCAGTCTTCAAATTCCATACACAAGAAATATTACAATCAATTAAAATTTCACCAAAAACATCAGCACACACACACACACCATGGAGACAATTTTCAAAACTCACAGTATCAGATTTCACCAATTGCTAAAATGCATTCCCAAGAATTTATATAAAAAGTAGCCATGTTGCATTAAAATGTTTGTGAAAAAAAGATTACAAATAAAGCACGGACATAATTATACAGAACTAAAAATTGAAGAAAATTTGCCTTTTTGCATTTTAGAGATGTGGTCTCGCCATCTTGCCCAGGCTGGAGTGCAGTGGCTATTCACAGACATGATCACAGCACACTACAACCCCAAAGTCCTGTGTTCCAGTGATCCTCCTCCCTCAGCCTCCCAAGTAGCTGGGACCACACGCACACACCATGCACTTAGCAAAGAACCTGCAACTTAAAAAAATATATTGTACAAGCTTTGTACAAAAAATACAAACACTCTGAAAACTCTGTAAAAATTATTAGACAAGGGCTGGGCATGGTGGCTCATGCCTGTAATCCCAGCACTTTGGGAGACCAAGGTGGGTGGATCACAAGGTCAGAAGTTGGAGACCAGCCTGGCCAACATGGTAAAACCCCGTCTCTAATAAAAATACAAAAATTAGATGGCTGTGATGACATGCGCCTGTAGTACCAGCTACTCGGTAGGCTGAGGGAGAATTCCTTGAACCCGGGAGATGGAGGTTGCAGTGAGCTAAGATCGCGCCACTGCATGCCAGCCTGGACAACAGAGAGAGACTCTGTGTTAAAAAAAAGAGAAAAATTAGACAATTATACTCTGTTATAGAATAGAGGTTGATCCTTGACTTGCAATGGGGTTACATATGATAAACCCATCCTAAGTTGAAACTATCCTAAAAAGTAAAAGCATTTAATACATCTAGCCTACCAAACATCTTTGCTTACCCTAGCCTAACTTAAACATGCTCAGAAAACTTACATTAGCCTACAGCTGGGCAAAATCAGCTAACACAAATTTTAATATAAAGTGTTGAATATGTCATGTGACTTGTTACATATTATACTGCAAGTGAAAAGAATAATGGTTGTATAGACACTTGAAGTATGGTTTCTACTGAATATGCATTGCTTTCACACCATCATGAAGCTGAACCATCATAAGTCAGGAACCACATGTGTGTTCAAGCTTCATTCTCCTGTGTATTTTAACAATAATCAAAAATGAAGTAAATAATGTAGCATTTAAATAGTTCAATTTATTTTATTAATTTTGTAAAATATTTTAGGAAATAAGATACTTATCTAGTATTATCTCATAAATGTTCAGCTTGAAAAATTCACATTAAAAAGCTATTCTTACCTAGAGTGCACTGAGTTTCAGTAATGACATTTAGCTCTCTCAGGTAGAGTTTCTCCTTGTGAGACAAATCTCGTCGCTCTAAATCTCCAAAAAAAAGATCAAAAGACTATTAAAAACAGCAAAACCTTATGCACTTGTAAAACTTTTAAAAGCTTAAAAACCTTGACTTTTTAAAGTATTCATATTACATATTCCAAATATTATTAAAGGGGCTACAAAAAAATTTATAAATTCAAGAAATAAAACTCAGCAAGATACAAAAGTTAGAATAAAATAGGAAATAGAATAATCCAAAGCAAGAAGGTCATATAAATAACTATACTAAACTAGTTCATGAGGAATAGCCTTTCTCAAATTCAGATACGGCTCATATAGCTAACTCTATTCCTTAGATCAAGAAACAATGGTAAAAATCCCAAACTTGACTATAAAATGATTTTTTCTAAAATTTTCCTCAGGAAATTCACCTTTCCCATTTTGCTTTTAAATCAGTTTATGAGCCATAGAAAATATCAATAATGAAGAGTGATGCTGAATGATAGCAGTAAATGAAACACAGCCAGGCGTGGTGGCTCACACCTGTAATCCTAGCAATTCAGGAGGCTGAGGCAGCAGGATAGCTTGAAGCCATGAGTTTGAGACCACGCTGGGCAACATAGCAAGACTTCACATCTCTAAAAAAATAAAAATTAAAAAAATCTGCCACGCGTCGTGGTGCACACCTGTAGTCCCAGATACTTAGAAGGCTGAGGCAGGGAGACAGCTAGCCCAGGAGTGCAAGGCTGCAGTGAGCTATAATCGCACCAGTGCGCTCTAGCCTGGGTTACAGAATGAGACCCTTAGTCTTAAAAAAAAACAGCAAGCACAAGAATATAAAATATAATCTACAGAAAAATTCAGAAGTTGACAGTGTATCATAAAGAATTACTATCAATTATAAATTAATCTATTATATAAACTAGTACCTGGATATTTCCTTTTAAAGGAGGTCACACCCAAATATTCACTGACTTGTTCTTGAAGCATATAGTATTCTCCTGTTTCATCAGGTGGCCATTTGTACTCTATCAAGTTTTCTGCTGGATAGTAACTAAAACTAAGTACAGAAATACATATTATGCATTAAATGTAGCTTTCATTAATTTTTAATCACTTTTATTGAGGATATTTTGAAAACTATTTTAAGTATTTAAATTATTTGCCTCCTATGACTTGACTTCCTGTGTATCAAAGAAAATTACAAAACAGGTACAAGGAATAGAAATAATTATCTGGTCTACCAAGTCAAAAAGGTATGTGAAAATAACATCTTTTATACACTGGGAAGAACGTAGAATCACAATTGCTAAGAACGAAGGCATTTTTAGTTTAAAGGACCTATGAGGGCAAAGCAAGGTGATGATGGTATCAGCTCTGACTTCTTTCTCTTGGGCTTAAAATGCATAGCCAGTATTTCATCCACCCAAAGAATAATCAACTTCTGTCTCTTGTCTACTGTTCAGTGAGTCATAAATAGCTGAGAAAACAGAACTCTTAAAAACCTATTATCTCAGTGCATCATATCATAAACCGTAACTGTTTGTTCTCAGATACTCCACAAACCCAGAAGCAAAGAATGGACCTAGTTTGAAGGTGCCAGGGTATCACAGTCGATCTCCATCCTGAGTAACAGAGTACAGATTTCAGGATATGGGCCAATTCAACCTCTATATTGGACATGGGAAAGTGACACTATGTTATGCATCCATCTATTTAAAAAGTAACCTTCAAAAAGAACAGTGTTCTCAAAAATGGTGCTGGGAAACTGGGTATCCACATGCAAAAGTATAAAATTGGACCTTTACCTCATATCACAACTCAAAATGGATCAACAACCTAAATATAAGAGCTAACTAGAAAACTCTTAGAAGAAAACATAGAAATCTTTCACAACCTTGGATTTGAAGGTAGATTCTTACATATGACACCAAAAGCACAAGCAACAAAAGAAAAAATAGATGAAAAATTTGGGCTTCATCAAAATTAAAAATTTTGTACAGGGACACTATCAAGACAGTGAAAAGACAACCCACAGAACAGGAGAAAATATGTGTAAATCATATTTTTGATGAAGTATTAATATATAAAATATATTTAAAAAGCTCCTACAACAAAAAAAACCCCAAATAAAAAATGGACAAAGAACTTGAATAGACATGTCTCCAAAGAAGCTATACAAATGGCCAAGCAGATGAAAAGATGTTCAATATCAGTAGGCATTATGAAAATGCAAATCAAAATCACAATAAAATATCACTCCACACCTTTTAGGGTAACTATTATTTTAAAAAATGAAAAATAACAAATTGGTGAGAAATATGAAGAAACTGGAAACTGTGAATTGCTGGTAGGAATGTAAATTGGTGTGCAGCCCCTATGGAAAACAGTTTGGCAGCTTCTCAAAAAATTAAACATAGGATTACCATATAATCCAGCTACTCCACTCCTAGATAAACATCCAAAAAAACTGAAAACACAAACTCTGAACACCAATGCTCACTGCAGCATTATTCACCTTGGCCAGAAGGTGGAAACCCAAATGCCCATCAACATCTGAATGGATAAACAAAATCAGTATATACATAAAATGGAGTATTATTCAGCCTTAAAAACAGAAAAAAAGTCTGACATATGCTACAAAGATGAACCTTGAAGATATTCAAAGTTCTAAGAGAAATAAGCCAGCCACAAAAGGACAAATATTTTATGGTTCCACTTATATGAAGTAACTAAGTAGTCGTATTCACGGAAATAGAAAGTAGAATGATGGTTGCAAGGCGCTAAATAGAGGGAGAAAGGGAGGTTATTGCTTAATGGTTATAAAGTTTGGGGTAGTGAAAGTTTTGGAAATGGATGGTGGTAATGGCTGCACAACACTGTGAATGTAACTGATGCCAATGAATTTCACACTTAAAAATTGTTAAAATGATTAATTTTATGTATGTATGTATTTTACTATCATAAAATTGCTTTTTAATTACACTCAGTAGCAAGACCAACTTTGATGGCACATTATAGAACAGGAAGAAAATATTCTACAATTTTTAATAATTGCCTTTGCCAGAGCTGGGGGAAAGGGAAGAGGATGTTAAGGCAAAGAGGAACATCACAAAAAATATTAATAACCGATAAAATGACAGTACCCAAGATCTTGACTTGAAGTTTCACAACTCCTAGAACTATCTCCTGAGCCCATTCGCCTCCTTTTGGATGGCTGGGTCCCATCATTTGAATTATCTTCATTATCATCCTATACATTTAAAAGATTCAAAAATAATAATTAGAGAAAGAATAAAAGAACAGTAAGTCTCAATAAATGAAAGACTGTCTAAGGACAACTAGTCATACAAGTATTAACTTCATATTATAATTAAAAGGGTCCAAGAGTTTGGCATGAGCAAGACCTGGAATAAAATTTAAAACTGATCTTCAATCCAATCCAAATAAGAACATTTTCAATGAACCCGTAAATGCAAATCTGCTTTGGTTTCTGCTCTTCATAAACATATCAAACTGCTGCATCACTCTAGGATTAAAGCAAACTCTCCTACCCAAGCTCAGGGGGAAAAAAATGTATGGATCATTTACAGTTCTCAATTCAACTTGAAGCCGGTTCATAGGACTATTTTAATTGACTACTTTAGGCATTTATGTCCCTGTGAAAAGGGGACATATGAGACCGAAAACAATTCTAACTATTCACTCTTCCTCTTACACTGCTAAAATTTAGCAAAAATATACCCTAATAAGGGTCATCAATCTATAATATAGCAGCACACACACCAAAAAAAGAAGCTTGAGAGGGGGAGGGGAATTTTTTTTTTAAAGAAGATTATATATTTTTAATGTAATCCATTATGTGGCAAGAACATCAAGGTTATAAATTCAACCATTTCATTCAGAAAAAGTATCAGATGTTAGGAAATTGATTTATTTACTTATTAGCCAAGGCTTAAAGTCTAAAAATCATAATTTTTTAATGTAATATAGCTTTCAACGCTAATCCAATTTTGCTAAATACTATAGTCCTCTTGCTACATATTAAAATGAAAGCAATCCTGCAAAAGAATATAAAGAGGCAATATGGTATAGTGGCCAGGCATGCCAGAGCTGGACGGCCTGGGTTCTCACTGGGCACTGTCCCTCACTAGCTGAGTAGGTTATTCTCTGTGAGCATCTCCTTATCCGAAAATTTGAGACTATAATAGTGCCCCATTACATGGCTAATTCAATGATTAAACGAGCTACTATATTAAAAGTACTTAGAACAAGGACTGGCGAGTTATCTGATAAATATTAGTTAAAATGATGATTATGATGATAATAAAGTCTCAAATGTCTCTAGCTCCTAGGAATTAACTGGTTCTTTTCCAAATAGTAAAATATATATTCTTTTTCAGTCCTTATAAAATAAGCATTTCATTAAAGAGCTTTGCATAGTCTAAATCTACTCTCTGAAAATTTGCATAAGTATCTGCATACAACTGCAACACTGCATATTCAATACTTTCAACATAACTCATTTTAAACATTCCAGTATTTTTTCTATTTTACTGGTGAGCATTTTAAGGATTTTTATATCCTTAAACTTAAAAACATTTTCCTTTAGCTAAAAAGTTGAGACACTCAAAAATATACAAAAATAAAGTTAAAAATGCAAAGTGCTCAAAAAAGCTGAGACTACAATTTCATCAAGTGTTTTAAATTACTACTACAAATTCTAGGCAAAGGCATTATTATATAAAGTGAGCATCTGGGCAGCGGGCCTTTTTCTTGAGGGAGGTAGTAACAGCAATATTGTTCCCAATACATGACGGAATAAGGTAAGAATTTCCGTGTAACCGCAATACTGATACAGAGGCCCATGTTTTCAAAGACTCCCAAACATACTAAATCAGAGATGTGCCTTCCAGAGTTACAGGTGGTTTCCAACTACAGATCAGATGAATTTCTATGCATCACATCCTTCCTAGGGCTCAGGGGTCAAGAATGCACTCAGGGGGCACTGGCTCAGTGCCCTCCAGGTGCCGGGCCAGACGTCAAATGCTGGAAGTGCAAGGATGTGCATTCAGAGTCTTACAATCTAGTTACTTCCATTGACGACAGCCTTTGAGGAACCTTCAAAATGAGTCTCACAGCACGGTGGACGTGCGCAACGGGAAAAGCTCCCAAGCAGGCGCAGCCCGGCTAGGCTGCTACAGGACGGCTTCCCCTGCCAACGCGCACACGGCACACCGCGCACCGCACGAAGGCTGGCTGGCTCTGCAGCATTCCAGTTCCCACCGCCTTCTAATTTCAATCCAATTTCAAGCTTCCAGGCTTTTAAAACATCATTCCTCCCTTCCAACTTTCTGTCACAAACTGCTAGCCTAACTTTAGAACCAAAACGTTTTGATGCGTGACACTACTGCTCATCTCCATTTTCTCCACAAGCACCAATTTCTTTTCACCTCCTCAAGCAGTAAAAAGTTTTAACAGACTTCCGCTGAAAACATCCGGACGCTTGCGTATTAACTTAGTTATTACAGTAAGTTCACTGAGTGTGTTGATTTTCCATATCGTTCGCCACTCGGTTTTTGCAGTAAGCGTTCAAACACTTCGGCAAACTATGCGCGGAATGAACGCTGAGCGAACGCGCGCTTCTGCAGGCCCCTCCGAGGCCAACTCTCTCGGCCCCGGGCGCGTTCCGTCCCACGGCTGGCCTAGGAGGAGGCGTTTTGGGGACAAGCTTGTCAAGCAGGGCCGGCTGCCAACTTCGGGGAAGCCGCGCCGCGTCCCCCGCCCGCCCGCACTTGTTGCTCGCTAGAGGCCGCGGGCTCACCTCGGGGCCCCGCCTCGCCGACCACCCCCGGTCTCAGGCGCGGCGCCCGGCCTGGGCCCACGCCCCCGAGACGCTGGGCGGCCGCCGGTGGGACTGGGCCCACGCCCCGGCACCCAGGCCCGGGACGGGGTCAGGGTCGGGTCGCACCGGCCGCTTCCTCACCTTCGGGGACTGCGCTCCGGGGGTGGCTGGGTCGCTGTCGCACGGCCGCGGGGACAGCGCAGCCCCGGGCCCGGCCGCCGCCGCCATCAGCCCGAGCGCCCCGCGCCGCCGCCGCCGCCGTCGCCTCCGCCTTGTCCCGGCCGCCGCCGCCGCTGCCGCCGCCGCCGCCGCCGCCGCCGCGCGGGCCCCCCGCCGCCCCGGCCCCGCCCCCTCCGCCCGCCCGCCCGGGGGCCGGCCCCTGCCGCCGCGCGCCCCGCGGCCCGCCAGCGCCGCCGCCACCGCCATGGCCGTCGCCAGCGCGCCGCCCGCGCGGGAGGGCGCCAAAGGCTGGGAGGGCGCGGGGCTGCGGGCCGGAATGGAGGAGGCCCAGCGGCGGCGGCGCTTCTCACGTCAGCCCAACCCGCCCGGCCGCGGCCACCGCCTCAGCACCGTTGCCCCCCACAGCTCCGCCGCTGGCCTCAGCGCCGCCGCGACTCCCTTCAGCCCCGCCACTCGCTCGCCTCAGCCCCGCCGCTCGCTCGCCTCAGCCCCGCGGCCGCCTCAGCCCCGCCGCTCGCCTCAGCCCCGCCGCTCGCCTCAGCCCCGCCGCTCCCCTCAGCCCCGCGGCCGCCTCAGCCCCGCCGCCGCCTGGCTCCCCACGGCCCGGCGTTGTACTCGGCCGCGGCTCCCCCCAGCCCCCGGCGCGCCCCACCTCCCGCCCGCCCTCCGGCCCGCCCCGGCCCGGCACGTCGCCACTTGGCGCGCTCGCAGCCGCCCCCTCCCCGCGGCCCCCGGCCCGGCCCCTCCGCGCGTCACCCTCGTTCCCTCCCTCTCTCCGCGCCCCCGCCGCGCCCCTCCCCGCCCCTCCCGGGGGTCCCCGCCCCGCCCCCTCTCTGCCGGGGGTCGCCCTGCCCGGAGCAGTCGCGCGGAGACTGCGCGGCCTCCGCCTCTACGCGCTCGCGGTCGCCGCTCCTCTCCCGCCTTTGTTCTCGGGTCGCCCCTCTCGCTGGTGGCGCTCCGAGAGAGCAGCGGAGCCACCTGCCCAGGCCACGCTTCCCCGAGCATCCGCAGCTGCACCCGGGGGCTGTCGGCGCCCGCCCCGGAGCGTGCGGGAGGCACAGCGGGAAGAAGTCGCTGAGATTCGGCCCTCGTGGCTTTGCGTGCCCGCGTGGTTGATGCCTCCGCCGAGAACGCGGTCGGCCGGGAGCCGGGGAGGAGCGTGGACGCCGGCCTGGCAGGTACCCCCGCGAGAACGTGGGAGCCGGTGTATTTCAGCTGCATTTATTACTGATCTCGGGCTGCACCAGGGCACTTGTAGGACCGCACTAAAAACAGCGGAAAGTGAGGAGCCAAGCCTGGGTCCGGGGCGGCCCGCCGTACAGCTGGCCTCACGGATTCCACTGCCTGCGCCTGCAGATGACTTGTTCTGGAGAGTAGAGAATGTTCTCGGATTTAAAGTACAATCCGGTTTCCTTTCCATTCATTATAGTTGCCTACACTCAACAAACAAAAGTTGGGAAAGATAAAGGGATTATTCTAGCGCGTCACATTGACAAACACCGACGTTAACACGCTCAGTCCAGCCTGACTCACTTGCCTCAGGTCAGAGAGGTCACCACTGACGACGCCGGGCCCTCAAGCCGATCCTAATCCAGCTTGGTTCTCTCAGCCTCAGCCAGACCATCCGTTCTTGCCTCTGTCCCACCACGTGCAGGTGTAAGCTTCCGCCGCACTTCTTGTCTGAATCTGCCAAGAAGAAACTGCATCTTTCAGCTAAATTCTTTTCACTGATCAGGGTAGAGTTTAGCGGTTTTTTTTTTAAGAAAAAAAACAAAAACAAAAAAAAACTCTTAAGCTATTTGGTACTCCTCTCCCTCCGGGATTCTGTCTCTAGATTGTGAAAGCTGTCAGAGAATGGAGTCAGGGAAAGCCGTGATGGGAAAGTTCTCACTAATAATTGCCTGATATAAAGAATTAGCACAAAAGACTGCCAAAACCACAACCTTGCACAAAGGCCACAAAACTACACAAAAAAATGCTTCAAGGACATTTGCGCAGCAACTGCCTGTCCAACCTTGGACTGGCCATCCCCTTTGTTACTGATCTTTGTAGCCAAGGATAATTGTTTCAAAACAACTTACGTAATCCTCCTCGTTTTTCCTTTTAAACCCCTTATCTTCCTTTACCTCCCTGAATACACCTATAGTTTACTATGACACCATATTCTACATTGCAATGCCCACTTTCAAATAAATTTGTCATGTTTGGCAAACCTGTCTGTTATTTAGGTTGACAAGATCAAATGCAAATTTATTCTGGAGTCAACAAATAACTGATTCAGTCTTCCAATGTGCAAGGCAAAGAAGAATATTAAGGAGACACTGTATAGATTAGATCCCTGCCTATAGGCAGCTTCAACACTAATACAATATGGTACGAATATATAATTGTACTTTAAGGCAGCTTAGGTGGGAAAACAACTAGCAACTAAAAAAAAAAATGGAGTTTACTACCAACTAAAAAAAATGGAGGTTTCAAGGTTGACCTAGAATTTGAAAACTGCTTTAAAGACAGGTAAGAAAGACACAGGTAGATGTGCAATGGAAGTAGAAATTGGGTTTCAAGCCCCAAACAGGCTGAGGGGTGGGAAAATAGACATATTCAGGTACATCAATCGTTCCAGTTTGGCATAAGAATGAGATAAATGAAGATGGATTCTAGGAGTTAAGGATGAAATATGTAGGGAGGTACTATGATGTAATGGAGAGAACAAAGATTTCAAGTTAAGACTTTGGTTTAAATCCCAGCTGTGCCTCTTATTAGCTGTGTGATCAAAGGTAAATTAGTTAATCTCTCTGACCCTCCATTTCCTCATTTGTATGATAACAATAATGTCCAATTATTCCACAAATATTTTATGGCAAGCCAAGTATTAACTAAGAACTATGTTAAATGATGAAGATATAAAAAAACCATTTATTCATTCATTCATCAAATGAATGCCTTACTGTTTACTAAGTTACACCCTGAGTTAGGCCCTGGAAATACTGATAAGGGGGAAAAAAGCATGAAACCGTATGAGACCACTTAGATTATGCAGATATACGTGAAAATAAGGCCCAAGACCAAGAAGTCCAAAGGTACTCAACTTGTGGAAGTAAGATAGAGAAGGAAAAAAAAGAAAACTAAGTGTAAAGTACTGTAAACTGAAAGGAGAGAGTGTTTTAAAAGAGGGACTGGTCAGCTCTCCTAATGGAGAAGTTAGTAAGGTGGCAGAGAAGAATACATTGTATTTATCAACCTGGAGGTAATTAACTGTCTTGACTGTTTCAAGCTATTTCAGCAAAGTGGTGGTTTCAGAAACTAAATTAAAGCAGATTAAGGGAGGAATGGAAGCCTAGGAATTGGAGCCAGAGTATAGACAACTCTTCTGTGTAGTTTTATTATAAAAAGTAATGGAGAAAGAGAGTATCTGGAGAGGTGGTAGGGATGTTTTTAAGATGGAAGACATTAGCACATGTTGGTATACTGAAAAGAATGACTGAGTAGGAAGGCAGAAAACCATGATTGAGCAGAGAGAGGAAATGCTACTGGAAGGCAGCTTGTGAGAAGGCAAGGAAAAATGGGCTCCAGAGCACAGGTATTAGACAGGAAGCAGAATCCACCCAATTTAACAGGAAAGACAGAAGGTGGTCGCAGCTGCAAGCAGGTGAGTGGAAAACTTGAAGGTTTGTTTTTTTGTTTTTTTGTTTTTTTTTGAGACAGAGACTCACTCTGTTGCCCAGGTTGGAGTGCAGTGGCCTGATCTCGGCTCACTGCAAGCTCCACCTCCTGGGTTCACGCCATTCTCCTGCCTCAGCCTCCCAAGTAGCTGGGACTACAGGTGCCCGCTACCACACCTGGCTAATTTTTTGTATTTTTAGTAGAGACGGAGTTTCACCATGTTAGCCAGGATGGTCTCGATCTCCTGACCTCATGATCTGCCTGCCTCGGCCTCCCAAAGTGCTGGGATTACAGGCGTGAGCCACTGCACCCAGCCAACTTGAAGGATTTTTATTTCTGATATATTTTCTTTCCTTCATGAAATATAAAGGGAAAATCAGCTGACAGTTGTGTAGGGGAGAGAGATACAGAAGATCTGAGGAAGAAGGAGGTGTGTCAGCAGGAAAGCAAAGTTTCCAGGATGCCAAGTGTTTTGCCTTCTTGAGAGTTATGGTCATGAATTTAAAGTGAAACTACTCGGTCTGGCTTTGTCAGGTTCTCAGTCAAGTTTACCTACTTGGATTCAGGCTTGGACAAAGTGGATAATGGGGTTCATTCAGGAAGGGGTTTTCCAGGTGAGGAAGAGGGACAAAGAAATTGAAGTCTGTTTGTAAAGGAGTGATTATAATGATGAGCCATGATATCTAAGCTGGACAAGGTAGGAAATTTGAGGGCTATAAATGGTGAAAAAAGCCAATGAACTGGAGATTTCAATAAGATTAGAGAATGGCTGTCTTCGGGGTACTAGAGGTGGTGAGCTGGAAGGACAGGAAATGATTGCATGAGAATAACTTGCTTGAAATAAAGATTTCAGAAGTCATACTAATATTGGCGACAGCAAAGTCTAGAGGGGTAAAAGGCAACTGAATGTGAGTTGGTTAAGGAATTAGAAAGCATACAGCCAGTCCTAGCTTGGCATGGTAGAACATGACTAGAAAAATGACCATGGAAGTTGAAATTGTGCAAAGTGATCTTAATAATCAAAGAGAAAAATTAAAATTGTTCTGTGACACTTAAGAACTTTTGTTGAAACATCAAAAACTCTGTTACTGCTACGTAGACATATCAGGAATTTTTTAAATTGTAAAACTAATTTATTTAGTATGCCATAATTTAAAACATGAGAAACATGGAGAATCAGTCTTTATTCTTTGTGAAAAACAAAAGAAAACAAAACAACTTACCAATAGTAGTGTGAACTGTTTGCCTCTTCTCATACTATTAATCTTCTGTCTTGAAAAATTGTTATTCTGCATTCTAAGTTTAGATTAGCTTCCAACATTTTATCTTTGCATTTTCAATCTTGTGAACTATTCTCAGGAATTCTTTAATACAAAGTGTATCAGCAACACTTCCTGTGGACCTCTTCACCCTTTTGTCACAGCCACTTTAATCTCTTAACATTAATCAATTCATAAAATGATGAAACCAGAATTTACTGGCTGAATAAGGTTTTTATTTAGTCTCTTTGTAATTATCATTTTCTTTCAACAAGACAACCAACTTCAACACTTCACCCGAATGCTAGCCAGACTGATTGGGAAAAAATTTAAATTTATTACAGTCTTCAGTCAAAAGCAGGAAAAAGTCTTTATATCGGCCATAATTTGCATTCTCTTTCTAGTGCAATTTAAACCAAAAGATCCTGAAGCAACTTACCTTGTTTTTTCTACTTACTGAACTTTTTCTCTATGGCTTCTATGGTGCCTTTTGTGTAGGCCGAGGTCTCATCCTATCTTTGCTTTGCTTTTGTCATTTTCAAATTCCCTAATCACATCTAATTTCATTTCTGCATTATTATTTTTTTATTTGCTGTACTTTCATCTTTCTTGGCCAATTCCCTTTTAATGATCCATTTTTGTAAAATATCATGTTAGTTTATCACTGGGAATCAAGGAAGCTATACAACTACATGCTTTGCTGCTTGTAAACTGAAAAACTGAGTAACAGTTGTGCAGTGACCAATAACTGACAGACTCTGAAAGAAGGATTGTGATATCTGCTATGGACTGAATGTTTGTGCCTTACCTGCAAATTCATAAATTGAAGCCCTAATCCCCAGTGTGATGGTATTTGGAAGTGAGAACTTTGGGAGGTGATTAGATTTACATGAGGTCACGAGAGCAGAGTCCCCATGATGGGGATTAATATCCTTTCAAAAAGAAGAAGAGATACAAGATTCATATTCCTTCTCTTTCTCTCTCCCCTGCCCCCACCCCCACCAAGGAAAGACCAGGTAAGGACATAACCAGGAAGAGGGCCCTCACCAAGAACCACCATGTTGGCACCCTGATCTCAGACTTTCAGCCTCTAGAACCTCAATAAAAAATATTTGTTTAAGCAACCCAGTCTAAGGCATTTAATTATATTAGCCCAAGCTAAGACAGTGCCCATCTGTTATTTACATAGTGATCTGTGAACTGAAGAGCTAGCTGTGAATTTTCTTCTTTATGCAATTCCTCACATAAAGTTAATATGCAATCATAATTGAAATGTGAACCACCTTGTTGGGGAACTGGTATTATTTAACTAAACCACAGTAAATGAAATTTGCTTGAATATTCTGAAAGTGAAAATTGCACAGTGCATACTAGAACTGTGCAAAGTGAGGACTGCCTTGTTTTGGATGGCTCATCTATGTGGATGTTGAAGTCCCAAGGAAAGATGACAGGAGTTGGGTGGGGATGAAGATTATATAATCCAGTAGCTCAAGTCTTCAAGTGATGGGGAGGAATAAGCCAGGAACTACAGGCAGCAGAAATCAACAGGTAAAAGATTATATATTCAGATAGCATACATTTTCAGGAGCCAGAATTTTTTTTAAGGTCAAAGGGGTTACCTACGCTAACTCCTGGCTGTAAGTCATCAAAGATTGAGAGGAAAAAAACAGCCTTCATTTGAGAGGGCTGCAGTGGCACTCCTCTTCAGGGAAAAGTCAGATTGCTTTTAAGGAAAGGAACTCAAAATGCATGTGGAAGAGAGGTTGGGAATATAGAGGAGCCTGATGAACCATATAAAGAAAGTTCCGGCCGGGCGCGGTGGCTCACGCCTGTAATCCCAGCACTTTGGGAGGCCGAGGCGGGCGGATGGATCACGAAGTCAGGAGATCGAGACCATCCTGGCTAACACAGTGAAACCCCATCTCTACTAAAAATACAAAAAATTAGCCGGGCATGGTGGCAGGCGCCTGTAGTCCCAGCTACTCAGGAGGCTGAGGCATGAGAATGGTGTGAACCTGGGAGGTGGAGCTTGCAGTGAGCCGATGGACTGAAGGAAATGTTTATGTGATATTTTATGTGAGTGATCTTCACAGTGGGCAAGTGGTTCAAAAGTTATGTATCTGAATACTTAGCATGATAGTCTAGTGGGGTCAGGTGATACTACCCTTTTATAGGATCGTGGTGAAGTACAGCCTAGGTGGAGGAGCCTAGGGGAAAGAGGCTGATGATAGCAGGGCAGAGGTTTTCTTGGTACAGGTCTCAACATAGCTTATTGGGGAAGAAAAGGAGGAAAGGAGTTTTATGTTAGAGGAAAGGCAATAATAGAAGATATTATGGAGGACAAAGGGGGATATCTCACCCAATCTGGAGAAGCAGTGAGAGAGACGTTGGATTGACAGTGAGAAGTGTTGCTAGGATCTGAGATCTTTATAATGCACCTGGAATCCACTTAACCTCAGAAAATAGCAGAGTATTACATTATGGACAATCTAGAACCTTAAGAGTAGGCAGAAGAATTGGTATTCACTCATAAGGCAATCAAGAGCCACTGAGGGGTTTTGAGGCAAAGACTGATACAAAGTTATGCTTCCAAGATGAAAACTCCATCAGTTTTATGTGTAAGGTATGGAGATGAGACGTAAGGCAAAGAAAATAGGCCCATTGGGTTTTCTCCCTGCCTCATTCTTGGAAGCATTTACTAGAGGTGCAGTTGCTGAATACCAGCCCCCCAATACAAAAGAAGTTCAGTGAAGTCAGGGGACTTGTCTGTTTTTTTCACCACAATACAATCTGCATCTCCAACAGTGCCTAGAACATAGTAGATGCATGATTCTGTTGAACAAAAAAATAATAAATGAATCAATGAAATAAAGGGGCTATTGAAACAGATTTGAGAGAAGTGAGTACCTAGGCTACAGATATAACAAATGGAAAATTGAAGCTATTTTGAGCCACTTCAAAAAATTAAAATCTATAGAATTTAACAACTAAGTATATATGGGGTTTTACAGAAGGGAAAGAGAAAGAACAGAACTAAAGGTAATTTGGATGTGTCAGACCTAATAAGAATAAGTGTGCATAAGTGCTTGATTACATATTATTTACTTTAATTCACATGCAAACCTTAGGAAAAAGGTATAATTCTCATTTTACAAACAAGTCTATCTATGAGGCAGTCAACTCAATTACCAGGTAGTATATTTTGCAATTAATTCATCCTGACAAGTTCATCAGGAAGGCAAATTGCATGATATGACATATTTCATAGGTTATTACTAATTTTTTCTGTGGTCAAGATTAGCATCAATAGCTCCTTTTAAAGAGGTTTTTGGCTACAACTATCATGTATATTCTCTGTATAATGGTGGAGTGATTTTTTTTTCACCAAGCATATTTTTCTTTTATTATGAAAGAACAGTTGTTCTGATATATAGTTGCCAGAAGGAAACTCTCAGGGAATTTTAGTTTACTAATAGAATTGGTAGAAATTGTAAGAAAATGATCAAAATATCTTTTTATTTCTTCTTAAAAAAATGGGATACATGTGCAGAATGTCCAGATTTGTTACATAGGTATACATGTGCCGTGGTGGTTTGCTGCATCTGTTGACCCATCCTCTAAGTTCCCTCCCCTCCACTCTCACCCCCAACAGGCCCTGGTGTGTGTTGTTCCCCTCTCTTGTGTCCATGTGTTCTCAATGTTCAACTCCCACTTATGAGTGAGAACATGTGATGTTTTTTTCTCCTGTGTTAGTTTGCTGAGGATGATAGCTTCCAGCTTCATCCATGTCCCTGCAAAGGACATGATCTCATTCCTTTTTATGGCTGCATAGTATACCATGGTGTATATGTACCACATTTTCTTTATCCAGTCTATCATTGATGGGCATTTAGGTTAGTTCCATGTCTTTGCTATTGTGAATAGTGCTGAAATAAACATACATGTGCATGTGTCTTCATAGTAGAATGATTTATATTCCTTTGGGTATATACCCAGTAATGGAATTGCTGGGTCAAATGGTATTTCTGGTTCTAGATCCTTGAGGAATTGCCATACTGTCTTCCACAATGGTTGAACTAATTTACATTCTCACCAACAGTGTAAAAGTGTTCCTATTTCTCTACAGCCTCGCCAGCATCCATTGTTTTCGGACTTTTTAATAATCACCATTCTGACTGGTGTGAGATGGTATCTCATTGTGGTTTTGATTTGCATTTCTTTGATGATCAGTGATGTTGAGCTTTTTTTCCATATGTTTGTTGGCCACATAAATGTCTTCTTTTGAGAAATGTCTGTTCATATCCTTTGCCCACTTTTTGATGGGGTTGTTTTTTTTTTCTTGTAAATATGTTTAAGTACCTTGCAAATTATGGATATTAGACTTTTGTCAGATGGGTAGATCGCAAAAATTTTCTCCCATTCTGTAGGTTGCCAGTTCACTCTGATGATAGTTTCTTTTGCTGTACAGAAGCTCTTTAGTTTAATTACATTCCATTTGTCAATTTTGGCTTTTGTTGCAATTGCTTTTGGCATTTTTGTCATGAAGTCTTTGCCCATGCCTGTGTCCTGAATGGTATTGCCTAGGTTTTCTTCTAGAGTTTTTATGGTTTTGGGTTTTACATTTAAGTCTTTAATCCATCTTAAGTTACTTCTTGTATAAGGTGTAAGGAAGGGGTCCAGTTTCAGTTTTCTGCATATGGCTAGCCAGTTTTCCCAGCACCATTTACTGAATAGGAGATCCTTTTCCCATTGCTTATTTTTGTCAGGTTTGTCGAAGGTCAGATGGCTGTAGATGTGTGGTGTTATTTCTGAGGTCTCTGTTCTGCTCCATTGGTCTATATGTCTGTTTTGGTACCAGTACCATGCTGTTTTGGTTACTGTAGCCTTGTAGTATAGTTTGAAGTCATGTAGCATGATGCCTCCAGCTTTGTTCTTTTTGCTTAGGATTGTCTTGGCTATATAGGGTCTTCTTTGATTCTATATGAAATTTAAAATAGTTTTTTCTAATTCTGTGAAAAATATCAATGGTAGTTTCATGGGAATAACATTGAATCTATAAATTACTTTGGGCAGTGTGGCCATTTTCACAATGGTGATTCTTCCTATCCCTGAGGATGGAATGTTTTCCCCTTTGTTTATGTCCTCTCTTATTTCCTTGAGCAGTGGTTTGTAGTTCTTGAAGAGGTGCTTCACATCCCTTGTTATCTCTATTCCTAGGTATTTTATTCTCTTTGTAGTGAGTGTGAATGGGAGTTTATTCATGATTTGGCTCTCTGCTTACCTATTGTTGGTGTAAAGGAAAGCTTGTGATTTTTGCACATTGATTTTGTATCCTGAGACTTTGCTGTAGTTGCTTATCAGTTCCAGAAGTTTTGGGGCTGAGATGATGTGGTTTTCTAAATATAAAATCATGTCATCTGCAAACAGAGACAACTTGACTTCCTCTGCCCCTATTTGAATACCCTTTATTTCTTTCTCTTGCCTGATTGCCCTGGCCAGAACTTCCAATATTATGTTGAATAGAAGTGGTGAGAGAGGGCATCCTTGTCTTGTACTGGTTTTCCAAGGGAATGCTTCCAGCTTTTGCCCATTCAATATGATATTGGCTGTGGTTTTGTCATAAATAGCTCTTATTATTTTGAGATCTGTTCCATCAATACCTAGTTTATTGAGAGTTTTTTAACATGAAGGGATGTTGAAGTTTGTCAGCCCTATCAATCTGCATCTATTGAGATAATCATGTGGTTTTTGTCTTTGGTTCTGTTTATGAGATGGATTACATTTATTGATTTGCATATGTTGAACCAGCCTTGCATCCCAGGGATGAAGCCGACTTGATCGTGGTAGATAAGTTTTTTGATGTGCTGCTGGATTCGGTTGGCCAGTATTTTATTGAGAATTTTCACATTGATGTTCATCAGGGATATTGGCCTGAAGTTTTCTTTTTTTTTGTTGTGTCTCTTCCAGGTTTTGGTATCAGGGCGATGCTGGCTTCATAAAATGAGTTAGGGAGGATTCCCTCCTTTTCAATTGTTTGGAATAGTTTCAGAAGGAATGGTACTAGCTCCTCTTTGTATTTCTGGTAGAATTCAGCTGTGAATCCTTCTTGCCCTGGGCTTTTTTTGGTTGGTAGGCTATTAATTACTGCCTCAGTTTCAGAGCTTCTTATTGGTCTATTCAGGGATTCAACTTCTTCCTGGTTTGGTCTTGGTAGGGTGTATGCATCCAGGAATTTATCCATTTCTTCTAGATTTTCTAGTTTATTTGCATAGAGGTGTTTGTAGTATTCTCTAATGGTAATTTGTATTTCTGTGGGGTCAGTGGTGATATCCCCTTTATCATTTTTTATTGTGTCTATTTGATTCTTCTCTCTTCTTATTAATCTAGCTAGTGGTCTTTCTATTTAGTTAATTTTTTTTCAAAAAACCAGCTCCTGGATTCATGGATTTTTTGGAGGGTTTATTGTGTCTCTGTCTCCTTCAATTCTTCTCTGATGTTAGTTATTTTTTGTCTTCTGCTAGCTTTTGGATTAGTTTGCTCTTGCCTCTGTAGCTCTTTTAATTGTGATGTTAGGGTGTTGATTTGAGATCTTTCTAGCTTTCTGATGCAGGCATTTAGTGCTGTAAATTTCCCTCTTAACACTGCTTTAGCTGTGTCCCAGAGATTCTGGTATATTACCTTTGTTCTCATTGGTTTCAAATAACTTCTTGATTTTTGCCTTAGTTTCATTATTTACCCAGGAGTCATTCAGGAGCAGGTTGTTCAACTTCCATGAAATTGTGTGGTACTGAGTGAGCTTCTTAATCCTGAGTTCTAATTTGATTGCACTGTCGTCTGAAAGACTGTTTGTTATGATTTCAGTTCTTTTGCATTTGCTGAGGAGTGCTTTACTTCCAATTATATGGTTGATTTTAGCATAAGTGCCATATGGCACTGGAAAGAATGTATATTCTGTTGATTTGGAGTAGAAAGGTCTGTAGACGTCTACTAGGTCCACTTGATCCAGAGCTGAGTTCCAAGTCCTGAATATCCTTGTTAATTTTCTGTCTCATTGATCTGTCTAATACTGACAGTGGGGTGTTAAGGTCTCTCACTATCACTGTGTGGGAGTCTAAGTCTCTTTGTAGGTCTCTAAGCATATGTTTTATGAATTTGAGTGCTCCAGTATTGGGTACATATATATTCAGAATAGTTAGCTCTTCTTGTTGAATTGTTCCCTTTACCATTACATAGTGCCCTTCTTTTTTGATCTTTGTTGGTTTAAAGTCTGTTTTGACAGAGACTAGGATTGCAACCCCTGTTTTGTTGTTGTTGTTGTTGTTTCGTTTTTTTGTTTGTTTTTTTTTTTGCTTTCCATTTGCTTGGTAAATTTTCCTCCTTCCCTTTATTTTGAGCCTGTGTGTCTTTGCATGTAAGATGGGTCTCCTGAATACAGTACACTGACAGGTGTTGACTCGTTATCCAATTTGCCTGTCTGTGTCTTTTAATTGGTGGCATTCAGCCCATTTACATTTAAGGTTAGTATTGTTATATGTGAATTTGATCCTGTCATAATGCTATTTGATTATTTTGCACACTAGTTGATCCAGTTTCTTCATAGTGTCATTGGTCTTTATATTTTGGTGTGTTTTTGCAGTGGCTGCTACCAGTTTTTCCTTTCCATATTTAGTGCTTCTTTCAGGAGCTGTTGCAGAGCAGGCCTGGTGGTAACAAAATCCCTCAGCATTTGCTTGTCTGGAAAGGATTTTATTTCTCCTTCGCTTATGAAGCTTAGTTTGGCTGGATATGAAATTCTGGGTTGAAAATTATTTTCTTTAAGAATGTTGAATATTGACCCTCAATCTCTTCTGGCTTATAGAGTTTCTGTGAGATGTCGGCTGTTAGTCTGATGGGCTTCCCTTTGTATGTGACCTGGCCTTTCTCTCTGGCTGCCCTTAACAGGTTTTCCTTCATTTTAACTTCAGAGAATCTGGCAATTATGTGTCTTGGGGTTGATCTTCTCATGGAGTATCTTAATGGTGTTGTCTGTATTTTCTGAATTTACATGTTGGCCTGTCTTCCTAGGTTGGGGAAGTTTTCCTAGATAATATCCTGAAGTGTGTTTTCTAGCTTGTTTCCATTCTCCCCATCTCCTTCTGCTACTCCAATCAATCGTAGGTTTGGCCTTTTTATGAAGTCCCATATTTCTTGGAGGCTTTGTTCATTCCTTTTCATTCTTTTTTCTCTATTCTTGTCTGTATATCTTATTTCAGTAAGGTGGTCTTCAAACTCTGATATCCTTTCTTCCACTTGGTCGATTCTGCTGTTGATACTTGTGTATGCTTCACGAAGTTCTCATGCTGTGTTTTTCAGCTCCATCAGGTTGGTTATGTTCTTCTCTAAGCTGGTTATTCTAGTTAGCAATTGCTCTAACTTTTTATGAAGGTTCTTAGCTTCTTTCCATTGGGTTAGAACATGCTCCATTAGTTGATCATAATTTTTTTATTACACATCTTCTGAAGTCTACTTCTGTCAATTCATCCCTCTGATCCTCCGTCCAGTTCTGTGCCCTTGATGGAGAGACACTGTGATCATGTGGAGGAAAAGAGGCACTCTGGCCTTTTGGGTTTTCAGCATTTTTTTCATTGATTCTTTCTTATCTTCATGAGTTTGTCTAGTTTTGGTCTTTGAGGCTGCTGACCCTTAGATGGGGTTTTTGTGGGGGCCTTTTTTGTTGTTGTTGTTGTCATTTTCTGCTTCTTTGTTTTTCTTTAAATAGGCCCCTTTTCTGTAGGGCTGCTGCAGTTTGCTGGGGTGAATGGCCCTACTCATCTGATTTGCTCTTATACCTGGAGATGTCACTCAAGGAAGCTGGAAAGCAGCAAAGATGGGTGCCTGCTCCTTTTTCTGGGACCTCTGACCTTGAGGGGCACCAGCCTGATGCCAGTAGGATCACTCCTGTATAGGGTATCTGACAACCCCTGTTGGAGGGTCTCACCCAGTTGGGTGACACAGGGAGCAGGACCCATCTAATGAAGCAATTTGTCCCTTAGTAGAGAGGGTATGTTTCACTGGGGGAAACCCACTTGTCTGGGCTGCCTGGATTACTCAGAACTACCAGGAGGAGAGGCTAAGCCTGCTGGTCCACAGAGACTGCAGCCACCCCTCCCACTAGGGTCTCAGGCCCAGGGAGATCCAAATTCTGTCCCTGAGCCTCTGGCTGGAGTTATTGGAGATCCTGCAGGAAAGCCACTGAGGAAGGATGGGTCAGAGTTAGACCTGAAGAGGCACTCTGGCCGCAGACTGCCACAGCTGGTGTGTTGGGCTGTGGGGACAAGTCATGGGACCAAGCTGTCCAGCCTGCCTGGCTCCAGCAGGGGAAAAGCGCAGCCTGGAACTATAGAAATGGGTGCTGCCCTTCCCCTACCCAGGGGGCTTAGCATGTTAGGCAGTTGCAAGTCCCAGTGCTGGCTGCTGCCCCTCCCACAAGGAGTTCAAATGGCTTAGACATCAGGCAGCTGCAGCCAGTGCTGGCCACCCTTCCTCATGGGAATTGGGTAAGCTTAAGCAGATTCCAGCTGAGAGGCTGTACGAATCTGCGCGTTCCAGGGTTGTGATGCTAGCCCCAGTGGCGTGGGTTTGCAAGTGGAATCTTCTGATCTGTGGGTTGCACAGTTCCATGGAAAAACAACAGTTTCCCTGGCTGGGTAGCACTCTTACTCACCACCTCCCCTGGCTTGGGGGAAGGGGGTTCCCCTTCCCCATGTGGCTCTCAGGTGGGCTGCCACACCACACTGCTCTTCCTTCTCTGTGTGGGTAATGCCAGCCTTCTAGTCAATTTTGATGAGAGAACCTGGATACCTTGGTTGCTGGTGAAGGATTCACATGCTTATGCTTTTTTTCCCATAGGAGCCTCCTACATGGTGCTGCTTCTAGTCGGCCGTCTTGGCCCCACCCCTAGTTTTGCATGGCTGGGAGGCCTCAGGAAACTTAAAATCATGGCGCAAGGCAAAGGGAAAGCAACGCACCTTCTTCACAAGGCAGCAGGAGGGAGCTGGAGTGATTTTCTAAGAATAATTCTGGCCAAACTTTCATGCACTCCCGCAGCCAAACTCCATTTGGATCTATTCAGGCAGGAATCATATTTCAGCTCCTTAACTCTCATAAGTGGAAACTGACACCAACTCATTATAAAACCTAAGTGGAAAAAAAAACCCTTCTCTGCCATTTTTATCTCCTTGTTTATAGATAATTCAACTAATAGGTATTTTTACTTGTCAATATTGACATGGTTGTTTTCAGTTCTGGTTGTAATGATGAAAATCATACTGATTATCACAGGTATTGCTTGCCTCCCACAAGTGCACACCCTGCCTCCCTGCTAGAAGAGTCCCAATTTGTACACTGGATCCACAATTTTCTCCTTTTTTTTTTTTTTTTTTTTAAGAGATGGAGTCTTGCCATGTTGCTCAGGCTGGTCTCAAATTCCTGGGCTAGAGCAATCCTCCCACCCTGGCCTTCCCATGTGCTGGGATTATAGGAGTGAGCCACTGTGGCTGGCAAATAGCCACACTTTTCACATGATCTCACGCTTCAGAAAAGGTAGGCTCCAGCCCCAATCTTAAGGAGGGAATTACAACTGGTCTAGTCATAGGAACATGATTAAATTCTGTCAAGCAAAATGAATGTACGTGGAAGTCTGTGGGGAGAATGGGAAGTTGGAGAGAACCTGGATCCTTGATCAAATCCCTGGGAAATAAAATTTTCCTCATTTCTTTAAACAATTAATATGAATTTTCAGTTCTTGCATCTGAAAAAAAGATCCTAGAAGGCTCACAGAGCCTAACAGAGCCTAATAGATTAGTAAATTGACTACACACTTGTAAGCAGTTTGGCTGGAGCGGGAGGATATTAGGGAATTATGAAATATAATAACATCTTTCTTTCAAACTTGGTAATTCCTTTCAAAACAATGAATACAAAGTATTAAAATATCATTAGAAATTTCCAAAATCTATCTTAACATCTACTGAATTTGATACTTTACAAGGTTGCATTTTAATTTCCTGTAGCAAATTATCATTTTCTTAAATCTTACAAAAATGATATTTTCCCTATACTCTACTATAAGAATTTGTATATACATACATATATACACACACAGACACACATGCATACACCTTTTATACTACTTTGGCATAATATTATGTTAGTTAATATAACAGTAAGTATAAATATAAAAATCTGGCTTCTACTTTGTTGTTAAAATAATACAATTGAAAGGCCTCAAATGAGAATAAGAATATAGCAAATCAGAAATATTATGAGGTTTACAAATATGTAAATTTCATTTATTTTTGAAAAGTTCGGAAGTAAACAATCCTTAGTACCTGTAATGAGCTATTCATAATAAAGGGCAAACACCAAGACCAGTGCCACGTAGGATTCTGCTTCGTGTTTAGCTGCGACCCAGCTGTCCCATGCAATGTCCCAGATCCATCTGCTGGCAATCTGTGAGAGAAATTTTGTAAAGACCAACTTTAGATTGAACATATTAAGAAGTAATTTTCAAATCTACACTAGTTTTTTAAAAATGAATGCATCAGTATCTCAGAAATTATTTTTAAGATGTAATTTGTCTGGTTTTCCCTTTCATAAAGAGCCTGGAGAATGACGCTGCCCCAGCCCATCCTTCTTCTTTACCGGAGGCTGGCCTTTCTCTAAACAGAGAGAGGCTCCCTTAGCTGTGTTTCCAGGGCCAGGAGCAGAAGGCCCCTGGGAATGGGGATGTAGTGGCTCTGCATACAGTATGACTCTGCCATGTAGTCCATGATAAGGAAGTCTTCCCACCCTTTAAAGATTTTCAGCCAAAGAGGTTTGTCAGGGCCTTGCCTTGAAATGAAGAAATGGCAGTAACTATACAAGTAGGCTGTTACGGACAATTCTAACTCCTTTTCTCTGTGTACAAACCCATATGTGATCTGATTCCAGCCCACTTCTTTGTGGAGGATCTAAAATGGCCCCAATTTTTTTTTTTTTTTGAGACATAGTTTCACTCTTATTTCCCAGGCTAGAGTGTAATGGCGTGATCTCGGTTCACTGCAACCTCCACCTCCTGAGTTCAAGTGATTCTCCTGCCTCAGCCTCCTGAGTAGCTGGGATTACAGGTGCCTGCCACCACATCCAGCTAATTTTTGTATTTTTAGTAGAGATGGGGTTTCACCATGTTGACCAAGCTGCTTGAACTCCTGACCTCAGCTGATCCACCCGCATCAGCCTCCCAAAGTGCTGGGATTACAGACATGAGCTACCACGTCTGGCCGAAAAAGGCCCAAATTCTTTATGGCTTCTCCTATTAGGAAGTTGACTTTATGTCCCCACCCTGTGAATAAGTCTTGGCCTTGTGACTTGCTATGAGTTGTAAAATATGACACTGTGAAACTTCCAAGCAAGGCCTTCAGAGGTCTTGTAGCTTCTGCTCTCACACTCGTGGAACACTATGCTGAGACCCCCATGTTATGAAAGCCCACTCAACCTATTGGAGGATGCTGGCTCACATGCAGGAGAACCCAGGTGCCCAGGCCACAGCTAGCCCACCAGTCAGACAAGTGACAGAAGCCATCTTGGACCTGCAGGCCCAGGTAAGTCATTAGAGGGCTACAAGTGCATCAGTGAGACCAGCAGAAAAGCCAAGTAGCTGACCCAGGCTGAGCTGACTCACAGAAAGTAAGCAAATACATGGCTGTTGTTATAAGATACTCAGTTCTGGGGTGGTTTGTTATACAATAATATAAGCTGAAACATTCCCCCACTGCACATCATGCCACTATCTACTAGCTACTAGTCCAGCTACACTTGTTACATATCAAGCACTCCAAGTCATCCCTGCCTCAGGATCTTTGCACTTGAAGTTTTCTCTGCTTGGAACATTCTCCCTTCTCTTTGGTACAGCTGGTTCCTTCTTATCTGAACATCAGAGGGTTCTCCCTTCTCTAAACAATCCCAAGTAGCCACTCTGCTACTCTGTCATATCCCTACCTTAATGTTCTCTTTGTAGCACTTATCATCTACAACGTCCCTATTTCTTAAGTCTGTATGTCATATGTGGTGCAGCTTCTCTTCTCCATGGGAGCCAGGACGGTTCTTTCTTGCTGACTGGCGGTTCTCTCGCCAGTACCCCTCTGCCAGTCCAGGTCCCCCTCCCCATGCTTCATCATGCAGTCCACTCCTCTATGGAACCTCTACAGATTCTTCCAAACACAGCTTTTTCTCTCTTTTCTCTCCAACTCCCACATATTCCTTACCAACTCCTTACATAATTACACAGCCTAGTGATATTATCTCTTTATTAATAAATAATGTTTATAATTACCTTGCTGTTTATTGAGGGCTCTGTGCTGGTGATTATGTTAAGGATTTTAATACAGATAATTTCATTTAATCTTCACAACAGCTCTAGGAAGCCAGTTTTATCATCACCATTTTATAGATGAAGAAACTGTGCCAAGGCCACAGCCAGCAAGTGTGGCAGAGGCAATCTGACTCCAAAACCCAGGCTGTTTACATTATCCCTATCATTTTATTTCCCTGAATTCTAAATTGTGCTGCTTTATCTCCTTAAGTAGAGTAAAATCTCCTTGAGAATCATGGTCCGTGTTTTATCATTCCTTGATTTTCCTTAGTACCTAACACCTATTAGTGCCCAAAATAAATTTACTGGTTAACTTAAATGACATTAAACTGTCAAAATTGATATGATCAAGGAACAGAATAGCAGTGCAATTTAATAAATTAGTAGTACCAAATTGCTACTTCTAGGTTTGTACTTTTCTTTCTTTTTTTTTGAGTCTGTTGCCCAGGCTGGAGTGCAGTGGAGCGAACTCGGGCCACTGCAACCTCTGCTTCCCAGTCTCAAGTGAGTCTCCTGCCTTAGCCTCCCGAGTAGCTGGGAATACAGGCACCCACCACCATGCCCAGCTAATTTTTGTATTTTTAGTAGAGACGGGGTTTCACCATGTTAGCCAGGCTGGTCTCAAACTCCTGACCTCAGGTGATCCACCTGCCTCAGCCTCCCAAACTACTGGGATTACAGGCATGAGCCAACGAACCCAGCTGGTTTGTACTTTTCAAATAATTTACAGTGAAATAAATATACTTAACAACATGATACTTTCCTTCAAAAAGTACCTCAGAATCTATGGCATGCCCTTGAGTCATCACAATAAAAATCAAATCACTAGGGAGGAGATGCCTTATAGTTCTAATTGCTAGATCCTGTATCAATGGGGTACTTACATTTATTGCTTGGCCAGTCTTTTGAATAAATAATACTTTTATAATGAACTTATAACGGTGGTACCCAAATTCTTTGACTGCTAACAGTATGCGGTCTGCCAATTCAAGTGACAAGTGAGAGAATACTTTATCATCATATTTGACATCTTTAAGACTTTCCTTTAAGAAAATTTAAGAAAAATACTTTTATTTTCAAACCAAATATTTTCTATATAAAAATTCAAGTAGAAAACATGTCTAAATAATATATATATAACTGTTTTAAAATAAATATATTCCTAACTAAATAATATTAAATAAATTTTATGCTTACCTATTTCAGTAACAATTTTGAGGAATATTTATTGGGGTTTTCAAATTATATTCAATTACTTTTCATTAGCGATACAAGCTGTAAGTTGTAATTTACTAGACTACTCTGCCAAACAGTTAATAGACACAAGGAGATTTTCTAAAGAAGACTTCTAGAAGGTAAAGGAAATTCTTAGGTAAAGGAAAGAAACCTTTTTAAATTTATACATTTATTAAAATTCAGATTTTGGTTTTCTTATACTGAAGATTACTTGGACTCAGAACCTGTACCAAGTCACTGCCCTGCTCAGTGGGCTCATATTAAAACTACTTCTTTCCAGCCCTCCCCTCTAGTCTCTCACTCCACTAATTTTTCTCTGGCCTCCAGGAAAATGAAATCAAAGATTTCTAACCATGTTTATTAATAAATTAATGTATAGCTTGAAGGAAATGGACATGGCTTGTGGACTATAAAGCATTACTCTTACAAACCAGGAGCAGAACTGGACACCTAGCAGACAGACTACACATCTCTGATTAACTAACTTGTTGTGCCTGCACCAATGACACAATACCTTCTGGTTCTAGTGACAATTGTATGAGCCAATTCCTGGAATAAATTTCTTCGTATATATAATTTCTGTTTCTCTGTAGAACCCTCATACAATACTGCTATCATATATATTTATCAACCTACTGTTAGTATCTGCTGGACTTTAGTTTCTACTGAATGAGCTTGGAATTTCTTCAATGGCTCCATTCTATATGAATTAGCAAACTTTAATTTTGCCAGGGCACTCTTCCATTCTTTACCTATATCAGCAATTGAGTCATCAAAAGGAGGCTCCACATACTGAACATTGTGAATTGACTCTCTCAGTCTTTCTCTTAAAATCTGTGTATACTGGAGGAGAAAGAGAGAGGGGAAGAGAGAAAGGCAGAAAGATTACTTTTTAAACTGTAAATGAGTTTTCAGATTAAATAAGCCTGTACAGTGGGACAGGGCTCACACAAAGCTTGGAAATTTGTTAAACAGATTTCTACAATAATGTGGTTGCTAAATCCTAGATTCACTCCTGGCTATCAATTTGGCAAAAAAAAATAGGAATACTATTTATTCTTTTATCTATACTCACAAACATATACATACAAATTGCATGCATATATTTAGAATATCCATGGATGATCCAAAGGAACTAGAAACAAGAGTGGCCTCCAGGGAGGGCAACTGAGTGGCTATGGGATGGAGATATAGGGAAAACCTTTCTTCCTCCCTACCCTGAGATTATGAAAATATTATCCTTCATTGTCTTAAAATTTTATTTTACTTCATTTACTTATTTTTAAATAATACAATTATTTAGATAGCACATTCGTAAGTCTTAAGGTGAAAAGACACCAAAAGAGCATTGATTTGATATATATATCAGTTCATGCTTTTGACATGAAACATCCATTCTGTGACATCCAATATGCATTAATGAAATATTTGCTTAGTGCCCAATATGTCCCAGATAAATGCTCTAACCTCTTAAGTTAAAGCAGTAAGCTTCATTTTATTAATAGCCAGGAATTTCTTTTTCTTGCCTAATTGCTTGGCTAGAACTTCCAGCTCTATGTTGAAAAGAAGTGGCAAAAGTGGACATCCTTGCTTTGTTACTAATATTACAGGAAAAGCTTTCAGTGTTTCCCCATCGAGTATGATGTTTGCTGTGAAGTTTTTTTTGTTTGTTTTTTTTTTTGAGACAGTCTTGCTCAGTCGCCCAGGCTGGAGTGCAGTGGCGCGATCTTGGCTCACTGCAACCTCTGCCTCCTAGGTTGAAGTTATTCTTCTGCCTCAGCCTCCTGAGTAGCTGGGACTACAGGTGCATGCCACCACTCCCAACTAATTTTTTTGTTGTTGTTGTATTTTTAGTAGAGACGGGGTTTCACCATGTTAGCCAGTATGGTCTTGATCTCCTGACCTCGTGATCCACCTGCCTTGGCCTCCCAAAATGCTAGGATTACAGACATGAGCCACTGCACCCAGCATTTGCTGTGCAGTTTTCATATAGAGCTTTTATTAGGTTGAAGTAGTTTCCTCCTATTTCTAGTTTTTGGGGTGTTTTTATAATAAAAGAGTGTTGAATTTGACATATAGTTTTCTTCATCAATTGAGATTTATCATGTGGTTTATTTCATTTAGTTAATGTGGTGTATTACCTTGATCGATTTTCATATGTTGGACCATCCTTGCATTCCAGGAACAAATTTCACTTGGCCTCGGTGTCAAATCCTTTAAATAAAATGCTGAATTCAGTTTGCTAGTATTTCGTTTAGAATTTTTGCATCAGTGTTAATACATGATACAGGTCTGTAATTTGCTTTTTTTGTAGCATCTTTGTCTGCCTTTGGTATTAGGGTAATGCTGACTTCACAGAATGAGTTAGACAGTATTCTCTCTGCTTTTATCTTCTGAAAGAGATTGTAATAATTGATATAACTTTTTCCTTAAATGCTTGGTAGAATTCACCAAGGAAATCACCTGAACCTGGTGATTTCTGCTTTGGAAGGCTGTTATTGATTCAAGTTTTAAAAACAGATATATGCTTATTCAGATTATCTATTTCTTTTTGTATGACTTTTGGGAAATTGCATCTTTCAAGGAACTGGTCCATTTCATCTAGGTTATCAAATTTCTGGGCACAGAATTGTTCATAATATTCTTTCATTATATTTATAGTGTTCATGTAATTTCTAGCAATATCCTGACTTGCATTTCTGCTATTAGTAATGTGTGTCCTCTCTTTCTTAGCCTGCATAGAGGCTTATAGATTTTATTGATCTTTTCAAAGAAAAAGCTTTTGGTTTTGTTGGTACCTGATTTCAATTTCATCAATTTCTGCTATAATTTTTATTATTTCTTTTCTTCTTGGATTTAATTTGTTCTTCTTTTTCTAGTTTCTTTGAGGCTTATTTTAGCTCTTTCTTCTTTTCTAATATATGCACACATTCAATACTATACATTTCCTTCCAACCCATTTTTGCTGCACTCTACAAATTTTGGTATGTTTTCATTTTTATTTAGCTCAAAATATTTTTTAAATTTGAGATTTCTTCTTTTGTAACAGTGTTTTTTGATGTGTAGCATTTCTAGTTCTTTCTTAGGATTTCCATTTCTATGCTTACATTGCTCATCCGTTCTTGCATGCTATTTTGTCAACTACAGCCCTTTAACATATTAATCATAGTTACTTAAATTGTGATAATTCCAACATCCCTGCCATGTCTGGTTCTGCTGCTCACTCTGTGTGTTTGTTGTTGTTTTTAGTATGCCTAATTTTTTTCCTGATAGCCAGACATGATTCACCAGGTAAAGAAACTGCTGTTAACAAGGCCTCTGGCAATGTGCTGGTAATGTATTAACGGAGAGGAAGCATTCTGTAGTTGTATGACTAGGTATTTTAGTGAACCTGTGCTTCTGGACTGTGAACTTCACATATGTTTCTGAGTTTTTTGTTTTTTTCCCTACTTGCTTAAGTCACACAGGATGGCTAAGGAGGGCTGGAGTGAGGTCACAGAGCAAACTGCTGCTTGTTAATCTACTTTTGGGGGCAGCAGTTTGTCCTGTGACCTCACTTTTTTCAGTTTGTTCAGCTTTTTACTTGTTAGGACATAGTAGGGACTTTAAGGAAGCTGGAAGTCTTACCTTTGCTTTTTGAACGATATTTTAGCTGAGTATAGAATTCTAGGTTGTTAGTCATTTTCTTTCAATCCTTAAAGATGATGCTTCGATGTCTTCTGTCTTGCATTGTTTCTGAGAAGTATGCTGTCATTTTGTCTGTTTCTATGTGTGTAACGTTCCTTTGTTCTAGTTGCCTTTAAATTTTTAAGTCACTGGTTTCAAGCAATTTTATTATTCTATGTCTTGGCATAATTTTCTTCATGTGTCTTGTGCTTGGAGTTCACTGAGCCTCTTAGATTTGTGGGTTTATAGTTTTCAACAGATTTGAAAATTTCTCATTCCTTATTTCTTCCAGTACTTTTTGTCTGTCCTCTCTCACCTCTTTGGGGACTCAAATTATAAGAACGTTAGGCAACTTTAAGTTCTGTCAAAGCTCATTGACATCGTGTAATATTTTTTCAGCATCCCCCCCAATTTCCACATCTCTAAATGTCCTTTCTTCTGCACTGTTGAATCTGCTGTTAATACCATTTAGTGTATTTTCATCCCTGACATAGTATTTTTCATCTACAGAAGTTCAATTTGAATTTAACATGCTCAGTCTTTCTCTACACTCTTAAATATATGGAATGTAATTATAATAACTTCATATGATTAAATTTGACGAAAACTAATAACTCTCTTAACTACTTTAATGTCTGTTTATACTAATTCTATTTTTGTGTAATTTCTGGGCTGTTTTTACTGCTTCTTCAATTTTGAACTTTATTTTCGTGCTTTTCTGTAGGTCTATTAATATTTAAAGACCAGACAGTGTGAATTTTACCTTCTTATAGGCTGGATATTTTTGTATTCCTAAGACTCTTGAGCTTTCTTCTAGAACAAAGACATTTGGAAACAGTTTAATCCTCTTTAGCCTTGCTTCTCAACCTTGATAAGCCAGATCAGAGAACTTGTTCTCTATTTTTTCCCACTACTGAGGCAATACACGTCTTAGCACGCTAACCAAAGCCCTGTATTTTTCATGATTTTCCACTTTTTCTGGTGGGAACATGTCCAAGGATTTTTTTTCTGTTCCTTTTGGGTGATTCTTTCTCCACCTCCACTCTCCACCTTTGGTGAGAAGCTTCCTCACCAGATGCACTGCTGCACTCAGCTGAATATTCTGGGAAACCCTCTGTAGGTCTTTGGGGCGGTTTGTGCATCCCTGTCTTAATACTCTGCTCTCCAGTCTCATGCTACCTTGGCTTCCCAGGCTCCTAACTCCTTTTGAAATAAAGGAGGCCTTTCCTTGTGTTGTAGCCTGGAAACTCTCACCAGGCAATTAAGGTGGGGGCAATATTGGGGTTCACCTTACCTATTTCTCATCTCTTGGAAATCACTCTCGTCCTGCCTGACACCTAAATCAATGGAAACAATTGTTCCATACATTTTTGTGTGTTACTTTAAGTAGTTTCTGATAAGAATTACTCCATATTGGCTGCGAGTAGAAGTCCCTCACATAAATAAATCTCTTCTTGTGATCATCTGTCAGGCTTCTGTGTCTCTTAACTGCAAAAGCAGCATTATTAGCTCCCTAAACCTCTTAAAAACAAAATCATTTTGTTCTTGTTTATTAAGAGAATGCTTCTCTAAGGCAGTGATTGGGACCTTCCTTTCCTCCACAATATACTCAAGGGATGCAACTACATAGTATCATTAACAGCGGCTTTCAACTGCAATGATTCTTAAGGAAATGGGGCATTCGTGTGTGGCCTGAAAATAACCATTAATGCTTCTAATATGCTGAAAATTTACATCTGTACCATTTCTCCTTTGTGTATAATATTGGCTGACTTGCTATACTTATTAAGAGTATTTTATTCCTTTTATTAAGAATCTTTATAATCTTTTTTAAATTGGGAATAGGCTTTAAATATGATCAACTTTTTGGCATCTAATAATACCTGAGTTTCTACTGATATAGCATTTCCTTATATTGAGCCTACATATAGCCCTAAAATAAAATGAGCTTGGGCAGGAGATATTACTTTTATTTCTAAATGCCACATGCTAGTGTTTAAGATTTTTTTTTTCTTTTCTGAGACAAGAGTCTCACTCTGTTGCCCAGGCTGGAGTGCAGTGGCATGATCTCGGCTCACTGCAACTTCCTCCTCCCGGGTTCAAGCAATTCTCGTGCCTCAGCCTCCCTGAGTAGCTGGGATTACAGGTGCCTACCACCAAGCCCGGCTAATTTTTGTATTTTTAGTAGAGACGGGGTTTTGGCATGTTGGCCAGGCTGGTTTTGAACTCCTGACCTCAGGTGATCCATCCGCCTTGGCCTCCCAAAGTGGGGATTACATGCATGGGCCACTGCACCCGGCTGTATTTAAGAATTTCAATGCATGTGCACAAGTGAGAACAATCACGTTTTCCAATTTTAGTAATCTACTTCGCATTTTGTTACCTTTGATCGCAACAACAGGAACTCATTCGTGTTAAGCCAAAGTATAATTTATTGGAAAGATACAGTTTACATAACAGCAGAGAAGGCTGATGAACCAGATTCAGAAAGACACAGGGAACACTTTAGCTTCTCATCTTCAATGTGAATAAACCTCAATCATTTTCTTTGCATTATTTCAAAGAATTCATCTAATTAGCTTAGTTTGGGTCTCATCCTTATTAAAAAGTTAAGGGAAGTAGCTGACAATCTCACCAAAGCTCTATACAATTGCAGATGAGTTAATTCTCTAAAAGTTAACTGAGGTGCTACCACTAGAAAAAAAGAAATGGAGGCAAGACAGATAAAATCAAGAGATGGTCATATTGATGAAACAGTATGTCTTAAATTTTCCTATGCTCCAAAATAGGGAAATTAACAGCTACCTTAAATTAGAAATAACTAAGTGAACAGTTTCCTCAGGTACATTTAGTGAGCATTTGTAGAGTCCTTTCTCAATTTCTTCCCAATTATTGTTCTATTCAAATTTCTCACCTCTAAAAGAATCAACTTTAAAGATAGCTATAATTGATCACATCCATATCAAATACTAATAATTACTTTGGTCCATGTCCCCTCACTCCCAGATTTTAACCTATATACCAGGTGCACCTATGTGTCTCCTCATTTTGAGTTCAGGCTCATTGAATTTTAAAGACCACTTCAGACCTCAGATAGGCAGTAAGTTTATAAAAGCCACCCTTGTCTGCCTCAATATATAGAAATTTTTCTTTACTGTTGGTGACCTGTTACTCAGACTCATTGCCAAGAAATACAGCATAGTGTTTGGGAGTGTGAAGTTTTAAGTCCAACTGATTTAGGTTTCTAGCCCTGCTCTGCTCTTTTTCTTAGCTGTGTAAACTTGGCCTGTTTGCTTTTCCTCCTTTATTTAGTTCGTTCTTTCCTCTGTAAAATGTAGACACCAGGGAAACAAGAACCTGAAATTTCGCCATTATTTTGAGAATTCTCTTTTTAAGAGTAATCTTAAAATGTTTTAGGGTCTTCAAAAAATTGTTTTGCCTGTCATCTCTATCTTCATCCTATTATAGGTCCACGAAGTAAGTACGAAGAGAAACCAGTATAGGCCAATTGGACCGAGTACTAGCATACAGGTTCTGGTCCCAGCTCTATCATTACAGCTTTGTATCCTTGGGCAAACTAATTTTCTGTTAAAGTATCAATAAAATATAGAGTCTTTAATACATTAACGGTTTTCAAAGCCTAATCATATAGAAATACCTGTTATACCACCAATAAAACTGAATAATGACCCTTTCCATCAATATCAGTAAGTTTTGGACAGGGTATTTTCAACTTAAGTTTTTTTCTCCTGTACATTCTTCAAATATCCAGACTGCTGATGTTTTAAAAACCCAAAACATGGCACTATTCTGCCTGGTTTATCAAATTATTTTTTTAATACAACACACTCATTTTTCGCTAGCAAAACTGCTTATAATGGCACTAAATACACTAACATACTGTGTTTTAGTACAAAGCAATAATACTCAGAGTACTCTCAGGAAATCCGCAAGCTGAGTAAATTTGAAAAGAAGATCTTGTAACCACCCTTCCAATCGACTTATGTAGGGTTCTATGGCCCTAATTAAAAAACAAGAAAACTTTAGCACTCAAGTCCAAAGGGGACTGCCCAACTCAGTCTCAGGCTTCAATTTCGCATCTGGGGAAAAAAGAAACACAAAAGGGAGATGCTGCCTCCTTGGCTCTGGGGGTGGTGACGGGAGCGGGGCCCACTGGGGAGCGATTTCACTTAAACGGTCGGACATAGCCGTCTCGGGCCCCTAGCAGTCTCCGCACTCACTGCCTCCTTCTCGAACATGCTAGGCCTCCTTTCTTTCCTAGGCGTCACCGGAGCCTGCTGAGGGGTCTGGTTCGGGGTCTGGATGGGGCTCGACTTCACGCCTCGGCCTCGCTTCTCCATCTCGCTCTGTTCTCCAAGACGCCCACCGCCTCCCCTTCACCGCCGGCGGTCAAACGCCCTAGCCAGTCCCGCGAGGGCGGAAGTCTCCCACCTGCGCCTCGTACGGTAGGAAGTGCCCGCCAGGGCTCCAAAGCGCCTGGAGGAGGGGCGCGCAGGCGCCTGCGTCATTCACGCGCGCCGCAGCGGGGCACCGGAAGTTATGGAGGTAGGGCGGGTGTAGGGCCCGGTTCGATCCCGAGCTAGGCAGGGAGTCGGCGCCAGGCTGGGTGGTGCTCGGCTACGCGGAGTGGGCGAGCGAGCACGCGCCTGCGGTGGCCGGCGGTCCCGCGCTGGAGGGCGCTGGCGACGTCGCGGCCCTGGCCTCTGTGGCGGTATCGGACGCTCGGCCCTGCAAGACGCCTGGCGGGCCCTGCCGGCCTCCCTGGGCCAGGCTCGGTTTCTCCGTCGCCTCCTGGCCCTGAGCTGGAACGCGGCGGACGGTCAGGGAGGGCTGTGCGCGGTGGCGCGGGGGCGGAAAGCCGCAGGTCGGGCTCTCACCTGACCGTGGCTCGTTCCTAGAAGCGCAGTTTCCTAGTCGCTGCCTGTAGGGTCCACACTCGGACAGTAAATTTGTGTTCATCGCCGGGCGTGGTGGGGCCTGTGGTCCCATCTACTCCGTAGGCTGAGGTGGAAGGATCGCTTTAGCCCAGGAGGTGGAGGCTGCAGTGAGCCGAGATCGCGCCACTGCACCCCTGTCTGGGCGACGGCGAGACCCCGTCTCCAAAATGATGATAACGATAACTACCATTTTTGAGTACTATGTGCTAGATGCTTTTCATGTGTTATCTGATTACTGTAGCCCTACCAGGTGCAGCCTGGCACCGTTTTATTTCACTTAGAACTGAGATTCCGATAAAGTAACTTTTCCAAGGCAAGAGGTAGTCAGAGGCTGAGGAATGATTCAAATTTAAGTCCAGCTCCAAAGCACCGGCCCAGTGTAGTCTGCAGAGTTCCAGCCCCATAGAGCCACATGGAGGATGCGAGTGACAATCGCCAATCAACAAATAGTTGATGTAGATTTCTTTAGTGATGACTTAATTGTTAGGGCCTGCTGGGATTGTTCGAAAACCAGGGCTGAGAGTGGAAAGTGCAACTTCTGGGTGCAGGAGGAGCAAACAGGGCAACTGATAGCAGTTTCCACATTAGGAAGCTGCCCAGAGCTAATTATGACTGTCACAACACAGCCCCCCCTTAACTCAACACACCAAAATAAAGAGCTTCGGTTCCGCTTTAGATCCTGAATTTGACTTCTTTGCAGGTTTATACGATGGTCTTAGTGTCATGTGGGGTAATTGTGAGGATTTCGATTGTATTTAATTCTCCATGGAAAACCAGTACGGTTTGCTACTTTTTACATGGCAGGGAAGGCTAAACTTTACCTCTGCCCATCTTAGTTCGGAGTGACCCCTTTAACAAATGAAAGGATAACAAGAAAAAAGTTTATTCTTGGACAGAGTACACATCACAAGGGATAAACCTTAATGAGAAGTAACTTGAAATGGTGGCTTAGAACTACATTTGTATACCATCTTCAACAAAGAACTGTAGATTTGCAGAGAAGTGACAGGACACAGGAGAGCAGTTTTAGGCTTCAAAGGGCAGGAAATTGGGAAGGTAGATACATATTCGGAAACTAATGGAGTAAGAATTGTTTGCAGATTCCCCTGGTACCTTAACTGGTCTGGTAAGTCTAAAGTTATCCCCAGTAAAGAATTTATATCCTGTCTTTGGGCGGAAGAGGGGGAGGATAGAGAGAGCTTTTCCTTCATTTGCTGCCTCTTGTCTTCAGCTCAAATTTGTTGTTGTTTTTATATCGAAGAGGCATGTTTTGGGATGACATTGTGGTTTTCTTCAACACCGTTTAGGTAGTCAGAGGTACGTGGGGTTCTTTTTCCTTCTTGTTCGTTATACTTGGTTTCTGCTCTCCCATTCCCCATTTAAAAAAATTGCTTATTTTGATAACTCTGGGATAGTGAAGGAATGCTGAGAGCAATAATGCTCTGGTCGTAAAACACATTCAGCTTCCGTGAACTTGTATTTTTTCTTTTTTTTTTTTAAGTGAAAGGCAAGTTTATTAAGAAAGTAAAGGAATAAACAATGGCTACCCCATAGACAGAGCAGTTTGCAAATATTATGATTGATAATTTTAGGTCTTTAAGCCTTTATCATATTTGAGAACATTTATGTAAATTATCTTTAATATTTAATCACTATGTTTTAATCATACAGCTCTCACGATATCCAGAAAGCATGTTAACAGCAACTATACCTGAGTGCATTCAGTTCTTAAGAGATGTGTCTGAAATATATAATACTCTATTTTTCTTTCTGTTAAGCAGTGCCTTTTATTTTATTTTATTTTTTAGGTATTAATAGGGGACCCTATTACCACATGTCTTTCTCCCTCAGTGTATGATATAATTTGTAATCTTGGGTTTCAACTCAGAGAAAATTGTGATATCAATAGCATTGTAACTCAGAATGGTGAAGTATGCTGGAAAACAATCACAGACTGTGTGAGCTACACAGAGTCAGGTTTGTGCTGTCTTTGTACTCCAAACTTTCATAACTGTCCCATTGAAAATGTCTTGACCTGTAAAATTCCCCTTTCTGACCATTGGTTCCTTTTGTTAGATAATGTTATAATACAGGCCTAACTCCAAGGAGAACAGGAATCAATGTGAAAAGAGAGGGAATGAGGCCAGAGAAGCATGGAAAAGTTAATGGAAAGCTGGGCTAAGAAAACCACCTCTACAGAGGAGGTGTCAGGAGGCACAGAGGGGCTGGTGGGCTGTTGATGATGTAGATCTCAGGGCCTTGAGATGATTCTCTGTAGGAGTCATGTGAATTAAGGGTAGAAAATGACCAGTAATAGATTATACAGTTATTTTAAGTGTCTTCTAGACATTCTTGCACACTTTGGAGCAGAGATATAGGTGGGGAAATTTAATAATAGTTATAAAAATTACAGATGAACATACTCTGGCCTAGCAGTCCGTTTTCAGGAATCCTTAAGACAGATACAGATATGAAAATGTGTGTGTGCAAGGTTATTCCTTGCAGCATTGTTTATAATAGCTAAATAAATAAACAGCCAAACATCAAGCAGTAGGGGATTGGTTCAGTAAATTATGATAAATTCATATAATGGAATATTATGCAGTGGTAGAAAAGAATGAGGAGGCTCATCTTATACAGAAGTCTCTGAGCTAAGTTGGAAAAAGAATAGGAGGGGCATGTATTTGTAATTACCCTTTGGTATTCATTGATCAGGAACCAAGTAGATGGTTAATCCCAAACTTATCAAAAAAAATTAAAACAACAAAAACTTCATATTATAAATATGTTTAAAACAATTCATTGCCATTAGAAATCTCAGCCTAATAACGTTAACGTAAAAAAATCAGGTTACAAAATTGTATATACAGTGTGAGCCTGGTTTAATTAAAAAAAAAATCAGGTTACGAAATTACATATACAATGTGAGCCTGGTTTTCTGTATTCTTATGTACAGGTAAAGACATTGACAAAATAGTTTTCTCTTGTTTGAAACTTTTTGTATTTTCTAAATTCTCTGCTGATAGTATATTTTTCTTTCATAACCTGATAAGCATTATGTGATTTATTTCCAACAATATAAAAGTATATCATATGTTCAATGGTAAGCTAATTGTTGATTTTGTGGAAATTTTATAATTAAAGCATTTTTTTCTTTGATGATGTAGATATTTTATATCATGTGATATGGAGCTATGGTGCTGAAATTTGTTTTCTTATCCTTTAAGAGCAGGGTCTGGATTACTGGGGAAGCGTGAGGCTGCTGGGCCCTGTGTGTGAGGCTGTCCATTCACATTTCTTATCTCTGACCAAGGGGCAATTTGAAATTCGATATGCACCGTGGTTCCAGTGGACAAGTTTTCCAGAGGTTTGGCTTTTGAACAACCTTTAGAAATAAAAGACTGTGCGAATACTACTTAGAGGACGTACTATTTGCCAATTTTAAAGGGGCCTCCTTCATCCCCAGGCCCTCCAGCGGTGAAGTGTTGAGGGTTGTAAGAGAACCCTGGGCTATTATGCAGGGTCTCCAAAGCCTGAGCTGAGAAACATGCCCCTTGGAACACAGGAAGGTTTTGAATTCATTATCACAGGATTAGGGGTTGGAGAGCTAACATTTGTCACACGGTGCCCATCCAAGGATAGAGGAAAAATTTACTACTCCAGAATAAGGCGTTGTGGAGAGGTATTGAGGTGTTCTAAGACAGTGGGGCCTGGAGACCAGAGCTGGGATACTTGGTTTGTTAATGGGGAACTGAAGGGAGTATGGGTAATTTGGGGCCTAACCCAAAATCTTGTTTTCATTTGTTTTTTTGGTCAGTTTTTCTTCATTTTATTTGGCACACTAAATGACCCCAGTAAAGCAGTAACTATAACAAATCTAATTCTGCTTTGAATTTGGAGTGAAGGAATCATCATGTCCCCCTTGTACTAGCACTTTTAAATGGCAGGATGAGTGCCTTGTGTGTATCTGTTTGAGGGCTCAGCCAAATCAAAAGGAGAAACATGATGGAGGTCAAAATGCTTGACTTTTCCACTTAAATTGTGCCAGATTTGTTGCTTTCAATAAACGTTTAAATAAAGAACCTTCAAGGAATTCTTTAGCTATTAAAATATTTTTATTGATTCTTTAGGCAATATAATTATACAGAAAATGTTTACTTATTCACTGAAAATAAAATATGGCAGTTGAAATCTCTCGAGGTTTGAATTTCAATAAATAATATTGTTGCTTTGAGAAGTAGTTTCAGAGTGTACATCCTAATATGTGTTTTATTGTAAATAGTTATTTCCTGAAATATTTGATGCCTTGGAAAGTCTACAATCTCCTGCTATTTCTCTTAGCTTAATGAAACTGACATCGTGTCTAGAACGAGCCTTGGGTGATGTAAGTGTGAGAACTCTTTCATTATTGGCCCATTAAATTATCTGAATGAACATGAAACTATTTTACAGTTGTCCTCAGTTTTCTTGATTATTTTCCTATAAGATAAAATCATTTAGTATGAATTTTTAATATTTCCCTTTTGAATGATTATGAAATCAAAGGATTGGTGTCTAAGTACTTTTCACCCTTCATTTGTACAAACAGTTGCTTCATGGATAATGTTTTTAATGTTTATTGGCTCATAATACAACTGTTACACAATTTTTGTTTGAATTTTAGGTATTTTTACTGATTGGGAAGGAATGCCCCTTTCTTTTAAGAGATCTGCTTTCATCTGAGGAGCTTGCTCAAGTCTTCAGTCAGTCTGTGGTAAGCTTGTTCATCTAAACTCATGGAGTATATTAGTCCGTTTTCATGCTGCTGTTAAAGACATACCCAAGACTAGGAAGAGAAAGAGGTTTAATTGGACTTACGGTTTCACATGGCTGAGGAGGCCTCAGAATCATGGCAGGAGGAGAAAGACATTTCTAACAGGGCGGCAGCAAGGGAAAAATGAGGAAGAAGCAAAAGTGGAGACCCCTGATAAACCCATCAGATCTCATGAGACTTATTCACTATCATGAGAATAGCACGGGAAAGACCGGTCCCCATGATTCAGCTGTCTCCCCCTGCGTCCCTCCCACAACATGGGAGAATTCTGGAAGATACAATTCAAGTTGAGATTTGGGTGGGGACACAGCCAAACCATATCACGGAGTAAGTGCAAAACAACAATTCACATATGCTGAGCTTTTGTTCTTCCCAAACTGATGATGCTTTAGGGAAAAATTGTATCAGTGATTCAAGCATATTCTCCCTTCCCACCTTCCCTTTCAAAATTGCCCCTCCTCCAGCACATAGAAAGCTTTCCTATCCCGAGTGTGAATAACTCTGGGGCACCACAGGGCCAATGTGAAGCATGTTGCCTCGATCAATTACATATTAATAACTATAATACTAAATCCAGAATACAACTTTAACCCTTTAAATGAGTGATAATACAGTTTTATTTGAAAATTTTAACGTGAAATTATCTTTTGAAACCATTTAAACTTACAGTGGAAAAAAATTCAGATGTTAAAAAAATCATGCAGTTACTATACTATATTAAAATCTCATAAAGGGCACATGATCAAGAGACTTAGGACTAATGAATAACCTTAGGCAGCTGATTGAGGCAGGGTCAAGATGGAGAAACCCAGAAGAGCCTTGTGTGGAAGCTGTGCTTGCCAAGCCAGGGTGCTAGATGATTTTTGGAGTAAAGAAATCTGTCTTCAGTGGAGCTTTTCCATTCTTTTCTGTGGATCTTTACTCCTTGTCCGCTTAAAGATCATTTTCTTTTGTGGAGTGCATGGAATGAAGATAAAAAGTACAAACCTCTTGTTACACTGAATTCTCAAACACATTTTGTTTCTTCGATCTGTTCTTTGGTACTTGCTTATATGTGATGGGCCTTCTGCCCACTTGTGGCCCCTTCAGCTGCCAGGTCACTGGCATTTATACATCTGATTGACCAGATAGTGTGAACCATGAGTATTTCACAAATTATTGGTAGAGCAAAAAGATCTCCTGAAGTTGCATAGAAGAACTGCTTGTTAAATGTTCCAACATTCAGTAGAACTGCTCTTGATCATTTCCACCTCCTGGTTTTGGGTCTTCCCCTTGAGGGAAGTTCAGAATGCGTCCATATTCCCTTCTCAACAGCCATCTTTCACATGCATGAAGACAGTGTTCACTTCCTTCTCGAGTCTTCTGGAGGCTCAACCATACTTTCTCCTATGACATGAATTCTTTTAGTCTTTGAACATCTTCCATTATGTTCTGAGTTTCTTCTAAGTATGGCGCCTCAAACCCAAAGCAGTTCTCTGGGCATGACATGACTGCAGTCCATTTATTAGGACGCCTGGTTGGGTGTTTTCTTCACTCTGTAGATAGATGGTGGGGTGGATAAGTGATGGGCTTCACGTCAGACAGCTAGGAAGTGGAGGCTCAAGCCTGGAGCCATGCTGCTCGGGCATCTGCCCTGCTGCCTCTGTTTAACCACACAATTGCGTGCTGCTTAATACAGTGATATGTTTCTGCTTATCATATCATTGTCTTTTTACATTTTATTTAGATATTATGCACATTTGAAGCAACTTTATTAAAGCAGGATAACCTGGGTCAGATCTTATCCCCCATATTGATTTTGTAGCCTTTGAGACCTTGGTTTCACCTTTCCATGCTTGTATTTTTTTCACCTAGATGCTGGGGATAATCATAGTACCTTCCTCATAGGTTGTTCTTAGGATGAATGAGTTGATGTACATGTACAAAATGTGTCTAGCACATATTAAACACTCAGTAAATGTTGGTTTTATTATTACTGCTATATACTAGCCAAAACTGTTGACTCTCAGTTAAAAAGAGGAACACAAATGTTATCTTCATACTATATTGGTTTATTCAGTAATTCAGTATAATTAACTATGTAATGATTTGCGGATTAGATGAATGTGCTAAAAGTCTTCGTTGGCTCTCCGTGTGGTCTCAACCTGCGTAACGTCTTATGGCATGGGTTTGCGTCACCTGAAGAAATTCCTCCAAAGTAAGTTGCAAGTGAAGACATTTTCTTCCTTTTTTGGATCTACCAAAGAGTTTTTTAAATTTTGAATTTCATGAGAAGGAAATAGATTTTGTGAAAGATAAGTGAGTTTTGAGATAGGATTTTGAAGCTAAAATTGAATATTACTAGTGTAGTCACCAGAGTGATGACTGGGTTATAATTTCAGTGACTTACACCCCAAAGGCAATTCAGGGGTGACACCAGAAGGATGTTATGCCATTCACGTCCTGGGTGGGTGGGAGACCCTGAGTTTCATTAGGGTCTTCATCAGAGTGTCTGTGGTGCTGTTGTGCTGCCCAACTACTGCACAGTCTAATTCCTACATCGAGAGAATTTTGTGCAATTTTTTTTTTTGAGATAGAGTGTCACTCTGTCACCCACGCTGGAGTGCCATGATACATTCTCAGCTCATTACAACCTCCTCCTCCCAGGCTTAAGTGATCCTCCCGACTCAGCCTCCTGAGTAGCTGGGACTACAGGCACACGCCACTATGCCCACCTAACTTTTTTGTATGTTTTGTAGAGATAGGATTTCACCTTGTTGCCCACACTGGTCTCAGACTCCTGAGCTCAACTGATCTGCACGCCTCGGCCTCCCAGAGTTCTGGGATTACAGGCATGAGCCACCGTGATCGGACAGTTTCATGCAATTTAACTTTGCTTTCTTAATTTTAAATTTGTATTTTTCACAGTGAAGCTTTTTATAGGCATGATTGAGTACATTTTTGTAACAGATCTCTATGGTATTTCCTAGATACTGTTCAATGATGATACTGTTGACGGCAGGATTGGGTCAGTTACTGAAGAGTTACCTTCAAAACACTAAACTTACATTGGCACATCGCTCTTTCATATCTCTTACAAACCTCGAGGATTTGATTGTTTTTCCTGGTAAGTACTATGTTTCACATTTTTCCTTATAGCTTTGCGTAGATATTTGCAAAGTCAGTAAACAGCATTAAGAGGTGCACTCTTGAGGTGGGGTGAAGTAGTTGTTCTTCAGTAGTCGGATGGCTTTCAGAGTTGCTTGAAGAACCTCCTACATTTTACCACCCAAAGCCCTGCCTCCTCCCACCATGCCCTGGGGTTGTTGTGGGGGTCACAGGAGTTGCAGCTGTGTGAGCTGAGCTCTTTCTTCCTCAGATGCACTATGAGCAACAGTGGCCTCAGGCTGTTGTATGATGTACATTTTCTCCTCCTTTTACCTCTTGTGTCTTTGTACTCATGATCATTATGCCAGAAATACTTGTAGTAATATCAAGGGTCTTTTACACCTTCTGAAAATGTGTTTTACTTCTCTTGGTCATTGTGCTCAGTTGGTCCATCCTGAACTGTTGCCTAAGTCACTGAAGAGATGTCCATGCCCCACTTTCCAAGGGTCACCTGCACCTCGGGCCCTTGGTCAGGGCAATCCTACTCTCTAACAAGTCCCCTGCTGCAGGGGTCACGGTTCAGCCACCTAAAGGGGTTGGCTCATTGGCATCACTCCCCCAGCATGTTTCCATCTTTTTTCAGTTGATCAGTATGATTGTGTTTAAAACCGTGTGTTATTTTACAGATGTTACTTATGAGGTGCTTTCAGTATTAGAAGAAGTGATGATGAAATCTGCTTTTATATTAAAAATCATGTTACCATATTGGGAAGTTGCACTGGTCAAGTTCAAGTCACACAGGTAACTAAAGGGTACATGGCAGAGTGGTTTGCAGTGGTTGGAGGCCATTCTTTCTTGATGCCCTTCACTTTCGATGCTTTTTGCTGTTGGAGTAGAAGTGAAGAGAACCTGGACTGACTTGAGCAGACCTGAAAATAAAACACCTTCATAGAGTCGCTTCAAGGACCGCCTGTGATTATATTGGAAACATTGCCTTTTGGTGCAGGTGATAGAATTATTTTTCAGGATCCACTTTTTAATATTTTCTGGAAGTCTTAGAATGAGTGAAACATGTTCAGAATCATGAAACATAGATAAGCCAGCTTCGTCCTTACATTCTGTTTCTGTTTCCTGAGGAGCAAACACATGTATGGTCGCCACCAGAAGGTCTGGTGAGCTGATCTTTAGTTCCTTAAAGGATATTACCCTAATTCATTCATTTTTATGCCTTGAGAACCCACTGAAATCCTGGGATGTGCATTTTTGTTTTTTTCTTTTTGAGACTGGGTCTCACCCTGTCCTCCAGGCTGAAGTGCATTGGAGCCACCTCGGCTCACTGCAGCCTTGAACTCCTGGGCTCAAGCAGTCCTCCCACCTCAGCCTCCTGAGTAGATAGGACTGTAAGTGTGCACTACTGTGCCTGGCTAATTTTTGTACTTTTTCTAGAGATGAGGTCTCAGTCCATTCCCCAGGCTGGTCTTGAGCTCCTGGGCTCAAGTGATCGTCCTCCTGACTCAGCCTCCCGAAGTGCTGGAATTATAGGAGTGAGCCACTGCACCCAGCCTCAGTATTTTCTAGAAGCAATGAAATGAGTTAGACAGTCCTTTGATGACATTTTATTCTGTAGAAGCTACTAAAAATGGTTCATCAAACATTAAAACACTGGAAAATGTTTTTAAAATCACTAGTTAGTGAAACTTTTGTTCTATGTGTAAGTGGTTTTGTTTTGTTTTGTTTTGTTTTTTGAGACAGAGTCTCACTGTGTCACCCTGGCTGGAGTGCAGTGGTGTGATCTCAGCTCACTGTATCCTCTGCCTCCTAGGTTCAAGTGATTCTTGTGCCTCAGCCTCCCAAATATCAGGGACTATAGGCATGCACCACCACGCCTGGCTGATTTTTGTATTTTTAGTAGAGACGGGGTTTCGTCACATTGGTCAGGCTGGTCTCAAAGTCTTAGCCTCATGTGATCTGCCCGCCTCAGCCTCCCAAAGTGCTGGGATTACAGGCTTGAGCCACTGCGCCCAGCTGGTTCTGTTTTGCTTCTCGTATTAGCAAGTATTATCATTTCTCTTTGCTTTTGATATCTAGACTGCAGCAGTTATTGTGATGTTGGTGTCAATATTATTTTTGTTTTTTGCTTGTTTTTTACTTAGAGAGTCTTAGTCTGTCACTCAAGCTAGAGTGTAGTAGCACAGTCATAGCTCACTGCAGCCTTGAACTCCTGGGTTCAAGCAATCCTCCCGCCTCAGCCTCCTGTGTAGCTAGGACTACAGGCAGTGCCACTGCACTCTGCTAATTTCTAAATTTTTTGTAGAGATGGGGTTTCCCAGGCTGGTCTTGAACTCCTAGCCTCAAGCGATCCTCCCACCTTGGCTTCCCAAAATGCTGGGATTACAGGCATGAGCCACTGCACCTGGCCTAATATTTATTTTTGAAATGTGGAGTTTTACCTCTTTTCCCTTCAATTTCATAGGTTTGCTGACTGCGCCATATTGTTGCTGACACAACTGGAGACTGGACTTAGGAATGTTTTTGCCACACTTAACAGATGTCCAAAAAGACTCCTGACTGCTGAGGTAAGCTTGTTTTTATTATTGATTGTGATCATTGTTGCTGTATTAACAGTTTTCTGTTACCAATTAAAAGTTTTTAAAAATGTTATTCTGTTTCACATTAAAATGATTTTAATTTAGCTAAGAACTGTGGAAGGCCTATCATTTCTATAGGATTTATATTTATGTTATTTATGATTGTTTTTGATATTTCTGTAATATTTCTAAACAGTCTTTAAAACTCAATGATACCGTGAACGTAGTAGGCACTGGTTCTCTCTCTAGCTGTGTTGATGGTGTGTCACTGTAACCGCGTGAGATGGCTGCGGTCTAGCCGGGAGACTGAGGTGACCAGTGGTTGAACCTGACCTTGGGAAACTAATCAAAACCTTCTGAACTTGAGTTTCTCCATCTTACAAATGGAAGACGTAGGATTTGGAGGTGACTTGGTGTGGTGCCAGCCCTGCAGCAGGTCATGAAAGCCTTTGTCTCAGTTTCTTGAGCCCCTCCATGTGTGTACACACACGCGTACACACAGCTGTCTCAGAGTTCCACATTGACCCCCGGTCGCCCTGTCTGAGGCAAGCGTCTCTGAGTTTCCAGCCTACCTCCTCTGGCTCCTAGAATTTCTCATTTCTGCTCCTTTTTAGTAGTTATGATAAGATCCTGCTGCTTAGTGACAGAGATCTCGAAATAATATGGCTGCAGTGACTGAAATAGGATAGAAGTGCATTTCTGCCTTTCCCAGATGTGAGTAGCTCCCACTGAGATGGCAGCACCCCCATCATCAGCACTCAGACCCCTCTGTGTCGTCTTCCAGTGATGAGGGCCAGGCCTTCCTTATGGAGACTACTACTTCCTGGCTCCAGCCGGCTGTGTCAGCCATCACATCTGCTTTCCAGCCAGCAGGAAGAGCAAAGATTGGTGCATGCCCCTCTCTAAGGACACTTCCTGGAGGTAGCACAGGCCTTGGGCCAGGGCTTAGTCGCACTTGCTGCCAGGGAGGCATGGAAGCGTTCCTGGATGGCCAAGTGCCCAGCTTCCCACGGGACGATCTGTTGTGGAGGGAGGGCAGGTGCAGCCGCTCCACACCTCGGATTCTCGTCTCTTTCTCTAGCTTGGCTTTTGCTTTTTGCCCCTCTTTGTAGGCATTCCTCAATGCTCTGCCGTCAACCCCATCCTCTGTTTCCTCTCCCTGGGAGATCTCATACAATTCTCTGCCTTACATTTTCATCTCTGGGGGAACAACAATTAGAAAATACTTTGAACCCAGTGAAAATGAAACCCAACACATGGAAGTTTTGGACCCAGCAAAAGCAGTGCTGCGAGGGCAGCTTACGGCCCCGGAGCCGGGCTCCCCAGTGTTGCTTCTCACTGACCCCCATCTGATCTCTGCAGTTAGACCTGCTTATGTTCACTAAATATCTTCATGTGAGTTTTCCTCAGCACCTCACATTTATCTTCTTTCAGAAAGGCGTTGTTTCCCACAGATTTGTCCTCTGACGCTCCCTCTGTCATCTCAGCCTCACCAGCTGCAGACTCCAGCAGCGTCTCGTGTTTCCCCAACACCTCCCGTGTCCACTCAGTGGCCAGCACAGCCGGTGGTTTCCACCCAGCTGACCTTGTGCTCTTCCTGTCCAAACTGAGAAGCCCCCCGCCTGGCTCCTCGGCCCACCCGAGCTCATCTCACGATTCTTCCTCCTTCTCAAATTTCATTCTCACAGTCCTGCTGATTCTTTTTTTTAGTTAGTTTTTTTTTTTTGGTTTTTTTTTTTGAGGCAGGGTCTTGCTTTGTCACCCAGGCTGAAGTGCGGTGGTGCAGTCATAGCTCACTGCAGCCTCAATCCCCGGGCTCAAGCGATCCTCCCACCTCCGCCCCCCGAGTAACTGGGACCATAGATGTGTGCTACTACACCTGGCTCATTTTTACATTTTTTTTTTCCTTGTAGAGACAGAGTCTTGCCATGTTGACCAGGCTGATCTTGAACTCCTGGGCATAAGTCATCCTTCTGCCTCAGCCTTCCAAAGTTTTGGGATTGCAGGTGTGAGCCACCATACGTGGCCCCACTGATTATTTTCTAAGCTGATATTCTTACGTTATTTATGGTTTTTTTTCATTTGTTTAACCTCCTCGATGATGTCCTGCTGCCTGCCAGATGGAGTTCATCCTCTTCACGTGGCAGCAAGGCCTCGGGTTCTAACCCTGCCCTCCTCTTTGGTGTGTTCCCTGTTTGGATACCTCAGTGAAATTTAGGCTTCTTGTCAGCTCCAGAACTTGCTTGTCTTTCCTCTTACTTTGTTCCTCACCCCCAGATTTTCCGCTCCAGGTCAGGGGCTGTGGCCACAAAAGCGACCTTCCAGAGGCTCATCTACTCAAAGGTGGAGGCTGCTTTTCTCTGTGTTCTGTTTCTGTCTCATCTTGGAGGCAGTCCTGCTTTGCCTTACTCGTGTGCATTTCTGCAGAGGTCTCTGCGGGTTCTCTGAGGCAGGCCTACACGTTGCTGTCGCCTGCTGCCCATGCCCAGTGCCTTCCATGTAGGCCACTCAGCGCGGTGTGGAGCGAAGCTTCAGGAAAGAGCTGGGCCCCACCCATTAGAGCCCTTGCTTCATGATACCTGCATGGGGATTGGCTGCACGGTGGCACGCACCATCACTGTAGGGCCATGCGGTGCAAATAAATTTGGATATTTACTTGTCATTTGACTTCATAAATAAATAACATGGCTGTTTCCACAGAGGATATAATCTATCAAAGAATATATTATTAGCACAGGCTTTCACCCAGAATAAACAGGATCAGTTTTTAAGGCAGTACATATATGAAGATATTTTATAAAACTTAATAAGACACTGCAGATGCTGTTATTATTTACTGATTACTTTTGTGTCATGAGGTTTCTTCAGGACCAGTGGAAGATATGAATATGAGTGAGATTTTCTGACTTCAGAAGCTTATTTATCATGGGAGAGTGAGAAGGCATTTATACTAACTCTGTAAAACAAAGTAGAAGCTAATGTGTGTAGTTGATGTAGGTAAATGAAAAATTCTGCTTTTTGGAGAAAGTGGGAATATGTGGTAGACGTTGGATATTTAGAACTCAGAGGGAATTTTAGGGCTAGCAATACAGATTTCAGAGCTAAAGATAACAGATTTTAGAGTCATCTGTGTAGTAATGTTGAAGAATATTGGCAATATGAAATTTAAAATAGATTATTAAACATTTATTATTAAACATTAATAAATCAAAAAACATTTCTTGAGAGCTAGCTTACACAAAATCCTGATTTCATCACATCACACCGCATGGCCCTACAGTGATGGAGCGTGCCACCGTGCAGCCAATCCTCATGCTGTCAAATCTCACTGAAGTGATTTCATCAGGCTGTCTGTCAAATCTCACTGAAGTGATTTCGTCACGCTGTCTGTCAAATCTCACTGAAGTGATTTCGTCACGCTGTCTGTCAAATCTCACTGAAGTGATTTCGTCATGCTGTCTGTCAAATCTCACTGAAGTGATTTCGTCATGCTGTCTGTCAAATCTCACTGAAGTCCCCAAAAGCCTTTTGAGATAGGCATTCTTAACTTCTCCTTTTGCAGAGAAAACCTGCATCTGTGGAGTTCAATCGGTTGCCTGTAGGTTTCATGTCTAGAAAATGTTGCAGTTGGGATCAGAACTCAGGACAGCACATGTCTGTAGGCCGTGCCGATGATGCTGAGAAGCAGCGTGCATGAAATAAAATAAAAACAGACAAGGCTATTCATTGGAGAAAATAGGAAGCTGTGCTCCCTTGTGCACAAATACCAGTCGTCAGGAGAAGTATTCTGTTGTATGAGCAGCGATTTGTGAGGGCCTGGGATTGTACATTTTAGAGATAACTGGGCTAAAGCTCTGTTGAGAGCAGTGTCCTAATGCGGCTTCATGGCCAGCTGCACTGTGTTTTTGCGTCTTTTGTAATGTGTTTATTTTGTCAGTGACATTCCTCTCATAGTGTTTCTAGATGAATGTTTGTTTTAACAAAAAACTTTGGGATGTGTGGCCATGTACCAGAATTTTTTCTTATTTTGCATAGTGTTAGTGTATTTGTATTTTGCTTTAATTGTTTATTTTCATTTCTTTCCTTTTCTGAAGTCAACAGCTCTTTATACCACCTTTGATCAAGTAAGTAAGTAAACTTGTAAGGTAACTTGAAACAAACAGAACGCTGTCTTCTTTTAAAATACAAATTAAAATGCAAAATTAAAGATCAGCCATAAATCATATACTTACAGGAAAATGTCCATAGTAATATAAACCAAAAAAAGCTGATAATTGATATTTCCGGTTAATTTTGGGGCCCAGTGTTACCAATCTAGCTCCCAAAGCTATCCAAAGCTCAAAGTTGGAAAATACCAAGGGATCTAACATGATTAGCTATAATTATTTAGAGGCTTGCATTTTAGATTTAGGGGTGACATCTTTTTTGTACAGGAAATATTCCCCGCTACTGTTACAAGTGTGTGGGATACATTGATTCATTTAATCTGCATGTTGGCGGTGTGAATAGTAGAAAACTCACAGTTGAAAATGCCTCTTGTCAGCCACGGAGCGCACAGGCATTTGTGTGCGTAACCCCGGGTAGCGTTCATGTGCACCTAAAGTGTGACGACAGCCTATGGGAAACCAAGGGAAGGGTCACCTGTAGAGGTCCGGACATTCGGTTTTGCCTTTAAGACAACTATTAGATCCTAAGCGACTGTGTTGTGGCTGAGTTAAAAATGTGCCTGTTTACTTGCAGAGCTTCTTCCATTAGGTGAACAATCTGTTGTGATTTTAATGTGTAAGACCTTTGGTAATGTGAGGAATTGATTAGATAGTGCAGCCCAGTCTCTAGAGGATCAGATCTGTGGGATTGGTTGGGGTGGTTGGGCAAAGTCCATGGTGAGTTAAGAAATGACTTTGGAAGTGACTCTAATGTGTACACAAACAACACACATGCACACACCACACATACATACACACACGAACACATACCTCCATGCTGCATATACACACACAGGCATACACACACTCTAATGTGTACACAAACACACATGCACATACCACACATACACACACACACATGAACACATACCTCCATGCCACACAGACACACACAGGCATACACATACTCTAATGTGTACACAACACACATGCACACACCACACACGAACTCACACATCCATGCCACATATACACACACAGGCATACACACATGCAGGCACATACACTACACACACACACACACACACACACAGGCACAGTTGCATATAAACACACAAATGTACACACCCCCACACCACATATGCACATACACATATACACACCACACATATTCATAGTCACATACACAAACACACATGTGTATACAATTATTAATATAGTCTTAAAGTCATTCTGTTGGTTAAGAAAATATTTCCTGAACACCTGTTTGCTGAATTTTAAAGACTGTCCATTTAATTTGCTTAGACCTTAGATAACAAGTTAGGCTAAAAGTACTATATCCATCAACTCTGAAAGTTCTGTATGTTTATGTATGGGGACCAGTTAACCAATGTATTTATTTTTGATGTTTTAGATATTGGCAAAACACTTGAATGATGGTAAAATCAATCAGCTTCCTCTTTTCCTTGGAGAGCCTGCTATGGTAAGTATTAGGTATTTTCCAGGCTAATATTCTTGTATTTATGGATGTCGTCAGCACTTCTCTAAAATTAAATTAATTTTGGCTTGTGGTTTGCTCAAGAAAAATACTTCTGAAACATTGCTGTGCTGTCTCAGCTTCAGCCACCAATCAGCTGATGTTTGCCAAGCTGTCACTCCTTAAATGTGTTTTTTAAAGGCCTGATGATTTAGCTGCCCTGTCCCTAAGCAAAATTTGTATTTGTTTTTTACATGTATTTGTGCTGTAGAACGGACATATATTTGTGCCTTGTTAAATGCAACAGTTAGGCCGGGTGCGGTGGCTCATGCCTATAATCCTAGCACTTTGGGAGGCCAAGGCGGGCAGATCACAAGGTCAAGAGTTCAATACCAGTCTGGTCAATATGTTGAAACCCCGTCTCTACTAAAAATGCAAAAATTAGCTGGGTGCGGTGGCGGGCACCCACCTACTCCTGAGTCCCAGCTACTCAGGAGGCTGAGGCGAGGAAAATGGCTTGAACCCAGGAGGCAGAGGTTGCAGTGAGCTGAGATCCTGCCACTGCACTCCAGCCTGGGCAACAGAGCAAGACTCCGTCTGAAAATAAAAGCAACAGTCAAATGTGAGTAATAAGATTGAGTATTGGATGAAAAGAGGATCATTAATTGTTTAAGGCCATCTATCCATTTTTTTATATTTTATGAAGATATTTCGGTGACTAATTTGGACTACAATAGGTATTTGACATTTATTCCTTCTAACAGTCAGGCGACCTAGAATCATGCTCATGTTCTGTGACTTTAGACTCCGTGCTCTGTGGACATCCATTTTTACCATCAAAAAATAAGATGATTGAACTAGTTTAATGTTCTTTCCACCTTGAGTCTCTGTGATGCTTCTGACCATTGGCGGTTTGCCAAGGGCAGCAGTTTTCTGACCTCTTTTCCCTAAAACCTGTGGGAGAGGCCTTGGATTTGTGTCGTAAGAAGCAACAGACTTTTGAAGGTGAAAGAGCAGATGAGAAAGTGCAGGGGCTGTGCTCACACAAGAAAGAGCCGTGATTTCTTTTATTGCCTTGGAAAAGCTCATTTGCAAATGTTCACACTCAGTTCCCTTCCTTGGAGGAAGGTGAAAACAAGAAAGACTGGAATTTGATGAGGCTCCAGTACCACCTGGGCAGCTCTGCTTTCCCCACAGCCTCTCTGGCTCCCTGGTCTGTCCTGTGGGTGTAGGAGAAGAGCTCTCCCCAGCAGAGTCCCACCCAGGGCTTCAGAGGACTTGATGGATGCACTCTTTCCTTCTATTCAGCAACACCAGGCACGTCTCTCTGCTGCGGATACTAACAAAATATTTTCTCTGTTTAATTTCTGAAAGGAATTTCTCTGGGATTTCCTGAACCATCAGGAGGGTCCCCGCATAAGAGATCATTTAAGCCACGGGGAGATCAACTTACATGAATTTTCAAAAGAAACAACTAATCAGTTGCTTGCATTTTCTCTTGTACTGCTACTCAGATTCGTTGATGACTGTCTGCTATCAGTTTTTAAGGTAATTTATAGGGAAGAAAATCATTAATTAGATTAACTCATTCAGCTATGAAAATATAGTTTATTTTTCAAATGTAATTAACTGTTAATCATCTTTTAATATATCTGAGTTACAGTATCCTCCATCAGAAAAAAAAGTGAATGGATTACATGTATGTTTATATTCTCTATCACAGATCAATCAATATTAATCTCAGCTAAAATAATTTAACTCGTTTCTTAAAAACACATTTGCTTTTGTATGTAACAGCAGCTAAGTATTGAAAAGGAAAGAACAAATTATAAAACAGGATTAACCAAATATTAGGAAATTTTTACAGATATTTGCTAAATCGATGGGGTAGGATATTTGCATCATCAATAAACTCTTTTATTTCAAAGTAAATAATTTAGGATAGAACATTTGTTATTTATATTTTAATCTTTTTTTCAGATTATACATGTGACAGTTATTTTAAAAATTGTTTAAATGTTCAAACAAAAATTACTAGAAATAGAAAAATTAATGTGAAAAGTAAGAGCCCTCAGGAATTCCATCTCTCAGAAATAACTACTGTTAATAATTCGGTGTTGTTGCTACCACATTTTTGCTATGAGTATACTAAAGTGAGTTCATAGGAAGGTATGTTATGTTTTATAGCTAGCATTTTTCATCAACTGTGTTTTTGGCATTTTTGTTCTGCCTTATTCTTTTTGTCAGCTGTTTGATATTCCATTTTATCAATATGTTATTATTTACCTAAGCAGTCCATCATTGATGAATGAGTTGTAATGTTCCCTGATGTAGAAAATTCCTAATTATTATGCTGAAATGAACATCTTTGTTCATTTGGGCACTTACGTAAATACTCTTAAAAAGTAAAGTTCTAAGACAAAATATATCAATAAGGTTTTTTTAAATTTTTTTATTATTATTATTTTTTATGAGACAGGGTCTTGCTCTGTCACCCAGGCTGGAGTGCAGTGGTGCAGTCATGGCTCATGGCAGCCTCAACCTCCTGGGCTCAAGCCATCCTCTTACCTCAGCCTCTTGAGTAGCTGGGACCACAGGCACAAGCCACCATATCCAGCCAAGATTATGTTTTTATTTTCATTTCTTTTTTTATGTTTACTAGATGTTTATAATTCCTTTGTTAATTGCCTATTAATGTATTTTCTCCATTTATTTCAGTTTTATTTTTCCCATTGGATCATTAGCCTTGTTTGTGTACATATTGCTTTGTTATTTGTTTATAGATTTTGATTTTTTTTTCTCTTTGGCTTCACATTTGGAGTCATTCTGAAAAGAATCTTTGCTTTTCAAAATTAAAAATATATGTATACATTTTCTCTGATACTTCTATTTTTTCTTTTTTCTTTTCTTTCTTTTTTTTTTGTTTTTTTTTTATTGAGACGGAGTCTTGCTCTGTCGCCCAGGCTGGAGTGCAGTGGCGTGATCTCAGCTCACTGCAACCTCTGCCTCCCGAGTTCAAGCAGTTCTCTGCCTCAGCCTCCTGAGTAGCTGGGATTACAGGCGCCCGCCACCACGCCCAGCTAATTTTTTTCTATTTTTAGTAGAGACGGGGTTTCATCATGTTGGCCAGACTGGTCTTGAACTCCTGACCTTGTGATCCACCCGCCTCGGCCTCCCAAAGTGCTGGGATTACAGGCATGAGCCGCCGTGCCCTGCCTATTTTTTCTTCATTTTCCATTTACGTCTTTTGATCCAACTGGAATTTATTTCATCTTGGGAGTAAGGTACAGAATCTAGCTTTACTTTTAAAAAAATTAATAGTTATTATTCTGTGTAAACTTGGACAAACATACAACCCAAAAAACAAATAAGAATGAGGCCCTCGTGGATTGAGTTAGGGATAATTGACATTTTTCACAATATTGAAGCTTATTCAGGGACACAGGTTCTCCCCATCTTCATTCCTCAAGTCCTCCCGTGTACGCGGCACCTCCAGCCTCCTAGGTGGCTGCTCAGGCGGGAAGCCTTAGATTCCTCTCTTCGCTTCATACTCAGTCCTTGGAACAGGTCTTAGAAATATGTTCCACAGTCCAGGCGCGGTGGCTCACACCTGTAATCCCAGCACTTTGGGAGGCCGAGGCGGGCGGATCACCTGAGGTCAGAAGTTCGAGACCAGCCTGGTCAACATGGTGAAACCCTGTCTCTAATAAAAATACAAAAATTAACCGGGCGTGGTGGCGGGTGCCTGTAGTCCTGAGAATAGCTTGAACACGGAAGGCACATGTTGCAGTGAGCCGAGATTGTGCCACTGCACTCCAGCCTGAATGACAGAGCAACACTCCGTCTCAGAAAAATAAAGAGAACAAAAAAAGAAATATGTTCCACATCTGCTACTCCCTGTCCCTCCTGTGCCACCACCTGGCCATGCCGCCTTGGCCCCTCCCTGGAGTGTTGCTGGCACTGACTGGTCTGCCCACCGACTTCTGCGAGCCCTTCACCTTGTCGTAACACAGCAGCCAGACTGATCCTTTTACCAACATGTCTTCCTTCTCCTCGGAAGCCCTCGGATGGGTTCACATCTTGGAACAGAAGCCAGGTGCTCTTCAGTGGCACACATATGCTGCGTGTGTGTCTGCCCTGCGGGGACGTCACCCATGCAGGCACATGAGTGTACCTCCCGTTTTCTGCCCAGCACACTCCCTGGTGCACTCCAGGCTCTTACACACCTGAGTGACGGGAAGGCCAGCACATTTCTTCTGTAGTTAACATCTAGCTACTTGAGTTGTTTGTTTTGTGCTTTTAAGAATTGTAGGTAGTGGGCCAGGCACAGTGGCTCACGCCTGTAATCCCAGCACTTTGGGAGGCCGAGGCAGATGGGTCACCTGAGGTCAGGAGTTCGAGACCAGCATGGCCAAACATGGTGAAACCCCGTCTCTACTAAAAAATAAAAAAAAATTAGCCAGGCGTGGTGGTGGGTGCCTGTAATCCCAGCTACTCAGGAGGCTGAGGCAGGAGAATCGCTTGAACCTGGGAGGCAGAGGTTGCAGTGAGCCGAGATCGCGCCAGTGCACTCCAGCCTGGGCAAAAACAGTGAGACTCTGTCTCAAAAAAAAAAAAAAAAAAAAAAATTGTAGGTAGTTACAGATTTTTTAATTTGTCAGCTATCAATTCACTGACTTTGTTTCTCATAGGTTTTAGTTGGCTGACTTGGATTTTTAAGTTATGTGGTTATATCAGCTGCAAATAATGTAATTTTTATGCTTTTTAAAATATGTATATGCTTGGCAATTAAATGTTTATGCGATCCTTTTTTTAGTTGTATTCATTTTTAGTGTTTAAGTAACTATTTCCTAGTTACATTTCCAATTGTTTGGAATCTTTTTTTTCTTATTCATCTCCAGTTTTGTGCACAGAGGGTGGGTGTGGCATTTGTGATCTATTATTGTTAATGGCCTCCATTTAAAATCATTTTATTGGCTGTCATTTGCCTGCCATGTCAAGCCTATTTTAATGAAGCACTTGCTTTTCTAGCTGCATAGAATTATTTGAAGAAAGATAATGAGAAATGGGGACTCTAAGTGGCCTACAGTTCAATAGAAGAAAGCTAAAAGCCCACCCAAACATGATAGTAACCACTGTTTTCTCTGCACTAGGAAAAATCAGCCGTAGAATTGTTGATTAGTCTTGCAGAAGGCTATAGTTCTCGCTGTCATCCGGTTTTTCAGCTTAAAAAACAGGTATGCCAAATGCAGGGTCCCGGGAGGGGCGTGTATGTCTCTGAAACCACCTGTCTTCTGCAGAGATGCTGGAAGGGTGCAGTTTGCTTGCTGAGTCAGACTTTGAGTTGGGCAGATCCAGCTTTTTAACCAGTGCGGGGCCTGCTGTGGCGCTGGCCTGGTTGCTCAGTCTTCTGAGTCTCAAGTTCCGTGTCTAGCAGTTGAAAGTAATGCGGTGCTGACGGCACTGAGGTTTTTAGTGTTAAATGGATGAGCACTGGGAAGTGTTTTTGCTGAGTCCCCTGGCAGGCTGTTATTGCTGTCAGCAGTAACGCAGAGCTAGGAGCAGTTTTTATTTGTCAGTGGTGAGTAACGTCAGTTTTTCTTCTACACGGACTAGCTTTTGTTAACTTACTGAGACAAACAATTTTTTAAGTGTTTCTGCCAGGAGGCTCCAATTTGGAAATCAGCTAAGGTGCTTTATTCTACATACGGGAGGATACAAGGGTAGTGCAAGGGGATGAAAGAGACAGTCCCCAAGAATATAAGCATCATGACAGTTGTGCAGGTGAAAATTTATAAATGAGATTACCTCTAAAAGGAAGCTGTAAAATCAACACACGGCGGGTCAGGAGAGATTTGCAAAGGCATTTTAAAGAAACGGTGCCTAGAGGCTGGGCGCAGTGTCTCACGCCTGTAATCCCAGCACTTTGGGAGGCCGAGGCGGGCGGATCACAACGTCAGGAGATCGAGACCATCCTGGCTAACACAGTGAAACCCCATCTCTACTAAAAATACAAAAATTAGCCGGGCGTGATGGCAGGTGCCTTGAGAAGTCTGAGGCCTCCTTGAGAATGCCTTAAGGAAAATACGGTCAGAAGGGGGTTGTCAACAGTGAAGTTGGGAAAACAGCCTTCTGGAGGTGTGGCTCGGAGGCAGAGCATCGGGCTGTGCTGGTCAGATGCCATTCCCCGTTGGCGCTGTGGACCAGCTTTACCAGTGGGGATGCCGTGCTTTCCAAGAGCAAGCCCTTACGAAGGTGGAGGTGGGCAGGTAGGGAGGAGGGAAGATTTAGGAAGGAAGAGGAGCTTCAAGAAGGCAGCCTTTGTCTTCTAACCAGAGCCACTGAGACTCCAGGCCATCCTCTGCTGTGCCCCATGGTGGCTATTTTGGGTACTTACCACTTCCTGTCCCCCTCCTGGCATCTCACAGGTATTCAGGCAGCTTTGCATCCTGGGCTTCCGTTATTCCTGCTGTTGATACCACCCACGCTCACTGGTGTCAGCAGCCACCGTTGTACTTGCTCATACGCTAGTGGGTTAGAAATGGGGAGCATCTGCCGAGGGATCTGTCTTGTGGCCTGACCTGGGCGTTGATGGCTGTGGTCCCCCAGGGCTTCGTGGGTGTCCCATCTGAGAAGGCTGGAAGTTGGCCAGGGGCTTCATGGGGGTCCTGCAGGGACAGTCCCAAGGTGACAGCTGCTGCACCTCGAGTGCGGCCTGAACTGGAGAGGCACCTGCACCTCTGACATGGCTTTGGATGCTGCACAGCATCGTCACACCTGCTGTGTTCTGTTGGTTCCAGGCCAGTCGCCAGAGCTCGTGCAGATTTGGTGGGGGCCTCCCTCTCAATGGCAGGTGTCCAAAGAACCTGTGGACATGGTCATAGCCACCCCAGACGTTCACTCCCTTCCAATCCACTGGTAGTTTCCGCAGCCTTCCCCCATCTGAATGTACTGAAGAACTGACACCCACCATCTGGTTTTAAAATGTTTAGAATTTGTAATAATTTACGTATTTTCTAGAGAGTGATGTAACATCCATAAAAACACAGATTTTCTAGGAAGTTACTGTGAAATCTACAAAAGCAATAAAACATTTCCTCCCAGGTGCTGAGCTGTGAGGAGAGCATCAGGGTTTGGGCTCTGCTGCCTTTCCCCGAAGAACTCACTCGGCAAGCCGTCAGGTGCGTGGCATCCTGGGGCCTGGCTGACCTCAAGCTTGTCTGGTACTATTAGTTTCAGCAGCATTTCTTCTTTAACGAGGCTGTGGGAAGATAAAAGGGGAAGGAGGAATTTCTGGGCCTTGGTGGCTGATGCAGGCTGTGGGGAGCTGGAAGTGTCGCTGAATGCGATCTTCCAACTGGCATGGGGCCCTGGTGGAGACTGAACATGGAACGAGAGGCAGGTTTTGTGGGTAGACAGTGGCGTCCATGAGAAGTACCCTGAGTAGATAGGAAGAAAGATGGGTCTGAAGCTCAGGAGAGAAGTAGGGATGGAGACATAAATTCTGGAATCGTAAACAACAGCAGACATCCTTGTTCAGCAGGAAGAATACGCAGGTGGTTCATCGTCTCGTCGTCACTGGACTTTGCTCTTGGCATATGGCATCGTTTGTTTCTCCACTGTATTGTCATGGTGGCTTTTTCCATTTTATATTTGAGGAAAGTGAGATTCACAGTCAGGTCGCTGCTCAGTGAACCATTGAACATTCTTGTGCACAGGCACTGATGTGAGCACTTTAATTGTCACGTATCTTTAAATATTTTCTGTTTTTCAGATTAGAAGATAATTCTGAAACAAATGCCTGCCACTCTTTGATTACAAAAATGACGGATGAGCTGTATCACCATATGCCTGAGAATCGTTGTGTGTTAAAGGACTTGGATCGTCTTCCTACTGAGACGTAAGTTCCAGGACATCCTGACAACTGTTGAAACATTGATTCAGCAGATTAGCATAGCAAACTTAGCATTTTCTATGTTTTAGATTTTATAAACTTGGTAGTAGTCTTAGAATCCCACTGTTACTGCTCCAGGAGGAATTATGAGATAAGTTTTGACAATCTCTGTGCAAGCTTGGCACATCTGATGAGGCTGTGAATGCCACATTCTGTTTGCCACAATTCAGTGTGTTTAGTTAACACTTGCCGCGTGTCACGGTTGTCCCTGCAGACCAACCAGCGATACGCCGCTAGCCCTGGCTCCCAGAAAGCCGCAGCCTTGCAGGTGCAGAAGGAGAGTGAGGCCCAGGTGAGGATCATGATGCCTGCTCCAAGTCTGGCTCTGTTTGCAGGTGGCCCCAGCTTCTCCGTGAGCTCTGCAGCACACCTGTTCCCACCCTGTTCTGCCCCAGGATTGTGCTGGAAGTGCTGGTTGTGCTCCGAAGCATCAGCGAACAGTGCCGCCGTGTGTCCAGCCAGGTCACCGTTGCCTCAGAGCTGAGACACAGGCAGTGGGTGGAAAGGACGCTGCGGTCTCGCCAGCGGCAGAACTACCTGCGTATGTGGAGTAGGTGCGCGCTCACTTTCCTGTTTTGGAGGGGCACTGTGGGGCAGGAAGTTGTCACAGATGCAGTTCTAGTCCTCACTTCCAGACACACACAGTAGCCCCTCACTGAACCCCATCGACAGGTGTTGATATACTTGGAGTCCACAACTGAGTGTGAACCCAAAGTATCTGAGACAGGTCTCAATCCAGTTAGAAAGTTTACTTTCCCAGGGTTAAGGACATGCTGTGACAGCCTCAGGAGGCCCTGACGGCATGTACCCCAGGTACTTGGGGCGAAGTTTGCTTTTACACATTTTAGGGAGACATAAGACATCAGTCCGCAGGTGTAAGGTGTACATTGGTTCCATCTGGAAAGGCGGGAAAATACAAAGGTGGGGGCCTTCCAGGTTATAGGTAGACAGGAGACAAAGGATTGCATTGTTTTGAGTCTTTGATGAGCCTTTCGGTGAATACACAATTTACTTGTGAGTGGGGGTAGAGGAATAGTCACTTAGACCTTAGTGTGGCTCAGTGAAGCTGCATTTTACATAGGGCAGAGGAAGCAATCATATAGGCATTTGTCTCAGGTGAGCTGGGGGATGACTTCCTGTCCCACACCTGGGAAGATCAGCTAGCAACTACATTGCCAGGGAGAAATTCAGCAGAACTCTTTCAGGGTAAAGATCTTGAGGCCCATGAGGAATTTCCTTGTGGACAAATTATGAGGGAGGTCTGTATGTAGCTTTTTTCTCTTTGTAGCCACCTTATTTAGGAATAAAATGGGAGGCAGGTTTGCCTGAGGCAGTTCCCAGCTTGGCTTTTCCCTTTGGCTTAGTGAGTTTGGGGTCCTGAGATTTATTTTCCTTTCATGATAGAAACAAAAGTTAAGTTCCCACAGCATGTTTCTGGTCATACAAATATTACCAAGCTTCTAAATGAAGACCCAAAACACTTACAATGTTAAACATTGAGGTATATATGAACTCTATGGACATTTAATAAAGATGAATTAAAAACAAGTGAGATAACCACTCAGTGTTTGGTGAGGCAGTGAGTGATGGCAGTCCAGGTGGTGGTTAAATGAGGCAATAATGTTTGCAGAGCAAGACCTCCCCAGGCCCGCCCCCCTTCCCCCCACCCACAGCTCCAGCGCCAACAGGAACAAATGTGTGGGTCACTGAGCACTTTTGTATCTGTCACTTACTGTCGAGCACTTGTATGATTATGGTAGACTTTACAAGTTCTTATAATTTGTATTCATTCATTCATTCATTTTCCAACCTGCTTATTCCAGTTCAGGGTCAGGGTTGTGGGTGGCTGGAGCCTATCCCGGCTGCTCTGGGTACAAGGCAGGACCCACCCTGGACAGGACGCGTTTCCGTCGCAGGACGAGTCACACACCCACACTCACTCTGGGACCATGGAGATGCGCCAGTTCACCTAACGTGCACAGCTCTGGGATGTGGAGGGGACTGGGGGACAGGAGAAAACCCATGCCGAACCCATAACGAATGTGCTTCTCCACACGGGCAGTGGCCCTCCTGGGGCATCCATTTCTTTTCTCACTGATGTTGTGACGAAACAATGTTGAATGAAATGATGTTATTTGAGGACTTCCTGTGCTGATTTTCATAGAAAGTTGTAGTACATACTATTTTAAATATTGTTTGTAATTTGGGCATGTGGAAATGTGGGTTCTATCTATCTAAATGAATATTTGGATTTAAAATATAACAGCAGATTAACGTGATTAACAGCAGATTATATTTGGATTTAAAATATAACAGCAGATTAACTTGATTAACAGCAGATTAACAGCATTATGGTTTCTTCACTTATAGAGTATATTTTAGAATGTGCTACATCCTTAAGAAATGGCCATTTTGGATACATTTCTAGAATTTTTGGGTTGAGTGGTATCTGTTTTTAAAGCTTTACATAGATATCGCTGGATTCCCCTCCAGAAAGGTGCTGCTCAATTTACACTCTTACCAGCAGTTTATAAGACAAGGTCATTCTCTTACTACCACTCTCCAAAACCACAATATTTTTACATGTCTCAACTAGTTTCATGGGAAAAGTAAGATCTTAACTTTAATTGGGATTTCTTCAATCTGGTGGCATTGAGCCTGCTTTCCTATCGAGGCCATTTGTTTTTCTCTGGTGAGAGTTCCTCCCTAGATGTCAGAGGGCAGCGAGCAGGGGGGCTGCTGGGCGCAGACTGTACCTGCCTGGTGCCCTGTGAGCGTGCATGGCCCCTGGCAGCCCTGATGTAGACCGGGCGCCTCAGATGGTGACTCAGAGCAAGAAATGCGGACGTGCAGGATGGGCCGGGAGCAAGGGCTATGCTGGGCACTCCTGCCGGCCACGGGCCTCGGGGCTGGAAGCAGGCATTGGGCTCTAAGGATTAGGAAAATTATTTTTTGAGAAGTTGGGACTTAAGGATGTTGATTAGGTGAAACATCTTTTTCCTGATGAAGGTGGAAAATACCAACATATCCTCACATTTTAATTTACTTTTATCTGTTTTTAGTATCAGACTACTGTCCCCTGTGCTCAGCCTGATACTGTTACTCATTGCGCTGGAGTTGGTCAACATTCATGCTGTTTGTGGGAAGAATGCGCATGAGTATCAGCAGTACCTAAAGTAAGTGTGTCACAGTATGTCTGCAGTCACATTGCATCGTGGGGCAGATTGCGGGTGAGCCTGTAGGAGTGAGATTGGGGCAGTGTGAGTGACACTATCCCCTTGGTGGCCCCACCGCCATCTCAGGCAAGGGTCTGACATCTGGCCTGCAAGAACTCCCACATCCAAATGTCTCAAAACCATGTTTTTTTTGTTTTGTTTTGTTTTGTTTTTTTTGGAGACAGAGTCTTGTTCTGTTGCCCATGCTGGAGTGCAGTGGCATAATCACAGCTCACTGCAGCATCGACCTCCCAGGCTCAGGTGATCTGCCACCTCAGCCTCCTGAGTAGCTGGGACCACAGCCATGCCACCATACCTGGCTAATTTTTAAATGTTTTTGTAGAGATGAGGTCTCACTATGTTGCCCTTCAGTGATCATCCCACCTTGGCCTCCCAAAGTGCTGGGATTACAGGTGTAAAAGCCACTGTGCCTGGCCAAAAACCCAATTCGTGTATGTAACAAATTGTTTCCAATTCGGGAAGTCCACTTTTAGGACCATCCCGATCTAGGAGTCTGAAGTAGTGTGACACTTGTGTGACCCACTTTACATCCAGAGATTCCAAACCAAGGAGGCTTCCGGGCAGAGGTCAAACAAGCTGTCAATCTGGGCTTGAGTGTAGCTCCAGCTCCAGTCTCCCTCGGCTGCTAGGAAGTTCTGGATATCTTGTTGGTTTTAAGCCAGTGCTTTGCAGGTGCCAGGCACCTCAGTACATGTTTAAATGAACGTGAAAATACAACTGGGGTGTCTTATGGAAAGATGCATAGACTCCTGCTGAGAGTGAGGGAGCAAACATGCAGACTGTTAGCAGCTGAGGACTCCAGCTCAGTGTGCCCCATGCTTGGCACTGCTGGCATTGTGGGCTGGTGCAAGACTGCCCTGCTCATTGTAGGACGCTCAGTAGCAGCCCTGCCTCTACCCACAAAATACCAATGGCACCCCTACCCTCCGTTTGACAGTCAAAAGTGCCCTAGACATTGCCAGATATCCCCTGGGGGATAAAATCACCCCAGTAGAGAGCCCTCCTCTAGACAAAGTGTCTGTGGCTTTTCATTATATTATCCTTTTAGCTTCTCTTTAAGTTTGAATATTTTCAAGATAAAATGCTGGTGAAAACTACCTGGCAAATGTGGAAAAAGTAAAGATGACATTTATTGTCATCAGTCAGAGTGACCCCGCTGTTAACATTTTGAGAAATAACTTAAGTAAAATCTCTTTAACAGCAACAGCTGTCTCAGTGGCACACATCTTCTCTGAGCCGGCCCCTCCATCACGGGGGATGGAAATTGGATGTGTGAGGAGGGGGAGGGCACGCTGCCCACCAGGCTCCTGACGGGGCTAAAAGGACTGGCCTGCTTGTCATTGCAGCCGAACCTTGAACGATGCAGGTTTGCACTGCACAGGTCCACTTGTCCAGGGAGCTTTTTCAGTAAATATAGTTGGTCCTCTGTATCAGCAGGCTCTGCGTCTCTTGCAAACACAGATTGAAATTACAGTGCTCTTGGTTGCAGACATCAATGTGGGAAAAAAAAACAAAACACAAAAATCTCATTGCGAAACCCACATGTTCAGGGGGCCAATTTTTCACGCTTGACTTGAGTATGCTTGGATTTTGGTATCCACTAGATGACTGTATATTGTGTGTTTATTTTGTGCTGTGTGTTTATTATATTATGTGTCAGTTTGATGCAGATGACCCCTAAGTTCCTTCCTGGAATGACGGCCGTCATGTCTGGGCTGGAGAAGAATGCTTGAAAAGGTGCTTGCGTTGGAGCCTGTCCAAGTGTCCAGTAGCATTTACATTTCAGCATTTTTGTCTTTCTTCTAATTTGTATTCTCTTATTTTTTATTTATACGGATTTATTTTTCTTGAATCCTCAGACATAAATTAACTGCAGTTTACTTTAGGAATAATTCCAAGAATGAAGTGAAGACATTTAATTCATTGTTTCATTTTATAATGGAATGGATAAAGAAATTAATTTTTTTTTTACAGGTTTGTAAAGTCGATCTTGCAGTACACGGAGAACCTGGTGGCTTACACCAGTTACGAAAAGAACAAGTGGAATGAAACTATCAATCTTACACATACAGCTTTGTTGAAAATGTGGACTTTTAGTGAGAAGAAACAAATGTTAATACATTTAGCCAAGAAATCCACAAGTAAAGTACTCTTATGAAAACTTGTAAGTCAGGATGCTTTTAATTTTAACAGATTTTAACAGCGTGTAAATTAAAAACCCAAAGACAGGGTGGAGTTGAGGGTCTGCTTGGCCAGGGTCCAGGTTCTGTTTCTCTGCAGTCATCTGATGTACCCTTTCCGAGTGGTTGGTGTGAGTCTCACTCTGCAGTCTTCTGATTTGCCCTTTCCGAGTGGTCGATGTAAGGCTCAGTCTGCAGTCTTCTGATTTGCCCTTTCCAAGTGGTCGGTGTGAGTCTCAGTCTGCAGTCTTCTGATGTACCCTTTCCGAGTGGTCGGTGTGAGTCTCACTCTGCAGTCTTCTGATTTGCCCTTTCCGAGTGGTCGGTGTGAGTCTCAGTCTGCAGTCTTCTGATGTACCCTTTCCGAGTGGTCGGTGTGAGTCTCACTCTGCAGTCTTCTGATTTGCCCTTTCCGAGTGGTCGGTGTGAGTCTCAGTCTGCAGTCTTCTGATGTACCCTTTCCGAGTGGTCGGTGTGAGTCTCACTCTGCAGTCTTCTGATGTACCCTTTCCGAGTGGTCGGTGTGAGTCTCAGTCTGCAGTCTTCTGATGTACCCTCTCCGAGTGGTCGGTGTGAGTCTCAGTCTGCAGTCTTCTGATGTACCCTTTCCGAGTGGTCGGTGTGAGTCTCAGTCTGCAGTCTTCTGATGTACCCTCTCCGAGTGGTCGGTCTGAGTCTCAGTCTGCAGTCTTCTGATGTACCCTTTCCGAGTGGTCGGTGTGAGTCTCAGTCTGCAGTCTTCTGATGTACCCTTTCCGAGTGGTCGGTGTGAGTCTCACTCTGCAGTCTTCTGATTTGCCCTTTCCGAGTGGTCGGTGTGAGTCTCAGTCTGCAGTCTTCTGATGTACCCTCTCCGAGTGGTCGGTGTGAGTCTCAGTCTGCAGTCTTCTGATGTACCCTTTCCGAGTGGTCGGTGTGAGTCTCAGTCTGCAGTCTTCTGATGTACCCTCTCCGAGTGGTCGGTGTGAGTCTCAGTCTGCAGTCTTCGGATGGACCCTTTCCGAGTGGTCGGTGTGAGTCTCAGTCTGCAGTCTTCTGATGTACCCTTTCCGAGTGGTCGGTGTGAGTCTCACTCTGCAGTCTTCTGATTTGCCCTTTCCGAGTGGTCGGTGTGAGTCTCAGTCTGCAGTCTTCTGATGTACCCTTTCCGAGTGGTCGGTGTGAGTCTCACCCTGCAGTCTTCTGGTTTACCCTTTCCGAGTGGTCGGTGTGAGTCTCAGTCTGCAGTCTTCTGATGTACCCTTTCCGAGTGGTCGGTGTGAGTCTCAGTCTGCAGTCTTCTGATGTACCCTTGCTGAGTGGTCAGTGTGAGTCTCACTCTGCAGTCTTCTGGTTTGCCCTTTCCGAGTGGTCGGTGTGAGTCTCACTCTGCAGTCTTCTGATGTACCCTTTCCGAGTGGTCGGTGTGAGTCTCAGTCTGGCTTCCTTTGTGGTGACCAAGTGCTGTTGTAGTTTTTGGTTCCATCTCCCCGTAACACACCGTCCAGAGGAAGAAGGGAGAGCTGCTGTCACTCAGAAACGCGTGGCTCCTTGGTTACTGGCCACATGCCTACCCTTGAGAACGATTGCTGTGGCCGGGACCCTACCCTGCATTCACCGGCCTTGGGAGATGTTGACTCCTGGACCAGCCATCAGGGCAGGGAGGGTGAGGCCCTGAGGCTGAGGAGAGGACTGATGCAATTTAAGCTTCCTGGGTCAGTGCTGGAGACCAGCTCCTGAAAGGGGAGGTGGGCAGGCACGGGTGCTGGGCAGCAGCCTCCTGGTCAGCATTTGGCAAAAAAAGAAGCCCTTCCCTGTTTTTAGATGTGGGGGTTTCAGTGCAGGGTCTGGGAGAGCTGGGGGAAAGGAGATTAGGGAAGCTGCCATTCATAGGCCCTGCTTGAAGAAGCAAGTGTGTGACTCGAGGGTTCCTGCAGCCGCTGCAGCTCTCGAGGGTGCCTGGGACCCCCACTGTCAGAGTTGGCAGCTGCAAAGCTGGGGCTTTCCGGAAGCCTCTGGGCGGCCGCCCTGACCTCATGTCTGCTTGGGCATGGGCCACCTCACCCCACCCTCTGTGAATCACTGCTTCTCTTTTTCCACCTTCCAAACCTTGACAGGGTGCAGCTGGCAGTCATCTAAGGACTGGCATTCTGTGGCTGCTTCCGCTCAGGAGACCTGGGGGCCGTGGGTGGCAGCAGAGCTGAGCATGTGCTGTTTGTGCTCTGCCAGCTCAGCTCTGGCCCCTCTTAAACACCACCTCTGGGTAAGCGTGACACTTCTGGCTAATGTGATGCAACTTTCTCTTGTACAATTGAAGATGGTTCCTCCTCTTCCCAAAAGTGGAGACACAAAGCACAAATCCCATGTGTCAGTATTCCCACTCTGGGACTGTTCTTTTATAGCGCGGTCACACCTCTCTCTGATACACTTGCATTTAGATGGTGACGTAGGGTTGACCATCCTGCTAGTGGTGGTGCTGGGATGGGAAGAGGGAAAGAAAGAACTGACTGGTAGAGTTATCGCGTAGATACTGGTGTGTCTTACCATTGCAATGAGGAGACCGCACAGAGCTGCTGCATGCACTGTTTTTGCAACCTGATGATCTGGCAGAAGTTTGTGTTTGAAAATTCCCTTTTTGCCACTGTTCCATGTTCCTTTCCTCTGCCTGTCTGGGTTGTGGTTTTTCACCCGGTGAGTTAACCCAGACCTCATTCCTGACAGGTCTTTTCCATTACAAATCTTTCTCGTTTTGGGTAACTGTAGGTTTCCACTAACTTATCACTGGACTTGGGAATACTAAGAGGTTCCCTAGAGAATCCCCTAAATTTCAGACCCTCCTCCTGGCCCCCCATTCTGTGGTAGGAGCTGTGTTTCCCCAAGACAGTTGAGAACAGTCATCTGGCCATAGCAGCAAACTCTTCTGGCTCATTGGCACAAGGCATCCAGTGCGGCTGGGTGGCAGCCTCCGCCTGCAGGACAGTGAGCACCTCGTGTCTCTCTGTGGAAGCATCCAAGGAATGAAGACACCCAAACCAGCAGAGTCCAGAATTGTGAGCGGAGAATCCAAACCTTGCTAGTGGTGCGGGGGCGTAATTAGAGGAGCCATTCCCGCTCCACATGCGCCTCCACCTGTGTTTTCCGGCCATGGGAGAACCCACACCACATGCTGACCGATGGCTCGGAGTGCAGGGCACGTCTTGGGCAACCCAGCAGCCCCCGGGGCGCCTTGTCACAGCCAGCACTGCCCGGTGCTTGGGAGGCTCCCCGAGGTAATGTGTGTGCTGGGATCACGATTACCACGAGCCTCACTGCTGAGCTCTGCTTGAAATGGGTCTCCTGGAAGCAGTTCTGTAAGCAACCTTGCAGCAGATGAGGCTTCTGTGAGCCAGGTGCGGTGGCCAAGAGGCGTCTGTCCCTCTGAACACATGGCCCGATGTGCTTGGGGGCTGGCTCTTCTTTCCAGGTGAGTTTTTCATGCTAGGAATTGTGTTGGTCTCTCCCATTAGCAGATTTATACATTTAGCAGTGGACCTTAGCCAGACTAGCCTTGGAATGAGGATGCCCACGCGGTCGGAGCCATTGACAACGTCCTTCACTGCCTCTACGGCCACTTTGTTGATGAGAACGTTGAGCAAGCAAGGCTGGGTGGCTGGAGAGAAAGGCTAACATGCATGAGGCAGCCATCGTGCCACCTGCCTACTGAGAGCATGGGCCCCCTCCCCCGCTGTTCTTTAGGGCCACTCAAATGGGTTAGAACTTTGCCAATTTTCACCTTCAAGTGGTGTCAGCTGTCAGCATCTTTTACAGCAATCGAGTCTAACTTTTAATTCAGGTGAGTGATCCTAGGGAAGTCCCCATGAGGCCAGTAGGTGCGTGGTGAGGGGTGCTGTCCCTGCAGCAGTGTGGGCCTGAAGAGCGTCGGAACCACTTGCTTGTATCTTGTGCTCCAGAACATGCCAAAGCCTAATCTGTGTGTGCGTGTGCATGTGCATGCATGCTCGTGTGTGTGTGTACACCTATATGCCTATTAAATATATACATCTTGCCTGAATGTAATGATGACATGCTCCCGCTGTTGCCTCCCCTGGTGACGTGACAGGTCAGAAAACGCAGTCTTTGGTGGTCCGCTTAAGCTCCAGCTAGCTGTCACTAGCTGTGCGATGGTGAAGTGTAGATGTTCGGTATCCATCAGGGCCTAGAGGACAAGCTGAGAGCTGGTTCTCAGATTAATAATTATCTGCAGAAGAGGGTGTGGTTTTGTCCCAGAACCCTAGGGGTCTGTGCTCTGGGCCTGTCTGTGGCTCTGCCATGCATCATGGGATCTAATTGCCACCGTGGCCCGACAGGGAGACCAGCTTTTACATCAACCTGCTCTGGAGGCTTTGGTCTTTCTAGGCCTCATGCAGAACTGGCAGTTTGTAGGTTAATTGGAAAGTGAGCAGAGTAGCGTGTGTGAGTCTGGTGGATGTTGGTTGCAGAGCTCCAGAGAGACTCAGAGTGCCTGCCCCTCTCTAGTGCCAGTGAATGCGAGCACAGCAACCTGTCCTCCCCCTCGCGGAGTGCATCCACACCTTCCTAGATCACAGGCCCTGGAAACTTCAGAGCAGCAGCCCTGTGCATTCTTATGAGAGTTACGTCCCACCCCAGGTGGTCATAATGTCACCAAAACAGTGGGGTGTCTTGTTTCCTGTCCACATCATTAATGTGATGCTCCATGGTGGCATCCTGTGGAATGGCAAGATAGCCGGCAGCCCTGAGCTCTAGGTTGTGTGGAGGAACTGGAGAGGTAGCACAGCCCTGATGCATGCCCACCAAGGCTGCTGCTGTCCCTGCCAGATGAGAACAAGACAGCTTCTGGACGTGAGTTTGCAGGATACAAAACCCCAACCCATATCCGTAGGTATAGAGAAAAATCATCTGCCAGATCAGTGGCTGCAGACCAGAGATCCGGGACTATATCTATTTGTTCCAATAAAGAGACCACATCTGAAGTAGCAGATGCTCAGGCTCCTGGGCCAGGGCCTTGTGTCCCAGGGAGGCTCTGCTGTCTTGAGTGGCGGCTCTGTTCCCTGCAGGTGCGTGGGCAGCCATGCTGCTGGGCTGCCTGACCTTCCCTTGGTATTCTTTCCCCTGTTGCCCATCCTGCTTCTGATGAACACTTCCTTGGTCAACTGCAGTATATGTCCATCCCAGTTACAGTCACATCATAAATGGCTACAATTGGTTGTTTTTCCTTAAACAGTGTTACATATCTCTGTTCACAATTGAATTAACTTAGAGTTTAACCCTTAAGAGGCAAATGTCTTCTGTTCTCACCTTCCGGAGGGATCCGGCCACATTGACCATCTTGCTAGCAGGGGTCACAGGTGTAACAAGAACGGATTTCTGCTGGCTGGTGGTCCACGGTGTAGCATGGCTCGGGGGACCCAAGAACTCGATGGCAAAGCTGCTTCAAATTCTCCTGCATGCTTGCTCTTTTCTTTTTGCCCTTTTTCTTCTTTCTTCCCCTTCCTTCCTCTCCTTCTTCCTCTCCTTCTTTCTCTCCTTCTTCCTCTCCTTCTTTCTCTCCTTCTTCCTCTCTTCCTCTCCTTCCTCTCTTTCTCTTTCTCTCTCTCTTTTCCTTTCTCTTCCCCTCCCCTCCCCTCCCCTTCATCACCTAGGCTGAGGTGCAGTGACACAATCATATCTCACTCCAGTCTCTAACTCCTGTGCTCCCATGCTTTTTCTTTTCTTCCTTTCTTTCTCTCCGTTTTTGTTTTTGTTTGTTTGTTTGGTTTTTGAGACGGAGTTTTGCTCTTGTTGCCCAGGCTAGAGTGCAGTGGTGCGATCTCGACTCACTGCAACCTCTGCCTCCCAGGTTCAAGCGATTCTCCTGCCTCAGCCTCCCAAGTAGCTGGGATTACAGGCATGTGCCACCATGCCCAGCTAATTTTGTATTTTTAGTAGAGATGGGGTTTCACCATGTTGGTCAGGTTGGTCTTGAACTTCTGCCTCAAGTGATCCACCCACCTTGGCCTCCCAAAGTGCTGGGATTACAGGCATGAGCCACTGTGCCTGGCCTTTATTTTCTGTCTCTGCTGGCTGGCTGAATACCGTGAGCAGACCAGAATTACTGGAGGCAAGGGAGAAATGGAAAATTAGCTAAATTTGTGTTCCTTCAAAAGCAATGATGAAAACAATTATTTTCAAAGAGCAACAGCAAATGTTGGTCCAAATTCACAAGTGTTCATCTGACAGGCCATATTGGAGAGTAAAGGTAATTGTGCGTGGGCCTTCTGAATGCATGGACGTGGAATTTAGCTACAGGATGAATGTTCTCCTGCTTCCGTAAGTTGTTTTGATGAGACATGAAGACATGTTCTGAACAATATTAGAAGAAAGCATCACCTTGGTACATCTGGCACCTGCCCTGCCCCCGACCTTTTCCTGAGTGAACAGAAGCCACGTCCCTTTTTAAATTAAGTGATGGAACAGCCTGGCCTGTTCCATGTCCTTGCTGCTGTCTCCCGTGCTCGCTCCTCTGGGGCTCCAAGCATGTGGCTGAGAATCCATTTGGGACATCCGTTCCCCATCCCTGCCTGTCTCTATCATTAAACAAAGTGAAGATAGTCTGATGTGACTGGCTTTCCAAACTCTTACTTGGATTCACTGTAATGTAGACTAAACAAATGGCTTAAAATTCACTGTTTGCAGAGACCTTATCCTCTGCTCCACTCAGTAGAGACATGACCTGCCCCTCGAATCTCTGCTCATTCCACTGCCTTCCTGACAGGCATGTGCGCAGCTTCAGGAAGCTCTCTGAGGTCAGAAACCCTGTCCTTTTACCTGTTTGCACCCCCTCTTTGTGTGTCCTGAATATTTTTACTACCTTAAATGTGGGTTCTTTTCCCCACAACATTTGTTTTAAATAATTTTAAAGCTACAGAAATGTTTCTAGAATAGTCCAATGGATTCCCACATGACAGTTCAACTATCGTTGGCATTTTGCCACACTTATTTTCCCCTTTTAAGTACACATATATCATTCTTTTGACTGAACCATTTTGAAAGTTAGTCATTGTGATGTGATGTTTTGCCCCCAAATACTTGAGCATTCATCTATTGAGAACAAAATCATTCCCCTTCAGTTATCAAATGGAGGAAATTTAACAATAACACAGCACCATTATCTAATACATGGTCCATATAAAATTTTTCCCAGTGTGTATAATAATATCGTTTATACCTTCATTTATACCTGTTGTTTGTTTTTATCCAAGCACCACAACTGCTTTTAGTTACTATATCTTTTATTTTTAAAATCTGGAATAGCTCCCTTTTTGTTTTTTTTCTTTCTGTGTCAGAGACATTTTTGAAGTATTTATGTCACCTTTACAGAATGTTCATCAATTGGCTTTTGTTAGATTGTTTCCTCAAATTTGACAGTTTTAAAGAAACACTGCATCCATGATACTGTCTGAACCAGTGCATCACATCAAGACACATGATTGACACAATAATGCTGTGTGCCACTCGCTGCATCACAGCAGGACACATGAGGCACATATGTGCTGCTGTGCATTCCTCAGTGAATATTGCAGGACGTGTGGGTGGGGCCAGGTGTTGTCAAGGTCCCGGCAGGTCGCTCTGCCCTCTAAACACAATGGCTGGATGGGCGGTGGACACCTGCTCTGCGGAGCCTGGGCAGCAGCTGAAGATGATGTGGGGAGGGGCTGCTCAGCTGGGGCTGGAAGGTGAGGACAGGGCTGGGCTGGCCGCCTTGTGGAGATAGCAGGACTTGTTGAGGGAAAGTCAGGCCAGGGATGCAAACCAAAGCCTGAGGAGAAACTGCAGGGCCGTGCATGGCCTCAGCTCCCTTTCTGAGGCTCCGTTGATGTGAGTGCTTTCAACAAGCCCTCCAGGGAATCTCTGCTGCTTGCAACCAAAAAGTAGTGACCACTGGAAGAGCCAGCCCCTGCGAGAGGACAGAGGCATGGCCGCCATCAAGAGGCAGGCAAACCCCAGAGAAGGAGGCCACGGACTTGGCAGTGGACGACCGGTGTGCGATCTCAGTGCCACAGGTTACTGGTTTTGTGGCAAGATGTGTACCTGCTGACAGCATGGCTTCCTCGTCTGCAGAGTGTGACAGTGACATTCCCTGCCTCATTAGACGTTAGGATACAGTGAGGCGCCGTGCTCAGCCCCATTCTGGCACGTAGCATCGATAAACACCAGCTCTTACCGGACCGTTCCCTTATGCTGGGAGGAAAGAAACGATTTGGATTTCCTCTGTCTAGAAGTCCAGCTATCTGCATGTGTGTTCAGAGGACGTTCTCGTATCTCAGGAGTGAAACCAAAGCATCCTGTACATCTTTCCCCCACCCCCACTCATAGCCTCGGATTCTCTGCACAGCTTTAGTAAAGGAGCTGATGGGGAATCGGATGCCTGACCCCGAGTCCTCACTCTGGGGCTCGAGCTTAGGATAACTTCAGGTTCAGCTGAGGCCTCTGAACTGTGACTCCGCCCCGTGGCCGCATGCGTCGGAACTCCTACCTGCCCTTTGCCCTTCTCGAGGCCGGTGCTTGACTGGAGGAGGGCTGGCAGCAGAAGTGCAGCTGACCGGGTTGCGTTTTCGTACGGCTGACTAAAGCGGATACCGGTGGCGACTCATTTCTCGTTTTATTTTTCAACGATTTGGCGGAGAAGCTCCTCTTGTGAATGGACTTTGGATTTCTTGGAGCTGCGCTGCGGGTCCCACAGTGTGGCTTTCGGCCCGTGCTGTGCTGGCGCCTGCACTTCCTCTGGCGGGGCACGGGGTGGCGCTCCCTGGTAAAGCAGCGGCCAGGGGGAGCCGTGAGTGAGGCGCTGCCTCTCCCGCTGAAGCGGGTTCCAAGGCCACCGTGAGGGGGACCATCCATCCAGGTAAAACGTGTTCTTTCCTTGTTCCTTTGCGAATCGATGGGGATCAGGCTTCCCCAGGTGGTGAAGTGAGGAACAGGGACCGCGGGGCTCGCCTGACCAGTGGGGTCTCCATCCTTGTCCGTGCTGACAAAAGACAAGAACAGACAGCGCCTGAAATCTTCCCGCCTCCGTGAGGGAAGCCTGCGTCTGGGAACGCGCCGCAGGGAAGTGATCCCTGAGTGAGGGAGGAGGTGCCGGGGCATCATTAATCAGACCTCAATGCCGGGAAGGTTCTTTGTTTAAAGAAACACTCATGTTTAAAGAGCACTTGGTGCGGACTTGCTGTGGCCATCGCCCTCAACAGCTCATCTTTAGGAGGTGCAGGCTGAATTCACGCCTCGGTGTCGTCCATGTCTGCCTGCCGCGCAGAGGAGACAGCGAGAGGCCTTCCCACCGCACGGCTTTTACGGGAAGCTCTTCGCATTGGCTACAGGGGTGTGGTTTGGTTTATAGCCACACCAAGTAATTTTAATAGAACTCAATAACTGTGTTGCCTTGCAGGCTCCGAGTGCTACAGGCAGACCCGAGTCCGAGTCTTCCTACGGTTCATTGTCCCCCCCTGGATTTCCTAGGGACTCCAGATACGATGGCATCGATGTCAGTTAACTTGGCACTTCTTAAAATAGATCTATGATCAAATCTTAAGTTTTTCCGAATAAGACTCTGGAGGAATGCAGGAAGGTCATTTGATTACTTTAAAATAAGAGGATTTTATGTTAAAATATTGAAAAAGCCAGTCATAAAACTAAGCTCTGTACCAATGAATATAGTTCGCGAAGCCAGCAGCACAGGCTTATTATTATAAATATCAAACACCACCATTATGAGTAAGCTCATTTATTTTCAAAGCACTTTGCGATCATTAATTGTTCACGTCTGTGAATACCCCCTGAGAGACAGTATTATTAACTGCATTTGAAAGGAAGAAAACTAAGGCACAGAAAACCCGTAATTCATTGTCCTGAGGGGAAAAGGAGACACCAGGAACACGGCTGTCCTTTCGCTGCATCTTCTCTTTGGTAGAGATCCAGGGACATCTGGAACATCCACCCTCTTTCTCCCACTCACGGCCATGCCACCACCTAGTGCCTCACTGACATTTCCTCTCAATCTCAGGATAATCACATCGATGTAACACTTGGCAGGTTTGTTATCTCAGTGTCTATTATCTCAAAAATTAATCCTAATAGCAACCTTAGAAAGAGGCAATATTAGCCCCATTTCATAGGAAAATGAAGGATCAGTGAGAAAGTGACAGGTCTGTCACTGGCAGTGCAGGGCAGGGCCATTGTGGTGAGTCAGGCCTCGGCTGCAGGTCTGAGTTTATGCCATTGCCCCCATCTGTGGGGTCTAGGAGGCTGTTGTCTAAGCAGAAGGCATGACCCATCAGGGGCCATGGGTGGTGGGCACAGAATTGAGTCATCTGACTGCCTTCCCACCCACCTGTATGTGTTCTTTGTTTTATTTAAGTCCTGTGAGGGTAGTTTAGGACCTTGTCCCTTCCCACAGCATAGCACAGAAAATTGGGCAAGTCCAGACCATGACTAAATCCACTTTAAAAAACCCACCCCCGCTGAGACCGGCGGATTCTCTCCCTCCCCACTTGAGATATGATGTTGCCTTAAATGGTCCAGCAGTCGCGGAGCCTCAGGGGGCCTCTCTGCCTTAGTTGGTGCATTCCAGTGCTGCTCGGTCTGTATTTCCAGATCTTGCTTTTATCCTTTTATTTTCTAGAGTAATTGATAATTCCAATCTATCTGGCCTGCATGAGATTTATAAAATAAATGGACAAAATAGAAAATAAATATTTTATGGAGCCACCACTGTGTGCAAGACATTCTGCTAGGGAGGCTGAAGGGTCCCACAGCTTCTAAGGACCGGTCCCTGGCCTAATGGAGCTCACAACAGATTGAGAAGGGAGGAGGGACACCGCTGACACAGCCCACGCTGCCCAGTGCCGGGTGCAGGAGAGGCAGTGGATGCAGGGGATTGTGGGCAGGGTGTGCTGGGCCTGGGCCCTGGCTCCCTTTGGGAGCCTCATGGCCGCTCTGCTGTCTTCCTCCGTGCATGGCCTGGGCCGCATTGTGTGCTGTGGAGTTATTGGATCAGACCTGGATGCTGCAACCCAAGGAGAGAGAGGAGGACAGAGCCCAGGAGAAGAACAGCACTCGGCAGCCTGACCCCTAAAAACCAAACACAACAGAAACCAAGCCAATGGCGATGGTTGAGAAGAACCAAGCCAGCGTGTAGGGGAGGCTAGGGTGGCACCCTGGGCATCCAGGGTGGAGGGACTCGAGGAAAGGAATGACCGGAAACACAGCTGGGGAGGCCCGGAAGGCCGGGGGCTCAGGCTGAACTCTCTTGGGGTTCCCAAGGGGCTGACGGGGAGTGAATTGTCAGAGGTGGTCAGAGCCACAGATTCCTGGGGGACATGTACTGTGGCTCAGGATGGAGAAAAGGTGGGCTGAGGTCGGGACGGTCGGTGCAGGTGGGTGCACGAAGGCGTCTGGAGGAGGAGAAAGCTTTACAGCCAATGTCCTGGAGGGGCCGCAGACAGGAGGCACCAGGTGCTGGAAACCCCAAGCTGTTCCTTTTCATCGACGAAGAGGGGAGTGGGAAACATAGGGCGAATTTCAGAGTCTACTGTAAAGAGGAAGGATTTACCTGCCATGGTGTTGCTGGGTGATCTGGGCAAAGCTAGGGGAGCTGGTTTATGAGAAGTGAAGAGATAGGGTGGGGAGGAGGAGATCTGGACCTGGGCTTGGGAAATGTGAGGGGATCCAACTGCGAGAGACCAGAGGCACCCTCAGGACAGTGGAGCCCAGTTCTTTTCTCTGCAAATAAATCTCAGTTTTCCACATCTCAACATGTGAGGCAGCTCACCCTAGTTTCTTGTTCTTTCTCTAAGAGAGTTTGGCCTTCCATTGCCTACAAATGGGAGAAAAGCTAATGGGGCTCACGTACATGGAGGGGAGTTCAGGATGAGGCTGGTGGTTCAGGCATCCTGTGAGCCCAAGGGGATGCCACCGGCCTTGTGGTGCTTACAGAGACATGCGGCAGCTGTGATCCACATTGAGGGTGAGAAACAAGTGTGAGACTACAGACACCTGAGAGGCACTGTGGGGGCAGCACCCCGCAGGCAGAGGCAAACGGTGGGCCTGCGGTTTCCCTTCCCATCTGGTGTCTGCTGGTGGCTGGCAACCCCATGCCAAGACCTTTGGTGCCTGCGCTGTCCCCACCCCCTTTTACCCAGGGCCCCTGATGTGCTCGGCTCTGCCTGGCATGAATCCCAACAACTCACCCTGCCTCCTGCTTGTGCGAAATGTGCAAACGTGAACTTGCCCAGTATTGAAGAGCTCAGGACCTTGAGTTCCGAGAGCCAGGGAGGAATACTTTGTTGTTCTTTAGACCCAACAAGCCAGATCTGTTAACGCCAAACCTTCATTCCCAAGACAACCCTCCCTTTTGATGGCCCTAAGGTGCTGCCCCCTAATTTCATGACTTCTGCCACTGCAAAAGCTTCCCAAATTCGTACTGAGGCCACGCCTTTCAGAGTGGATGCACGAAGGAGGGCGGTTCATCGGAAGTGAATCTGAGATTAAACCCATGTATCTTAGCTCCCCAGTGCTCCCCTTCATCATTTCTAGAACATACGTAATAGCATGTCCTGGTCTTCTTGGTGGTCTCCTTAGGGATATAGGGGAAGGGCAGTTTTCATATCAACTTTCTTTATGTTACCATGAATTAGCTGCTTGCTGAATAAACTTCTCAGACAAAAATCCCACACTTCCCGAGTATTCGCCCTTCCACACCACAGTCACTTGCTCTAGTGTTTGCACACAGTTACATTATTATCAAAACTGCAGTTCAACTAAATGCTCCAAGTGCAGGTGAAGGTCTGTCCTCAAGGTGCTGCTTGAAGCAGGTGACTGGAACAGTTCCAGGTCCCTGCTGTTCTGGGGTGTCAGCATCAGCTCCGTTCAGGGGTGACAGACAGCAAGGCCCCAGCCGGGAGAGGCCAAGGGGACGGGAGTGAGAGGGAGAGCTCAGAGGCAGGGCAGGAGCCTCAGGATGGGAGATGCCAGGGCCTTGGCAGGCGGCCACCCCAGGACCAGGCAGGCTCCCCAAGCCAGGGGTTCTTTCCCTTCCAAGAGCAGGACTGAAAGGAGGCTCAGGAGTAAGGGGCAAGGGCGGATGGTGGCAGGTGCAGGGGGTGAAGGGGCCCCGCCTGGGAAAAGATGGCAATGGAGCTCAAGGAAATAGAAGCAGCTACGTTGCCACGGTGGCCACAGTGCAGGAGCAGGTGCTGCTGGGGAGCTGGGCCCCAGGCTTTATCTACACTGTCTCACCGTAAGTCCGCTCCCGACTTGGCACCATTGTCTGACTCCACACATTGCCATAGCCCTGTCAGGCAGGTGCTTGCAAAGGCCACAGAGCTGTTGAGTGGGTGCAGGAGGGAAGCACACCAGGAATTTGGCCCTGGTCTGAGGCTGCAGGGGACAGCTGGCTGTGGTCAGCAGGGCCCGAACCCCGGCTCTGGAGCCTGCAAGCCACCCTGAGGGTGCAGAAATCTGAATGTCTGGGGCCATGTGCAGAGTGTGGCCAAGTCGTAGCTGTGGCTTCAGCATTCAGAGCCTCTGCCTCTACTGGGGATTAATGCAGGTTTCCAACATCTCTGTGTTTGGTCAGTGCTGATCTTTTTCCTAACTGGCGACTTATTGGTTCCAGGAGAGTACTGGGCAGGCTGCAAATGTCTGTGTTAAAACAGCTCTGCTGGGCTAAGACAGGACAGAAGCAGACAGCAGGTGGATGAGACACAATTTCCTATCCAGCAGAACCTGCAGCAAGCTCCACAGCACCCTCCATGGGCTCAGTCTTGCTCCCGGGAAGATGGTTAATTCCATCAGGTCAGTATTTCCACACCTCCCGAGCCTCCACTTTCCTCTATGTGTTCTCTGAAACCCACCCCCCTGGGCTTGCCACTTAGATGATTCCAGAATTGCCTCACCACCCTTTACTTGCAGAACCTGGCCTTCATGTTATGGGGATGATTAGGAAAGAAAGTTGCTTCAGGAAATGGCCAGAAAGGGGTTCCACAGAACTGGCTTATGAAATAGTTTTGCAGAATCTGTAATTAGTAAGCTGGAAACAAAGGCAAAAGAAAAAACAGAAAATCTTATTGTAGAAAACATGCTTTGCAGTGTTTGAAAAGGCTGTTCTTGTTAAATTAACCCATTAATAAATACAAACCACATAATATTTGCTTTTAAATTATTGTCTGTAGTGTCAAAATAACTGGTCTATGAAGCCAGTGGGAGTCTGTCTAGTTGGAAAATAGTAGTATTTATTCTTTGAGGCCCCAAACATAAAAGAAAGTGTTGTTTAAATAAAAACATGGTGTGTGAGCATGAGAGGTGAGTGGACAATGGGAAATTACTTAATGAGTACAATACTCATCTTTTGGGTGAACACTAACAGCTCAGACTTTAGCACTGTGCAACATATCCATGTAACAGAATTACACCCGTACCCCATACATGTATAGAAATAAAAAAGATGCATCATAAACTGAACAAAACAGCCTATGATATATCTTGAAGAAATCATGCTTTAAAAATGATAATTTCATTATTGTATGGGAGAAAACTCACATGGCTCATAAATGAAAAACATGAAAAGCATTCAGTATAGTCTGTTCTCCATCCACATCCTCCTCTGCCTGGTTTCATTACACTCCTGTGTGTAACAAAGTCTTTCTTATTGATTTCTAGGAACTCTTTATATGTGGCACTAAGGGCATGAGTTATGATTAGGTTTTTGTGCGTCCTTAGAGCTTCCTGATGCAGATGCAAACACACAGGAATATGAGTGCTCACCTTCATCTTCTCTGTGTTTTACACAAATGGTGGCAGATTACATGCACTTTACCACACCTTGCTCTTATAAATTGGATAATCCCCCCTATGAGTACATGTAGCATTCCATTTTCTTACAGCTGTGGAGTATTTCAGTACCACACTGTATGGGTGGTTGGTGTTGATAGACACAGATTCTTTCAAATCTTTTGTTATAACAGATAATGCTGTTATCTTGCTAATATACCATTTTGCAGCCATCTTTGGAATCAGTCCCTAGGAGTGACATTGCTGGGTCAGAGGACACACATCTTTGTAATTCTGTAGGTGTTGTCAAATTATCCTGCATGCGGTCATGTGATTCGCTCTTCCCAGGCATGAAGGCCACTACTTCTCCACGGCTCCCTACCTGCACATCAGGAATGTCTTCTGACATTTGCTGATTGAATAGGTTTCCTATTATATTATTAGTAAGGCTGAGCATCTATTTAGTTTCTTTTCACTGGACCATTCCATCAAAGTTTTTTGCCTATTGATCTATTGAGTTTTTTTAATCTTTTTCTTATTGATTTTTTGGAGCTTTTAATATATTAAGGATGTAAGTTGTGATAAGAGGTGAAAATACATTCTTTTCCTCAGTGTCTGTCTTGATTTCTTAATTTGCTGATGGTAGTTTTTCATGCAGAAATTCCTATTTTGAGGTAGTTTAACTTATAAATTATTTTACTGCATTTGGATTTTTCAGTTTTAATTTAAAAAATCATGGAATTTGTCCATGATTTCTGTTAGTATTTTTATGGCTTTACTGATAACATTTAAATATTTTATCTATTTGAAATTTATTTTTATATACATGGTGGGACATGGGTGCAACTTTCATCTTTTATTATTTATTTTGCTGAATGCTACTCAGTTGTCCTAATGCCATTTATCACATAGTTTTTTTCACTAACAACTTTAGATGTCACTTTTATGACTTACTAATTTCCCTCCTATTTTTGTGTCTATCTGTATTTCCTGTGCTTTTCTGTTGTTCTGTGTGTTTATTCATGACCCAGTACAACAATGTTTTAGTTATTAAAACTATTATATGATCTAAGAACTGGTAAGGCTAATTTTCTCTTTACTCTTTTTTTTTCTGGATTTTCCTATTTTTGTTTGCTTCTTTTTCTATTTGAATGTTAGAATCAGATTGTCTAGTTCTCACCTCACAGTAAAATAAATTAACAAATAAATAAAATACAAAGATCCAGAAAAACCTCAGTCTATTTTTATTTAGGTGCATTCATTTACATAATAAGTCAGGGAAAGTTGGCATTTTATGATGTTGAGTCTTCCTAGTCGAGAACATCATAAGTCTTTCTATTTGTCCAAGTTTTCTTTTATAAACTTTCGAGGGTGGATAAAAATGTATCTCATATAGATGTTAACTTTCTTGTTAAGTTTATTCCTGGGAACTTTTTCTTGCTAATTAAATGGGAGTAATTTCTTTTGTTATATCTTCTAAAGCTATTGGTTTCTGTATATCAATTTTATCCCTACATCTTACTAATTTTCTTATTATTTGTTGAAGAAATTAACTTGATATTGTCTTTTGGTTTGAGATAGGTGTATCTTACCATGTTATGAAAATACTTATCAAATCCTATTTTATTAAGTTTTTTAACGCTAAATTTCATCAGATACGAAATGCAGCTTTTATACAGATTATCTTATTTTTTTTAAATCTTGGATCTGTTCAGAGGAATTACCCATAATCAGCTTTTGCAAATATTTTCTAAAGTTTTTGAATTTGATTTTCACATACAAATGTGTTTGGTTGTTGTTTACAGCATGTGTCATTCAAAACCCAATTTTTCATAAGGATGCCATGTTTTCCTAAGCATTTGGAGTTCCACAGCATCTTGAATTCGTTTAACAAAATGTTATAGAAGAAAAAACTTAGAATTAGTACAGTTGTGTCATTATTTAAAAGCTAACATTTTTCTCTGAGCTTGAAAAATAATAGATACCTTTTCTAGTGAAGAAAGCACCTTAAATTCTTTCTTGAACAAAGTATGTGTGTGTGGATGGAGGAGTAGGTTCGTAGGCAGATAGATTAGATAAACATTGTCAGTAAATTTAAATGGACATGATGCACACTTTAAACTCTCTCTGAAATAAAATAATGAGAAGTAAGAAATCCGAGCCCACAGATACTGGCCTGTTCAGGTGGTCCTGCTGAAGCACTGTCTCCATGGAAAGAGGAGTGCCAGAAGGAAGGACTGAGGAGACACAGCAGTGAGTCCACGTTCTTCCCCGAAACAACATCATTTCCTAAGCTTATTTATCACCTTTTAATTCTACAGAATCACATTGTGATTTTATAGTGACTAAGGACCAAGAGTAGAAATGTCTTATCTCCAAGGCATGGAGCAGGCACTTACCATTTAAAGGAAGCAATCTTCAGGCTTTTACAGGATATTGATCTCTTGGGAATGTCAGCAGGGGCACAAGGAGAGCAGTCGATGCGTCTGGACTCATAAATTGCTCACGTTACATCCAATATGCAGTGTATGATATGACGTGTCATGGAGGTGTCTGCAAAGGCACCACAAACACCAACATCTGGGTTACTTATTTGTCTCCTCTGCAGTGAAGCTGGCAATAAACACATCTCCCAGAGGCTGGGGAAGGTGGGAAAGAATGATCAAATGAAAGCTGCCAAAATGAGGGCATTTTTTCTGTCTTCATGAATCATCAGCCATAAAACAACAGCAGGACAGGGGTTGCATCCTTCTCTCTGCCGCTACAACCAGCAGGTGATGGATTGGACGTGGTGGCTACAAAACGCAGATGAAGGTCAGCACTGTGTTCTGGCTGAGACTTCTCAAATTCTCACTTCACAGTTAATTTTTGTTTCAGACAATGAATGTTGTTGTTATTTTAATGATAGCATAAGTTTAAAACTTTGATGCTTCCATTTTTCAAAAAGGGCAAACCACCACTGACAATAACAAAATCCTTTAACACAACAGCACTGGGGAACAGAGCCCAGGGCTTCTCCATTTGCTGATTCTCGGCACCTCCGTCTCTGTTACTCTCTGATGTTTCTTAAAGGCTGTCATATATGCATGGGATAAATGCGGCACAGCAGAAAACCAGAAATAAAGACAATGAGAATGAAGACGAGGCGGTTCTGGACAAGGTGCTGCTCAACCAGGAGGTGGCAACAGCAGGAGAGTGGACCTCCTTCCACTGAAGCTGCGGATAAACAGGACCTTGGAGGCCAGTGAGCTCCCTGCCCCAGTAGGGACGTGGCCTGCTCTAGGCAGAGGGCAGTTGAGCAAAGGAGAGAGGCATCAAAGTAGAATGACTTCAACTTTTTTAAAGGTTGAAAAACGCTGAATAAAGGATTACTGTAAAGAGTATGGGATTGTTTATATTTGCTGAGTAATCAATACCACATATTGCTTTCACGTTGTTTGCTCAGCTCTGTTCCAGGGCACATCCAAGAAGCATGGGCATGTTTCTGTGCTCTTACAAAGCCTCCTTTCTATTAGGAAGCCTGCAGCACACACAAAACAGCCATCAGCAAGAGTGTCTGTGGCCCCAGTGCTGCCCTAGGCAGCACACGAGAGTGATGGACTTTGAGTCCCTTTATTTTCTGCTCTCTGGAAGGAGGGGTTTTAATAGAATTTATCTTTTTATATATTCTGCCTAGCATTAGAGAAGCAGACAATTTTAGTCAATCATTCAAGACCATCCTGCGACCTCAGCTTTTGTGCTTTACAACCTTGTAAAGAAACACAGCAACATAATTAATTACAATTACAGCACTGTGATGTGAAATTTCAGCCAAAAATCTAAGTCAGCCAAAAATCTAAGTCATTGCCTTTGGCCTGAATTCCTTTAGCATAATCTTAAGACAGAACACGCATGCCTGATCCAAGGGCCTGTGCACATCAGGTGCACCTCCCAGCAGGAAAGGCTCGGAGGCGTGGGCCAGGGGATCATGCAGAGTTGGGCTTTCATTCAGCATCCCCGGGAATCAGGACATTGCACTCACACACACGCTTGCCACACAGCCTGGCAGGAGCCAAGACAAGGTTGCAACACTTTCATCTTTAAGAAAGGAGTTTGAAAATATTCGCTGCAAATTAACACAACTTTTCTGGCTGGTATGTACCCACAAATGGATGCAGCTGCACCCCGGACCGACCTGGGCTCCCTGAAAGATCAGAGGGAAATGTGAGGGACAAACCCATTCAGTGCAGAGCTCTCTTTCTTCAAGCAAGGGAAAAAAGATTTCCAAATTTGAAAATGACCTTCGCACCTCCCCTCCTTTCTGTTCCCCTCTTCAGTGGAATGTTTGAACAAGCACTGATGACTCGCTCCCAAATAGCCCAGATAAGGTTTTACAAGAACAGGTGGGCCTGCTTGAAAGATAAACTTTTTCTGAAGCAACAAGAAGACAAATGATCCGAAACTTGCAATTTGGTTAATGTTTCTCTCTCTCTCTCTGCCTTGTGTGTACACAGCTCCTTCTGGCCGGCAGCAGGAAGAGTGGCCCTGTGTGTGCCAGGCCCTGCAGTCTCTCCTCTCAGCTGGTGTCTCCAGTGAGGGACCTGAGTCATCGCACACATGAGCCTGTGCTCAGCCTGCACATCTCCCGCCTCCCACCAGCTGCTCCTCAACTGCCAGGGCCAGACTGTGGCAAAATCTCACTCCTCTGCCGATGCTGGGGTTTCCCTCGTGTCTGGGAGGTGGTGTGCTTGGTGGCCTGAGCACTGCAGTGAATCCATGTTTCCCTCCCAGCACCCTGTTCTGTCCTCCAACTTGGCCGACAGCTCTGGCCAGGGACGCAGCCCAGCTGGTGCCCACCCCGCACTCTGTCCATTTCATAAGAGCCCTTGGTTTCCTCACTTCCCTCAGATTTTGCCAAGAGAATGGTCCTGGTGTGGCCCAGAAAGGCCAGCGGGGTGCAGCCTGGGACTGAAAGCAGAGGCGGCTCTGGTGGGGAAAAAGTAGCTCTCCCAGCCTAGCCCTACTGGTGGGCGGCACCTCCTGGCTCCAGGCCATCTTTTGTCCCAGTCCTAGGTAAGAAAAACACAAACAAAAGCCAGTCCCATGGCACTCGAGAAGCAGGAGGCCGTTCCCTGACAGCAACATGCTGTGTGCACAGACACACGGGTGGACAGGAGGCAGAGCTCGGGGTTGCTGCGGAGCGGGCAGGACACTGGAGCGGCAGGCAGTGCGGACCCGCCGGGCAGCCGTGCACGGTTGTCGTCCTCAGCGGCAGGAGCCAGTTTGTTGCTCAGGGCCTTGTCTTTTTACAAAGAGCCCCAGGCCCCGGGGGCTTCTCTGGGTGCCTCTTTGCTGCCATGTCTGCACGCGGGCGGAGAGCAGACCAGGCTACCGACCCTCTCGCTTTGCTGTCTTCACGTGGAAAAGCCAGTGTCGTAGCCCCAAAGGAGGGGAAACTGTATTGATTTGGGGAGCCTCTATGTTGATTTCAAAACAGATTGTCTCCTGTGTTCTCAAAGACTGGAAGCGAACCCCACAACCGCCTTAGGCCACAAAAGCTTTATCCTTTCTAATTAGCATCCCTGTGACCTGCTCTGCGCCCTGCAGATATTTTGCTCAGCCAGCCAGAAGGAGGGAGGCCAGACACCAGCCCCCACAGACCTGCGGCTGCGACCCCCTGCCTGGGGACGATGGGGTCGGGGTCCAGTAGCTGCCCCAGAAACAAGTGGGGCTGCAGGAGGCTGATGGTGAGCTTGGAGGTTGGCAGAATTCTAAATCTGGGCACTGCAGGGTCCCCACAGGTCACGACCCTACTCTGCTCCACCCAGGCTCCGGAGGACCTGAGCAGGAACCTCTGCAGGGGGGGCCCGGGGCTCCCTGTCCTCTCAGCAGCCGGCAGTGCTCCCTGACAGCCCGGGCCTCTCCCTCCAGTAGTTCGGTAGTTTGCTGTCACCAACATGGCTGGGCCTGGGACAGGCTCCTCCTCTCCCTCCAGAAGCCAGGCAGTCCCTCCTGCCTCAGTTTCTCAGACTAGGCCGCCTCTCCCATCGCGAGACACTGAAGACCCTCAGCTGTTTCCATCTGCCCAGTCTGACTGCTGGATCGCCCTCTGTGTGCGTTGGTTTGCTGTGTTCTTGCTACTCGCCCTTGGATAAGATTTCTTCTCTACTCATGAAGCTGCGTGTCCTGGAGGGCAGGGCCGCACCTCACATGCATGTTGCCCACATAGCTCAGCAACAGATGCTCTCACGCTTGTTAAAAGTAAAACCGGGCCAGGCGCAGTGGCTCACGCCTGTAATCCCAGCACTTTGGGAGGCCGAGGTGGGTGGATCACCTGAAGTCAGGAGTTTGAGACTAGCCTGACCAACATGGAGAAATCCCGTCTCTACTAAAAATACAAAAAATTAGCTGGGCGTGGTGGCACATGCCTGTAATCCCAGCTACTCGGAGGCAGGAGAATTGCTTGAACCCAGGAGGCGGAGGTTGCGGTGAGCCAAGATCACGCCATAGCAATTGCACTCCGGCCTGGGCAACAAGAGCAAAACTCTGTCAAAAAGAAAAAAAAAAAAAAAAAAAAGTAAAACCAATTAGCCAATGTAAAGGAGTTTAACTGAGCAAAGAGTGATTCACAAATCAGGCAGCCTCCCGACCCAGAGTGGACTCAGAGACTCCAGCACAGCCATGTGGTGGAAGAAAATTTAAGACCGAAAAAGGAAAGAGATGTACAGAAAATGGAAATGAGGTACGGAAACAGCCAGATTTGTTAAGCTTGGGGTTTGCAGTAGTTGAACATGGTTGAAGAGCTGGCCACCTTAGATTGGCCAAAACTCAGCGATTGGCACAAGAGTAGGCTACGGTCTGTTTACAATTCCATTTAGGTTACTGTTCGTGATGTACAGAGAAAGCTTTAGGTCGAAATTAAAATACACAAGGAGGCAGCTTTAGGCCACACTTGATTTGAAAGCTAGAGAGGTCTGGTGGAGGCTGCATTCTCCTCTCCAGGAAGTACATTTGTGGGCTGCTAAGCCACAAGATAAGGAAGAACACAAGACAGCTAGAGAAGGCCACGAGCTGGACCCAATACCCACATATTCAGGAGTAAACACTGGTGCTGTGAAAGGGTCAGTGCCTCCATAAACGTCTCCACAGACATAGAGCTCTGAGCGGACACGGACCACTACACACAACAGAGCTACACACAACAGAGCTTGACAAGCCACAGAGCTCCACAAACCGCAGAGCTCTCTACAGACACAGACATCTCCTCACCACAGAGCTTTCCAAACCAAAGAGCTCTCCACATACACAGAGCTCTCCACACCACAGATCTCTCCACAGACACTGAGCTCTCCTCAACACAGAGCTCTCTACTGACACAGACATATTTATAGACACAGATCTCCACACAAGACTCTCCACACCACGGAGCACTCTACACTACAGAGCTCACCAGACCACAGAATTCTCCACAGACACAGAGCTCTCCACGCTACAGAGCTCTCCAAAGACACAGAACTCTCCACACCAGAGAGCTCTCCACAGACAGAGTTCTCCACACAACGTAGCTCTTTACAGACACAGAGCTCTCCACACCACTTAACTCTCAACAGTCACAGAAATCTCCACACCACAGAACTCTCCTCAGTCACAGAGCTACCCACACCACATAGCTCTCTGCACTACAGAGCTTGCCACATTCACAGACCTCTCCACCAACACAGAGCTCTCCAGACACACAACTCTCCATACAACAGAGATCTCCACAGACACAGAGCTTGCCACACCACAGAACTCTCCACAGAAACAGAGATCCCCACAGCGCAGAGTTCACAGACACAGGGCTCTCCACACCACTGGGTTCTCCACAGACATAGAACTCTCCACAGATACAAAACTCCCCACAGACACAGGACTCTCCACAGACACAGAGCTCTTCATAGACGCAGAGCTCTCCCCACCACAGAGCTCTTCAGACCACACACCTCTCCATAGACACAGAACTTTCCACAGACTTAGAATTCTCCACAGACACAGAGATCCCCACACCACATAGTTATCCACACTACAGAGCTCTCCACAGACGCAGAGCTCTCCACAGACACAGGACTGTCCACACCACAGAGCTCTTCAAACCATGGAGCTCTTCACACTGCAGAGCTCTCCACACCACAGGGCTCTCCACAGACACTGAGATCTCCTCAATACAGAGCTCTCCACTAACACAGATCTATTTACAGACACAGATCTCCACACCACAGAGCTGTCCACACCACAGAACTCTTCACAGACACAGAGCTCTCCACATACATGGAGCTCTCCATAGACACAAACCTCACCACATACACAGAGCTCTTGACACCACAGAGCTCTCTGCAGACAAAGAGCTCAACACACCACAGAGCTCTCCACACCACATAGTTCTCCACATACAGAGAGCCCTCCACATACACAGAATTCTTCACATACAGAGCTCTTCACACCACAGAGCTCTCCAGATAGAGAGTTCTTCACACCACAGAGCTCTTCACACCATAGAGCTCTCTACAACACAGAACTCTTCACACCGTGGAACACTCCACAGACACAGAGATCACCACACCACAGAGCTCTCCACAGACACAGAGATCCCCACACCACATAGTTATCCACACTACAGAACTCTCCACACCGCAGAGCTCTTCACAGACATACAGCTCTCCACAGACACAGGGCTCTCCATACCACTGAGCTCTCCACAGAAAGAACTCTTCACAGACATAGAGTCTCCACATCACTGAGCTCTTCACAGACACAGAACTTTCCACAGACACGAGACTCTCCACAGACACAGAGGTCTCCACACCATAGACCTCTCCACACCACAGAGCTCTTCACACCACAGAGTTCCTCATACCACAGAGCTCTCCACAGACACAGAGCTCTCCACAGACACAGGGCTCTCCACACCACAGGGCTCTCCACAGACACTGAGATCTCCTCAACACAGAGGTCTTCACTGACACAGATCTATTTACAGACACAGATCTCCACACCACACAGTTCTCCACACCACAAAGCTCTCCAAAGACACACAGTTCTTCACACCACAGAGCTCTCCGCAGACACACAGCTCTCTCTACAGACACACGTCTCTCTACAGACACAAACCTCTTCACATACATGGAGCTCTTCACACCACAGAGCTCTTCACACCACAGAGTTCCCCACATTAAGAGAGCTCCCCACATCACATCACAGAGTTCTTCACACCACAGAGCTCTCCACGTAGGAAGTTCTTCATGCCTCAGAGCTCTTCACAGCACAGACCTCTCAACATACACCGAGCTCTCCAGACCACAGAACTCCCCACATCACGGAACTCCCCACATACCCAGAGCTGTCCACATCACAGCGCTCTGTACACCACTTAGCTCTCCACAGACACAGAGCTCGCTACAATACAGAGCTCTCCAGACCACAGAATTCTCCAAATACACAGAGCTTTCCACACCACAGAACTCTCCACACCACAGAGCTCTTCACACCACAGCGCTCTCCTCACCATAGGGCTCTCCACAGACACAGGGGTGTCCACTCCACAGATCTCTTCACACCACAGAGCTCTCCACATACACAGAGGTCTCCACACCACAGAGCTCTTTACTGACACAGAACTCTCCACACCACAGCAATCTCCACAGACACAGAGCTCTTCATACCACAGAGCTCTTCACATACACAGAGCTCTTCACATACGCAGAGCTCTCCACACCACAGAATTCTCCATAGACACAGAACTCGCTCTCCACACAACAGAGCTCTTCACACCACACAGCTCTCAGTGTACACAAAGTTCTTCACACCACAGAACTCTACTTGCCACAGAGTGCTCCATAGACACAGGGCTCTCCACACCACAGAGCTCTACACACTAAAGAATTCTCCACAGACAGAGCGCTCTACACTCCACAGAGCTCTCCAGAGACACAGAGCTCTCCACACCACAGAGACTTCCATATCACAGAGCTCTCCACAGACATAGAGCTCTCCACAGAGATGTCCGCACAGCAGAGCACTCCACATACACACAGCTGTTCACACCACAGAGATCTCCAGACCACAGAATTCTCCATAGACACAGAAGGCTCTGCACACACAGAACTCTCCACACCACAGAGCTCTTCACATATGCAGAGCTTTCCACAGATAGAGCTCTCCACAGAGATGTCCACACAACAGAGCTCTACAGAGCTGTTCATGCCACAGAGATCTCCAAACCACAGTTCTCCATAGACACAGAACTCTTGACATACGTGGAGCTCTCCACATTACAGAGCTCTTCACATATGCAGAACACTTCACACCACAGAGCTCTCCAAACCACAGAGCTCTCCCCAACAAAGCTCTCCACAACACAGAGCACTCCACAGACACAGAGCTCCCCACACCACAGAGCTCTCCACACCACAGAGCTCTCCACATACACAGAACTCACCACAGACACAGAGCTCTCCACACAACAGAGCTCTCCACAGTCACAGAGATCTCCACCACAGAGCTCTCCACATGCCCAGGGATCTCCACACCACAGAGCTCTCCACATCACAGAGCTCTCCACATACAGAGTCTAGCTCTCCACACCACAGAGCTCTTCACACCACAGAGTTCTTCACATACACAGAACTCTCCACAACACAAAGCCCTCAACAGACAGCGCTCTCCACACCACAGAGCTCTCCACATACACAGAGCTCTCCACATACACAGAGCTCACCACAGACACAGAGCTCACCACAGACACAGAGCTCTCCACATACACAGAGCTCACCACAGACACAGAGCTCACCACAGACACAGAGCTCTCCACATACACAGAGCTCACCACAGACACAGAGCTCACCACAGACACAGAGCTCTCCACATACACAGAGCTCACCACAGACACAGAGCTCACCACAGACACAGAGCTCTCCACATACACAGAGCTCACCACAGACACAGAGCTCACCACAGACACAGAGCTCTCCACATTCACAGAGCTCTCCACACCACAGAGCTCTCTACATACACAGAGCTCTCCACATCACAGAACTCTCCACATACAGAGAGCTCTCCACAAACACAGAGCTCGCCACACCACAGAGATCTCTAAACCACAGAGCTGTCCACATACAAAGAGCTCTTTACACCACAGAGATCTCCACACAGCAGAGGTCTCCACAAACACAGAGCTCTCCACACCACAGAGCTCTTGACACCACAGAGCTCAACACACCAAAGAGCTTTCCACAGACACAGAGCTCTCCACAGACACAGAGCTCTCCACAGACACAGAGCTTCCAGACCACAGAGCTCTCCACAACACGGTTTTTCACACCACAGAACTCTTTATACCACAGAGCTCTCCACAGACACAGAGCTCTCAAGGCCACAGAGCTGTCCACACCACAGAGCTCTCCACAGACACAGAGCTCTCCACATACACAACTTTCCACGCCACAGAGGTCTCCACATACAGAGCTCTCCACAGACACAGAGCTTTCCACACCACAGACACCCATGTACTTACCCCTAGGTCTGACTCCCCTTAGCATAGACCCCCAACACTTAAATTTTCTGCACTCACACTGGCAGCTGTGACTTCAGCGGCACTGATGCCCTCTACACTGACCCCCTCATCAATGACATTTGCAGCACTGACCTTCCCAGCACTGACCCCTCTAGCACTGACCCCCTGCACTGACCCTTTTTGCACTGACCACTGCCTGCAATGAGCACCCCTCCCCTGATACCACAGCACTGACACCCATACGACCGACCTCCCCAGCAGGTACATCTCCTGCACTGACCTCCACAGCACTGACACCCCCAGCACTGACTCCCCCAGCACTGACACCCTCGGCACTGACACCCCCGGCACTGGCACCCCCGGCACTGACACCCCCAACACTGACACCCCAGCACTGACACCCCCAGCACTGACCCCCCAGCACTGCTCCCTCAGCACTGATCCCCCCAGCACTGACACCCCAGCACTGACCCCCCAGCACTGCTCCCTCAGCACTCATCCCCCCAGCACTGACATCCCCAGCACTGACCCCCCAGCACAGCTCCCTCAGCACTGATCCCCCCAGCACCGACGTCCAAGCACTGACTTCCCCAGCACTGACCTCCCAGGTACTGACAACCCAGGTACTGAGCCCCCATCACTGACACTCCAGCACTGACCCCCCACCAGAATTGCTCCCTCAGCACTAATCCCCCCACCACTGATGCCCCCAGCACTGATGCCCCCAGGTATGGGTATGACACCCATACAACTAACACCCCAACACTGACACTGCCAGCACTAATGTCCCCAGCACTAACAGCCCTGCACTGACACTCCCAGCACGAACACCCCAACACTGAGACCCCCAGCACTCATACCTCCAGCACTGACAGCCCTGCACTGACACTCCCAGCACTGACACCCTCAACACTGAGACCCCCAGCACTCATACCTCCAGCACTGACACCCTCAACACTGAGAACCCCAGCACTCATACCTCCAGCACTGACACCCCCACCACTGAGACCCCCAGCACTCATACCTCCAGCACTAACAGCCGGGCACTGACACTCCCAGCACTGACACCCCCACCACTGAGACCGCCAGCACTCATACCTCCAGCACTGACAGCCCCAACACTGAGACCCCCAGCACTGAGACCCCCAACACTGACACCCCCAGCACTGACACCCCTAACACTGAGACCCCCAGCACTGACACCCCCAGCACTCATACCTCCAGCACTGACAGCCCCAACAGTGAGACCCCCAGCACTTATACCTCCAGCACTGACACCCCCAACACTGAGACCCCCAGCACTGACACCCCCAGCACTGACACCCCCAGCATTCATACTTCCAGCACTGACAGCCCCAACACTGAGACCCCCAGCACTGACACCCCCAACACTGAGACCCCCAGCACTCATACCTCCAGCACTGACACCCCCAACACTGAGACCCCCAACACTGAGACTCCCAGCACTCATACCTCCAGCACTGACAGCCCTGCACTGACACTCCCAGCACTGATACCCCCAACACTGAGACCCCCAGCACTCATACCTCCAGCACTGACACCCCCAACACTGAGACCCCCAACACTGAGACCCCCAGCACTCATACCTCCAGCACTGACAGCCCTGCACTGACACTCCCAGCACTGACACCCCCAACACTGAGTCCCCCAGCACTCATACCTCCGGCACTGGCATCCCCAACACTGAGACCCCCAGCACTAACACCCCAACACTGACGTCCCCAGCACTGACACCCCAACATTGACGTCCGCAGCACTGACACCCCTGGCACTGAGACCCCAGCAGTGACAGCCCCTGCTGTCAATACATAACAGTAATTTGTTATTTATTTATTCTTGGTTAGAACTCACAGAATAGTACAGAGAACAACATAGAACCTCTAGGTACTCACCACCTAAATCCCAAACACAGTATTTTTCCACACTTCTTTATTTTCTGAAATACACAAGGCTGTTCACCCTGGCCTGGGGAGGGTTGTGGAGCCTGTGTTGTTGGAGCAAAGGTTGTTAACTATTCTGAGTGTTATCTCTTTTTTCTATCTATCACATATACATTGAAACGCTTCCATCCTTTTCCTCAAGCCAATGCCCCCACTCTCCGAGGAGACTCTGCTCTGAGTTCGGTGTGTGGAGTTGGGTGACGTTTGGAAAGACAGCATGCTACACATAATGTAAATGTAACTACTTATGTTTCCAGAAATAAACTTCAGTATTTTATGCCCTAGTTGAATCTTGAAATAATACAATTGAAGTTCAAGCTTGAAATGCTCTAAAAAGTTTGAAAAGCTAAGTTCAACTGTACAATTTGAAGACTTCTCCAGTGCTGAGGCTTAGCTGTTCACCCTGACCTGGGGAGGGTTGTGGAGCCTGTGTTGTTGGAGCAAACGTTGTTAACTATTCTGAGTGTTATCTCTTTTTTCTATCTCTGCTGGCCTGTGTTACTCTCCGGCTCTGCCTAGGGAAGCTGAGCTTAGGATGGGTTAAGGGAACAACTGGACGGAAAGCCCAGGTAGGAAGCAGCAGGAAGTTACTGAGCCCATGATGCAGGGCTCAGGGGAGTGGCCTCGGTGGGCAGGGCTTGGGGGAGCAGCCTCGTTGACACAGGGCTCAGGGGAGTGGCCTCGGTGGGCAGGCTGCACACCTGTACTTCTGGGGGCTGTTAGAGGCCGCTGGGCAGTTGCTGCAGCTGAACCAGACATGAGAGAGGCTTTCACTGGTCAAAGGCTTGGGAGGACACCGGGGTTTCCCCAGGCCTTGCACGTGCAGATCAGCTGGCGTGAGCCCTGTGGATAATGAGACTCTCTGATGCTGATCTTCCCGCGGGTGGAGCACCAGACACAGATTCTAGGCGTGGTTTCCCCCAGTTTGTGTTCAGCCAAGGAGAGGCCCTGGCCTCTGGGATCCCGGGAAAGCATATCCTGCAGGGAATTAATCCCAGGGTCTCAGGTCGCGTTATGATTCACTCGCTGGATAGTTAAACGACCCAGATTCAAAAGGGGCAGCTCAAACCTTTGCCCCCTGGGAACAAAAGCAGGAGATTAGCTCTGTGTTATCAATCAGCATTGTCAGGACAGAATGAAAAAGGCTAACTTTAAAGGCTTCACCTGTTGAGGCCTTAGTCAGAGCCTGGATGGGAATCAAAGGTCATTCCTGCCCAAGGTTTTGTCTCAAGTCCTCAAATGGGTAGCACTGAATTACCTTTAAAAATGGCCTCAAAGGACCGGAGATGAAGCATGGATTAGTGTCTTAATCTTAATAGCACGAGGCCTGTAGTTAGGGTCCAGGGAACTTGGGGGAAGAGGTGGCATTGTCCTGGGCCGTCCCTGGCATGCGGTGCTATTAGAGGTGGGCTGGGGTGAGGGTGGGCTTTGTGCCTCTGGACAGGACCCTTTCACCGGCTTTGGGGGCGTTCTCACAGAGCTTTGCCAGCTGACTTAGCGTTGGCCCTCTGACAATGGGATTTGTCAAGACCAGATGAATGAAATCTTAGGCTCAGACGGGGAAAGGCAGGTATCCTGCTCTGGTATTTATGTGAGGAGCAATGTTGGGCCAGCCTGAGCTGTGGGGCTGGAGAAGACCCCAAATGCCAAAATATGATCTGGTTTCTCTGCCACCCCTCATCCCCCTTTAGTGCCACCGGGGACAACCAAATCTGATCAGAGGCCGCCTGTTTCTGCCTGTGGGTCCTCTACCCAGCTGCAAGAGTGGTTTCTATACTGATGTGGACCCCAGCCTGCCTGCTGTGAAGCTGCCTTCAGCACAGAAGGGGAGGTTGGGGCTGGCCTCTGAGGAGTGACCTGGCCGAGCCCACTGTCCACCAAGGCCTCAATGCCTTCCCTGCCACGTAGGGTCCCCGTTTCTGCCTGGCGGCATGAGGCTGTGCCGGGCCTGTCATCGCAGATCGTGGGCAAGAGCTGCCTCAGGGTGGAAGAGACTGCACAGAGCTGTCCCTGAGTGGCCTCTGGCTAGGACAGGACCTGCAAGGGGAACAGCCTCACTTCCTTCTCCCTGACCATTCCGTCCATACTCAAAGCCGACTCCCTTCCTCCCTCTCCAACCCACTATGTGCTGTGGATGGGCTGTGGCTTCACTGGGCACCCCCATCTGCTGCCTCTATTGTTCCCCATCCCCAGCCAAGTGGGTCTTGTTTTCCTTCACTGCAGGCAGAACTCGAGCCTGTGCTGTGCCCTGATGAGTGGCTCCCCTTCTTCCTGGGCCGTTCCATGGGTGTGCCTTTGCCACGCTCAACCTTCCCACCCCGACGCAACATTGATCCCCAAGTCAGGGTGGGCTCGGGACCCCTCAACTTTCCCCTGTGCCCCTGTGCATTTCATGGGCAAATCAAACCTTTTCAAACTCTCGCCTCCACAGGTCCCCAGGGGTGGACACTCCAAGGTCCCCGTTGCTCCTGTCCTCTGCCAGCCGCCTCACCGCCTAAATCAGTGGCCCAGCCCAGGCCATTACCACAAGGCTAGCTGGCCTCGATGTCAGCACCTACCTTTCTGAGGGCGACTTTCTGAGGCTCCAGGCCCCAGCAGGTGGGATTTCTCTTTCCATCCGCACCCCGACGGCATCGTGCTGGCTGTTCAGTGTGGCGGCCGCAGCTGGTGTCCAGCTACAGCCCACGGAGCCAGGGACAAACCTGGGTTTAGTCAGGATGCCGGTGGGGTTGCCTCGCCTCTGTGCGTGGAGAAGTTACTGCCAGTGTCCCGATGCGGGAATCCTTCCAGGAATGCTCTCACCTGTAAAAATGTAGAAGTTCAATAACAAAATATGAAACTGCAGGAAATGGGTTTGAGATACCTATACGATAAAAACAGATTTATGTAAAACTTATTAGAGGAAAAGCTGAATTAGCTTTCTCTTCTCTTAATAGAAAATGATATATCAGCAGGGTGCATTGGCTCACGCCTGTAATCCCAGCACTTTGGGAGGCTGAGGCGGGCGGATCACTTGAGGTCAGGAGTTTGAGACCAGCCTGGCCAACATGGTGAAATCCCGTCTCCACTAAAAATACAAAAATTAGCTGGGCATGGTGGCTTTTGCCTGTAATTCCAGCTACTCGGGAGGCTGAGGCAGGAGACTCACTTGAACCTGGGAGGCGGAAGTTGCAGTGAGACGAGATTGTGCCACTGCACTCCAGCCTGGGCGAGAGAGCAAGAATCCATCTGAAAAAAAAAAAGAAATGATATATCAAAATTGTCACACATAAAAGCAGTCAAAGGTGTGAGAAAGTGTAGAAAAAGAGCTGGAGAAATGAGGCAGTGTCAGGCAGGTGACTGAAAACACTGATTTTGGATTCTGTGATGTCTGTGGCTTTGCCCGATTTTTCAAGTATGTAATTTGCTTCCATCTCCCTTCTCCTTTCGAATGTGCGTGGAGGGACTCCTTTTCTTGAATAACTCCCCCCCACCAACCAATCCCATTATAAAACCACCAGGCTTCGCAAGGCCTAGTTCTGCCCCCATCTTTATCTCACTTTAGAAGACTTCCCCTGCTCTTGGCTTGAACAATGACGTCTTTTTCTGGGCTCACAAATCTATTTCTGGAATAAACTTCTCCCTGGTGATTTGTCCTTTATTTCCCACTTTCTAGGTTCTCATTCTAATAATTTAATAGGGTTATGTTGATGGTTAATGGTGACATTTGGCCACGGAGGAATACTGATATTTTAAACAGAGATTCAGCAACATTCATAGAATATTTTACCCAACAAATTTGGAAGCATCTTCACAAACATTAGCTTTGAGAAATGTTTTCTAAATTTGATTCTTAGCCAAGTGGTGGAAGGTAGAGGTAGCTTCGGGTGATCCTTAGAAAAAGGTATTTCTGGAGGCTGAGGACAGAAGGGCCTTATTCAAATGATTGTTCTGATCTAAAGCCAGATACAAAAGCCAGTGTAGGAAAGAAAGGGAACTGCCAAGAATGTGTCTGATACTTTCAGACAATCTCTATGCATTTGGGGTCTGGAGAAAAGGAAAGAAAGACACCTTTACAAGAGTCAAACCTAAAAGGGGGACACTAATCCCACAGTTGCCAGCTCCCCCTGGCAGCACCTGTAGCCTCTTTAGTGTCTGGGACAACAGGCCGGCACTGGCCTTGGGTCGGCTGAGGATGGCTGAGAACAAAGGCTCCCACCTCTGCTTGGAGCCCTTGGTGGCTCGTGAAGCTCTTCACGTGGTGCCTGGTGACCAACCCTGGGACCCCAGGCAACTTCATGCCAACCACAGGCCACAGTGATACATGGAAGGACGCTCTAGCACCTTTAGGCCACGCCAATGGAAGGAGGGGTCCTCCCGCACCTGCAGACCACGCTGATGGATGAAGGGGTTCTCCCATACCTGCAGACCACCCTGATGGATGGAGGGGTCCTCCCGCACCTGCAGACCACCCTGATGGATGGAGGGGTTCTCCCGCACCTGCAGACCACCCTGATGGATGGAGGGGTCCTCCCGCACCTGCAGACCACACTGATGGATGGAGGGGTTCTCCGGCACCTGCAGACCACGCTGATGCATGGAGGCGTTCTCCCGCACCTGCAGACCACGCTGATGGATGGAGGGGTTCTCCCGCACCTGCAGACCACGCTGATGGATGGAGGGGTTCTCCTGCACCTGCAGACCATGCTGATGGATGGAGGGGTTCTCCCCCACCTGCAGACCACGCTGATGGATGGAGAGGTTCTCCCGCACCTGCAGACCACCCTGATGGATGGAGGGGTCCTCCTCCACCTGCAGGCCATGCTGATGGATGGAGGGGTCCTCCTGCACCTGCAGGCCATGCTCTGTGTGTGTGTGTGTGTTTTAACTTTGTTGTTTTTGTAAATGGACAATGTGTAATTGTCTATATTTACGGAGTACAAAACAATGATACAATTAATACAATGTGGAATAATTCAATGAAGCTAATTAGCACATCCCTCACCTCAAATACTTAACACTTTTTTGTGGTGAGAACATCTGAAGTTTATTCTCTTTCTCTTTTTTTCTTGATTTTTTAAAAAAGTTTTTATTTCAATAGGTTTCTGGGAAACAGGTGGTGTTTGGTTACATGGATAAGTTCTTTGGTGGTGATTTCTGAGATTTCGATGCACCCATCACCCGAGCAGTGTACACTGTATCCAATGTGTAGTCTTTTATCCCTCATCCCCCTCCCACGCTTCCCCCCTTGTCCCCAAAGTCCATTGTATCATTCTTATACTTTTGCGTCTTCATAGCTTAGATCCCACTTATGAGTGAGAACATACGATGTTTGGTTTTCCATTCCTGAGTTACACTTAGAATAATGGTGTCCAGTTTCATCCAGGTTGCTGCAAATGCCGTTATTTCATTCCTTTTTATGGCTTAGTAGTATCCTATGGTATACATGTACCACAGTTTCTTTATCCATAATGGGCATCTGGGCTGGTTGCATATTTTTGCAATTGTGAATTGTGCTGCTATAAACATGCATGTGCAAGTATCTTTTTGGTATAATGACTTCTTTTCCTCTGGGTAGATAACCAGTAATGGGATTGCTGGATCAAATGGTAGATCTACTTTTAGTTCTTTAAGGAATCTCTACACTGTTTTCCATAGTGGTTGTACTTGTTTACATTCCCACCAACAGTTTAAAAGTGTTCCCTTTACACGACATCCATGCCAACCTCTTCTTCTCTATTTTTTTTTATTTTTTTGATTTTTTGATTATGGCCACTCTTGCAGGAGTAAGGTGGTATGGCATTGTGGTTTTGATTTGCGTTTCCCTGATAATTAGTGACATTGAGCATTTTTTCATGTTTGTTGGCCATTTGTATATCCTCTTTTGAGAATTGTACGTTCATGCTCTTAGCCTACTTTTTGATGGGATTTAATTTTTTTCTTGCTGATTTGTTTGAGTTCCCTGTAGATTCTAGATATTAGTCCTTTGTCAGATGTATAGTTTGTGAATATTTTCTCCCACTCTGTGGGTTGTCTGTTTACTCTGCTGATTAAAAAGCTTCTGCAGAAGGTTTTTAGTTTAATTAAGTCCCATCTATTTATCCTTATTTTTGTTGCATTTGCTTTTGGGTTCTTGGTCATGAAGTCTTTGCCTAAGCCAACGTCTAGAAGGGGTTTTCCGATGTTATCTTCTAACATTTTTACGGTTTCAGTCTTAGATTTAAGTCTTTGATCCATTTTGAGTTTGTTTTCATATAAGGTGAGAAATGAGGATCCAGCTTCATTCTTCTATATAAGGCTTGCCAATTATCTCAGCACCATTTCTTGAATAGGGTATCCTTTCCCCACTTTGTGTTTTTGTTTGTTTTGTCAAAGATCACTTGACTGTAAGTATTTGGCTTTATTTCTGGGTTCTCTATTCTGCTCCTTTGGTCTAAGTGCCTCTTTATACCAGTACCATACTGTTTCGGTGACTATAGCTTTACAATATAGTTTGAAGTCAAGTAATGTAATGCATTCAGATTTGTTTTGTTTGTTTGTTTGTTTGTTTTTGCTTAGTCTTTCTTTGGCTATGCTGGATCTTTTTTGGCTCCATATGAATTTCAGGATTGTTTTTTCTAGTTCTATGAAGAATGATGGCGGTATTTTGATAGGAATTGCATGAATTTGTAGGATTGCTTTTAGCAGTTTGGTCATTTTCACAATACTGATTATACTCATCCATGAGTATGGGATGTGATTCCATTTATTTGTGTCACGTATAATTTCTTTCAGCAATGTTTTGTAGTTTTCCCTGTAGAGGTCTTTCACCTCCTTGATTATGAATATTCCTAAGTATTTTATTTTATTTTATTTTGCAGCTATTGTAAAAGGGACTGAGTTCTTGATTTGAATCTCAACTTAGTTGCTGTTGGTGTAGAGCAGTGCTACTGATTTGTGTACATTAATTTTGTATTCTGAAACACTACTGAATTCATTTATTAGTTCTAGAAGCTGTTTGGATGAGTCTTTAGGTTTTTCTAGGTATATGATTATATCATTGATGAACAGTGACAGTTTGACTTCCTCTTTACCAATTTGGATGCACTTTATTTCTTTCTCTTCTCTGATTGCTCTGGCTAGGACTTCCAGTACTATGTTGAATAAAAGTGGTGAAAGTGGGCATGCTTGTTTTTCCCAGTTCTTGGGGGAATGCTTTCAACTTTTCCCCATTCAGTATAATACTGGCTGTGGGTTTGTCATAGATGGCTTTTATTTCTTTAAGGTAGGCCTTTTCTATGCTGACTTTGCTGAGGGTTTTAATCATAAAGCGATGCTGGATTTTGTCAAATGCTTTTTCTGCATCTATTGAAATGATCACGTGATTTTCTTTTTAATTCTGTTTATGTGATGTATCACATTTATTGACTTGCGGGTGTTAAACCATCCCTGCATCCCTGTATGAAACCAACTTAATCATGGTGGATTATCTTTTTGATATGCTGTTGGATTTAGTTAGCTAATATTGTGTTGAAGAGTTTTGCATCTGTGTTCATCAGGGATATTGGTGGGTGTTTTTGTTGTTGTTGTTATGTCCTTTCCTGGTTTTGGTATTAGGGTGCTACTGGCTTCATAGGATGATTTAAGAAGGATTTCCTCTTCTCTACATTTTGAAACAGTGTCAATAGGATATGTACCAATTCTTCTTTGAATATCTGATAGAATTCAGCTGTGAATCCATCTGGTCCTAAACTTTTTTTGGTCGGCAATTTTTAAATTATCATTTCAATCTTGTTGCTTTTGGTCAGAGTTCAGAGTTTCTATTTCTTCCCAGTTTAATCTAGGAGAGTTGTATATTTCCAGAAATTTATCCATCTCCTCTAGGTTTTCTAGTTTGTGTGCATAAAGGTGTTCATAGTAGCCTTGAATGATCTTTTGTATTTCTGTGGTATCAGTTGTAATATCTGCTGTTTCATTTCTCATTGAGTTCATTTGGATCTTTTCTCTTTTATTGGTTAATCTCATTAGTGACCTATCAATTTTATCTTTTCAAAGAACCAGCTTTTTGTTTCACTTGTATTTTGTATTTTTTTGTTTCAATTTCCTTTAGTTTTGCTCTGATTTTTGTTATGTTTTTTCTTCTGCTGGGTTTGGGTTCATTTGTTCTTTTATTTCTAGTTTCTTGAGGTGTGACCTTAGATTGTCTATTTGTGCTTTTACCAACTTTTTGATGTAGGCATTTAATTCTATGAACTTTCCTCTTAGGACCACTTTTGCTGTATCTCAGAGGTTTTGACAGGTTGTATAACTATTATCATTTGGTTCAAATAATTTTTAAATTTCCATCTTGATTTCATTGTTGACCCAATGATCATTCAGGAGCAGGTTGTTTAATTTCCTTGTATTTGGACTGCTTTGAGGGTTTACTTTGGAGTTGATTTCTGATTTTATTCCACTGTGGTCTGAGGGTGTACTTGATATAATTTCAATTTCCTTAAATTTATTGAGATTTGTTTTGTAGTCTATCATATGGTCTATCATGGAGAATGTTCCATGTGCTGATGAGTAGCGTGTATATTCTGCAGTTGCTGGGCAGGATGTTCTGTAAATATCTGTTAATCCATTTGTTGTAGGGTATAGTTTAAGTCCATTGTTTCTTTGTTGACTTTCTGTCTTGATGACCTGTCTATTGCTGTCAGTAGAGTATTGAAGTCCGCCATTATTATTGAGTTGCCATCTATCTCATTTCTTAGGACTAGTAGTAATTGTTTTGTAAATTTGGGAGCTCTAGTGGTAGGTGCATATATATTTAGGATTGTGATGTTTTCCTGTTGGACTAGTCCTTTTATCAGTATACAATATTCCTCTGTCTTTTTAAACTGTTGTTGCTTTAAAGTCCATTTTGTCTGATATAAGAATAGCTGCTGCTGCTTGCTCTGGTGTCCTTTTGCATGGAATGTCTTTTTCCACCCATTTACCTTAAGTTTATGTGAGTGCTTACGTGTTAGGTGAGTCTCTCGAAGACAGCAGATACTTGATTGGTGAATTCTTATCCATTCTGCCATTCTGTATCTTTTAAGTGGAGCATTTAGGCCATTTGCATTCAACGTTAGTATCGAGATTTGAGGTACTAGTCTATTCGTTGTGCTAGTTGTTGCCTGAATACCTTACTTATGTTTTTCATTGTGTTATTGTTTTAAATGTCCTGTGAAATTTATGCTTTAAGGAGGTTCTAGTTTGGTGTACTTTTAGGATTTGTTTCAAGATTTAGAGCTCCTTTTAGCAGTGCTTGTAGTGCTGGCTTGGTAGTGGTGAATTCTCTCAGCATTTGTTTGTTTGAAAAAGACTTTCTCTTTGCTTCATTTATGAAGCTTAGTTTTGCTGAGTGAAAGGAAAATATCTTGGGTCCCTGAAATCAATGTGCTAAAAGGAAATGTCAAGTTGGGAACCCCTTAGGGCAAACCTGCCCCACTTTTTATTCAAAGTCACCCCTCTGCTCACTGAGATAAATGCATATCTGATTGCCTCTTTTGGGGAGGCTAATCAGAAACTTAAAAGAATGCAAGCATTTTTCTCTTATCTACCTACAATTTGGAAGCCCCCTCCCCACTTTGAGTTGTCCCACCTTTCCAGACAGAACCAATGTTCACCTTACATATGTTGATTGATGTCTTGTGTCTCCCTAAAATGTTAAATACCAAACTGTGTTCTGACTGCCTTGGGCACATGTCGTTAGGACTCCCTGAGGCTGTCATGGGTGTGCATCCTCAACCTTGGCAAAATAAACTTTCTAAATTAACTGAGACCTGTCTCAGATTTTTGAGGTTCACATTTTTGTACCCATGGAGGGATTCTGAGTGGAGAAGCCCGTGACCTTTGACAAATCTCCTATTGGTGCTTGGTACCAGCATGAGCTAACTTTATAGCTCAAACCAATAGAACAATTTGCTGAGGTCTGGGAGCACCTGCTCAAGAGAATCCCTGATCTCTCGAAATTTGGTCAAGATCTAAAGTTTATTTTGCTGTACAGCTCCTTTTTTTTTTGGAGTTTTACTTGCTTCCAACACAGGAAGGCAAGTTTTTCCTGCTTCCATGATGATGGAAGGCAGGTAACTCCTTTTTGGAGTTTGAGCTTGCTTCCAACACAGGAAGGCAAGTTTTTCCTGCTTCCATGATGATGGAAGGCAGGTAACTCCTTTCTGGAGTTTGAGCTTGCTTCCAACAGGGAAGATGAGGTTTTCTTTCCTGCTTCTAGGATGGCAGAGAGCTGTCTTCAGCCTGAGACCCATCCCTAGGTAAATAACTGAATTGGGGTTTGTCTTGGCTAAAGTTAAAATTAACAACCAGCTGGTCTTAATTTCTTGTTACCATTAGAGCACTCAGTAATCATATAAGTTGTATAATCATTTATTTTGCTTAACCGATTTGTTGTTGTTGTTGTTTGCTGCTTTTGTTGTTGTTAGTTTGTTGTTGTTGTTGTTTGTTTCTGTTTTTGTTTCAGTCTTTTTCTCATTGAGTTTGACCAACTCTATCCAATTTGATCAAATCCAAAGGAAAGTTCCAAATTATGGATAAGCGAGGCCTCTAAGTGGCTAAATTCCCACCAAAACAAACAAACAAACAAACAACAAAAAAGTGGTATGGAGAGGGTAGAAAAATGGCTAGTGAAAGGAAGAAAAGGAAAGATTTTTGATTTTGACTACTTAAGGGGCTTTATTTACATAACAAGGCCACCCTTTTGCTAGCCAGGTGAAACCTAAAGAACAATGGCTGTGCTTCTGAAACAGCAGCCATGAATGCAACAGGACACAATTGAAGAAACTGGTTATCTTACGAAGGGTTTGACTGGAATGGTGTGCTTTCCTTTAAGGAATCAAACTTGACTTATGGAGCCAATAAAAGCCCCTAGGGAAAATTGACCTCATACTTTCACTGTACAGGGTTCCTGACCTGTGGTAAGTAAAGAATGTCACTTTCTGACAGGCCCAGGAGCCCCAAGTTTATCTTGGAACCCCAAGAGGAGAGGATCACCCAACTCATAGGTATTTAATGGCACAAATCCATGGCTGGGCTTGGCTTTAAAAAGAGTCTTATTTGAGATTCCTTCTATGGAACAATGTTCCATCAAAACCCATTTAAAAGTCTACGTAAAAAATAATTATTCTTGCTGCACTGTCTACAAATAATTAGGCCAAGTATAATAAAGCAATCAATTCTATCGTGATTTGTTTTTAGTAAAAATGGGAAACTGGAGAGAGAAAAATTGTTTCAAAAACTATAACACTAACTATAATCAAACACTTGTTAGATTCTAGTTTTGCCTAATGTTTTTCAATTTTTAGTATTTTTCCACCATTTGGACTGAATTCTAATTTTTCTTGGCTACAAGTCTTCAAAATAAGTCTTCAATTTTTTCCTTCTTCTTTTTTATTTTTTCCTAATTTGGAGTCACTGAAAACTAAGCTGTGCTTTTTTAAAGCCCTTTGAACTGATGCCAGAGAACTTAAACTTCAGAAGAAAATAACAGCAACCTATTTACATACACGAGCTACTTTCATACCTGCCTACTGATGTATGAACTCCAGAGTAATGAGGCCTATATCAGTTTTCCAGGATTGTTCTTTTGTTTGTTATTGTTTTTCTCTCTTCCTCCCCCTATTTTTCTCTTCATAGGACATGAGACTTCACAACCTTCTAAAAATGAACTTTCCTAATAACTTGGGACCTACCTGTCTAGGAATAAGCCATCCTAGCCATGAGAGATCAGATGAAACCTGGAACCAGAGACTCATTTTCTCTAAAACGCTTTCTCCAAAAGGTTTTTAAAAAGAAAAGGGGTTGGGGAATGTGAAAGAAAAATATCTTGGGCCCCCAAAATCACTAAGCTAAAGGGAAATGTCAAGCTAGGATCTCCTTAGGGCAAACCTGCCTCCCATTCTATTCAGTCACCCCTCTGCTCACTGAGATAAATACATATCTGATTGCCTCCTTTGGGGAGGCTAATCAGAAACCCAAAAGAATGCAACCATTTGTCTCTTATCTTCCTACAGTTTGGAAGCCCCCTCCCCACTTTGAGTTGTCCCACCTTTCCAAACAGAACCAATGTTCACCTTACATATGTTGATTGATGTCTCGTGTCTCCCTAAAATATATAAAACCAAATTGTGCTCTGACTACCTTAGGCATATGTCATCAGGACCTCCTGAGGCCGTGTCATGGGTGTGCATCCTCAACCTTGGCAAAATAAACTTTCTAAATTAATTGAGACCTATCTCAAATGTTCAGGGTTCACAGCTGGATACAAAATTCTTGGCTGGTAATTGTTTTGTTTAAGGAGGCTGAAAATAGGACCCCAATCCCTTCTAGCTTGTAGGGTTTCTGCTGAGAAATCTGCTGTTAATCTGATAGGTTTTCTTGTATAGGTTACCTGATGTTTTTGCTTCACAGCTCTTAAGATTCTTTCCTTTGTCTTGACTTTAGATAAACTGATGACTATGTCCGTAGGCAATGACCTTTTTGTGATGAATTTCCCAGGTATTCTCTGAGCTTCTTGCATTTGGATGTCTAGATCTCTAGCAAGCCCAGATAAATTTTCCCCTATTATTCCTTCAAATATGTTTTTCAATATTTAGATTTTTCTTCTTCCTCAGGAACACCAATTATTCTTAGGTTTGGTTGTTTAACGTAATCCCACACTTCTTGGAAGCTTTGTTTATTTTTTAAAATAATTTTTTCTTTGTCTTTGTTGCGTGACGTTAACTCGAAAGCTTTGTCTTCAAGTTCTGAAGTTCTTTCTTCTACTTGTTCAGTTCTATTGCTGAGATTTTCCAGTGCCTTTTGCATTTCTCTAAGTGTGTCCTTCATTTCCAGAAGTTGTGATTGTTTTTTTTATTTATGCTCTCTATTTCACAGGATATTTTTCCATTCATATTTTGTACCATTGATAGGGTTTGGCTCTGCGTCCCCACCCAAATCTCATCTTGAATTGTACTCCTATAATTCCCACGTGTTGTGGGAGGGACCTTGTGGGAGATGGCTGGATCGTGGGGGGCGATTTTCCCCATGCTGTTCTTGTGATAGTGAATAAGTCTCACCAGATCTGATGGTTTGATAAGGGGAAACCCATTTTACCTGGCTCTCATTCTTTCTTTCCCTGCTGCCATCCACTTAAGATGTGACTTGCTCCTCCTTGCCTTCTGCCATGATTGTGAGGCTTCCCCAGTCACATGGAACTGTACGTCCAATTAAACCTCTTTCTTTTGTAAATTGCCCAGTCTTGGGTATGTCTTTATCAGCAGCATGAAAATAGACGAATACAACCATATTTAAAAAAAAATTTCTTTAAGTTAGTCTTCACCTTTCTCTGGTGCCACTTTGATTAGCTTAATAATCAACCTTCTGAATTCTTTTTCTGGCAATTCAGAGGTTTTTTCTTGTTTTGGGTCCATTGCTGATGAGCTAATGTGACCTTTTGGGGGGTTAAGAACCTTGTTTTGTTGTGTTACCAGAATTGTTTTTCTGGTTCCTTCTCACTTGGGTAGACTGTCAGAAGGAGGATCTGGGGCTCAAGGGCTTGTCAGAAGGAGGATCTGAGGCTCAGTGCTGCTGTTCAGATTCTTTGGTCCCACGAGGTGCTCCCTTGATGTGGTGCTCTCCCCCTTCCCCTAGGGATGGGGCTTCCTGAGAGCCAAATTGCGGTGATTGTGATTTCTCTTCTGGGTGTGGCCACCCAGTGGAGCTACTGGACTCTGGAATGGTACTGGGAAATGTCTGCAAAAAGTTCTGTGATGTGATCCGTCTTCAGGTTTCTCAGCTGTGGATACCAGTACCTGTTCTGGTGGAGGTAGCAGGAGGGTGAAGTGAACTCTGTGAGGGTCCTTGGTTGTAGTTTTGTTTAGTGCAGTTGTTTTATGTTGGTTGTAGTTTTGTTTAGTGCAGTGGTTTTATGTTGGTTGTAGTTTTGTTTAGTGCAGTGGTTTTATGTCGGTTGGCCTCCAGCCAGGAGATGGTGCTTTCAAGACTGCATCAGCTGTGGTAGTATAGGGGGTACCAGCTTGCCTCAGGGTCACCTGGATAAGTATTTGGGTTTCTCAGATGATGGGCAGGGACACAGAGCTCCTCAGAGATTATATCCTTTGCCTTCAGCTCCCTGGATGGGTAGAGAAAGACCACCAGGTGGGAGCAAGGATAGGCATATCTGAGCTCAGCTTCTCCTTGGATGGGGCTTGCTGTGGCTGCTGTGGAGGATGGGGGTGTGGTTCCCAGGCCAATGGAATTATATTCCCGGGGGATTATGGCTGCCTCTGCTGTGTCATGCAGGTCACCAAGAAAGTGGGGGAAAGCCAGCAGCCACAGGCTTCACCCAGTTCCCACACACCCAGCAAGGCCAGTCTCCCTCCTGCTGTGCCCCCACAACAGCACTGAGTTTATTTCTAGGCAGCCGGTGAGCAGGGCTACAAGCCTGCCCCAGGCTACGAGCCTCCCCACTGGGAAAGCAAGCAGGGTTTCCAGGTTTCACGCATCCCCACCTGCCATGGCTTCTGTGCTATGTCTGCACTCCTGGTTCACGTGCTCCCCCGGGATTCTGCCCGGGAAGCTTCGCGTTCAGTTGAAATTGTTACAAAATTCAGCTGGAAGTTTCCTTCTCCCAGTGGCCTTTCCCCAGTTCCACTGGCAGCCCTTCCTAAGGACCCCTGTGAGACAAAGTCAGAAATGGCTTCCCTGGAAACTGAGAGTGCCCCCAGGGCTCTTGCTGCTGCTTCCTCTACCCCTACATTTTGCTCAGCTCTCTAAATTTGTCTCAGCTCCAGGTAAGTTCTAATCCTTCTCCTGCGATCTGGACCTTCAGGTTCCCCAGGAAGGTTGTGTTCAGGAATGCACATTCCCCTCTCACACTTCGGGCACTCATGGTGTTGGCTGTCTTATGGGGCCTGCAGAGGCAATCCACTTTTTCAAAGGGTCTATGGATTCTCTTGGCTTTCCTGGTATGTTCCTGCAGTATTTCTTGGAGCAAAAGTTCACGACACGAGTCTCCACATGCTGCTCTGTTTGTCCCAATGGGAGCTGCCCGTTAGTCCTGCCTCCTATCTGCCATTTTTTTGTTTTAATGACCTGAAGTTTATTCTCTTGACTTTGAAATGCACAGTACCCTCTCATTACTGCATCCCGAGCTGGGCAGCAGATGTCAAGGAAACCCACACTCCTGCCTGAAACTCTGCACCTGGCATGGTCCCCACCCCACCCTAACCACCTCCTGCCCTGCCCTGGGTCCTGTTGTTCCAGCTCCCCCATGCACAGGTGGGACGGTGTTGGTCTCTCTGGACCTGGCTGGTCTTGCTGATTCTCCTGTCCCAACTTCTGATCTCCAGAGGACAATGCTTCACGTTCCTGGGCCCTGATGTCTAGAGGAACCCCATCCAAACACCCTGTGAGCCCACTCCCTGGTGGGGGCAGCCTTCTGTGCTCTGGCGCCTTCCTAAAGCACGGGGAGGTCTGCATTCTGGAATGTTCAAGATCGCGTCAGTCACAGCAATGATACAGACAGCAGATGAGGCTCCCGGGGGGCTGAAAGGGTTCGGGTCAGATGACTGAAGAAACAGACAGGCCTGCATCCATCCTGACAGGGTCCAGCGAGACCCCATGCTGGAAGGAGTGGTTCCATCAGCACCTGCGTCTCTCCAGGGCTGTGCTCGGGAGGCCACCTGCAAACCATCGGGTCCGGACACCCACAGGGTCCTGACACCCACAGGGTCCTGACACCCACAGGGAAGGCTGCATCCCCAGCCAAGAGGGGATGCGTTCTGAGCTGAGTCCTCCCTCCCACGTGAGGGGTGTTTTCTCTGAGATCTTTAGTTTTCTGCACCAGGGATCTGTGTGCTGTATGTGAAACCTGCCTCAGCATAGCCCATCCTCCCAGCACCTCCTACCCCACCTGCTGACCAGGGTCGCCTGCCCCTCCTTGCCCTGAACCAGAATTATTTCTCTGGTTCCTTCCATTGGGGTAGACGATGTCAGAGGGAAGACCTGGGGCTCAAGGGCTGCTGTTCAGATTCTTTTGTTCCATGGGGTGCTCCCTTGACATGGCGTCCCCCACTTCAAGCACTGCAGACAGCTGTGAAAGGGAAGAGAGGAGAGACCAAAAGCCCAGCTTATCTCCCTGCACTCAGAATGTCCCAGGGTCTCTCTTGTGGGTTCAGACAGGAGCCCTGGAGCAGACTCTGGGAGCCCCCATGGGGAAGCCGGGGGCCGACCCTCTCGAGGAGCTGCCTTCATCATCCCTCAGGTTTGGTGATTACCAGATGTAATCAGATGGAGTCACTCTGATAGAGCGGATCCTTGTTTTCAATGCTCGTGGGCAGCCTGTGTCCACCTGTGTCAGATGGAAGGGGCTGAGGGGGTACGAGGGACGGTGTCTGCTCCCCCACCATGGTCCTGACAAGCCACACAGGGGGCTGAGGCGGAAACTGCTGAATTCACGAAACTTTCAAAATCCAGTCTCACTCCCTTGGCTCCAGTTCATGAGAGAAAATATCTACAAACCATCCATCCAACCAGGGACAGTTATCCAGAATTTACAAGAAACTCAAACAACTCAATGGCAAAAAACAAGTAATCAGATTTAAAAATGGGCAAACAATCTGAATAGACATTTCTCAGAAGACATATGAATGGGCAACAGGCCTGAAAAAATGCTCAACACTAATCATCAGGGAAATGCAAATCAAAATCACAATGAGATACCAACACCCGCCCCCCGCCACCACCACCGACCAGGAGGATGGTTGTTATCAAAAAGACAAAGAGTAACAAATGCTGGTGAGGAAGTGGAGAAAAGGGAACTCTTACACACTGTTGGGGGGAATGTAGATTAGTACAGCCTCTATGGAGAACAATGTGGAGATTTTTCAAAAAACTAAAAATAGAGTTACCATATGATCCAGCAATCCCACTGCTGGGATTTATCCAAAAAAAAAAAAAGGAGGAAATCAGTACACTAAGGAGACACTTTATCTCCATGTTTATTGCAGCATGATTCACAATAGCCAAGATATGGAATCAACCCAGGTGTCCATCCACAGACTATTGGATAAAGAAAATGTGGTACAGATAGAAATTAGAATACTACTCAGCCATGAAAAATGTTCAAATCCTGTCATTCATGGCAGCATACATGGAACTGGGGGACATTATGTTAAATGAAATATGCCAAGAACAGAAAGACAAATATTGCATGTTTCATTCATATGTGGAAACTAAAAGAAAGTTGATCTCATAGAAGCAGAGTAAAATGGTGGCTACCAGGCTTGGGAAGGGTTGGGGAGAGTGAGAGGGTGGTTAGCTGATACAAAATCACAGCTAGATAGGAAGAATAATTTTTAGCATCCATAGCACTGCAGGGGTCTACAGTTAACAATACTTTGAAGCAACCAGAAGAAAGGATTTTGAATGTTCTCAACATGAACTCATCAATGCTTGAGGTGGTGGGTATGCTAATTACCCTGATTTCATCACAATACACTCTAAGTGTCAGAACATCACAATTACTGTGTGCCATTTAAATAAAAAGAGCCACAGTGCTGGACACTAGGGGAGGAGTGATGTCCCAGTGTGAGATGGGAATGAAGCATGGAAGTAGGAAAACAGAATGGGCCACTCTAAACAGTGTCGACGCCAGGGCGCTTTCCACACCGGCAAAGAGCTGGGGAAGGGAGGTGGCAATGGGAAGGGCCCCAGACTACACGCCTGGGAGGGGTGGACACCAAGGCTGGCCTGCTCTTCCTGATCACTGCGCTGCAGCCTCCAGTGTCTTTCCTGAGGCGAAGAGAGGGTGGGAGGGGGCTCTCAGATTCAGATGGGGAGGATTTGGAGCAAGCAGCGAGGGACTGCGGGCCCAATACAGACGCAGCTCAGCCCCCGGCCCGCCCACTCCCCATCTGCAGCGTCCCTGCTGGTCCTTAGCAGCCTTCAGTCTCTGCTTACTCTGATTCCTCCTCCTGTCTCTCCCTCCATCCTTCTCTTTATTCTCTCCTCCACTGCCTGCTCTCTTCTTTAGCTTTGGGAGATGTTTTTAAAACTCACCCTGATCCTTATATTGAAGCCCAGGGATTTTTAGTCCTGGCTGCTCATTGGAATCCCCCAGAAAGTTCTATGACCCCCTAAATCCAGACCCCACTTTCAGAAACTGATTTAATTGATCTGATCCCAGCTAAGACCCTGACGCAGGTACTTTTTGTTTTGATTCACCAGTGACCCTAATTTGAAGCCAGTGTTACGAATCACTGATGGAGTGAGACATTTGGGGTCTGTTCTTGGGACCGTGGGTGAGTTTGCTTCAAAAGTGCATTAGCTGTTCCCGCATAGGAGGGTTCTGAAGAAGGCCTCATGGTGTCTCCCTGCCTGGAGCGCCAGAACTCAGCCCGGTTCCCAGCTAAGAAGTAGGAGCTCCATGCACCTCCTTTCCTGCCTGGGCCTCTGTGGGGGATTCTTCTGAGCCCCCTCGTCGCTGGCCTGGATTTGCCTTGGATTCTCCGGGGGCGGGTCTGCCTCCTCCCTGCCTGTGTCTTTGGGCGGTGTGACTTCCAGGGCTGTGTGACCTTCTGGGCCTTGCTCCCAGATGGACGATGTTTCCTCGGACACCTCAGCCTCAAGGAAGGGCTGTGCCTCACCAGTCTCCTGCCATTACCCCGTTCCTCTCTGCTCTCATATTCCACACAAGCCAATCCCACATCTGGGATGCCAGGCGGGGATGTGAGTAGATGGCAGGTACAGCGGGCAGCGGGCCAGCACATCTGGGTTCCAACATGAAAACAACTCCCTTTTAACATAAACTTTTTTTAAAGGCCCCAAACACATCTGCAGTCCAGTTAAGGGTTGCTGGCCACAAGTATGCAGCTTGCCTTACCCCTTCCCTCCCTTAGCCTTATGAGTTCAACCCATTTATCCAGCACCGACTGTAAACCAGGCATGTTGTGGGCTCTGGGGGTAAAGCTGGGACTCAGCAAAGGCTCTGCTCTCCTGGACCCTACAGAGGACAAACAAACAGCAACAGGAACGCACGTCAATGTTGTGCACAGGGAGGGTGCTCACCCTGATGGGGGCGACACAGGGAGGGTGCTCACCCTGATGGGGGCGACACAGGGAGGGTGCTCACCCTGGTGGGGGCGACACAGGGAGGGTGCTCACCCTGGTGGGGGCGACACAGGGAGGGTGCTCACCCTGGTGGGGGCGACACAGGGAGGGTGCTCACCCTGGTGGGGGCGACACAGGGAGGGTGCTCACCCTGGTGGGGGCGACACAGGGAGGGTGCTCACCCTGGTGGGGGCGACACAGGGAGGGTGCTCACCCTGGTGGGGGCGACACAGGGAGGGTGCTCACCCTGGTGGGGGCGACACAGGGAGGGTGCTCACCCTGGTGGGGGCGACACAGGGAGGGTGCTCACCCTGGTGGGGGCGACACAGGGAGGGTGCTCACCCTGGTGGGGGCGACACAGGGAGGGTGCTCACCCTGGTGGGGGCGACACAGGGAGGGTGCTCACCCTGGTGGGGGCGACACAGGGAGGGTGCTCACCCTGATGGGGGTGAGGGTGGGGCTTAGGGGAAGGCACCTCTGAGCTGTCTTTGGGTTGAAATTGAAATTAAAGGAGGGAGGAAATGGGGGAATAAAAAGTGCAAAGGCCCTGGGGCCACCTGAGCGCCCCTTGGAGAATTGTGGCCAGGCCCTAGCCAAGGAGCCCTGAGCCCAGGTGAGGTCTCAGACTTCAGGGTGGCAAGGAGACCTGGGGGCTACCCCTGCAGACCACACATGCCTGGAAAAGCTTTTGGAGTTTATTTCTGGGGCAAAGTGAAGCCAGTGAAGGGCCCGGGTAGAGGAACAAACCCCTGACTGTGTTTTAAAGGCTCACAGCCAAAGACCACAGGGACAGACCAGCCTGGTGGTCCAGGCAGGGCCGAGGTGGCTTGGGCTGGAACAGCTGCGTGGGGGAAAGGATGGCACAGAGGGTACTTGGAGGTGGGGGATGAGGAGAACCAAGGGACAGAGGATGACTCCGTGTTCGGGCCTGAAACATTGGGTAGACTGACAGTGAGGCCATTTGCTTGGCAAAACAAGGGGGCAGTGGGGTACGGACAGGAGGGCGTTGGCTGCTTTCAGCTGAGTGTCTTGTCATGTCCCATGCAGGTGCAGGAAGCACAGGGGAGGGGCCAGGGCCAAGCAAGGGCTGGTGAGTGAGCCTCAGCTGCAGGGCTGGACAGAGTCATCTGGGGGAGAGGTGGGGCAGGAGGATGCCTGGAAGCCAAGAGGAGACACTGTTCCAGAGGTGAATGCTCCATCACCACTGAGGCCAGCAGAGAAGTGAGCATGGGGGTCCTGGCCTGCTGGCTTGGACTTCCTAACTGTGGGGTACTGCCCACAGGGCCAGAGGGAAACACTTAGGGGCCCTAACCACACACAAGACCTTACAATTCTCTCCCACATGTAACTCAAATATGTATATCTGTATTTTGCAACAAGACAAATTTTAAACTATGGTTTAAAAAAAATCCCCCTGAATTTGCTGATTGCAAACTTCTTGGCAAATCTGTCCAGGCTGAACTTTTCTCCATCTTCCTCTGCTGCTGCTGTTTTGCCTGCTTTTCAAGTGCTTAGGACACTTACTTGGCCATTAGTCAGATTAGACTGGCTGCTTCTAAATTAGTCCCTTGGCCAGGATCACCTCTCTCTATAATAGAGAAATTGTTTCAGGTGCCTTCGATGGCATCCTCAGCCCAGAGCATTAAGTCCTGGTGGCATCACAGGCCTTGGCCACCCACCTAGGTCACAGCTCCCTTGACTGATCCTTCTCCACCCCCTAGGCACCTGGACTCAGGCCCCCAGAGGGCCACTCACCATCACCTGGCTATGCCTGGCATTTTCCACATCCCTGCTCCAGTGTCTGGGTGTCTGGGCAGACTTCCTGGTTCACAGATGGAGCCTTCTGGCTGTGCCCCCACGGGGCGGAAGGAACAAGGCAGCTCCCTGGGGCCTCTTTTGTAGGGGCACTAATCCCACCATGAGGCTCCACCCTCCGAACCTCATCACCTCCCAAAGGCCCCACCTCCTAACACTGTCACCTTGTGGGTGAGGTTTCAGCCTAGGAATTTGGGACGCTTGCGCATTCTGCCTGGAGCATTAACCACGTATCTTCCCTGTGTTTGCCAAGGATGTGTCCGGAGACTTTAGTCAGTCCTAAAATTCTCCCTCCCGCTAGTGAGTGACCTGAGCAGTGCATCCTGCAGCAGCCCAGCCCTCAGGTGTTCATCCTCCAGCAGCGCAGCCCTGCCCACCCTCGGGAGGAGGAGGGGCCCGGCGCTGACACCTGCGGCCTTCTCAGTGCCACAGCCGGGCTCTGCATCCCTGCAATGCTCCACAGCTGCAAGGCTGCTCACTCACTTTGCACAGTGGCTCCCAAACCCCATTTGCAATTTTCCCTCCGAGACCCTCACAGCAGCTGGGGCCTCCTCTTCAGGCCATGTGTCCCTTCTTCAAGAGTCAAAATGAGAACAAGTCCGTCTCTTCCTTTTCTTCCTCCAAGCTTGGGGAGGCAGCAGCTTCCTCTCTGGCCCCCAGTTAAGGACCTTCTACCTACGGATTCCCTACATCAAGTCCCTCATGGGAATTATCTGTTCTGGTAGCTTCCGTGGCTTCTTTCTCTTCCCAGACCCTGACAGATGACCACGCGTGGCTTGCTGAAGCCATAGCTGTATGAGGACACTGGCAGAAACGGCTGCTGTTCTTCTTGCTTCCCAAAGGGCAGAGATACCTCGAGTCACAGAAGGATGAGGAAGCGTCTTCTCACACCCCTGACTTCATCTGCTGGGAGCTGGTGGCTGAGGGCGGCTGGTTTGCTCTAACCCTTCAACACCGATGAGTGGAAAGGGCCAAGGAAGCAACCCCCGCAAACTGCCTGGTTGCCAAGAGGTCTCCCAGGTAGGGGACAGACTCGGGTCCTGCCGGCAGCTGCGCAGGGAGGGTCTCCATGACGCAATATCTCCACACCACGGCAGGGGGCGCTGTTCACGTGCGCGAGAACGCTCCTTAGTGACCAGAGCCTTTGCTCCAGGGACAGGAGCTGCCTCAGAGCACAATTTGCTGCTTTGAAAAGGGATTTAGAACAGGAATTCCCTCAGACTTGGTAACAGTAGATGCCGTGTGAGCGGAAGAGCATCTTCAGGGAAAACGTGTGAGAAATGGGGGAGAGGAAACCTGACTCCAAATAAACCAAGAACACGGCAGAAATTAAGGAGCTCGCAAAAGCTGTGAGAGGGCAGCGAGTTGCCAGTTCATATAAATGAAGAGATCAGCAGAGTCCACCGCCGACTGGTTGCGAAGAAGTCTAAAAACAGACCCAAGGATTCGGAAATTCGGGGCCGTCGTAGAGCCACTCATTTCAGTAGAACAGTAAGTGCAGAAACCAGATTTATACACACAGGTATATACATGGATACACACATCTATACACACACTAGTTTTCTATTTGTGTTTTAAAATTTAACTTTTTATTTTGATGTTTAAAGAGTACATACAAATGTAGAAAGGACTGTGTAATGAACTCCCATGTACCAAGTACCACCTGATTAATAATTAAGTGGCTTATGACTAATAATTATTGACTCACGACTCAACTTGTTTAATCAGTTTCTGCCTGTCCCCACTCTCTATCTCTCTTTCTCTTTGGATTGGAGTATTTTCTGGCCATCCCAAAAGATATAATTTTATGTAACTACTGTGTCTCTAATGGATAAGGGCTTTTTAAGAGCAGCAGAGGGAGAGAATTGGGACAGAACCCAGAGCCACAGGGAGAGCTGTGTCCTTGAGCAGCACAGATCCGAGGCAGCGCCTCTGGTTGCCCAGCTAGTTTAGAAGCATGATCAAACATGTGACATGAGAAGCAATATTTACCCTTCTAAAATGTGGCTTCAAGGATAGATTGGTTTAAGCCAAGCCTCCTTTACTTTTCCAAATAAGAACAGACACACACTGATAGGAAATGAAACAGGAAATGGCCCCCCTGGCTAATGTGTGGGTAGGGTGAGATGATTCCTTTAACTTGCTCAGCATGAGTGCCTTCTCAGGATGTGACAGGAGTTCATGTCGGGATTTAAGAACATGGACTTCTTGGATCTGTTGGTTGTATGTTCTTGGGAAAGTTACTTATGCCTCAATTTCACCTGCAAATTGGGGTTAATAATGTTTAAGGTCACAAGGTTGTTCCAAGGATAACACGAGAGGGTGCATGTAAAGAGGTGGGTGTAGCACCTGCCGTGTAAGAACTGCTCAGCCTACATTAGCTGTAATGACGATTGGTGAAGACACCCGCTTGTTAACTGTTGTGTTCTGTGAGCCCCCCAGAAGCACCTTGTCCGTAATTATCACACAGAAGGCCTTTTCCTCCACTTTCACCGTACACAGAAATAATATGTAAGGCCCAGACTTAAAATGTAGGCTGTCATTTTTTTCCTACTCGAAAATAATAGAGAGAAACATTTCTTTTTTTCTTTTTATTTCTAGTGCACCTATATATGTGTAAGAATGGTTTATTACTCTCGATCTTCTAAGTTAATTTTGGGGGAAAATAGTAACTCCTTCAAGACTCTAGAGTTTCCTTTAGCCAATTAGACATTGTGATGACTCATCTGAGAGAGTATGAGTAGGCTGCTTATGAAATTTATTCTGCCACCCAAAGATGATAAACTTAAAGAAGTCCCTCACCCAGACACAGCATAATAAAACAGCTGAAAACCAAACACGAAGAAATCTTAAAGTCAGCCAGAGGAATCAGCACGTGACGCACAGGGAGCAAAAATCCAAAGGAGCGTGGATTCACCTTCAGGAGGAGCCCTGGAGTCCTCAAAGTGGCACAGCAGGCCCAGAGCATGGAGGAAAAGAGCTACGCACCTTGAACCTTATATCCAGCAAAAGTGTCTTTCAGCAATGAATGTGAAATACAGACAGTCTCAGATGAAGACAAACTAAGAATTTATTTCCAATTTACCTGTGATAAAAGAAGCGCCACAGAAACTTCAAGCAGAGAGAAACAGTAAGGATAATCTGGAACTTCAGGAATGAAGGGAAAGTGACAGAAATGATAAATGTCTGGGTGAATAAAATAGGCCTTTTTCTCGGTGTGTATGAGGAATGAAGGCAGCATCCATAACACTGGTCTTTTCAGCTAACGCAGAGGTCCACACAGAGGGGAGGGCACGGGGCCAGCGGAGGGCATGGAGGCCGCTGTGGAAGTGGCTTCTGTAGTCCACATGAAACAGCAAAATGTTATCCTCAGTAGACTGTGAAAAGTTAATTGTGTAAATTGTAATTCGTACGTGAACCACACACCCACACAGCTGTGCAAAGAGATATAAACCAGACCCCAATAGACCCTTAACATGGAATATTAAAACTATTCTAAGAATCCAAATGGAGATATAAAAGGGGAAATTGATTAAAAAAATGTAAGACACAATCAGAAAACAAATCATGAAATGACATACTTAAATCCAAACACCCCAGTAACTAAATTAAATATAAGTAGCTTAAGCATATCAATCAAAAACCAGATGATCAGATTGGATATTTTAAAAAGACCAAACTGTGCTGTCTCCAGGAAGCCTACTTTAAATATAATGATGTAGGGGGATGAAAAGATGCACCACATAAACATTAATGATAATAAAAAAGCTTCGGTGGCTGCAGAGACGAGATAGACATCAGAGCCAGGAAGATTGTGGTTGATGAGGAAGGGCACTGCATGATGGTGAGAGGTCAGGTCCACAAGCAGACGTTGCCGTCCTGAGTATGCACGTGACAGAAGAACTTCAAAATATACGAAACATAAACTGGTGGGACCGAGAGGAGAAATGATGGATTAATAACTGTAGTTGGTAGTTGGAGTCTTCAACACTCCTTTATCAGTCATGGTTAGAATAGAACAGAAAATCTTCTAGAAGGAGGATAAAGAACTGAACAGCATCACCAACCACCTGGACTCACTTGACATGTGCAGAACACGCTGCCGAGCAATAGCAGCACACACGTTCTCAGGGGCACGTGAAATGTTCACTAGGGTAAATCATGCCATGGGTCATTGAAAGCTCTAACAATTTTATAAGATCTGAAATCATGCAAAGCATGCTTTTGACCACAATAAAGCTAAGCTAGAAATTAATAACAAAAAGATATTGGGGAAACTTCCAGCTACTTGAAGGCTAAATGACACACTTAGATAATGCATAGGTCAATTTTACATTTCAAAGAAATTAGAAAAAAATTTGAACTGTATGAAAATTGGAAACAGAAAAACAAGAAAGAAAATCAATGAATTCAAAACAGTTCTTAAAAATATCAACAAACTGGTAAATGACAGAGAGAAAAGAGAGAAAACAAATGATCAATATTAAGACTGAAAGAGATGATAGCATTATAGACACAACCGACATAAAAATGACAGTAATGGACCACTATGAACAACTCTACGCACCTAAATTTGAGAAGTTAAATGAAACGGCCAAGTTCCTTAAAAGCCACACACTATTAAAACACACTTAACAAGAAATAGATAAACTAAATAGTTCTGTATCAAAGAAATTGATTTTTTAGTTAAAAATCTTCCAAAAATAAAACTCCAGGTCCAGATGATCTCACTGGAAAATTCTACTAAACATTCAAAGAAGAAATATCAGAAACTGTATACAGTCTTTCAGAAAATAGAAGAGGAAGGAGCACTAACTTATTTTATGAAACCAGTATTATCTTGATGCCCAAACCAGGGAAAGAAGAGAAACTATGGACCAGCAGCCCTCATCATCATCAATTCTCAACAGAATATCAGCCAATCAAATCGAACACTATATGAAATAAATAATCCATCACAATGAAATGGGCTTATTCCAGGAATGCAAGGCTGGTTCTACTTTTGACAATCAATCAATGCAATTCACTATATTAACAGACTAAAAAAAAAAACTATGTGATTTTGTCCACGGATGAAGAAAAAGCATTTGACAAAATTCAGCATCTAGTCATGACAAAAACTCTCAGCAAACTAGGAAGAGAAGGGAATTTCCTTAACCTGATAAGGCGTATTTATTAAAAAAAAATTCACTATGGCTGATATCAAGATAGTGACAGAGCAAAGGGTTTTCTCCTAAGATTTGGAACAAGGCAAGGGTGTCCATTCTCACCACTCTTATTCACCATCACACTGTAAACCCTAGCCAGCAAATGGAGCAAGAAAAGGAAATTAAAAGGCATGCAGTTGAAACAAAAAAAAAACTGTCCCTGTTCATAGGTGATGTGATTATTTATGTAGAAAATTCCAAGAAATGTACAAAAAAGGCTGCTAGAACTAATAGGTATGTTTAGCAAGGTTGCTGGATAGAATGTCAACATTCAAAATTAATCATATTTCTATATACTGGCAATGAACAGCTGAAAACTTAAACACACAACTACACATACACACATTTGTACACACATACACACCATTTACGATAGGGACAAAAAATGATTAGGTATAAACCCAGCAAAACATAGAGGCTTTATAAGCCAAGAACTACAAAACACTGATGGAAGAAATCAAAGAATATCTAAATAAATTGAGAGACACATTGTGTTCATGAACTGGAAGACAGAACTTAGTTATTTGTCAATATTGTCTACATTGATCTATTGATGTAACACAATTTCAATACAAATTCCAACAGGATTTAAAAAATAGATATAGGCAAGCTCATTCTGCTATTCACATGAAAGGCAAAGAAACTAAAATAGCTAAAATAATTTTGAAAAAGAAAAAAAAAGTTGGAGGACTCACATTGCCTGCCATTAATACTTAACATAAGGCTACATTAGTCAAGACAGTGTTATTGGCGGGGACAGAAACACGTATCAGACGAACAGAATAGAGAACCCAGAAATCTACATACACAAATATTGTCCAGTGGCCTTTGAAAAGGGTGGAAAGGCAATTCGATGGGGAAAGGATAGACTTTTCCACAAATGGTGTGAAAAACTGGGCATCCATATGCCAGTACAAGCAAACCAACCATCTTGCTCTAAACCTCAAACCTTCTACAAAAGTTAACTGAGATTGAACTACAGAGCTAAATGTAAAACATAAAACTAAAACTTTAGGAGACTTTATAGGAGAAAATCTTTGTTGCCTGGGGTTAAGCAAAGGATTTCCAGATTCAGCACCAAAATCACGATGCAGAAGAGGAAAAATCGATACATTTAACTGTATTAAAATTAAAAACCATTGCTCATGAAAGACATATTTAAGAGAAGGCTGGAAGAAACCAGTTTCCAATCATGATATCTGACAGTATAAAAAGAGCTCTCAAAACTCCACAATAAGAAAATAAACAACCCAACTTAGAAAATGAGCAGAACGTTGGAAGAAACTTCCCCATAGATATTATAAGGACAGCACATGAAAAGAATGAAAAAATTGGGAAGAACATTCTTTATTTGAGCTAAAAACATGTCCTGATTTATTATTAGTCATATATTAGCCTAAGAAATGTTTGTCCTCATTGTAGACTGTCGTAATTTTTCCCAACAATAAATCTTTATGATGCACCTACTGTGTGCAAAGCACAGACTTCTTGGGCCAATCCCACAGAGAAATCGGGTCATTCTCGCCAGCTACTGGCATCATTTTCCTCTGCAGTTTTGGATGCTTTCACCTTAAAATCCTCTTAGGATGTGTAGTGGGAAGAATAATGGCCCCCAAAATGTTTGTGTTTTAATCCTCAGATCCTGGGAATGTGTCTTGCACATGGCAAAGAGGGATTCAGGCAGCTGGAATTAATGTAGCCAAGCGCCCGCCCTGAAGTAGGGAGCTGATCCTGGGTTGTCAGGCTGGCCGCTGTGATCCCAGGGCCCTTCACCTCGGAAGACACCCACATCAGAAGGGCTGTACTGACCATTGCTGGTCTGAAGAGGGAGGACAGGCCATGAGCCCAGAACGCAGCGGCTCCTAGAAGCTGGAAAACAGGAGTCACCCCTGAAGCTTCCAGGAGACAGCCCTGCCGACACCTTGATTTCAGCCTGTGAGACCATTTCCGACTTCTGGCCCACAGAATGCTAGGACAGGCCTGAGTCTGTGTCACCCGCCACAGCAGCCATCAGCAGCTGACACAGGTGTCCTGTGTTCTGCCCACCGGCTCTGGGGTCCCTTGGGTGCTGATGAGAAGTGCAGCTTCCTGGACTTCACATGCAGGGGCTGAGGGACCCCAGAGCCTGTGCTGGCCACCTCCCAGCCTGCCCACGTGGCTGGGGCGCTGCCCCAAACACCCTTCGTGCCAGCCCCCCGCGGGGCTTTCCAGGCAGCAGGCCCCCAGGGAGCAGAAACCAAGGAGCAGGGGCAGTTCCTGTTTCTTCCGTCCTAATTAGAAATCCAGCCTTCTTCTGGGGCCAGGTGCCATGGCCGAAGTCATCTTGACTTCTCATCAGCTTGTGTGCTTGAATGAGATTTCCACAGCACCGGCCGTTAGAAGGCCGTGGATGGAACACGGGTGAAGACTCTCCATTGCCTCCTGACAGCTTTGTCCTGGGTGGGTCTGTCTGTGACCGCTCTCGGGTGACTGTCACGCTCATCACGTTAAAAACGATCTCCATCTCCCTCTGTCACCCTCTGCACCCCCGGCTGCAGGACGCGAGGTGGGGACACAGCACGGGCTGACAGATGGTGACGCTTGGCTGTGGTGCTGACAGACCAGCCGGGGACCTCGTGTGGGAGGACCAATTACCACCGCATCCCCTCAGGGAAGAGCCTCTCAGCTGCATGTGGGGGCTCATGATAAATGAATTGGAAGGAAAAGATTGCACTCTGAAGGCCATATTCCAAGGATTTGTGTCAGCAGGTTGTAATTAGTTAATTAAATGCCCGGCTGGCGCGATGGCCCCATGGGGCTGCTCCCGAAACAAGGGCAGGAACGTCCTGGAATCTGCATGCAGGGCCACAGCCCGCACCTCCCAGCACATGAGCCCCTTTTCCAGGGAAGGTCACTGGGAGATTTGGGAAGAGTCTTTGGGGGTATTCAGTGTCTGAAGTCACTGAAATGAAAAGGAGATGGAGACATCCGTGATCACAGAGCTCTGGGCGGAGCAGGCAGGGATGAAGAGGGTGAAACGATGGATGCCGGAGCGCAGGGACTGGCGAGGGAGAGGGTGACGCAGGCTAAGGAGAGGGCGAGAAGCTTCCCAGATGTTAAAGCGCCCAGACTCCGTTTTCAAAGTAGCTTTGAGCGTGAGGGCCGTGGCGCAGGCTGTTTGATGCATGTAATAACGATGCGTCCAGAGCTCCGGACAATGCGTGAGTTGATGCTGAACACGCGCTAGGCCCAATGACATGAGCCGAAACCCAAACCCCGCCCCACACCGTGCAGCTGCCCTGAGCCCAAGCCTCCCGGAGTCCCAGAGCCCGCCTGTAGGTGTTGCGCTTACACCTTGGGTCTCCCTGACTCATAAAGGCGCTTGGGAAAGGCCTCCCGTATGGACGCCCCTGTCTCCCTCACACCCCTGCTGCCCCCATCGAATCCCCTGCAACGCCCACCTAGGAGCACCCTGAGGCATAACGCAGTTCCAAGTCCTGCTCCTCAAGCCTCAGTCCGGCCACGGAATTCCCAGTGGAGACAGCAGTCGCGGAGCATTGGTCTCCACACCACCTGCTCTCCTCATCTCAGTGACTTAGAAATTAATTCAGGGCAGTGCCCCAGCCATGCGGGCAGGCCAGGAGGTGGCCAGCATGGGCTCTGGGGTCCCTTGGCCCTTGCACAGTGAGGTCCAGGAAGCTGCGCTTCTCATCAGCACCCAAGGGACCCCAGAGCAGGTGTGCAGAGGACCACACTGAAAACCCTCCCAGGAGCGCCAGATGCCCGTGCCAGCTGCCAATGGTTGCTGTGGCAAGTGACACAGACTTAGCCACAAGTGACACGGGTGCACTAGCCACAAGGATCTTTGAAATACGCAGATCAACTCACGCTACTCTCCTGCCCCAAACCATCAGTAAGTCCCCGTTGGTCCTGAGTAAAGCTGCCCTCTTCGCCTGGCTGCCGAGCCTCTGTGCTGCTGGCTGCCCTTCTCTCCCAGGGCCTCGCCATGCCCACTCCACGCCATGCCCACATCATGCCCACACTACAGCATGCCCACTCCACCCCATGCCCACATCATGCCCACTCCACGCCATGCCCACATCATGCCCACACTACAGCATGCCCACTCCACGCCCACCCACACCCAGTCCACACCACACCACACCCACTCACCACGCCCACACCACACCCCGCCCATGCCATGCCCACTCCACAGCACGCCCACTCCACACCACGCCCACCCACGCCCACTCCAGACCACACCACGCCCACACACCACGCCCACAACACGCCCACCCACGCCCACTCCACACCACGCCCACCCACACCCACTCCACACCACTCCCACTCCACACCAGAACCCACTCCACGCTACACCCACACCACGCCCACTCCACACCATGCCCACTCCACACCATGCCCACTCCACACCACACCCACCCACGCCCACTCCAGACCACACCACGCCCACACACCACACCCACAACACGCCCACTCCACGCCATGCCCACCCACACCCACTCCACACCAGAACCCACTCCACACTACACCCACACCACGCCCACTCCACATCATGCCCACTCCACACTATGCCCACCCATGCCATACCACACCCACACCATGCTCACAACACACCCACTCCATGCCGCGCCCATGCCACGCCCACACCACACCATGCCCACAACACACCACGCCCACTCCACACTACACCCACTCCATGCCGCAGCCACTTCACTCTTTTTGCAGGCCCTCTGGTGTCCCAGGACAATGGCCGTCTCAGGGCCTGGCACTGCAGCTGTCCTGCTGATCTTCACCTGCCAATCCTGTTTACTAAAGAATATGGCACTCCTCTCCTGTATTCTCCAATTGTTAGTTTCTCCATTGATTCTCCAGGGTTTTCCAGAACAATCATGATGACATCTGCAAATAATAATCATCTTTTTATTATCAGATAATAATATTTTATTAGCAAAATAAATGCTGAATAGCAGAGAGTGGCCAGGCACGTGTCACACGCCGGCGAGGATGCTGTGTCCCCACCCCCACCCCTCTTTGCTGACCACTGGTGACCTTCACGCGGAGAGCACACTATTGGAACTAGTTCCCTTTCTGTGGCCAATGAAGAAACTGAAGAAGCAAAATCAGAACTTAGCAACGACCTTCCTCGCTGGGAAGACCTGGTCCCCAGGACGATGATTCCTCTCATGACAAAGAAAACACCCAGGTGGCTTGAGAGGAAGGAGAAAGGCCACATTCTCCAGGGACCCAGGGAGTTCCAGAGAGGACGGCTGGGCCTTGCAGGCCCCAGGCCTGCCCGGAACCCAGATCAGAATTTACTGCAGTCCTCCTTTGGCAGGGCCATCTTTATCTCATGTATTCTGTAATCTTTTGGAAATTTGGAAGAAAGATGTTCTCAGGGAGTGCTGATGGAATAGTGTGAACCCAAAATATCTGAGGCAGGTCTCAGTCAATTTAGAAAGTTTATTTTGCCAAGGTTGAGGGCGCGCCGTGACACAGCCTCAGGACGTCTGGTGATGGTGGCCGGGGCCCAGCTTGGTTTTATACATTTTAGGGAGACATGAGACATCAATCAATGTATGTAAGATGTACATTGGTTCTGTCCAGAAAGATGGGACAACTCAAAGCAGGGAGGGGGCTTCCGGTTATAGGTAGATCAGAGACAAATGGCTGCATTCTTTTGAGTTTTTGATTAGCCTTTCACTGAATGCACAATTTACTGGAATAGTTACGTATGCCTTAGTCTGGCTGAGTGAAACAACAGGGCGGAGGAAGCATTCCGATCTGTGTTTGTCTCATGTGAACAGAGGGATGACTGAGTTCTGTCTGTCCTTCGTCCACGAGGAATTTCCTTGTGGTCAAATTGTGAGGGTGGTCTGTAGCTTGTTAAAAATCTTCTCAGCCATCTTATTTAGGAATAGAATGGGAGACAGGTTTGCCCAACACAGTTTCCAGCTTGACTTCCCTTAGGTTTAGTGATTTTGGGATCCTGAGATTTATTTTCCTTTCACAAGAGACTGCAGGTGTTGCTGCAGTGTCTAAAACACAACTGTATATTTTGAGTGGACTCAATCCATCAGTTGAATTTACTAGGTCTTCAAAAGCGAGTGGCAGTTTGTCGCTGGCGGCAGCCCTTCTGGTCCCCGGGGAGGATCGGTGTCTTTTAGGACAAGAATTTTATCCTACACCCCGTGGCTGTCTTCCTAAGCCAGTACTTTTTTGGAGCTGCAGCGGTCAGGCTCAGAAAACCAAGACAGTTCCCACCCTATTTATTTTGTTTTACTAGAGATTAATCTGTCCAATGGGAAGCAATTGTCAACTGATACTCAATAGATGTTCATTTATTTAATTGTACTGAATCAAACCTGAGGATGACTCTTCTGAACTCTGGAAGATGAGATACACATTTTCGGGGGAAGAGAGCTCTGCTGCCCCCTCCTTCCGGCTGCTTCCCACTTCCATGGTCCGCCCTGGTCTGGCGAGTCCCTGTGCTCCTTCCCCGTTAGACCTGGACACCTTCCCAGCGGCCCCTTGAATTCACTAGTTCTGTTCTTTCTGTGGACTCTTTGCCAATCCCAATGCTGCACTGAGTTCCCTTCTAAGTCTCATCTCCTTGAGAAGTTATTTCTGACCAGGTGAGTCTGTAATTCTTTCCCCCTCTTTTGAATGGTTATACCAGTTATTGTTTAAACCACTCCTTTGGAACTTAAATACTAACACTAAATCATAAAATATATATTTTATATCTGCATCTGCCTTTCACTTATCCCCAGTAATACTTTCTGAGAACAGGGACTGTCATATATTTTGTTGAATGATACATTGCTTTTCTCATGTCAGAATCTCAACAGACATTTGAAAATTAATCATGGATTAGCTTCAGGTTATTTTCGTGGCCTCGCTGCTCCTATGTTCTCCTCTATTCTCAGTTAGCTCATTTTTAACCTTTAAATTTATCTATTTGTGAGACTTTGTGATCCTTCCTAATGAGATCTTGAGCCACTAAGATGGAATTATGAGGGCTAGTCCAAGGAGAGGAGTACAGCTGTCTTAGGTTGTAGAGTTATTTAATCACCACTAAGTCTGACTGGACCCCCAAACTCAGACTAACCTTGTGCTGGCCATGTGGCAGACCAGTCTCATCATCACCTTTCCCAAGCAAAGAGGTGTGAGCTGCAGTCACACCTACATCCGGTCTAAGCTGCACCCAAGGTGTGCTCAATCTGGACCTTCGGAGCCCCTCTGGGAAGGAAGGGGTCCCTGCCCGGGCAGGCCCAATGAAGCCATCTGGAAGCTTCACAGCTAAACTGCCTCTTGAGGAAGCATCCAGGTAGCCATCCTTCTCCTCATTAGCCACTCTGCAGCTTCGAGTCATGTTGCTCAAGGATTACTTACAGGCAGTTGCCTGGGCTGCATCCCCATCACTGTTCCAGCAAACAGGAAATGACAGGGATCCTGGGTCTCCCCATCTCCTGCCTGGAGAATGAGAATTCTCCAGCTAAGGTACCATTTTGGCCTGGGTTGCATGAGATTGGGCTGTCGGTTTAGGGGATGCAGAGCTGACATTACTAGGTTATTGTCTGTCAAGACGAGTGGCATAGGTGTTCAGGCTCTTTATATAATTTATAACCTTAAAGTGATTATTTCAATAGCTGTAACTTCACAGATGACTACCTAGCTTCTGACTTTTGAGGCCATTTTTTCCAAGTCTGGGCAAGACTGGATGTGAAGGAGGCTAGCTTGTAGCCAGTGAATTGCCTTTACACAGAGCGGACCATCCATCCATGTGACATAGAAACTATGTCCCAAATCATGCTGTATTTGATCCCACTTTCTGGGTAGAGAGCCGACATTGTTTAGTGAAAGGTTTAATTCCAGCCGAATTGTCATGGGACTGTAGTGATGGTTTTGTGCCACTGACACCATCTTGACTCAGTATGTTAATGAAAGGGTTGGCGTGACAAGGACATATGAACGTGATGAGCCTTTCTCATCAATAGTTACTATTTCAGATGCTCCTCATTTTACTTAGTGAGTATACAGTTCTCAAAAAGTTGAGTGTAACAAGATCACTGTAAATGGAGCCATTTCATGTGCACAGGGCAGCTCCGTCTTCTAAGAGAGTTTTGATGATGAGAGAAATGTTGACCTGGAACATGGTCTCAGTCCCTCCTTCCACGTTTTCAGGTCTCTTTTCCTCCATCCCCAGTGCAGGACTGTACTGATCCAGAGCAACATTCAGCTGCCACCCCAGCAAGAAATGCCCACGGCTGTGAAAAAGGAAACATCCCGGGGTGTGGCTCACTCTGGGTGGGGGTTTCCCACCAAAAGGAACGGCAGTGTCACTCTTTAAAGACGACATCCAGCTTCATCCATGTCCTTGCAAAGGACATGAACTCACCCTTTTTATGGCTGCTAAACTGCACATTCTGCACATGTATCCCAGAACTTAAAGTTAAAAAAAAAAAAGACGACGTCCAGCAGGATTAGAATGATGTCTGTACCTGCTACCACGAGGCCAGCCAAAACAAAACCCACAACAAAACCCGAGGCCAGCCAAAACAAAACCCACAACAAAACCCGAGGCCAGCCAAAACAAAACCTACAATAAAAGCGAGAGAAAAAGGTGTGCAAGATTGCATACTTTACGATAGAAACCAGGTGGAGGCAACCATGCTTTACGATAGAAACCAGGTGGAGGCAATCGCATGTACATAGCTAGAATAAAATAGGCAAATGCCATATTATGCAAATATATTTTGGAACTCATTGAAGACAAAGCACAAAGCAGAATTTTAATATGCAAATAAAAACTAGTTTTATAGAAAATATTTGCATGTGTGCTGAAAAGCCTACAGATTTATGGTGTGGTAACGGAAGAAAGCAGACCCAATCAACTTGCTTGTGCCTCACGGAATCCCTGGGACTGACGGATTTCTGGCAGCTGGGTAACTGAACTACGCAGCTCGTAAGTGTGGACGTGTTTCCTGTGGATGTCCCACTTGCCGTATCACTCCTCCTTTTTGCAAAGTCAATGAAGGCATCTTGGCAGACGTGAGCCTGTGAGGGAGGCCCCCGCTGACAGGCTGTGGGCTGCTCTGAGGTAGTGGACTTCCACGAGTGGGTCCTGAAGGCTTGGCACAGCTCCCATCTTGCCTTGATTAGATGCTCTCACCTGGCTGGTGCCACGGCCAGGCCGTACCTCCTCATCGGCCTGGACACCTGCCCTCCTGGAGCTTGGCTCCCAGTGCTGCTCCTTGGAGACAAGCTCTGGTGCCCTCTTGCTGCCTCTTCCCTCTTCTGCCCCCAAAGCAGCCAGTATTTAAGGACCCCGGCCCGAGATGCTGCCCATCCTTTTCCTTCCATGGCAGGTAGGGCACTGGAACTGTACGCCCTGGAATGGAGCTCAGAGCTCTTCAGCTGGTACCAGCATGGTTACTTCAGGGACACAGGTGCGTGTCTGAGCCTCCTGCAGGGCCGAGGTGCTCAGCTGCCTGCTTGAAATGCTTTGTTTACTCCTGTCTTTCCTCTTCTCTCACTCTTCTCCAGCCTTCCTGTGAACATAAAGTTACACCCGCTGCTTCACCAAGTTGGTGGACAGAGTGATCAGGGTGGATATTTTCGGGAGAAAATGAGCACGGTGGCCCTGTTCATCAGGGACCAAAACTGGGGATGATGCCTCCGAGACCGGTGTACAGACAGGAAACAGGTGTTACAGGTGGGGAGCCACCTACTTAGGCTCACAGGTCCTTGTAGGAACTGTGGCAAGCTGGACCGACAGCCCCTTAGGAGTAGATTCGGCCTGTGTGCTCCACATTCAGATGCACCTGGACCTGAATCCCCACCGCACCACTGTGAGTGAGCTTGAGCCACCGAACTCAGCTTCTCACCTGCAACCGGGGCTCCCATCTCCAGATCCCATGAGGTTATAGTAGAGATCATGTAAGACAGTAACATGCAAAGGTTAGTGTCTGCCAGAGCCCAGGAAACGTGATCCACTGTCATTCCCCTCCAGAAGTTCTATGGAAGCCACTGATGACAAGCACACATTTATTAATGCGTGTGCGTGATCTCTTCCCCAGGGCTGCGTTTCTCCTGAGGAGCCTTGGCTGTCAGAAGCAGCGTGGCGCCTGCAGCAGTGCCGTGTTCTGGCGCCGGTCATGGAATTTATTATAAGGGGGGTACTGGGGAGAGACCACGAAGTGGTTAGGAGGGAAGGGCCGGGTTCCACCTCTTTCGGGGCTGGCAGGACCCTGATCCTTTCGGGGTGAGCTCTCATTGGCTGAGGAGGGTGTGGGGCCCTGCAGAGGTCGCCCCAGGGAACAGCACCTTGCACCCTCTCCTGCTCCCTGTGCCTGGGGAAACCACACATTCTTGAATGGTTGCCTCCAGGGCTTATGATTTTGGGGAATCAACATGCAGCCCTCCCTGCTCCATCACCTCCCAGCAAGTCCCCAGGGGTACGGCATCCCCAGCCCCTTTTATCTGTGGTCCCCACACTCAGCTGTCACTGCTGGGGGTCTTGAGTTGCAGCCCCATTTGGCGTTCATTACCAAAGGAGGGTGGGACACCAGGCATGTTTCGAGGGAATCAGCCTAGCGTTGGCAGCCGGATGGGATGAGGCTTTTCCAGGTGCAGGAGCACACGGGCCACAGGTGTCAGAGGAAGGGAGCAAGGCACACCTCTATCCTCCCCAGGAAATGGGATTTGCTGGCTGCAGAGGAGCCTGTGGGAGCTCCCTGATGCCCCGGAGAGGACATGATGTGCTCTCAGAGGCTCAGCACCTGTCAGTCAAAGCTGAGGTTCGCCAATGTGTTTGGGAGGTTGTGTGTCCTGCCTGGTGGATGCGTGTGAGGCTGTCAGTCACTCGGGCTGGCTCTCCAGTGCCTTGAGGAGCCTCCTGAAGAGGTCAAGCTCAGCCAAGCACTCATGACCTTCACGGAGCTTCCAGGCCGAAGCTAGGAGCACCTTGTTTCATCAAGAGGCCGCAGCAGCCTGGCCCCACCTGAGCTCACGCCCGGCCTTCACACGCCTCCCTTCAGCAGCACCTCAGTTGACCCTCAGTCATTGCAGATTCGCCACTTGTGAAACTACCCACTTGCTGAATTCATTTTCCCCAAATCAGTACTTGGTGCTTTTATGGTGTTTTGATGACATCGGAAGAATGATGAAAAGTCTGTGTCTCCAAGGCCCAGGTTCCCAGCAGAGTGGCCACTGCCCTCTGGTTTCAGCTCATGCTGTAAACAAGTGCTCTCCACACCGTAGTTAGTCTCACATTTTCATGCTTTTTGTTAGAAATTTTGCTGTTAAACACAGCCTCAAGCGCCGTGAGGAAGTGCCGTTGCTAGTCTTCCTGGGTGAGGGGAGGCGGTGCTGTGCCTCACGTTGAGAAGCTGCCCTAGGCAGTGACTTGGGTGTTGACATGGTTTGGCTCTGCGTCCTGCACAAATCTCAGGAGAAACTGTAATTCCCAGTGTTGGAGGAGGGGCCTGGCGGGAGGCAACTGGGTCACGGGGGCAGATTTCCCCCTTGCTGTTCTCGTGATCATGAGTGAGTTCTCATGAGATCTGGCTGTTTGAAAGTGTGTAGCACCTCCCCCTTCTCTCTCTCTCTTCCTCCTCCCGCCATGTGAGACGTGTCTGCTTTCCCTTTGCCTTCTGCCATGATTGTAAGTTTCCTGAGGCCTCCCCAACCATGTGGAACTGTGAGTCAGTTAAACCTCTTTTCTTTATAAATTACCCAGTCTCAGGTATGTCTTTATAGCACTGAGAGAACGGACTAGTACAAGTGTTAACAACCCATATTAAATCAGGTGTCTTTTAACAGAAACACACATAAAACAAGCTTATGTATTGATTGGCTGATGAGAATGGGACCAGAGGCTTTCAGGAGATTCACCAGAGGAGTGATGGTTCGGGACTCACTGACTCAATGTTGGCAGTGACTTGATGGAACATAATGACAGTGAGGAGCTGCCGTCACTTTAGGATATCTCTTTCCTCATCCTTTCCGTCTGCCTCATTGAGCTGCCAACTCACTGCTGAGTCAGCACCACCCAGCAAAGATATTCCCAGATCCTGGACTTTCAGAAATGGTGTGAGATCATCAATATTTGTTGACTAGGCTGCTAAGTGTTTGGTGACTTTGTTTCGGAGCCATAGATGGCTGACACGCAGGCTTCATCCACAGAAGCAGGAGGCTGCACTAAAGACCATGCTGGATCCCTCGGCTGCTGGTCCTGGGGTCCTGTTGCACTCACCCTGTTGGCGTGGTCTCCCCTCTGGAGCCTGACCCTCTGCCCATCACCTGTAGTGTCTGCAACGCAGGGAAACAGCTGGGCAGGGTTTGTTAGAGACAGCTGCTTGCGGGAGGGATGGGACTTCCTCTGCAGGCACAACACTCATTGGCACTGCTCGGGGACTCCCAACTTTCAGAATTCTGAAGGCAACCCACAAATAGGTTGAGAATGTTAGTATTTCCCCCAATTTAACAAAAGTAGAAATACCAAGTGGATACAATACAAAAGCTTACAACTTATTATTTTTTTTTTTTTGAGACAGAGTTTCGCTCTTGTGGCCCAGGCTGGAGTGCAATGGCACGATCTCAGCTCATGGCAACCTCCGCCTCCCGGGTTCAAGCAATTCTCCTGCCTTAGCCTCTCTAGTAGCTGGGAATACAGGCATGTGCCACCACACCCGGCTAATTTTGTATTTTTAGTAGAGACGGGGTTTCTCCATGTTGGTAAAGCTGGTCTGGAACTCCTGACCTCAGGCGATCTGCCTGCCTCAGCCTCCCAAAGTACTGGGAAAACAGGCGTGAGCCACTGTGCCCGGCCATTTTGTCTTCTTCATTATTCTCTTCCAGATAAGGTTTCTGGCTGCATGAATACCATTGCCCCCCTTTCACCTCGAAACTCAATCGCATAAACACTTTTGATTCATGTTTAGCCGGTGGTTATTAAGGGATCTAAGTCTTCTTGCCTCACCTTTCATGGAGAATCCCTTCTTGGGCAGAATGAGGCTGGCCTGAGTGCCCATCTTCACAGAACTATTTTGGCCTCTCCTTCCACCACTATCTGGGTGTAGTGAGAACGAAGCTCCGGCTTCTCAGCAATGGTGGTTGGTGTTTAAAAACCTTCAGTTGGTTTCAGGACAGGCACTGCCGGAGCTCCACACGAAGCTCTGCAGCCACGCCCAAGGGCAGCCTGTTCTGTTGGCCACACAGGGCCCTGCGTGTCACTTGTCATGTGTAACAAATCTCCCAAACAGCAGCCGGCAGCACCCCAAACCCACAGGCCCGCTTGGCCACCACATTCAGCAGCTGTTACCTTTGCTCATCAATGGCCGTTCAAACGGCTGCCTATTGATCGTGGGCCTAGAAAGGCACAGCTGAGCTCGTTCAAAGACGTTTGTCACGGAGCCACAGGTTTCCATCTTGACCTTCTTGCCCTGGTTTTCATTCCTCCTTCTCTTCTCCCACATTCCTCCGACTCTCACTTTTGTTTGCAAACCTCTGGCAAAATGCAGCGTCATTCTTTTTAGGTCGTAACAGTCATGGTGGCCGTTGTGCTCCAGCTCTCAGGACACGGGGTCAAGGGCATGGAGGTCCCTTCAGGAGTTGGGGGAGGCTGGCTCTCCGCCTGTCCACGTGGGCAGGTCAAGGGAGTGGAGGTTCCGTCAGGAGTGGCGGGAGGCTGGCTCTCCACCTGTCCACCTGGGCAGATGAAGGGTGCAGAGGCGCCTTAAGGAGCGGTGAGAGGCTGGCTCTCCGCCTGTCCACTTGGGCCGATGCTATCTCCGAGCTGCAGCCTCAAATTGGCTTTGTGCATCTCAAGGCTGGGGAGGAGCCTGCATGGAGGTGCCAGTGTCTGTGCAGGGGCCACGGGATGCTGAGCTCAGGGCTGCTGTCTGCACCCCTTAAATGGAAGAATGGAGTGCTGGGGAAACAGGATGGGCTGTCTTCCTGGAGAAGAAGAACTGGAGACCACAAATCCTGTTAGAAACCACGGACTGTGGACTTTAGAGGCCACACAGCCTCAGTTGCAGGGGTGACAGTAAATCTGCTCTTTTAAAATCCTTTATCTTAAAAATTCTCACGCACATCTAAATGTAAAGAGAGAAGGAGAGCGAATCCATCGTCCAGGCTGAAAAATCAGCCACATCCTGCTACCCTGCCTCCAGCTGTGTCCCCACATGCTTTAAAATAAATCACAGACAACATGTCATCTCTTCCACCTATTTCGTGTCTCTAGCAAATGGGTTCTCTTCTTCACATCACCGCAGTGTAGTCATTTCACCTGACAGTTAGTGATGATTCCCTAATGTCATCCAATACCCAGTCCGTGTTCACTTTCTCTGGTGGCCTCTGAAGGTTTTTTGACCAAGGATGTGCAGCGTGCTTGCGTTGGACTCTGAGCACACCCAGCTGGCCTCCGGACGGCACATCTCTGAAAGTCCTCAGTCTTCAGCCGTTTCCTACCCCTGTGAAGTGCATTTTAACTGAAGACACTGGGTCATTCTTCCTGTAGAATTTTCACTCTGTTTACCTGACGCTTTTCTTGGGCCTTAATGTTGGCATTTCCCCAAATCCCATCCTTGACCGCCTTGTCCCCTGCCTACACTTTCGTCCTGGTTATCACATTTATTCCTAGGACTCTAATTGAGAACTCAATGCTAATGGCTCCCAAGTCTATATATTTTCCCCAGCTCTCTGTCTTGAGATCCAATGGTATCTAAGAGTGCGGGATTTCTCTGCTTAGATAACACATAATAACTCAAACTTAAAATGTCCAATTCTGAGCTCATCCTCCTCTCCTTCAAGCCTGTTCCTTCCCCTGCCCCATACTCCTTGAATGAGGATCTGCTGGTGTTTCAGACACAGCAAGCCCTGCAACCACTGGAGAATGTGCCCATTATGGAACCGACCATTGGTGGGAACCTGGCTAGGGGCTCGTTCCTCTAGGGCGTGTGCCTGTGGGAATGCGAGGAGGGTCACTAGTGCACGTGAGGCCCTGGCAATGGGGAGGAGGCCGGAGAGCCGCCGGGCTGTGTGCAGGAGCTCCAGCTCCACCCATGCCCAGAGCATAGGGCAGGACACAGATGTCGGAGGGAATAGCCCACAGTGGACCCAAGTCCTTTCCAAAGTGCAAGAGAGAAAATACTGTCCGCCGAGACAAGGGTTGCGCACACACCTCTCCAGCGGCTTTGGGACTAAGTTTGCTGTATGCAGATGTGAGTAACTCCAGCCCAGGCTGTTTTGCCTTCTCCCTGGAAGCCTGGAATAACGATACCACCAGAGGTTTGTTTTGCCAGTAGTTCTCCATTTTTATGGTGAAGGACGGGGACCCTGTGCGCATGGAGACTTATCTCTGGGAAGGATGAGGAAGGAGCTCAGTCTTTCTGAATTTTATGGCATAGGTTTCTAAAAACTTTTGCAATAGAAAAATGTGTAGTTATAAAGAATAAAATCTTAAAAAGTAACACTAGGTGACTAAGGTGGAATGTGGACTGACAAATTCATTTGAGGCTTTTTAACTATTCAGTAAAATAAAGCGATGAGGACTCTGTATCAGTTACCTGTTGGTGCTGTAAAAAGTTACCGCACATGCAGTGGCTTAAAACAACACAAACATATTATCTTACGGTTCTGGAGAGCACAAGTCCAGCCTCAGTTTCACTGGGCAAAGTCAAGGTGCTGGTGGGCTGGTTCCTGCTGGAGGCCCCACAGCAGTGTGCGTTTCCTTGTTTTCCAGCTTCCAGGGGCCTGGCCCATTTGTCTTCAAAGCCCGTGGCTCCAGCCTCCGCTTCCGCCACCGTGGGGCCTTCCCTCTGACGCCTCCCTCTTACAGGGACCCTGGTGATTACCCAGTGTAAACTGGGCCCAGGGTAATCCGGGATAATTTCCTGTCTCAAGGTTCTTAACTTAATCTCATTTGCAAAGTCCCTTTTGCCTCACAGGTCACAGAATCCTAGGTTCTGGGGATTAGGATGTGGCCATATCCCGGGGGAGGTTATGACTCAGCTACCACAAACATCACATCAAATTGGCTTGTACGACTGCGTAGATCTTAAATAACAATGGGTCCTTCCTGAGGCTGATTTCCGCTCACTCTCGCTTCTTGTTAGAAACATTTTTGTGTTTCCTTTGCAGCAGCTTTTCCTCCTCATAGCTGTCCTGCGTCTGACATCAGGTTTCCTTGTTTGCAGGCCTGCCCTGCTCCAGGTACTGACCCAGAAAGAGCTTTGGGAGCTCCTTTTGGGGGCTCAGTGCCCTATGACTCAGGAGGTAGCTTCTGGGGCCCTTGCCACCACCCGAAGTCTGTAGGCCCTGCTCCCCGGCTGCCTCCCGCCGGCTCTCGCATGGCCCAGCCCTCCCCTTCCGGGCATCCGCCTCGCCTTGCAGTAGTGAGGCCAGGACAGCCTTGCCCATCTCCCCCTCGCTGCTCAGCAGAGCCTCTGGCTCTTCCTCTGCTGGCCTCAGCTCCCACTTTTCCTCCTGATATTCCTCAAAAGTCACAGAGCTCTAGGACCTCCACAAGCTCTTGCAGGTGGGAAGGAGAGGGACTGGAGTAAATCTGTTCCCACATTCCCAAGGCTGACACATGTGGCAAGGAGGTCACATTCCCTGTGATCCCTGAGTATCTCTGCCATCAGAGCAGGGCCGCTGCCATGAGCCTCTGTGTCTGAGCCACACCCCTGCCTGGGGACTTAGCTACTCTGTAGGCCCTGCTGCTCTGGGCCTAGTTCCCCCGGAGGTGTGAGCCCTCCTAGCATATTCTGCTGACTGATGTTCTTACTCTGCACAGTACCGGCCCTTGTCCATCTCTTCCAAAATGAAGAGAGGCTCCCAGGGAGGAGGACCCCATGGGGGGCTGCTCGGGCTTCTTGAACTCCAAGGTTTAGATGTTATAAAAATATTTCTTGCAGTACACACACAGCCATGTGTGTATATGTGCATGTGCACGTGTGTGGGTGTGTGCATGTGTGTAGATATGTGCACATGCTTGGTTTGTGCATTTGTATATGTGGTGTGTGCATGTGTACCCATGTGTGCATGTATGTCTATCTGCATGTGTGTGGTTTGTGCATATGCATGTGTGTGAAGGTGTGTGCATGTGTGTGTGCATCTGTATGCAGGTGTGTGCATATGTTAGCATGTGTATATACATGTGTGGATTTGTGTGTAGGTGTGTTGGCATGTGTGCACACATGTGTGGATTTGTGTGTAGGTGTGTTGGCATATGTGTACACATGTGTGGATTTGTGTGTAGGTGTGTTGGCATGTGTATACATGTGTGGATTTGTGTGTAGGTGTGTTGGCATGTGTGTATACGTGTGTCCATTTGCGTGTAGGTGTGTTGGCATGCGTGTATACGTGTGTCCATTTGTGTGTAGGTGTGTTGGCATGTGTGTATACGTGTGTCCATTTGTGGCATGCGTGTATATGTGTGTCCATTTGTGTGGTGTGTTGGCATGCATGTATACATGTGTGGATTTGTGTGTAGGTGTGTTGGCATGTGTGTATACATGTGTCCATTTGTGTGTAGGTGTGTTGGCATGTGTGTTGTGCACATGTGTATACATGTGTGCATATGTTGCTTGTGTATGTGTGCATGTGTGTGCACACACGTGCCCTGGAGCATGCACACTTTGTAGGGCAGCTCTGGGACAGCTCCCACACCCCCTGAGCTCGGGCGCGGCTGCTCTTTGCTGGATCTGGGCTCATTGCCCTGTCTGATGGGGCTCTCCAGGATCCCTCCTGCTCCAGGGTTCCTTCTCCCCTTTTTGCATTCTGTCTCTATCCTTCTCTTGGGTCGTGTGTCTGAATGCTAACTACAGAAAGGCCGGCAGTTTCCCTGAGGGAGCCCTCAGTTCCCATGGGAATCAGGCCCTGTGAAGGGATAATTGGAGGAGTGTGTGGGGGAGAGAAGGTTTCAGCACCTCCTCATGGGAAATCCACTCACGTCTCAGCTGCAGTGAGCATGCGCCCCGGCAGCGCTGGGCCCCGTCGGTGTGCTTGGTGTTGGGGTACAACCCCACACATGGATTTGGGCCGTTTTAAGGACCAGCCAGGTCTGCTTTGAACCTGCTCTGATGGGTTGAAAGCAAATGAATAACACGTTGGGCTAAAATCATGTGATTCAGTTTTATGCTTTTAGAATTCGCTTTGTCTACTCTCTATTCTGACCATAGGAATAGGAGATAATGTTGAAAATATTTATGAAATGTAAAGCCCAGGGCGCCATGGATTCGGGCAGTCTGGGTAGCTGCCTGCCCCAGTGACCACAGGGCTGCCCTGGGCCCATGTTGGCTTTGGAAGCAGGTAGTTGTTCAAAGATAAGTAATGGCAATAGGTCAGCTTGTTTAGCTGCCCAGGGGTATGTATTGCTGGGAACTCTTTCTGGGTGATGATGTGGGAAAATGTCATTCACGGCCACGATGAACCTATTCTGAAAGTCATCCAGGTGAGGGTGGCATCGGTGGGGTCCGGTTCTCATCCTGGTGCTGGGACCAGCCCACAGCTGCCTCCCTGGAGCATCCTGACTGCATCCCAGGGCTTTGGGTTCTTGCTGGTCATTCCCTGAGGGTGGAGAGTGGGGCCGTGGCCACTCACCCGCTTTTTACTTGCATGATCTCATGGCTTCTGGTCACTGAGAGGTGCAGGTGTGTAGCCTGATTAGAACCCCTGCCCCTCAAAGCTTGCCTGTTCTGTGGCTTGTGCTTAAGGCCTGGCCGCGGGGAAAGGTGCTCAGCAAGGGTGGCTTGTGCTGACGGAGGTGCCTTCCAGCACACCCCAGGCATCCTGTGCTGAGGCCTTGGGTTTGGTCTTTTGGAAGCTGAATCTCTGAACAACCAGCCTATCAGTCAGGGTTCTCCAGAGAAACAGAACCAACCGGATACACAGTTCAAAGAATTTGTTTTTAAAAATTGGCTCATGTGGTTGTGGGGGCTGGCATATCTGAAATCTGCAGGGAGGCTGGAGTCAGGCGGGCTTCTGTATTATGGTCTTGAGGCAGAGCTCCTCTGGGAAACCTAAGTTTTACTTTTACTCAGGTTTTACTCCTTCAACTGATTGGACACGGCCCACCTGCATATGGAGGGGAATCTGCTTTACTCAAAGTCAATTGATTGTAGTTGTCAATCACATCTGCAAATGCATCCACAGCAGCAACTGGACTGGTGTTTGACCAAACAACAACTTGGTGGCATAATGGCCCACCAAGGTGACACAAAATTCACGATCACACCCAGTCTGGAATTTCTTTCAATGGTTGTACTTGAGTATTATTTCCTGAACTTTAACAGCAGTTTTCTTCAAACACAGCCATGTAAGTTCAAGTTTTTAATTTACTTTAAAATGGTTGTTGAGAAAATTGTGCTTTAGTGAAGCACCTAATGCCCCTATATTTGTACCATGTGAGAGATTTCTCTTGAAAATTAGTGTTAAGAATATATTTTCTTTTCCTGAGAAATAGAAACTAAATGTTTTGTGATAAACCATGTTTACATTTTTGCCTTGGCTGCTAGGGAGCTCAAAGCCAAATTTGATTTATGATTATAAGGATTATGTTGATTTTCTATTTTTTAAAAAGCCAATTTCTCCCATATTTCCCTTACCCATTTCCTTCTGAATTCCCATTTGCATTGTCTATTTTTTTGTCAACTACATCAAAACTTTTTCAAAGGCAAACAATACAAATACATTTCCATAAATAAATTATTTCAATGCTCTCAAATAAATGGGTCTGAACTTAACATTTTGATAGCACAAATGTGTTTAAAGTCAGCCTTCAGTAACCATCATAAAAAGTAATGTGTTCAATTCTCTTTAAATTGTCATTATGTTCTGGTTGGCAATAATTGTAAGTAGCTACTTCTTTCTGTATATCAAAAATTTTAGTAGCATTTACACAAATTATATTTATATATTAAAATTTTTGGTACACAGAAAGGATAGAACTACTAAATCTTGTATATATATATTATGTATGAGGTCTCCTTTTTTCTTTTTTTAAGTATTTATTGATCATTCTTGGGTGTTTCTCAGAGAGGGGGATGTGGCAGGGTCATAGGATAATAGTGGAGAGAAGGTCAGCAGATAAACACGTGAACAAAGGTCTCTGGTTTTCCTAGGCAGAGGACCCTGCGGCCTTCCGCAGTGTTTGTGTCCCTGGGTACTTGAGATTAGGGAGTGGTGATGACTCTTAACGAGCATGCTGCCTTCAAGCATCTGTTTAACAAAGCACATCTTGCACCGCCCTTAATCCATTTAACCCTGAGTTGACACAGCACATGTTTCAGAGAGCACAGGGTTGAGGGTAAGGTCATAGATCAACAGGATCCCAAGGCAGAAGAATTTTTCTTAGTACAGAACAAAATGGAGTCTCCTATGTCTACTTCTTTCTACACAGACACAGGAACAATCTGATCTCTCTTTCTTTTCCCCTCATTTCCCTCTTTTCTTTTCGACAAAACCGCCATCGTCATCATGGCCCGTTCTCAATGGTCGCTGTCTCTTTGGAGCTGTTGGGTACACTTCCCAGATGGGGTGGCCTGGCAGAGGCGCTCCTCACTTCCTAGACGGGGTGGCGGCCAGACAGAGGCACTCCTCACCTCCCAAACGGGGTGGCGGCCGGGCAGAGACGCTCCTCACATCCCAGACGATGGGCGGCCGGGCAGAGGTGCTCCTCACCTCCCAGATGATGGGCGGCCGGGCAGAGGCACTTCCCACCTCCCAGATGGGGCGGCCGGGCAGAGGCACTCCTCAACTCCCAGATGAAGAGCGGCCGGGCAGAGACGCCCCTCACCTCCCAGATGGGGCGGCTGGGCAGTGGCACTCCTCACTTCCCATTTGGGGCAGCCAGGAAGAGACCCTCCTCACTTCCTCCCAGACAGGGCGGCCGGGCAGAGGCACTCCTCACTTCCCATTCGGGGCAGCCGGGCAGAGGCGCTCCTCACTTCCTCCCAGACGGGGTGGCCGGGCAGAGGCGCTCCTCACTTCCCATTCGGGGCAGCCGGGCAGAGGCGCTCCTCACTTCCTCCCAGATGGGGTGGCTGGGCAGAGGCGCTCCTCACTTCCCATTCGGGGCAGCCGGGCAGAGGCGCTCCTCACTTCCTCCCTGATGGGGCGGCCAGGCAGAGGTGCTCCTCACATCCCAGACGATGGGCGGCCAGGCAGAGACGCTCCTCACATCCCAGATGGGGTGGCGACCGGGAAGAGGCGCTCCTCACATCTCAGACGATGGGCGGCCAGGCAGAGACGCTCCTCACATCCCAGACGGCGTGGCGGCCGAGCAGAGGTGCTCCTCACATCCCAGACAATGGGCAGCCAGGCAGAGACACTGCTCACTTCCTAGATGGGGTGGCGGGCGGGCATAGGCTGTAATTTTAGCACTTTGGGAGGCCAAGGCAGGCGGCTGGGAGGTGGAGGTTGTAGCGAGCCAAGATCACACCACTGCACTCCAGCCTGGGCAACATTGAGCACTGAGTGAGCGAGACTCTGTCTGCAATTCCAGCACCTCGGGAGGCCGAGGCGGGCAGATCACCCAAGGCCAGGAGCTGGAGACCAGCCCGGTCAACACGGTGAAACCCTGTCTCCACCAAAAATACAAAAACCAGTCAGGAGTGGCGGCACATGCCTGGAATCCCAGGCACTCAGCAGGCCGAGGCAGGAGAATCACCGGAGCCCGAGGGATGGAGGTTGCAGCGAGCCAAGATCATGGCAGTACAGTCCAGGCTCCGCAAGAGAGGGAGACTGAGAGGGAGAGGGAGAGGGAGAGGATGTATGAAGTCTCCTAAGTTGAATTCTGTATGTCTTCATTATTTCAAAATTTGCTCATAAAAGAAGTAATCAACCATTTGTAATTCAGCAGACCCGGGATATGACACCTTTCTAGGGCACTGGAAAACTAACTCACTGTGGTTCCATTTTTAAAGCTGGATTTTGATGTTTAGTTTTCACTCATGGAGCAGCTGTCCTGCCTGATAGTGTGCTTGGTACTTTACATGCTCACTCACAATTCTCAGACTGTCAGGCACATGGCTGGGGGCAGCACACCTGCACAAGGTCACAGTACTTGTGAGAGGCATCACGGAGACTTGGCAGTTGCCTGCAGAGCTTGTGCATGCTCCTCAGGCCGCTGTGCCTCCTGCCAGAGTGCTGAGCTTCTTCAGGCCACTGTGCCTCCTGCCAGAGTACTGAGCTTGCAGAGCTTGTGCATGCTCTTGAGGCCGTTGAGCCTCCTGCCAGAGTGCTGAACTTCCTCAGGCTGCTGTACCTCCTGCCAGAGTGCTGAGCTCACAGAGCTTGTGAATGCTCCTCAGGCTGCTGCACCTCCTGCCAGAGTGCTGAGCTTGCTCTCGGACAGCAAGTGAGAATTTGCTGGGGATCAATGATGAGATTCTCTTTCATAGAAGGAAGGAAGGGATCACTGGCATGATGCTCAGCCGGCGGCCTGGCTTTGGGAAGTGGATTCATGCATCACCTGTTTCAAGGTGGTGACTGAAGCCCTGGTGTTAGACACAACATGATCTGAGGACAGACGGGCCCTGGGTTGTGGAGGGAGCCTGGCGTGCTGAGGCTGACCTGGCCGCAGAGCTTCAGGAGGGAGAGCTCCTGAGGGTGGAGCTGCCACAACAGGAGCCCCCACCACCACCTACACACAAAGCCACATCCTAGGAGCCTCAGCCGGGTGCCTGGTGCTCTGTGGATTCCCCGTTTAAACCCTGCCCGCATGCTGGGGCATAGCAGTAAAGGTCGCCATTCTCACTTCCCAGGTGAGGAGGCCGAAGGGCAAGGAGGCCAAGCGTGTCTTCCTCATGTGTGACAACACGCCTCCCACAGCTGTCAGGGTCTGTGTGTGGAGCTGTGCCAGGGCCTGCTGGGGCTGGCCGGCTCGGGGAATGGGTCCACCCAGCTTTCTTAGTCCAGGACCAGAGGAAGGGCCAGACCTGGAGAATCTCTGCATGGGTGGGGGCGTGCCGGGGCGGGCAACAGGAGGCCAAAGGCTGCCCCAGCTTTCAGGGCCCCTCGCCAACCCTCGGCATCCTCCAGGCCCAGGTGGCCCAGGGTGTCTTCAGGCACAGTGGCCGGGAAGCTGGAAGGGGGCAGCTGTGGAAGGGCCGAGTTCCTCTCCTCCGCAGTTTTCTTCCTCCTGCTTTGCAAGGCAGAGCCTGCTTGATGGAATGTTTTTCAAGCATTGCTTTCTGCAGGCCCTGAGCCTCCTCCTGACTCATATAGACCTGTGTACACATGTTCCCTGGGGCGGCGTGCCTATGTGCCTATGGGAAGGGTCTTGTCAGTCACACACTGCACAGCACAGAGAGTGTGCCCCGGACTGGGTGGGCCGCTGGCTGCTGTCCTGGGCAGGGGCAGCATCTTTGCCCAGAGGTGAATCAGCGTTTTCCTCCCTGTGCAGCTGTTGAAAGAGGGGAGTTAAGGACGGGGCAAGGAATGAAGGACCCCAGCCGCCCCCATCTGCTGCGGCCCTGAGCCCGCGAGCCCCAGTGCTGGTGTCTACATGGCCCTTCCTCTTGGGCTCCAGAGCCTCATGATCCCCTGAAGCTACAGGCTCCCCAGAGCATAGCCCCAGCATCAGAGACCCAGGTTGGAGCAGCTGCCAGGAGGGTCCCCAGCTGTCCACACCCAGACTTCCAGCCCTCCTGCTCTGCTGGCCCCAGGCTCATCTGACACCCCACATTTCTGGGGTGGGCTGTGGCTCCTGGAGTTCTCACCACTGCCTCCCTGTCTCTCCCCTTCTCCTCTGTGCTGCCTCCCTGTCTCTCCCCTTCTCCTCTGTGACTCCCGGAGTTCTCACTGCTGCCTCCCTGTCTCTCCCTGCTCCTCTGTGGCTGCCGGCCCCATCTTTCCAGGCTGTGGCTTCCATCTTCCCCTGCTCTGGAGGGGCTTCTGGTGCTTGTGCAGAGGGCTCTGGCCCTTCCTTGCATTTAAGACCTGGGCAGGTCCTGTCTTACAAGTCCCAGTTCAGGTTCTTTGCAGCCCAGTGCTGAGCAGCTTCTTTGCCCATCCGAGCCGCCTCTTCCTCATCCATGTAGACGGAAAGAGTAACCGTGTTTGTGAGCTGTGTGTGGAAGGGCACAGCACGGGGCCTGGTGGGGCTGACAGGTGCTGGGTGCATACCCCCACCATCGCTGTCATCATCTGTGGGGCTGGGCAGCCGTGACTGCATCTTCTCCTGGTCACAGCATCCTGGGCAGCCAGGTGGGGCTCCGGGGGTCCAGCTGATGAGACGTCCAGTCAGGGCCTGGGGAGCCTGTTGGCCCCATCCGCCTTCCCTGTCGGCTGTGACCTCAGAAGTCTCGTGTTGGAGATGCGGGAGCTACCGTGTGGATCCCTGAGCCAGAGCCTAGAGGGACCTTCTGGAAACAGGAAATGCTCCTTCCGTGTCATGTGGGCAGGAAGTGCTGCTGTTACAGCACCCGCCTCACCTCACTGTGCAGCAGCTGAAACTCAGTGTGAGGCCTGAGTTTCCCATCTGTGAGGACCCTCCAGGTGCTCCTCAGTGTGCAGAGCCCTGCCCGTCACGAGATCCCCACAGGAATGAGGCAGGCAAGGCCTGTGCATCCCCCATGAGCCTCAGCCATGCCCGGTTCAGGTAGCTGGAGATGGGGCTTTTCCCACACTGTCTCTCACTTTGCTCCTCTCCCCTGAATAAAGGCAGAATGAGATGGGATCCCTCAGGAGCCCCTGATATGGTTTGGCTCTGTGTCCCCACCCAAATCTCATCTAGAATTGTGATCCCCAGTGTCGAGGGAGGGACCTGATGGGAGGTGATTGGATCATGGGGGCGGTTCCCCCAGGCTGTTCTCATGATGGTGAGGGAGTTCTCACGATATCTGATGGTTTAAAGGTGGCAGTTTCCCCTGCTGTCTCTCTCCTGCCACTTTGTGAAGAAGATGCCTGTTTCTCTTTAGCCTTCCACATGATTGTAAGTTTCCTGAGGCCTCCCCAGCCATGAGCAACTAAGTCAATTAAACCTCTTTCCTTTCTAAATTAACCAGTCTCAGGTAGTATCTTTATAGCAGTGTGAGAATGGACTATTACTTTTCTGGATGACTTGAGGAATAATTCTAGAGTTTAGGTTTAAAGATCTACCCTATGACAGTAAACATTCAAATTTTGAGCTTGGTTTTCCTTAGACTGGGGCTCCAAATGTCATTTCTATGGGACACCCAAAATAGCAAGTGAGACACGGTACTATATATTAAGATATAATTACGTAGTTAATGATAATTGGTATAGTTTAAAATATAAATTAGTATAAAATATAAAATAGTTTAAAATATAAATTATATAAATTGGTATAGTTTAAAATATAAATTCCTTTGTAAAGGAATAATTCTGAGGATGGTTTGTAGCTTTCACCAGTGTTTCAGGAAGACGTGTAATGTTAAATGTTTAACAGTCTTGATTTGGTGCCTATCTCTTACATTTGAGACTTCCCTAGGCCAGTGGTTACTAAACTTCACTGTGCATTCAGATCACACATGTTTGCCGAATGCAGATTCCTGGGCTCTGCCATGCCACAGATCTGGAATTAAGCAGGGCTTCTGATTTTAAGCAGGTGACAATAATGCCGACGTCTTTGGTTTGGCATCTGGTCGACCCTTTTCCTGGGATGTGCCTGGGGGAATAGCAGGATCTGTGCCCATCATGCCTGCCTGCATGGCTCTGTGTCTCTGTGATGTCCACGGAAGATGACAGCAGTTTCTGAGCATTGAGAATCAATGACATCCTGTTCAAAGAGCACGTGGGTTCCAGGAAGATGTGAGCATTTAGACAACCCGTCCTGGAGCCCCAAGTCATGACGGGCCAGTTGCGAAACAAAACACACGAGGAGCCCCTGTGCTTCTTGCCCGCCATTTGTGGGCAGCAATTCCCCAAGCAGGGAGCATGCGTCCACTTGCTGTGACTGTGCTGTGCTCACCACTGGGGACAAAAGACTCCCTGAATGGGGACACAGAGCTGGTGCTGGCCCCGAGGTGGGGACGGTCAGCGAAGAGCAGAGTCAGCCAGGGAGGGAGAGCGGGAGAAATCCTGAAGGAGTTAACTCTTCTCGCAGTCATGGTGCCCCATTCTATGGGCAGCATTGGCTGGAAGTGCCAGGAAAGGTTAGTGTCTGCCTTCACTGGAGTCACCCACTTCTTTTAGCTGAGAGGATGCTGGGTTTTGACGCGCTGCGTTGTATAATCAGTAATGGGTTGTTAATGTTCTGTAGGCTGTTTCGTTTATCCTTGGATAAACATTAACCGAGTGTAGTTACATACATTAATACATGACTGTACCATCACACACATGTTCTCATGGGTGTGGACACCTCACTCCATCTGTCTCATGTCTACGTTTTAAATATTTAACAAGGAGAACGCAATGTTATGGGAAAGCAGCTCCAGATCTCGACACTTTGGCCTGAGGAAATCGTTTTGCCTTCTTATGTTTAGCTTCCTGCTTTTATTTTTAGCAACAATAAACACACACAGAAACTCAGCTCTGAAAACCCTTTCTGCTCTGCTCTGTCTGTGTGACCCCCATCCTGGGTGTACCCGGGGTTTTGTGTCTCCGCAGTCTGGTTTCCCAGCAATGGGGAGAAATCCAGCCATTCATTTGCATTTTTTTCTACCCTGTCATCAAACCAGGGGCCATGCTGGCCTTGGCCAGTCTCTAAGGACAAATGCTGTGGGCGCTCTGGAGAGCTGGGAGCAGCCCCAGGTCCTGGCTCCTGGCTGCACCCTCAGCACCACTGGCTTCACTCCTGTAGTGCGCAGACTTGGGAGATGGCCCCATGCCCTTGTTCCAAACAGCATAGCTGCGAACAGAATTCACGGGTGTCTTTACCCTTCACCTGCACACTCGGCGTGCCCTCAGTCTCTGTGGTGTCTGTGTGTGAGTGTGTGGGGTGGGTAGGTGTTTGGGGGAAGGTCAGAGTGCCACACAAATGCTTTCTCAGGTTGAGAAGAGGAAATGGGCCTATCTGGAAGCAGCAGGGAGGTTGGCCTTGAGTGAAGCGTCAGCACACAGAGAATGTTCCCTGGCATGTTCACACCTGCACAACCGTGCACACGCTCTCGGATGAGCACCTCCCTGTGTGTGCCTGGGCTGCCTGGAGGTGAGGGGTGGGCCAGTGACGGTCCTTTGTAGCGATATACTGCAAACAAGCTGAGCTGGGTGGGGCGCTGAGGGTCCCTTCCCTCCGTCCCTGCCACCCTTTCTGGAGCCTCCTTCATGGCCAGGTGCAAACCTGCCTTTGCCTGGAGCTGCTCTGGCACCGCTCCGGCTTCCAGCTGAGTTCTCCTCCCTCCCACCCCCACCCCACAGCCTCCCGCTCAGGCAGGGACGATGCCTCTCCGCAGGTCAGGCAGCAGCACAGGTTGCTGGCCGGGGCAGCCGTCACTCACCCCAAGGCCCAAGGACACATCCCTGGGGCTGAGACACCAAGGTCGCTGTGGTACCTGGGTCTTCAATTAGTGGCCCAGCAGGCTGTGGCCCCACTTACCCGGCCGGCCTTCCTTCCTATCTTCCGGATCGGCTTCAGGACAACACTGTGTTTCCACTGATATAGGCTCCCTTGGCACCAGTAACACACATGCACACACACTCACACCCACACACACGCTCACACTCACCACACACAAACACACATGCACACACATGCTCACACTCACCACACAAACACATACGCACACACATGCTCACACTCACCACACACAAACACGTATGCACACACATGCTCACACTCACCACACAAACACATATGCACACACACGCACACACAAACACATATGCACACACATGCTCACACTCACCACACACAAACACATATGCACACAGATGCTCACACTCACCACACACAAACACGTATGTACACAGATGCTCACACTCACCACACACAAAAACACATGCACTCACACACTCACACTCACCACACACAAACATACATACACTCACCACACATATAAACACAGATGCACATACACTCTCACCCACACACCACACACATGCACACATACACCACACATATAAACACACATGCACACACACAAGCACACACACCACACACAAACACATATGGACATACATGCACACATACACTCACACCCACACACAGGCACACACACAGGCATATACATGCACACGCTCACACATGTATGTGCACACACTCAAGCATTGACACACACAAGGCACATCTGCACACGCACATTTTCAAGCACACTCACACTTGCACTCCTGCACACCTGCACAAACACATGCACAGGCAGCCGAGGCTGGGCTGTGTCCAGTGCACATGGCATCCTGGTGCTCACAGCTTCTCAAGGAACCCACAGAGTCCATGTCTCACCAGCAACCCCCACCCCTCACGCCCCCTCCCTGGTGCTCCTTCCCCCTGCAGCCGGGAGAGACAGGTCCACAGAGAGAACCTGTGGGGGACATGCCTGAGGCCGCTCACCACAGCCAGACTGAGCTTCTGTCAGTGGCGAGGGTTGGGGGCTGGTACAGAGGAGCCCCTGGGATAGGAGGGGCCAAACAGGAATTGGATCCCAGCAACCCAGGCCCATGGCCACGGGCAGGTCATCCCTTTGCAGGTCGCGTTGGCCTCACCTGCAGATGGGTGATGAATCAAACACGGGGCATGGGAAGTACCTGTTGAGGAAGGATGTCAGTGTTGGGCACACTGTGTGGACAGTGGTCAATGACAAGGCTCCGGCGAGTTGTGCGGCAGGACTCAGATGCCTGCTGGGTCTGAGCACAGATGCATTTGTGCTCACCTGGTTTGCCACTGTGGTGATGGCACGTGCACGGGCCAGTTGCTTCTTGACGTCTTGATCTCGCCGGTGGAGTCACAGCTGGGTGGGCGGCTTGGGAGCCCCGCCTCGCATCCCTGCACCTGTGTCTTCCAGCAGGGTTTGCTGGAGCTGCGGCAGCAGGGCAGAGCCTCTGGACGTGCAGTTAGGGTTGGCTGTCTGCCAAAAGGTGCACCTGCTGGCAGCAGAGCCGGAAGCAGCAGTTCTTTTGAGAAGCAGACATTTATTAAGTGCTTGCTGTGTGCAGGTGGACAAAAAAGCATTTGCTAATGAGACAGTTACTCATCCAAACAAATGTGCCTCTCGACCGCACACTTGTATTCGTCCGGGTTCTCCAGAGAAACAGTCCAATGGGATAGACAGAGGGACAGATAGATAATAGGTAAATAGACAGGGTCAGTGGGTGAATAAATGGATGGATGGTTGGATAGACAGGCAGATAATGAGAGATAAATAAACAGACAGATAGAAAGAGATTATTATAAGGAATTGGCTCCTGAGATTGTGGAGGCTGAAAAGTCCCAAGATCTGCAGTTAGCAAGCTCGAGGTCCCAGGAAGGCCAATTCAGTTCAAATCCGAAGGCCAAAAAGACCAAGGTCCCAGCTCCAGCAGTCAGGCAGGAGTGCCCTCTTCCTTGGGGCAGGGTTGGCCTCTTTGGTCTCTTCAGGCCTTCAGCTGATCGGCTGAGGCCCACTCACATTGGAGAGGGTGGTCTGTTGTACTGAGTCTACTGATTCAAACATCCATCTCATCCAAATGCACCCATGCAGACTGAATATCTCGACACTGTGTGGCCCGGTCAGGTTGACACACAAAATTCACCCTCACCTGCTCGGCCTCAGAACCGCACCACGGGGGCAGGGTTCACTCTGACTCCCCCAGCTCCCTCCTCTGCCCCTGGAGCTGGCAGCTGCTGCCATCATGGATGTCCTGTGGGGGCTCAGGCTGTGTGCTTTCCCCAGAGAGCTGAGTTTCAGGAAAATCCACGTGGAGCCTTTCTTTTCTGTTGTCAAGGAGAGAAGCCTGGTGTCATCCATGGGAAGAGGCGGCCATTGGCAGAATCCTGGGAGGGTCTGGCAGCTTCCCTGAGTGCCATGGAGGCCAGGATTTGTCCCATAGCCCTGGCTCTCAGCCACCCCACCTTGCGTGTCCACAGGGTCAGTCTCTGCGTGCAGCTGGTGTTGGACTGAGGGGACAAGGCAGAAGCCCCCCTGGGCCATGCCACAGCACACAGTGCCAGCGCGTTTGCCTCTGAGGCCCCAGGCCAGGGCCTGTCTGAAGTGCCCCAGGACTGGGAGAGATTTGACTCCAGGAGCACAGGGAAGTGCCTGGGAAGACTCGGTTAAACTAAAGCAAACCACAGGGTGTCTTCAATTCAAAATGGAATTTTTCAAAACATTTTAACGTTTCTGAAATCAGAAACTTGACATGGCAAGATTGATGTCCTGATACGTAAAATCGTGGAGGCCGGGTCAGATGAGGGGCAGCAGGTGCCAACTGAGGCCCGGCTGTGCCACCGTGGCAGGAGGGGCCCCTCTGCAGCTGCACGCAGCCTTGTGATGGGTGGGAGGGGGGCAGTGGACGCTTGCTGAGGGGCAGCAGGGATGTCTCCTTCCTCGTCCAGGCCTCACGGCCACACAGGGCTGGGCACTGACCACCCTGGCTATCATCCTCACCCAGGCAGACCCTGGAGTCTGGCCACACTGAATCCTGACATTCATTTCCTTAGATGAATGCTTCTGATAGGAGTTTTGTGATCTTCTAGGATGGATGGAGGGATTTGCTTGTCATATGCTAGTTAGTTACGTGTAAATGGTATATTTGATGTGCCAGGCATCCTGCCCGGTAAGTGCATGGTGTATTCCTTGTTCTAAGTACTGGACTGCACAAATGAAGGCACCTTTTTTGTCTTCTGCATTGTGATAGGTAAATGGATGGTGCTTCTTTTGCTAGGTGCTGTGCTGTACATGAAGGTCCCTTCCATGTGGCTGGTGTTCTGCTGGGTAAGTAAAGGCACCTTCCTGTGCTGGGTGCTGTGCTGGGTACACGAAGCTACCTTCTTCCGGTGCTAGGTGCTGTGCTGGGTACATGAAGCTACCTTCTTCCTGAGCTAGGTGCTGTGCTGGGTACACGAAGCTACCTTCTTCCTGAGCTAGGTGCTGTGCTGGGTACATGAAGCTGCCTTCTTCCGGTGCTAGGTGGTTTGCTGAGTAAATGTAGGTACCCTTTGTGTGACAGGTGTTGTGCTTAGTAAATGAAGGCGTCTACCATGTGTTAGGTCCTGAGCTGGGTAAATGAAGGCAGCCTCTAATAGCTCAGACCTGTGCTGGGTAAACGGTGATAGCTTCCCCGTGCCAGGTCCTGTGCTGGGTAAATGAAGGCAGCCTCCAATAGCTCGGACCTGTGCTTGGTAAATGGTGATAGCTTGCATGCACCAGGTCCTGGGCTGGGTGAATGAAGGCAGCCTCCAATAGCTAGGTCCTGTGCTCGGTAAATAGCTTCCCTGTGCCAGGTCTTGTGCTGGGTAAATGAAGGTAGCTTCCATGTGGTAGGTGCTGCGCTGCGTAAGTGAAGGTGCCTTCCACGTGCTCGGTCCTGTGCTGGGCACTTGAAAGTGTCTCCCACTCGCGAGGTGGTTTGCTTAGTAAATGAAGGCCCCTTCCACGTGCTGAGGAAATGACACTGCCTTCCACGTGCTGGGGAAATGAATGGTACCTTTTATGTTTTCAGCCCTGGGCCAATTGTATTCAAATATTCCGTTTTCATCTTTTTAGCAACCATGGAAGAATACAAGTATTTCCATTTTATATGCAAGGACGATGAGACCAACTTCAAGTGGTGAAGTTGGTACAGATTCCTCTTCTATCAGGCCTGTGAGGTTTTGTGTGAAACCCTCATGCTTTATACACAGGTTTTGCTGTCCTGTGGTTGTCCATCAGGTTCTGGGAATTCTGAGCTGGAATGAGGCACTCCAGTAGCGTCTTCCCAAGGGTAGACCACACAGCACACGAAGCCCACCAAGCCTGCACCGCCCACACAGCACGGCCCCTCGCTGCAGACCTGCTGCCCTTGTGGGTTTAGGCCTGGTGCTCCCCTCTCACAGGGCCGTGCCTCAGACCCCACATCCGCGCTGCAACCTGGAATGCACCTGCCGCATGGTGTGAGAGGCGTTTTGTGGGAGACGCCCAGGGCAGTACCTGCACTGGAAAATACTCAGTGGCTACTGGGCCATGCTGAGGGGCCTTTAGGACATGGAGCTGGAGCTGTGGAGGGCTGGGTTTTGGTCCCATTTGACTCTCCCCCATGCCTCATCCTGAAGTTCTTTAATCTTGGTCTGATGTTTAAAGTTGGGACAGCCCCTCCTGTGACCTCGGAGGGTTCTGGCAACCAGGTGAGCTGGTGTGTGTGTGGGAACAGCATGGAGCTCTGTGAAATATCAGGCGTCTTCCCCGCCATGGGGCATCGTGGTCAGTGTGTTGTAGGGTCAGTTGACCACTTGGACACCTGGTTATGACCATTTCAGCCTCTTTTGGAAACATTCTGCTTTTATTCCCATTGGCAAACAAACTTGCTCAGAGGTTTTATGTGACAAGCTACAGGCAGCGCTGGAGTGTGGTGTGCCAGCATGAGAGGGTGTGAGCAGGGGGCACGTTTTCTCTGGAATCGTGCATTATAGGAATAAATCATGTGTGTGTTTGCACCTTCTCACCCCTATGTGAAGATGAAACTTTAGTGCTTGAGGTTAAAAAGTGTCCTCATGAAGGAGTCTGGCTCTTTCCGCCCTGGTCTAGAAAACAGTTTCCCGTGAAGGACCAGGGACTACAGATTTCCGGCTTCGGGGCCCTACGGCCTCCACCCCCGCCATGCAGCTCTGCAGCTGTAGCCTGAAAGCAGCTGCAGCTGCCGCGCGTAAGGGGTGGCTCTGGGCAGGAAACCACGTGCGAACCGCCCCACGGCAGGGTGCGTCCCACAGAAGGAGCAGTGTGTTCCGTCCCGCTGCACGGCCTGCGAGGGATTTCCATGGTGAGGGTGAATCACGAGGGCTTCTTGTGGCCTGGTCTGTCTTACCTGCCTCTCCTTCATGCAGGCTATTTTTTTTTTAAGCAAGGAAAGAATAACTTTATTGTAAGTATTAATTAATTAATTAATTAATTAATTAATTTATTTATTTTTGAGACAGAGTCTCCCTCTGTCGCCAGACTGGAGTGCAGTGGTGGGATCTTGGCTCGCTGCAACCTCCACCTCCCGGGTTCAAGCAATTCTCCTGCTTCAGCCTCCCGAGCAGCTGGGACTACAGGTGTGTGCCACCACGCCCAGCTAATTTTTGTATTTTTAGTAGAGATGGGGTTTCACCATGTTGGCCAGGATGGTCTCGATATCTTGACCTTGTGATCCCCCCCTTGGCTTCCCAAAGTGTTGGGATTACAGGTGTGAGCTATGCGCCCGGCCTATAAGCATTTATAAGCATTTATCTCCAACTCCAAGGTTGCCATATTCAGTGATATAAACATTGGTTCTGGATGGTGGAAAATGTTATGGCTGTGGGATAAATTTATTATTAAATTTATTCAGACCAGAGGGAAGGTGAAGCCCATGTCTCCTCGCTCTTCCCCACGGGAAACGGAGGGGGGCTGCCCGGGAAGCTCCATGGACATCTTCCTGGGGCCCTGGAGAGGCACGGCTGGCGGGAGGCAGTCACTTCCAGGCTGTGGTGTGACCCAAGATATTAACACAGGCCCCGTGTGAGGCTCAGCTGTCTACCCAGGCAGTGGAAAAGGATTTTTCAACAGAGACGCCGCAGACATGGGGCTTTAAAAGATTTCAAGTCTCGGATGGGTGTGGTGGCTCATGCCTATAATTCCAGCACTGTGGGATGCCAAGGCGGGTGGATCACAAAGTCAGGAGTTTGAGACCAGCCTGGCCAGTATGGTGAAACCCTGTCTCTACTAAAAATACAAAAATTAGCCAGGCATGGTGGCGGGCGCCTGTAGTCCCAGTTACTCGGGAGGCTGAGGCAGGAGAATGGCTCGAACCCCGGAGGCAGAGCTTGCAGTCAACCGAGAATGCGCCATTGCACTCTAGACTGGGCAACAGAGTGAGACTCCATCTCAAAAAAAAAAAAGAGATTTCAAGTCTCTATGATCCAAAATAGTGCTTTCCCAGCTATGTTTGCCGCATTCATCCTTTCTGCTGTGTTCGTGGGGCTGTCTGTGTAATGGCCACAGATCTGCTTCTGGAGGTTCTACTTTATTGCATTGGTTTTTGTTTATTGTTGATTTCTGTAAAAATACCACTCTTTTTATTTTTATGGCTCTGTAATATGTATTTTATATTTGATAATGCAAATCTTTGTATTTTTCTAAATTGTTTTATCTATACTTTTATAAACATTTTTTTAAGAGACAGGTTCTCATTCTGTCACCAAGGCTGGAGTGCAATGGTGTGATCAGAGCTCACTTCACCCTCAACCTCCTGGGCTCAAGTAATCCTTCTGCCTCAGCCTCCCAAGTAGCTGAGACTATGGGCACATGCCACCACACCCAGCTAATTTTTTTATTTTTATTTTTTGTAGAGACAGGGTCTCCCTACATTGCCCAGGCTGGTCTCAAGCTCCTGGCCTCAAGTGATTCTCCTGCCTCAGCCTCCCAAAATGCTGGGATTACAGGCATGGCCACTGTGCCTGGCCTTAGAATTAAATTAAATTTAAAACTTATTGCATGTAAAGTTGCCATACTAACAATGTTATTTTGTTCTACATAAGATCCCAGTGTTTCATCATTTATTCAGGTGTTTCATCACTTTATTTATGTATTTGATGTACTATAGATGTACATGGTTTCAGGCTAAATGTGATAATTTAATGCATTCACATATTTTGTAAAGATCAAACCAGTGCACTTGGGACATCCACCACCTTAAACATTTGTCTTTTCGTTATTGCTAGAACCATTAAAATTCTTCTCTTCAAGCTATTTTGAAATATACAATAGATTATTGTAATCTATAGTAAATCTATGAAAAAACTAGGTCTTATTTCTTCTTTCAAACTGTACATTTGTATCCACTAATCAGCTTCTCTTCATTCCTACACCCCTTGCCCTTCCTGGTCTCTGGTAGCCACCAATCTACTTTCTATCTTCATGAGGTCCACTGTTATAGCTCCTGAGGTGAGATCTGTCTTTCTGAGCCTGGCTTGTTTCACTTAACGTAGTGGCCTCCAGTTCCATCCTTGTTGCTAAAAACAACAGGATCTCATTCCCTTCTCTGACTGAACCATATTCCACTGTGTATATGTGCCCCGTTTTCCTCTTCCATTCATCTGCTGGTGAGCACTTAGGTTGATTCTCTATTTTGGCTACTATGGATAGTGCTGCAGTAAACATGGGAGTGCAGAGATCTCCTCAACATCCTGATGTCCTTTCTTTCGGGCGTACACTCAGTAGTGGAGTAGATGGGTTGTATGGTAGTTCTATTTCTGGTTTTTTGGGAACCTCCACACTGTTCTCCATGGGGGCTGCACTAACCTACATGCCCGCCCACAGTGTCTGAGGTTCCCTTTTCTCTTGCCAGTATTTGATACTGTTTTTAATAAAATCAATTTTAACTGGGGTGAGATGGTACCTCATTCCAGTTTTGATTTGCATTCCCATGATAATTAGTGATGTTGAGCATTATTTCATATACCTGCTGGCCATTTGTTTGTCATGTCAAATGTCAAGAAATAGACATTTCTTGAGAAATATCTATTCAGATCTTTGGCCCATTTTTAAAAATCAAATTATTGGATTTTTTTTCCTATAGAGTTGTTTGAGCTCCTTATATATTGGGGTTGTTAATCCCTTGCCAGGTGAGCAGTTTCCAAATATTTTCTCCCACTCTGTGGTCACCCTTTGTCTTCACTTTGTTGATTGTTTCCTTTGCTGTGCAGAAGCTTGATGTGATCCCATTTGTCTTTTTTTTCTTTTTTTTTTTTTTTTTTTTTTTGAGATGGAGTTTCGCTCAGTTGCCCAGGCTGGAGTGCAATGGTGTGATCTCAGCTTACTGCAACCACTGACTCCTGGGCTCAAGCGATTCTCCTGCCTCAGCCTCCCGAGTAGGTGGAATTACAGGTGCCCTGCACCACACCCGGCTAATTTTTGTATTTTTAGTAGACACAGGGTTTCGCCATATTGGCCAGGCTGGTCTCGAACTCCTAACCTCAGGTGATCCGCCCACCTTGGCCTCCCAACATTTGTCCATTTTTGCTTTGGTTCTTTGTGCTTTTGAAATCTTACCCCAAAAATCTTTGCCCAGACCAATGTTATATAGCATGTCCCCCATGTTTTCTTGTAGTCATTTCATAGTTTCAGGTCTTAGATTTAAGTCTTCAGTCCATTTTGATTTGACTTGTGTGTGTGGTGAGAGACAGAGGCCTAGTTTCTTTTGCATATAATTATCCAGTTTTCCCAGCACCACTTACTGAAGAGACAATCCTTCCCCCATTGTGTGTTCTTGGTGCCCTTGCTGAAAATCAGTTGGCTGCAAATGCACGAATTTATATCTGGGTTCTCTATTCTGTTCTATTGGTCAATGTGTCTGTTTTCATGCTGGTACCACGCTGACTCAGTTACAATAGCTTTGCAGTAAATTTTGAAGTCAGGCAGTGTGATGCCTCCAGCTTTGTTCTTTGTGCTCAGGATTGCTTTGGCGATTCAGAATCTTTTGTGGTTCCATATACGTTTTAGGGTCTATTTTCCATTTCCGTGAAGAATGTCATTGGTATTCTGATAGGAATTGCATTGAATCTGTAAATTGCCTTGGGCAGTGTTGTCATCTTAAGAATATTAATTCTTCCATAGTCCTGGATAATTTCAGATAATCCATGAGCATGGACTATCTTTCCACTTTTTGATGTCCTCTTCAATTTCTCTCATCAGTGTTTTACAGCTTTCTTTTTATAGGTCTTTCACTTCTTTGGTTAAATTGATTCCTAGGTATTTTATATTCTTTGTAGCTATTGTAAACAGCATTACTTTCTTGGTTTCCTTTTCTGATTTTTCACTATTGATGTAAATAAATACTACTGACTTTTGTATGTTGATTTTGTAACCCACAACTTTACTGAATTCACTTATCAGTTATAACAGTTTTTTTTTGGTGGAGCCTAGGTTTCTCTAGGTATAAAATCATGTCGTCTGCAAACAAGGGTAATTTGACTGTTTTCCTTTCCAAACTGGATTCCCTTTCTTTCTCTTGCCTGATTGCTCTGGCCAGGATTTCCAGTACTATGTTGAATAAGAGTAGTAAAAATGGGAATCCTTGCATTGTTCCAGATCTTAGGGAAAAGGCTTTCAACTTTTCCCTGTTCGTCATGATGTTAGCTGTGGGTTTTCATTTATGGACTTTAAGATTTTGAGGTACGTTCCTTCTATATCCAATTTGATTAGGGTTTTCATCATAGAGGGATGTTGAATTTTATTAGATGTTTTTTGACATTTATTGAAATGATTATATGGTTTTGGTCTTGGTTCTGCTAATGTGATGTATCATGTTTATTGACTTGCATACGTTGAACCATTATTGCATCCCTAGGATGAATCACAATTGTTTATGGTGAATGATCTTTTTAATGTATTGTTAAATTCAGTTAGCTAGTGTTTTGTTGGGAACTTTTGCATCTATATTCATCAGTGATATTTGCCTATAATTTTGTCTTATTGTTTCCTTGTCTGGTTTTAGTATCAGGGTAATGCCGCCCTTGCAGAATGAGTTTGGAAGTGTGCCCTTCTCTTCAGTCTTATTGAAGAGTTGGGGTGAAATTGACATTAGTCCTTTTTCAAAAAAAAATTTGTGGGCACATAGTAGATGTATATATTTATGGGGTACATGAGATGTTTTGATACAGGCATGCAATGTGTAATAATCACATCAGGGAAAATGGGGTATCTACCTCCTGAAGCATTTATCCTTTATGTTACAAACTATCCAATTATATTCTTTTAGTTATTTTAAAATGTACAATTAAATTATTATTCACTATAGTCAGAGTGTGGTGCTATCAAATAGTAGGTCTTACTCATTCTTTCTAGCTATTTTTTGTACCCATTAACCATCCCCATCTACCTCCCACCCCCACACACCTCCCCACTACCCTTCTCAGCCACTGGTAACCATTTTTCTACTCTCTATCTCCATGAGTTCAATTGTTTTGACTTTTAGATCCAAGAAATAAATGAGAACATGAGACGTTTGTCTTTCTGTGCCTGGTTTATTTAACATAAGATAATGATTTCCAGTTGTGACCATGTTGTTGCAAATGACAGGCTCTCATTCTTTTTTTATGGCTGAAGAGTATTCCTTTGTGTATATGTACCATATTTTCTTTATCCATTCATCTGTTGACGGACACTTAGGTGGCTTCCAAATCTTGGCTATTGTGAACAGTGCTTCAGCAAATATGAGAGTGCAGATATCTCTTCAATGTACTGATTTCCTTTCTTTTAGGTACACACACAACAGTGGGATTGCTGGGTCATGTTATAGCTCTATTTTCAGTTATTTTGAGGAACCTACAAACTGTTCTCCATAGTGGTTGTACTAATTTACATTACCACCAACAGTATACGAGGGTTCCCTTTTCTCCACATCCTTGCCAGCATTTGTTATTGCCTGTCTTTTGGACATAGCCATTTTAACTGGGGTGAGACAGTATCTCATTGCAGTTTTGATTTGCATTTCTCTGATATCAATGATGTTGATCATCTTTTCGTGTGCCTGTTTGGCATTTGTATGTCTTTTTTTTTTGAGACGGAGTCTTGCTCTGTTGCCTAGGCTGGAGTGCAGTGGCGCAATCTTGGCTCACTGCAAACTCTGCCTCCCAGGTTCATGCCATTCTCCTGCCTCAGCCTCCTGAGTAGCTGGGACTACAGGCGCCTGCCACCACGCCCAGCTAATTTTTTGTATTTTTAGTAGAGACGGGGTTTTGCCATGTTAGCCAGGATGGTCTCGATCTCCTGACCTTGTGATCCACCCACCTTGGCCTCCTAAAGTGCTGGCATTACAGGCGTGAGCCACCACGCCCAGCCTGGCATTTGTATGTCTTCTTTTGAGAAATATCTATTCAAATCTTTTGCCCATTTTTTGATTGGATTGTTAGATTTTTTTCCCTGTAGAGTTGTTTGAGCTCCTTATATATGCTGGTTATTAATCCCTTGTCAGATGGGTAATTTTCAAATGTTTTCTCCCATTCTATAGGTGTCTCTTCACTTTGTTGATTATTTCCTTTGCTGTGCGGAAGCTTTTTAGCTTGATGTGATACCACTTGTCTATTTTTGCTTTGGCTGCCTATGCTTTTTAGACCTTACCCAAAAAATCTTTGCCCAGACCAATGTCCTATACCATTTTCACAATGTTTTATTTTAGTAGTTTCCTAGTTTCAGGTCTTGGATTTAAGCCTTTGATCCATTTTGATTTGATTTTTGTATATGGCAAGAGATAGGGGTCGAGTTTCACTTTTTAACGTATGGATAGCCTGTTTTCCCAGCACTATTTATTGAAGAGACTGTTTTTTCCCCAATGTATGTTCTTGCCACCTTTGTTGAAAATTAGTTCACTCTAGGTGTTGGATTTGTTTTTGGGTTCTCTATTCTGCTCCATTGGTCTATGTGTCTGTTTTTATGCCAGTAGCACACTGCTTTGGTAACCATAGCTCTGTAGTATAATTTGAAGTCAAGTATTATGATTCCTGCAGTTGTGTTCTTTTGCTTCAGATAGGTTTGGCTCTTCTGGGTCTTTTGTGGTTCCATATAAATTTTAGGATTGTTTTTTCTATTTCTGAGGAATGTCATCGGTACTTTGATAGAAATTACATTGAATTTGTAGATTGCTTTGGGTAGTATGGACATTTTAATAATATCAATTCTTCCAATCCATGAACATTGGATATCTTTCTATTTTTTGATGTCCTCTTCAATTTCTTTCTCCTTTAAGTGTTTGGTAAAACTCAGCAGTGAAGCCATCAGGTCCTGAGCTTTTCTTTCATAGGAGACTTTTTATTATGGCTTCAATCTTGTTACTCATTATGGGTTTATTGAGATTTTATACCTTTTACATGGTTCAATCTTGGTAGGTTGTATGTGTCCATAAAGTTATCCACTTCTAGGTCTTCTAATTACTTGACATATAATTGTTCACGGTAGTGTCTAATGATAGCTTTTATTTCTGTGGTCTCAGTTTTTATGTCTCCTTTTTCATTTCTGATGTTATTTATTTGGATTTTCTCTCTTTTTCTTAGCCTAGACAAAATTTTGTTGATTTTGTTTATCTTTTCAAATAACCATCTTTTTGTTTCATTGATCTTCTCTATTTTTTTTTTAGTCTCAATTTACTTCTGCTGTAATCTTTATTTTTTTCTTTCCTTCTACTAACTTTGGGTTGGCTTTGTTCTTGCTTTTCTCGTTCCTTAAGGCCCATTGTCAGGCTGTTTACTTGAAGTCTTTCTACTTTTGTGATGTAGGTGTTTATTGCTATAAATGTCCCCCTTAGCACTGCTTGTGTTGCATCCCATAGATTTAGATATGTTATATTTCCATTGGCACTTGTTTCAAGGAATTTTTAAGCTTTCTTCTTAATTTCCTCATTGATCCATTTGTTGTTCAGAAGCTTGTTGCTTAATTTCCATGAGTTTGTGACATTGCTGAGGTTCTTCTTGCTATTGATTTCTAGTTTTATTCCATTGTGATCAGAAAAAAATACTTGATATGATTTCTACTCTGTTCAGACTTCTTTTGTGATCTAAGTTATGGTTTATCCTGGAGAATGTTTTATGTTCTGATGAAAAGAATGTGTATTCTGTAACAGTTGGCTGAAATGTTCTGTAAATGTCAGTGAAGCCTATTAGGTCTAGAGTGTAGTTTAACTCTGATGGTTCCTTTTTGATTTTCTGTTTGGATGATCTGTGCATTACTGAGAGTGGGGCATTGAAGTACCCTACCATTATTGTAATGTCATCTATCTCTCCCTTTAGATCTATTACTGTTTGCTTTACATACTTGGGAGTTCTGGTGTTAGATGCATAGATATTTATAATCATTATGTCCTCTTGCTGAATTGACTTCTTTATCATTACATATTTACCTTCTCTGTCTCTTTTTATAGGTTTTGATTTGTAGTCTGTTTTATCTGATATAAATGTAGCTATCTTGCTTTTCTTGTTTTTGGTTTCTAGTTGCATGGAGTATCTTTTTCCATACCTTCACTTTCAGTCTGTGTGTGCCTTTATAGATGAAATGGGTTTCTTATAAGCAATATATAGTTGGTTTGAGACCAGCCTGGGCAACATGATGAAACGCTGTATCTACAAAAAATACAAAAATTATCTGGGCATGGTGATGTGCACCCATAGTCCCAGCTATGTGGCAGACTGAGATGGGACGATCACCTGAGCCTGGGAGGTTGAGGCTGCAGTGAGCTGTGGTCACACCATTGTACTCCAGACTGGGTGATAGAGACCCTGTCTCAGAACCAACCAAACAAACAAAATGCCCAAACATATAGTTGGGTCTTATTTCTTTATCCATTCAGCCACTCTGTGCCTTGTAACTGGAGTATTCAGTCCATTTACATTCAGTGTCATTGTTGATAAGTAAGGACTTACTACTGCCATTTTGTTGCTTGTTTTCTGGTTATTTTGTAGCTCCTCTCTTCCCTTCTTCCGTCTTCCTTTTTAGTTAAATGGTTTTCACTGGTAGGATGTTTTAATTTGTTATTTATTTTTAGTGAATCTATTATAGGTTTTTGCATTATGGTTTTCATGAGGCTTACACAAAACATCTTACAGTTATTTTAAAGAGATGACAAGTTATTTTAAAGAGATGACAACTTATCTTAAATCACAAGGAAAATAATAGAAACAAACAAAAAATGAAAAGGTCTACATTTTAGGTCTACCCCCTCCCCATCTGGCTTTTAGTTGTCTCAACTTACATATTTTTATACTGCTTGTCTCTTCACAGTTTGCTGTAGCTATTGTTGTTTTTGATAGATTTGTCTTTTGAGCTTCATACTAGGGTTATGAGTGGATTTCACACAACAGTTACTGTATTAGAGTTCTGGGTTTGTCCATGTACTTAATCTTACCAGTGGGTTTTCTATCTTCAGTTCTTTTCCTATTAGTGTTTTTTTTTTTCATTCAAATTGAAAAACTCTCTTTAGCATTTCTTGTAAGTCTGGCCTGGTGCTAGTGAATTCTCTCAGCTTTTGTTTGGGAAAGTCTTTATCTCTCCTTCGTACCTGAAGGATAACTTTGCTATATAGAGTATTCTTGTATGGAAGTGTTTTCTCTTTCAGCACTTTGAAAATGTCATTGCACTCCATCTAGTTCTGAATGGTTTCTGTTGAGAATGTTATTGACAAATGAATTGGAACTCCTTTATATATTATTTGCTTCTTTTCTCTTGCTGGTATTAGAATTCCCTTTGTCCTTGAACTTTGAGAGTTTGATTATTGTATGCCTTAGGGAAATCTTATTTGGGTTAAATCTGTTTGGTGTTCTCTGACCTTCCTGTACCTGAATACTTATGTCTTTCTCGAGTTGTGGAAAATTTTCTGTTATTATTTATTCAACTAAGTTTCTACCCCTTGCTTTTGCTCAACCCCCTCTTGAACACCAATAATTATTAGATTTGGTCTTTTGAGGTAATTTGCTATATCTTGTAGGAGATCTTTATTTATTTTTATCTTGTTTTCTCCTTCATGTATTTTCAAATAGTCTTCCAGCTTACTGATTCTTTCCTCTGCTTAGTTCATTCTGCTATTAAGAGACTAATTTTTTTTAGTTCAGCAAATGTGTTTCTCAGTTCCAAGATTTCTGTTTTTTTTAAAATTTGAATCTCTTTGTTAAATTACTCATAAAATTTTTAATTTCTTTTCGGTATTATCTTGGAGATGACTGAATTTCCTTAAAACTACTCTTTTGAATTTTTGGTCAGAAAGCTGGCATATGGATCTCTCATTAGGGTCAGTTTTTGTTTCTTTTCTTTTGTTTTGTCTTTGTTTTGTCCATTTGGGGAGATCATGGCTCCTCGTTTACTGTTGTTTCTTGTGGGTGAACATCTATGTCTTTGCATTGAAGGACTGGTTATTTATTCCAGTCTTCTCTGCCCAGCTTTATTTTGTTTTAATTGAATATATTTGCTTAGAGGTTCCTTACCACTAAACTACTGCCTCCCTTATGGCTTCAAGAGGTGCCTTAAACCCAGTTTTGCCTCAGCTCTAGCAAAGGATCAGAACATTGCTGTTCCCAGATGGGGGAGGTCCTGATTGGCATATCCCAGCAGTGTGGGAAGGCTGGCTTAGGAGTTTGTGCCCAGGAGACTTGTGGGACAAACTTCCTATAGCCTCGTGCTGCTGAACAGCCACTCTCGTTTGGCGTCTCCTGTGGCTGAATTACAGAACAGAGTTTCCGGGGCTGAGTTACAGAGCAGAGTTTCTAGGGCTGGGTGTGGGAATCCTGCTTGTCTCCTTTGTCTCTGTCCTTAGGGATATTTCTCCCTTCAGGCACTCATGATGCTTCCTGTGGGTTAAGAGAGGGACAGATCTCCTGCCAGGGAACCCAAGATGGTGGGGAAGCTATTTGTCTACATCAATTTCACCTTTTCCAATGCAGAAACAGTGAGATGGGGGAACTTTTTCATGTGCTTGGTACTGGGCAGAATAGGAAGAGGGGTGTCATGGATGTGAAGTCCAATTCTCTTACCATCTGCTCAGTTTTTTCACTTCTTGGTGGCCCCAGGAATGGTTTTATCTTTGTATTTGATTTCTGGGATATTTCTGGTGATAATCTCAGCACTGTATATTTGTTTTAGGCTTTGCGTGTTTGGGGATGAGTGAATCCAGCTTGTTTCTATGCTGCCATCTTGGAACTGGAAGTCCTTTTACACAGGTTATTTAAGCTTTTCCTCCAGGGATAGCAAATGCACTCTATTGTCCCAGCTTCCATAAGTTGGCAGTGCCATCTGGGATCCTCTGGTGAGAAGAGATGTCACAATCGATTAGCAATGTCTGCCATGGGTGTGAGTGGGCCAGGCAGTGGTATGTGTGCTGAGGATTTGCCATCTGGGATCAACTGCTTCAGATCTATGAGTCTGATCCTGTCAACCTAATCAAATACCTTTCAAGTCCAAGAAGAACGGGCCTTATGAGACAAGACTGAGATAATGAGGCTGAATTTCAAAAAACATGCCTGAACTTTGGGGGGAATTAAATTAGTACAGTTCCTTTACACAGGCTGCTTTGGAAGGCATTGCACTTATGCCAGTGAGGCTAGCTTTGCTTGTACATTTTTGGAGTGCTGTTTTAGAATTGCTGGTTAATAATGGACCATAAAACATATAATTTTCAATCATTTATGGTCTCATCTCACTTTTGGCTTCAAATGCCATTACCCTGTCTTATCATTTGCTGTTCTCTGGGCTTGATCCCATTTAACTCTTGGTTGTATCCCGAATGAGATCTGTCCTAATAAAATGAAGATGTGTCTCCTCTGAAAGTGCCAAGAACAGCTTGCAGGCTCTGAAGGCCATACGGAAAAGGAAATTCCCAACCTCTAAATACAGGGAGCATCATTAGAAGGGTGAGTGCCTTCCCAAGTAGTACTGGTAAGGAGGAGACTCATCTGCTGCTGAACCATGGGCGTTGGTTGGAAGCCAGTTCTGTTACTCTCAATCTGTGCCTGGGCCACCTCTAAAGAGCCATACATCACCCACACCTGGTGGTCCTCTTGCTGACCACCGGATTTTGCTAAACTCATTTTCACGTACGTTGATTTTGTCTCCTTAGTGCTCTGCAGGAGCCAGGTGGATGCACTGGCACAGCCTCCCCTGCTTCTGGACATTGTGCCTGTGAGCCTGGGGTCTTTGTCAGTAACTGGCTGCTCCTCATTCTACCTGAGGCCAGACTCCACACCTCTTGTTCCTGAGCTCCAGCCCTGGGAGTCATCTGTGCTCAGGCAGCGGTCCCAGGTTAGATGCCTGCTTCCCCTTAGGCCCAGCCCCACCAGAAGAGACCCTGCAGCTGTTTCCAGTGGCCTGGGCTGCAAATCGTGAATGACTATTTGTTCAAACCACTAACATCTCAGCCCATGGAAAAGACCTAAGCGATCTCATGGCTGATTTTCTTCCTGGGCTGTTCCATATGCCAGGGCCCCTGGCTTTTCTTGAGCTGATTCTGATTCCTGAAAAGGGGTGAAAGGAATTTCTCCAGGCACTTTTGGAAGGAGCCCCAGCTGTGGAAACCTTCCCTGAACAACCAGACCACCAGCAAGACCTCACCTGGCCTTTAGTCCTGGAGGAGCAAAGGGCCTGGTGGTGGCACCCCCTGAGGTGTGCCCCGGGGCAGGACACAGAACACTGCAATATGTTATTACCGAGGTCAGGCTCAATTTTCCTTTTAATTTTCTCCCCTGGAAAGAAAAATCCCTTTCTTTGTATTTGGAAGGCTTAACTTTAATCTCATGTTCCCCTTTTAGCTAATGATGTGGTACACCTTGCAAGAAACGGAAGTTCATACAACTTCTTCAGCATCTGAGTAGGGGAGAGCTGGATTTTAAAGGAAATTTGTAAGTGATTTTTATCGTTAACTGAAATTTCATTCATAGATGTTCTTCTGTTCTCTTTCTGCTCCTGTTTGTCACACAGACATACACAACCAAGCCATGGCTGCTATTCAGAAGCCGCTTTGCCTGGAGTATCTCAAAGCAGCAGCTGGCCCTTGCGGAGTGTTCCGTGCACGAGTCCTGCATCCAGGCACTTGCCCGTGTACTTTCCTCAAACGTACTCATTTAATCCTCAGGAGAGTCCCATGAGGTAAGCAGCTTTAGCATCCCTATTTTACAGGTGGAAAAACTGAGGCACAGACCAGCTGTCACCTTTCCAGCCTGTCTGGGGCCAGAGTCCATGCCCCGACCCCCATGCCATTGAGCTCTGGTGAGCCCTGCATCCCCCGCTGCTGCCTGCACATGCCTCGATCTCTCCTCCACAGCTTCCTCTCAGCTTCTCCAGGGTCCCAACCCCGTTTCTGTCTTCTTTCTGCAGTTGGAAATGGTCATTGTTTCACATATGCAGGGCTCTCACGCTGTGTATTTAGAAGCCCTTAATGAAGGAATCCATTCCAGAAGATAACATATATGGGCTTTTCTGGTAGAACACAAACAATTATTTAGTGGTGAGAGAGAAACTTTTGAAATGGTCTTGACGTTCAGAGCTTGAGAAATGACAATGAAAGGAAGCAGACTTAATGAAACGGCGTTTTAGAACACAGGGCTCGGGGAGGTGCTGAAGTCTGATGCAGAGACCAAGCTCAGATGAGGGCAGTCCACCTGTCGCTGTGTTCTACTAGAATTTAAGCTCACGGGGGCAGGAGTTCTGCCTGTTCCTGCTATATGGGCGCAGAACAGTGCCTGACACATCTTCCTGGTCACCTGTGATGGCTGGGCACCATGCTGGACAACGGGAGGGCGGTGGCCCGTGAGAGTGCTGGAGTTCCTGCACTCACAGAGGTTAGGACTAAAGGGAGAACAGTCCGTTCCGGTCCGGACCTCAGACTTTGGGTAAGTGTCAGGGTTCAGGGAGGACTTTAAAAATGGCTGGGATTTCTTCCCAGCCATGGCCACATCCCCTCTAAGGTCCCTCAAAGGCTCGTGCTACAAGGTCTGAGTAGAGCTATCAGGCTTTGGAGGTCACTTATCCCACCAAGGCCTCAAGGGCCCTTTATTCATCCGGCTGCTGGTCCCACCTGGGAGTGGTGCACGTTTGAGGTATGGACCCTGAAAGACCTAGAAACAAATAATGTGTTTGATAACTTGTTTCTTTTCACATTTGTTTAGAGAAAAAGAGGTTAATTACCACAGTAGCATAAAGGCCAATTAACTGTCCACATAATCAGGTTTACCAGTAGCTGCCCTTCCATCCTCCATGCCTGTGGACACCTTGCGGGCAGACAACATTGGAAGCATTCATCTGATCCACCGTGCTTCCCGGGCTCCTGAGCCAGGAGGAGCTGTGTACAGTGTTGCCCACACTGTGTCTTCTAATGAAGCCTTTTATTTTATGGTAGCTGCTGGCAAGAAAGCAGAGGGTGGAAACTCCTCTCCCTCCTCCTTAGTGAATGTTTCCACTGCTGTGATTCCATTTGGATCAGAGTTGATTTTCTGTGGACTTTCATACACTCTCCATTCTGGGCAGAAGCAGTGAGGTCTCCCTCCAACCATTTCATCTGTGCAGTCAAATCCCACCTTTCCACAAAGGCACCTTCCCCACCCTGGTTCTCTCTGATGTGTGTGGCCAGTCCTAGGAAAGCATCTAAGGCTTTCAGCTGTATTGAGGTTGCCTGTGTCCAGCCTGAGCCCAGCGCCTGGCACCCAGCAGGTGCTCTATAAATCTTTGCAGATGGAGGAAGGCAGGGGGAGGCTTGGCTTCCACTGTGCATCTGGCCACATCCAGGAGAGAGGAGGATTTTCCTGTCTTGGGTCTTGCTGAAGTCCCCCTGGCATGAGAGGCTCACACCCAGGCCAGTCATCACCTCTGCCCACCTTCTTTTTCCAGATAAGTCGAAGACTGTGAGTTGGTGAGGTGAGACTTCAGTGTCCTCTGGGTTATGAGGGGATAAGGACGAGATCTCTCAGAGAACTGAAGTTGTGACTGGCCTCCCTGCAGGCAAAGGCTGGCTCTCAGGCAGGTTCGGGGGGTTTGGTCACCAGTAGCAGCCCTTTGGTCCCTGCGACCCCTGGCGTCCCTGTTCAGTGTGCCGTGTGTCCACCCGGACTTCGGATCTTTCCATGGTGCCAGCCTGGCCTTTTACTTTCACGCAGCTGCTCCACAGTCACTCTGCACAACACCAAACCTTACCACATAACACACACCTCATCTCACAATGCCACATCTCACCACACCACACCTCACCTCACAATACCACACCACACCACGCCACACCACATAGCACCACAGCAACACACAATACCACACAGCACCACTTCACACTCACCCACCCACTCCAACTCAATTTCAACCCAGTAGTACGTTACCTGTGAATGAATGCTGGGACCACCAGGGTCCCCCAGAAGGCAGTCATAACAATCTGCCCAGCTGGAGGGAGAAACAAATGTTTGTTTGGACAATTTGCATCCGCTCCTTCATACTACTTCTTCAAACCGGATAAAAGAGAACTCTGTATAATATACACAGAAACTCCTGTTACTGGCAGAATCTTAAAATATTTATACAGCATACAAACAATACCAAGGAATTTCCTACAAGCTATATATTGACTTCATAAACACAAGGCCATTATGTATTTGTCTTAATTATACACAACAAGTTATTGATTACAGTACAGTAAAATCTGAAGGCAAAAATCTCAAGATCAACACTTCTGTATACACTGTGCTGTTGCAAATGGCTACTGCGATAAGCTAGGAGATCAACCCGTGGCACTGTTAATCTCAGAGGCTGAAGATGCATGGACTTTGGGAACCTGGGGCCTCTCTGTGTGGCTAGAGAGGGAGTTAGCTCAGCCTGGTGGGTGTGATGGGTGTGTCCCGCTGTCCACACAGGAGGGCACTCATCTGGTGGGCCATGTTGCCGGGAGACCCTGAAGCACCTGGGTAAGCTGCTGTGTCCTCAGCCTTGGCCACTTCCCATGTGCCAGTGAGTGACGTTCAGGGTTTGTATTAGTCAGGGTTCTCTAGAGGAACAGTAGTAATGGAATATATATATGTCACATGTGTGTATACACACGCACACATGTAAGGGGGAGTTTATTAAGTATTAACTCACACAATCATAAGGTCCCACCATAGGCCATCTGCAGGCTGAAGAGAAAGGAGAGCCAGTCTGAGTTCCAAAACTGAAGAACTTGGAGTTCGCTGTTCAAGGGCAGGAAGCATCCAGCACGGGAGAAGGATGTGGCTGGGAGGCTAGGCCAGCCTCTCTTTTCACATTTTTCTGCCTGCCTGCTTTATAGTCTAACCTCACTGGCAGTTGATTAGATTGTGCCCACCCAGATTAAGGGTAGGTCTGTCTTTCCCAGCCCACTCACTCAAATGTGAATCTCCTTTTTTTAACACCCTCACAGACACACCCAGGATTGATACTTTGTATCCTTCAATCCAATCAAGTTGACACAGTATAAACTATCTCAGGGTTCCTCACAGGAAGGAGATTGCGGCAGAGAATGTGGTGTTCCTTGCCCTTCCTCTCTCTGCTCTGCTCCCACCTTGGGCCACCACTGTGTCCCTCAGTACCATTTCTATTTCAGATTCCAGTATGTTCAAAAATAAAAAGAAAGTAAATGGTGCTTCTTCCCAGAAAATGTTTGTCCATTTCTGAGGTACATGTTTATTTTAATGTCATTTATCTCTGGGAATAAAGAATAACCCCCATAAGAATAACCCCCAACCACCCAAGTGGATAAAAACCAAAAATGTTCTGTCTTGGTCCATTTATGCTGCAGTAGCAGAATACCTGCACTGAGTAATTTATATTGACTCATGGTTATGGAGGCTGGGAAGTCCAACAGCATGGTACCAGCATCTGGTGAGGGCCTTTGTGCTGTGTCATCCCATGGTGGAAAGCAGAAGGGCAAAAGAGGGCAACAGTGAGAGAGGGCAGGGAGGGTTGAACTTGCTTTTATAACAAACCTACTCCCACAATAATGACATTAATCCCTTCATGAAGACAGAGCTCTCATGGCCTAAACACCTCCCTTGAGCCCTACCTTCCAACACTGTTGCACTGGGAATTAAATTTCCAAACACATGAACTTTGAGGGACACATTGAAACCACACCACCTTCCTAGTCTCAAGTCCAACTTACTAAGTGATCTTATATATGCTACATGTCATTTTTAGGCTCTTAGACTCTGAAAAACAGGGTCCTTAAGTTGTCTTTGTTAATGTTCAAAGTAAGGCTCAGACACATCTGTTACACAATGGGTTACAGAGGAAAGTGGATTGACCATGATAGAATGTCTTCATCAATAACTGAGAGGCAGGAGGACATACGTACATGTGGATGAGTCTAGTTCAGCATTGTCCATGTGACAGCTGGCCCCTCTCTGATCATGCTCCTTGAGCATGAGAACTTTGGGAAAGGAGCCATATTGATGTTCTGCTGGGAGGGAAAAGACTGTGTGGCCAGCCAGGAGAGGCAGCATGCAAGGGAGACCTGATGTGGTCCAGCCAGGCGACGCAGCATGCAGGGGAGACCTGATGTGGTCCTGCTGCCAGGGGCTGGAGCCCTTCAGTCATCACCTGAGGTCCTTCAGTGCAGCCCTGAAGTGACGCTGCTCCAGAACTCATGTCCATACCCCACCCTTCATCTGGCTGTGGGTGCCACATCCACGGCCCCTGCTCTCCAGGCAGGCTGTATACATGTCTTCCCAACTCCAGTCCCTCTAGAGAAGTTCAGAGGCTTCAGGTTGGTGGCTTGAAATTGGCCATGATGGGATCATTTTCACCATGGAAATTGGCAAATACTACAAGTCAGGGCTCTATTCTTTTCAAAGAGCAGGTTGTTGAAAATTTACTAGCTCATTACTGAATCCAGTCATCTATCTTTCCTACTGTTCAACCATTTCACCACCTCACCATCTATTTACCTCAGCCATTAAGGCCAGATGAATCCATTTGGAAATGACCAGGTCAACCAAGGAATTAGATGTAGCAAAACCTTGCTGACACATGTAAATGACTCAAGCAGAATCTCACTTGATTTTAATGATTTTTGAATTTTCCATTTATTTACAGCTGTCTCATCCACACTTAAATCAGTGTACATGTTTAGTGAATTTCCTTTATGGTATCTTTTCAAAGCATTCAGCTTAGATTACATGGACATAATGCCTCTGTTTTCACATGCATATTTTCTCACAATGAGGCTTATCTAGATACATAAGGCAATGACAATAATAAGCCCAATTGGAACAGATGATTCTGCAGGCAAACGCGGCCTGCTTTGGGGGTGTGCACGGTGTACATGCACATGTCCACCGGTGGGCGGCGGGCCACCATGATGGAGGTGCACAGGAGCACCTACTGCACTGTTGGGGGTCTCTGCCCTCTGTTCCAGGGACCAAGTGCTTCCTCCTGGTGGTCCCAGAGAGTTTTGCTAGGCTCACCCTACACTCAGTCGCAGGTCTTCCAAGACTCGCAATTTCCTGCAAAGCTTGAAACGCAGTGGGAGGCATTGCCTGAGTCCTGTCTGCTTCTGGGCAGCGCCTTCTCTGTCACAACTGCTGAGAGCATTTGTTGCCAGCCGCCTCTGCCCCCTCCTTTAGAAAGAGTGGCATGGCCCTCGTTACCTCTTGGTGGTACTGTTGACCAAGGGGCCTGCATTCCCTGGCTGAGGTCAGGAAGGACCCACGTGGGGACAGCTAAAAGATCGTCTCTCCTTGGACTCTTAGCTGAATGATCCGAGGAGACAAAATGAAGCTTTGAGTAAATTAATTCTAATGTCAAGACTGCTCTAAGTGTGGCCCAGAGCAGGAGCACAAATGGAGGCTCAGATGCACACACCTAGGTACTGGAGAGATGTAAACCAAGATGTGAACCAAGGCATCTTGCCTCCCTTCCCCGCTGAATCTTACTGGAAAACTTCTTCCTGTCATCTGGCCATATGTCAATGTGAGAAAGCCTTTATTTTCAGCCCTTTTTTTGTGAAACAGACTTTTGTTTCATTGAAAAGAAGGAATGCACTTTTATTTCTGACTTTTGGGGAAGAGGTGCTCTCGTTTTCAGGACAATTGGATAGAATGTGTTTACAGAAGAGTGTCCAATTCTAGTTCCATGAAAGCAGGGCATAGTGGCCCTGAATTCAGAGCTCTATGAGGGAAACACCGGGTTTTCTGTTTGGAGTCAGTTGGCACTGCTTAGAGAGCGGTGTGGGCACAAGACGTGTTTGAACATACCAGAGTCAGTGGTGTTCACCACGTATGTAATTAAAGAAAACATGTTCTGCATAAGCTGGGCACGTAGGGCTGTGACTCACACTGAGCAGATCTTCGCCAAGGTAGATCTTTGCATTTAGGTTTTCCTTCCTCCGGCTGAATAGGAGGGCAGAGGAGAGAGTGAAGAAAGGATAGTAATATTCTAGCATCTGAGTGTCTCCACCTGGTTCCCAAGGGCGAGGCCACCTGTGCTTGCAGCCAGGCGCTTCCCGACTTCGTTTCTTTCCGCACATGGCTCTCTGATGCACACTTGGATTCCGGGCCCCTTGTCTACAATGGCAGCTGCCTGGGAGCATGACCTAAGAATCCCAGAGTCCTGCATTCCTACTTTGTCACCAACCAAAGGCCTTAAAGATCTGAGACCTCCGTGCCCCTGCCTCTGTGCCCTTCTGTATTGATTAGTGGAAAAATGGAGCTTATTTGGTAGAATGGTTAAGATCCATTATCTACTAATTTAAGGGAAAGGCTAATTTAAAAGAAAAGGAGGGCTACTTCTCAGAACCAAAAAAAATTTAACCGAACTATATTTCCAGATGTAGAAATTTCTAAGCCAGGTGCAGTGGCTCACACCTGTAATCCTAGCACTTTGGGAGGCTGAGGTGGGTGGATCACTTGAGGTCAGGAGTTCAAGACTAGCCTGGCCAACATGGCAAACCCCCGTCTCTACTAAAAATACAAAAATTAGCCAGCCATGGTGGTGCATGCCTATAACCCCAGCTACTTGGGAGGCTGAGGCAGGAGAATCATTTGAACCTGGGGGGCGGAGGTTGCAGTGAGCTGAGATCACACCACTGCCCTCCAGCCTGGGCGATAGAGTGAAACTCTGTGGTCTCAAAAAAAACAAAGAATAAAAAAAGAAAGAAATTTGTATTACATATTTTAAGTCTGGTGAGTTTGATTAGAAGTGAAGTGAGACTTTTTTATCAAGACAATGTGTAGAGTCCTGTGTCCTCCAATTGCCAGTTGTATGGTCTTGGGAAATAACATCTTTCATGTCTCTGAGGCTCAGCTTTTGTCCTCCTCCCAGGGTGATGAAGGGTAGACGAGGTGGGGTCTCTGTGAGAGGCACCTGGGTGCAGTGGGTACCAGCCACGGGCTGGGAACTCAAATCTCTACTCTGTCTGTGATTGGCCGTGGGACCTTAGGCCGTCACCTTCACTGCTCTGAGCCCTTGTAGGATGAAGGTAACCTCACCACACAGAGGATTTGGGGGATTCTGTAAGAGCGTGTGTGTTCAACGCTGGCCCAAGGCATGGGCTGGGAACTCAAATCTCTACTCTGCCTGTGATTGGCCGTGGGACCTTACACCGTCACCTTCACTGCTCTGAGCCTTGTAGGATGAAGGTAACCTCACCACACAGAGGATTTGGGGGATTCTGTAAGAGCGTGTGTGTTCAACGCTGGCCCAAGGCATGGGCTGGGAACTCAAATCTCTACTCTGTCTGTGATTGGCCGTGGGACCTTACGCCATCACCTTCACTGCTCTGAGCCCTTGTAGGATGAAGGTAACCTCACCACACAGAGGATTTGGGGGATTCTGTAAGAGCGTATGTGTTCAACGCTGGCCCAAGGCATCGTCAGTGCCATTCAAGTCTTTATGGGGATAGGCAGAATGCGCTCAGCAGAAGAAAACTTCTTTTTCTTTTCACCATGGTTAAATGTCTAGTTTTACGGATGTAGAACAAAGGAGCCCATTTCCTGATAACCTCTGATTATTTATAACCTGTAAGCACCTCCTGGTTTTCCCATTTCACCTGAGTGTGGTAAGTCATGAGGAATTATTTCAACAAACGCTTATCACACACCCAGGAGGTGTCACACTTTGGGGAGATGAAGACAAATGAAACATTTATTTTAGTAAATGTATGAACCCAATAAACAAAGAGATTTTCAGATGCTGTGTGGGGTGCAGGGAGGAGTCGCTTTGTCCCGAAGGTGGAAACATCACAACCTGGCCACACCTGCCGTTTGCCCTCAGTCCTTCCTGGACGAGTTCATTTCTCAGATGCAGCTCAGATTGTCATCTTGCTTTAAGATTCTCAAAGGTCTTTACCACTACTCCATCTTCCAGGACACTGGATGCAGATGCCTTCTGCTGTGGAGTGTTTGTGTGTTGTTTAGAGCACAGGAATCCTGGGCTGCTGCCACCAGCCAGCCAAGCAGCAGCGCATCCAGGGAGGTGTCAAGGCCAAGTGATAAAGCCAGAAATCTGCTCCTTTTCGGTGGTTTTAAGGTGCTGAAACCTGAAAGCTCCAGGAGCTTCGTCCTCCTTAGATTTTTTTTATGGGTTAATAAAGTAAATACCTCCTTTCAAAAAGGATGTGTTTAGGAAGCTAAGCTGTTCATTTTTCAAAGTGAGTGATCTGTTTTACAGAGCTTAGACGCATGTCCAGCCGCCTGCTGTAAATCCTCTCTGGCTGTAAAGGACAATGTAAACAACGTGGGTGCCGTTTAAACAGTCCCCAGCATGGCACAGGCAGCGCCACTGGAAATGCCTCCATCTTTCTAAAGAGAAACAGATGTTTGAAGAGCGGAGCTGAGCAGAAGCCATTCTTCAAACAGAAGATTAAAGCATCTGTCGGGTATGCCGGGCCAGCGACCCTCAGTGGCCACCTCAGCTGGGCCTGCTGGTCACAGCTTCCAGGGTGTGTGGTGGAGGAGGGCGTTGGGGGGTGGGCGGAGGGGAAGGAGGGAGCTGAGTGCTGATGCCCAGGCCTCTCGGCTACTTCTCATTTCCAGAGTCAGAGTTACAGTGGCCCGTGGCCCATTGATGTCCTGCTGGCCTGTCCAGTGTGCTGCCAGCCCATCGGGGGTCCTGTTCACATTCCTAGGGCCTTCCCTGAACATTGTCCTTTTTATTCCTGACGCCAGTTGTCACTGAGGCCCTGGACAGAGAGCTCACACCTGGCCGGGTCTAGGCGTCCCTGCCCTGTGTCAGACCCTCCAGAGTCCCTTCCTCTTCCAGGTCCTCCGTCCAGAATTCACCTTCTGAAAGACTGGGGTGCACACCACACACAACATTCCTGGGATTCATGGGAAATAAATGTGCTCATCTCTTAGGACTAAGAAGGAGAGAACATCATTCCTGCTCTGCAGCTCAGTAAGAATTCCAAAATGTTGATGGAAGAAAGGGGATCAGAAGAGAAGTTTGCAGGGGATGCCTAGGGTTGAAGAGTCCCTTCTTTTTGCTTTCTCTTGTCCCTTCCCCAAAAAGGTCCATAAGAGAAATTCTTCCTGTGCAAAGCTTTAGTGAGCCTGGGGCACGGAGGAGCAAATCTGGAAAGGGTGACCTCCAATGATGACCATGCAAGGGGGAGACGTGCGGGGGAGGACGTGGAGGAAGGAGATGGGCAGGGGAGGACGAGGAAGGGAGGATGTGAAGGAGGAACCTAGAGGAGGGACTGGATGAGGACGTGGATTAGGGATAAAGATGAAGGACAAGGAGGGTGGGCATGGAGGACAAAAATGGAGCAATGTCATGAAAGGAGGGACATGGTAAGGGTTTTTCTTACTGTGAGTCTCGTGGAGAGGGTCTCTTACTGTGAACATCAAAGTGTGGGTCTCCATCACTGTGAGCCTTGTGGACAGGGTCACCATCATTGTGAGACTCATGGACAGGGTCTTCATCACTGTGAGCCTCGTGGAGAGGGTGTCGATCACTGTGAGCCCCCTGGAGAAGGTCTCCATCACTGTGAGCCTCCTGGAGAGGGTCTCCATCACTGTGAGCCTCATGGAGAGGGTCTCCATCACTGTGAGCCCCCTGGAGAAGGTCTCCATCACTGTGAATCTCCTGGAGAGGGTCTCCATCACTGTGAGCCTCGTGGAGAGGGTCTCCATCACCGTAAGCCTCATGGACAGGGTCTCCATCACCGTGAGCCTCGTGGACAGGGTCTCCATCACCGTGAGCCTCGTGAACAGGGTCTCCATCACTGTGAAACTCATGGAGAAGGTCTTCATCACTGTGAGCCTCATGGAGAAGGTTTCCATCACTGTGAGCCTCGTGGAGAGGATCTCCATCACTGTGAGCCTCGTGGACAGGGTCTCCATCACTGTGAACCTCATTTAAAAGGTTTTCATCACTGTGAGCCTCATGGAGAAGGTCTCCATCACTGTGAGCCTCATGGAGAAGGTCTCCATCACTGTGAGCCTCGTGGAGAGGATTTCCATCACTGTGAGCCTCGTGGACAGGGTCTCCATCACCGTGAGCCTTGTGGAGAAGGTCTCCATCACTGCGAGCCTCATAGAGAAGGACTTCATCACTGTGATCCTCCTGGAGAGGTTTCCCATCACTGCGAACCTCGTGGACAGGGTCTCCATCACCGTGAGCCTTGTGGAGAGGGTCTCCATCACCGTGAGCATTGTGGACAGGGTCTCCATCACCGTGAGCCTTGTGGAGAAGGTCTCCATCACTGTGAGCCTTGTGGACAGGCTCTCCATCACTGTGAGCCTTGTGGACAGGGACTCCATCACTGTGAGCCTCGTGGACAGGGTCTCCATCACTGTGAGCCTCGTGGAGAGGGTCTCCATCACTTTGAGCCTCGTGGAGAAGGTCTCCATCACTGTGAGCCTCCTGGAGAGGGTCTCCATCACTGTGAGCCTCGTGGAGAAGGTCTCCATCACTGTGAGCCTCCTGGAGAGTGTCTCCATCACTGTGAACCTCGTGGAGAGGGTCTCCATCACTGTGAGCCTCGTGGACAGGGTCTCCATCACTGTGAGCCTCGTGGACAGGGTCTCCATCACTGTCACTGTCAGCCTCGTAGACAGGTTCTCCATCACTGTGAGCCTCGTGGAGAAGGTCTCCCTCACTATGATCCTCCTGGAGAGGGTCTCCATCACTATGAGCCTTGTAGACAGGGTCTCCATCACTGTGAGCCTGGTGGAGAGGGTCTCCATCACTGTCAGCCTTGTAGACAGGTTCTCCATCACTGTGAGCGTCGTGGAGAAGGTCTCCATCACTGTCAGCCTTTTAGACAGGTTCTCCATCACTGTGAGCCTTGTGGAGAAGGTCTCTCTCACTGTGATCCTCCTGGAGAGGATCTCCATCACTGTGAGCCTTGTGGACAGGGTCTCCATCACTGTGAGCCTTGTGGAGAAGGTCTTCATCACTGTGAGCCTCCTGGAGAGGGTCTCCATCACTGTGAGCCTTGTGGACAGGGTCTCCATCACTGTGAGCCTCGTGGAGAAGGTCTTCATCACTGTGAGCCTCCTGGAGAGGGTCTCCATCACTGTGAGCCTCGTGGAGAAGGTCTTCATCACTGTGAGCCTCCTGGAGAGGGTCTCCATCACTGTGAGCCTTGTGGAGAAGGTCTCCATCACTGTGAGCCTCCTGGAGAGGGTCTCCATCACTGTGAGCCTCGTGGACAGGGTCTCCATCACTGTGAGCCTCGTGGACAGGGTCTCCATCACTGCGAGCCTCGTGGATAGGGTCTCCATCGCTGTGAGCCTCGTGGAGAAGGTCTTCATCACTGTGAGCCTTGTAGACAGGGTCTCCATCACTGTGAGCCTCGTGGACAGGGTCTCCCTCACTGTGAGCCCCACAGAGAGGGTCTCTTTCACCATGAGCTCCTTTGTGAGGGTGTGCAATTCTTTTGGTATAATCTTGCATATTTTACTCCTAGTTAGCAGTTTCTTTAATTAGGAACTTTCCTGAGCTCCTGCCTGTGGCCTGGGTTGCTTGCAGCTTCCACTCTCTTTTAGTGCCTTTGTTTTTTGGGGAATCAGTGGCTCAGTGTCCTTCTGAGGGACTTGGCTTCTTTGTTTACGTTGCTTGTGTGGCCTGGGATGCACACTCTCAGCTCCCTACGGCTCATTTCCTCTTTCTTCAGGGAAGGGATTACCCCTCCATGTCTGCTGGGCTCTTTCCACCCTTTAATTCTGAACATCATTCCCCGTCCTTTTAAACAGCAACTCAGAAGCCTCAAGATGGCTTCGTGGAGGCTGGAGCCATGCATGGATTGTATCCTTGGCCGGAAATGCCTCCTTCCTGAACTGCTGGGCCCCTCCTGTTGTGGGTGCTGTCTATCTGTGGCCCAGGGCTGGGCTCCTCACCGTGTCTGGGAAGCCGAGTGCTGTATCCACGTAGTTTCAGACTCACAGAAAGGGGCCTTGGTCTGGAGGGCACTGAGTTTACAGGAACGAGCCATCTGACGGCCAGGTGAGACTGCCGGTTCTGACAGGGCCACCTTCTGTGGCATGGAGGCCTCCATGCCCTGGACTTAGTTTCCATGGAGGAAGAGAATTAGGATGGTTCTGAGCAGCTTGGGGATCTCTCTCCACACCACATGCATTTGCAAATGCTCTCTTCTGTATATGGATCCTGGACGGAAGACGTTCAGGTCTCCTGACCCTGCAGGGCAGTGTGGGGACCCCTAGACACATCCCTGCATCCCTTGGCCAGCGTTGGCCCTGCTCTGTGTCTAGTGGCCACCGGCAGCATCTATGGCTTTGTGGGAAATGGGGTGGAACAATGTCTCATGGGATCTGAAGCTCCTAATTTTATTTTTTTATTGTGTCATAAGCCTGTATTTTGGTAGGAAAAGATACAGAAGTTGTTTCAATGAGCTCCTTTCATCTCCACTGCTTTGGGGATTCATGCTGTGGTGCCGTTTTATGCCCTGTAATGAAACTGTGTGGAGTGGACGAGAACGCCCCTGGGAGGTGCCTTCGGAAAGGCAGCCGGGTCCACCTTCCAATCTTGCATGCGGTTCCGGGACCCTGCATCCCTCTTAAAGCTTGGGTCACATCAGTAAATGCACAGAATCCTGAAGAAAGGTAGTGACCGGCCACTCCACACTTCACTCAGGCGAAACCTGGAGTGCTGTGCTCAGCTTTGGCTGATATGTGTTAGAACAGGGACCCCCAGCTCCCGGGGACAGGCCGGTACCATCCATGGCCTGTTAGGGTCCGGGCTGCGCAGCAGGAGGTGAGTGGTGGGCGAGCGAGCGTTCCCACCTGAGCCCCTACTCCTGTTAGATCAGAGGCAGCATTCGATTCTCAGAGGAGTGTGAACCCTACTGTGCATGGCACATGCCAGGGATTTAGGCTGCGGGCTCCTTATGGGAATCAAAGTCTGATGATCTGAGGTAGCAGTTTCATCCCGAAATCATTTCCCCCGCCCACCGTGCATGAAAAATCGTCTTCCAAGAAACCAGTCCCTGGAGCCAAAAAGGTTGGGGCCTGCTGTGTTCAAGGACATCGTCAGTTTCTTGGGGATGGGACTGTGTTGTCCTCGTTCACCAAAGGGTCCCCCACACCTAAAATACTGCCGGCACAGAGATGCCTGCTAACTCACTTCTGCATTAATTCAGGGTATTCAAACCATGGTTTCTGATCATCTGCTATGTGCTGGGCAATGTCGTAGGTCCCAAGACACAATCATAAATAAAAGATACAGGATGATGATGCCTGGACCACAGGAGCATGCTCAGAAGACAGAATGAGGAAATGCAACCCTTTCTCATGATGGAGGCTCGAAGGGTTGAGAACAGGTGGCTTAGAGAAAAAAAAAAGGCTTGAAGAGAATCAAATTAGGGCTCTCCAGAAAAACAGAACCAACAGGGTGTATGTGTGTGTGTGTGTGTGTGTGTGTGTATGTGTGAGAGAAAGAGAAAGAGAGAGAGGCAGAGAGAGAGAGAGAAAGAAAGAAACATTTTAAGGAAGTGTCTCCTGTGATTGTCAGGGCTGGCATGTTTGAATTCTACAGGGCGGCCCGGCAGGCTGGAGACCCAGGAAGAGGCAACACTGCAGCTGGAGTCTAAAGGCCTCTGAAGGCCGAAGTCCTTCTTCCTCCAGGAACCTCAGTCTTTTCTTGTAGTCCTTCACCTGATTGGACAAGGCCCACCCATACTTCGGAGGGTCATCTGCTTTACTCAAAATCAACTGATTTAAATACTGATCTAATCTAAAAACACCTTCACAGCAACCTGTCTGGCCAAACACTGGCACTGTGGCCCAGCCAATTGGGTGCATAACATTAGCCATGCAGGGTGGACAGGCCTCTCCACAGCCCAGAGGCGGGTGACTAAATTAAAAACAAACAAAAAAACCAATTGCGGAGAAACCCAGGGTAGGGATGATCAGCAGGATGGTACATTTCATCTCCGCTGGTCATTTCAACTTTGCTCACCACACACTTTCCCCTCTCGCTGGCAGGGCCAGGGGACGAACGAAGGCCATGTTCCGAGGTTGTCATGAGTTGAAAAGTCTTTTCGGGTTACGGAAATCAGCTAAATGAACACTTTTGAAATGGGGCTGCACTAATCCAATGATTGTTCACCTCTGAAACCAGCCTGGCTCCTCTGTCATGCGGAGACATGAGGTGACTCTGAGTCCTGTCAGAGACACTCACACTCCTGCAACACCAGCCCCAGCCCAGGGCCTCTTACAGAAACGCGTGTGGAGGAGAGGGGATGGAGAAGGGTGCTGTCCCCTGGGCCCCTTGGCAAGTGGCTAGTGGAGCTCAGAACCGAAGGGTTGATTTTGCCTGAAAATTCACCAAGGAGCCCCCATAGAGGGTGGGAACTGATGGGCACAGAGGAGGCCCAGGAGGTCCTGGCCACGTGCAGAAGCTTGGGTGACCCAGGGCACAGATCTCGCCCACTGAAATGTCAGCTTCTGGGGTCACCGCACCTGAGCCACCAGGAGCCTAGGCCATGGGGTTCGGTTTCTGCTTCTCAGAGGAAACAGATCCTGGCTCTATGGCTGGCACCAACACAGCTCATGCCCTGCCCTGACTAGGCCAATGACTTGTGCCTGGGGCTGGACTCAGCCCTGCCCCTGGCACTGAAAGGGGGCAGCAGCCCAAGAGAGGCGGCGCTCAGAGAGGCCAGGGCTGGCGGGACATGCTCCTGAGAGAAGCCCCATCTCTCTCCCTCCACAGAAACAAAACCAATCTCTTGATAGAGCCACCGCAGTTCCGCTGTGTCCTGGACGCAGCAGCCCGGCTCCCACACCCACCCCGGCCTACCCTGGCTGACGCTACCCACACCTTCTGGTTGCCCAGCCCAATGGCTGCTTTCCAGGCTTTTGACCTCTGTGGCTCTTGAGATTGTGGTCACCATCTTCCAAATAACCTCCTCCCTCCCTGTAACCATCAAGAAGGCAGAGGCCACCTCAGATATTTCAAAGAGCCTTCCCTGAGAGGGGAACCAGCCACACAGGTGTTCAGATGCGGAGGCCCTGTGGCCTGGGGAGAGGGGCCGCTGCAGGGATTGTGTTGGCCTGTGGGTCTCCTAGAGCCATCCTCGGGGCTACACCCATGATGCTGCCACACAAACGGGCCTCCACGCATTCCACTTTCCCACTTCTGTGGTGTCTCTGTTGGCAGCACTGACTTCGAATGCCACCATCAAAGGGGGTGGGGGCTGGACGCCTCCATCGGGAGAGCCCCATGGTCTTGGTGGGCAGCTTCTTCCCTGCGTCACCCTGTCCTCTTGTTCTCCCAGGCGGCGTTGCAGCTGGGCCCTCACTGGGGCATTCCACTGCAAGGGGAGTCTGTGGGCTTCCTTGAGCCTTTCCACCCACCTGGGCAGCCCAGGGCCTCCCTGCCTCTCCCTGTGGGTTTCCCTCCAGGGCTTCCCTCCACCTCGTGGTCATCTCATGTCCATGACTCTCGATGTGTTTCCTTCGCCAGTTCTCGACACAGGACTCCAGGACACGTTCAAGGGTCTACAGGTCACAGTGACTCAATGTATCCAAGCAGAACCCTGCGAATTCCATGACACAGATCCTCTCCACGTCCTGCAGGCCCTCTCCTCTCTGGCCTGGATAATTGTGGGAGCTGTCTCCTCTCCCTTCAGGCCTGTCCTAGTGACATGCACTTTCTACTCTGTAGCAACAGTGAGTCCCCCAAACAAGAGTCTGATCATGTCACTCCCTTACTTGATCTCTTCCACAGATAACCATTGTTGTTAAGATAAATTCAGCCCATTTGCAGCAATGGCCTCCCTCTCAGCCGTCCAGCTCACCGTTGACTGGTCCCTGTGGTCTCCCTGTCCATGCTTACTTGTCCCCCGTGGTTCTCCTTCCATCCGTCCAGCTGACCCTTGACTGGTTCCCATGGTCTCCCTCCCACCCATCCAGCTCACCTTTGACTGGTCCCCATGGTCTCTCTGCCCATGCTTACTGGTCCCACATGGTTCTCCTTCCTGTCCATCCAGCTGACCCCTGACTGGCTCCCATGGTCTCCCTCCCGCCCGTCCAGCTCACCCTGGGTGGGCTTCCTGGCCTCTGCACTCTGGCCATGCTGAGCCTCCTTTATCTGCTCAACTCCACATGCCCTTTTCTGGCCCCTCATCTTGGTCTGGATGACCCTTCTCACTGACTTCTCATCATTTAGTTTGTGCTAAGAAACCACTTTCTCCAGGGACCCCGGTTTGGCCCCCGGTTTTGGGTGTGTGTCGCTCCCTGTGAATGCCTGGGCCTGTGCTGCCCCTCACCACTGAGTTATCGCGCCCCACTGTGGCCTTGGGTTGCCTGTGCCATCCGCAGACGGGCAGTACCTGTGGGCACCATTGGGGTCTGTCTTGCCCTCGGCCCTGCACAGACACCTGGCTCGTAGCACTCAGCAGGTGGTAAGGAGTTCTGGGTATTAAGCTCAGAAATGAATGAATGAATAGGAAGAGGGCCAGGTTGTTGAGAATTCTGTTTCGTGAAAGAACAAGGGTGTTTTGTTGTTATTGTTTTTTGTTTCGAGACCAGGCCAAGGTGCTTAGCTCAGGTCTCATCTTCTCCATTAGGTTTTCCTTGAGCTCCTGGACTGAGCAGAGTGCTCTTCCCAGGGGTCATCATAGGACCTCACATAGGCCCTGCCGCAGCCCTTTCAACTTTATATTTGTCCTTCATCAGTGTCATCTATCATCATTATCTATCATATCTCCATGACTTGTCTGTCATCGTTCCATGTATCTATCATTTGTCTGTTTATCTACCGTGCGTCTGTCATCATTATTGTCATCTCTCTGTCTACCCATCCATAGTCTGTGTGAAGCCACATACTCTCCTTCCCTGAGAGGGTTTCTTACTCATTCTTGAAACTTCTAGTTTCCCCCACAGAGCCGATACCCAGTGAATGCTTATCCGTGACAGTCGCCCACATCCTGGGGATTCGCTGTGTTTCAGAGTCTGTCATGTGGGAGAGGAACTCTAGTTTCTGTACGATCCCAATCGATGAGCCAAGATCTAGAGGTAGAAACCACAGGAACGTTCCAGCTGGCAGCAAGCTCCAGACACGGAATGAGCTTCTTCAGGGAGAAGAAGCTGCCCTGCCAGGCGGATGCGGAGGAGGCCGCCATTTTCATTTTCAGGCGAGGGAGCTCAGGCCAGCGTGGGGCGCCGGCAGGTGACGCCACGCAGCGCCCCGCCCCGCCCCGCCCCCTGCTGAGCGCCCCGCCGTGAGGATCCGCTCCAGCCTCTCCTTCCTCTGAGGAAGGCGGTGATGCTGTCTGTGCATGGGTCTGACCCTCTCCTGAGCAGGCCCGGGAGTCCGGCTATCTGTTAGGCCTGGCCCCCAGCCCGGGGCTCACCTGCTGGAGGCACCTTCTGGAAGCTGAAGTTTCCTGCTGCACATCGCTCTGCTGAGGCCCTGTGGGGAGGGCAGCGCCGGTTTTTCAGGCAGCGATAGAAGGGCTAACAATGGGGGGAAGTGCCTCATTGACCTGCTTTCTTTCCTAGTTATCACTAAGAAAACAGGCTCCGTGGAAGCTGGGGTTATCTCAAAGGCTGCTCCATGAGTGGGGGATGAGGGCGTCCGCTCTCCTGGAAATGCTCAGGTCCGGCCTCTGCCCCAGGGTGAGCCACGGCCCGGGCTGCAGGCTGAGAGAGAGAGGGATTTCACTTCAAATTGAGAGGGGGGTTTTCGTTTTATTTCCGGTCATGAGAACACTTTTCTGACCTCAGGGAAGATCACGTTTTTTGACTCTCCTGTCCTGACACCTTCCTAAAGCCTTGCTCAACTTGCAGATGGACCCTGGGGACTTGATGCTCAGTTTGCGGATGGAACCCCCTCCCCGTCTGGGGGTTTGGCGAAAACGCAGACTCTTGGGTCCTGCCCTTCCTTCAGGCTCCCAGGGTGGCCAGGCAGGGTCCTGGGACAATCTTGACCCAAACAACCTCTAAGACCTCTGAAGAATTACGGTTGCAGCCCCTCCCCGCTTCCCTGGGCCTCGGGTGGTGAAATCCTACAGATCAAAGGACCAGGGCCTGGGCGCCCCTCCTGGGCACCGCCTGGGGTCGGAGTGCCCTCCCCAGGGACCCTGGTGGCCCAGACGCTGCCCCGCTGTGCATCTGCCTCTGTCCCGGCTCCCTGATCACAGGCGCCTTAGGGCTCGCCCATCACCCGGTGAGGATACACAAGACCTGCTGCAACGTGGCTGCGGAAGCAAGGGGGCTAAGGGTGATGATGATGATGGGGTGACAGTGATGTTGGGGTGATGATGATGATGGGGTGACAGTGATGTTGGGGTGATGATGATGATGGGGTGACAGTGATGTTGGGGTGATGATGATGATGGGGTGACAGTGATGTTGGGGTGATGATGATGATCGGGTGATGATGATGATGGGGTGACAGTGATGTTGGGGTGATGATGATGATGGAGGTGACAGTGATGTTGGGGTGATGATGATGGGGTGACAGTGATGTTGGGGTGATGATGATGATGGGGTGACAGTGATGTTGGTGTGATGATGATGATGGGGTGACAGTGATGTTGGTGTGATGATGATGATGGGGTGACAGTGATGTTGGTGTGATGATGATGATGGGGTGACAGTGATGTTGGGGTGATGATGATGATGGGGTGACAGTGATGTTGGTGTGATGATGATGATGGGGTGACAGTGATGTTGGGGTGATGATGATGATGGGGTGACAGTGATGTTGGGGTGATGATGATGATGGGGTGACAGTGATGTTGGGGTGATGATGATGATGGGGTGACAGTGATGTTGGGGTGATGATGATGATGGGGTGACAGTGATGTTGGGGTGATGATGATGATGGAGGTGACAGTGATGTTGGGGTGATGATGATGATGGGGTGACAGTGATGTTGGGGTGATGATGGTGATGGGGTGACAGTGATGTTGGGGTGATGATGGTGATGGGGTGACAGTGATGTTGGGGTGATGATGATGATGGGGTGACAGTGATGTTGGTGTGATGATGATGATGGGGTGACAGTGATGTTGGTGTGATGATGATGATGGGGTGACAGTGATGTTGGTGTGATGATGATGATGGGGTGACAGTGATGTTGGTGTGATGATGATGATGGGGTGACAGTGATGCTGGTGTGATGATGATGATGGGGTGACAGTGATGCTGGTGTGATGATGATGATGGGGTGACAGTGATGCTGGTGTGATGATGATGATGGGGTGACAGTGATGCTGGGGTGATGATGATGATGGAGGTGACAGTGATGTTGGGGTGATGATGATGATGGAGGTGACAGTGATGTTGGGGTGATGATGATGATGGGGTGACAGTGATGTTGGGGTGATGATGATGATCGGGTGACGATGATGATGGGGTGACAGTGATGTTGGGGTGATGATGATGGAGGTGACAGTGATGTTGGGGTGACGATGATGATGGGGTGACGGTGATGTTGGGGTGACGATGATGATGGGGTGACGGTGATGTTGGGGTGACGATGATGTTGGGGTGACGGTGATGATGGGGTGACAGTGATGTTGGGGTGATGGTGATGATGGGGTGACAGTGATGTTGGGGTGATGATGATGATGGGGTGACAGTGATGTTGGGGTGATAATGATGATCGGGCGATGATGATGATGGGGTGACTGATGTTGGGGTGATGATGAGGGTGACAGTGATGTTGGGGTGATGATGATGATGGGGTGACAGTGATGTTGGGGTGATGATGATGATGGGGTGACAGTGATGTTGGTGTGATGATGATGGGGTGACAGTGATGTTGGGGTGATGATGATGATGGGGTGACAGTGATGTTGGGGTGATGATGATGATGGGGTGACAGTGATGTTGGTGTGATGATGATGATGGGGTGACAGTGATGTTGGGGTGATGATGATGATGGAGGTGACAGTGATGTTGGGGTGATGATGATGATCGGGTGATGATGATGATGGGGTGACTGATGTTGGGGTGATGATGGGGTGACAGTGATGTTGGGGTGATGATGATGATGGGGTGACAGTGATGTTGGGGTGATGATGATGATGGAGGTGACAGTGATGTTGGGGTGATGATGATGATCGGGTGATGATGATGATGGGGTGACTGATGTTGGGGTGATGATGGGGTGACAGTGATGTTGGGGTGATGATGATGGGGAGACAGTGATATTGGGGTGATGATGGGGGCAACAGTGATGTTGGGGGTGATGACGATGATGGGGCAATGATGGAGGTGATGAAGATGGGGGTGACAGTGATATTGGGGTGATGATGGGGTGACAGTGATGTTGGGGTGATGATGATGATGGGGTGACAGTGATGTTGGGGTGATGATGGGGAGACAGTGATGTTGGGGTGATGATGATGATGTGACAGTGATGATGTGGGCAATGATGATGGGGGTGATGATGATGGGGGTGACAGTGATGAAGGCGATGGTGGGTGATGATGGGGAATGGTGGTAATAATGGGAGTGATGATGATAATGGCAGTAATGATGGGGGTGATGGGGAGGTGAGGGTGTAGGGCCTCCCACCAACAGGGGAAGGAACATCTGGTCTGAGGTTCACATATTGCAGGGGCTGTATTAAGTGTTGCTTCAACACAATGAGGTAAATGCCCAGGTCCCAAGGCACCAAGACCGGGTCCTCTGGGCCTTCCCCAGTCGCCCTGAGGCCACTTGCTGCCATCCATCCAAACAGTAGGCCTGGCTTGCCTGCTTCCCAGGGTTCCTCATCTCCCAGGCAAGAGGGGTGGCACGGATTCTATAAATAAATAAATAGCGTAAAATTCAACCCAGTAGGAGGCCTGCAAAGCCCTCAGGGTGTGGCCCTTGCTGCCCATCCCCTTCTACAGCTACACTGGCCTTTTCTTCGGCCGGGACACCACAAACGCACTCCCACCCCAGGGCCTTTGTGCCGCTGCCCCATTGCAATGCTTGGCCACAGAGGTCCCCGCAGCCAGCTCCGTGCAGGACCCGTAGTTCCCAGCTCTGGGGCCACTTTGTTAGGGGCCTTACTTCATCCACTTAAGGCATTGTAGAAACACAGACTAGAAGGTTTTAGTCACATACATATCCTGGCTCGATAAGCATTTTATATAGAAGCCCTGGGTGGACATGTTCCAAAACAAGGGCATGGTTTTACTCAGCACCTTTGAATCTTTGATGACTCCAGGCTCTGGTAGGAGCCAGGAGGAGATGTCAGGTCTGAAGCTGAACCCGTGTGGTCGTGGCAGCTCTCCCCACGTGGGTTTCCCAAGGCGCTCAGGCTCTGAGTTGTTCTTCCAGTCTGTAATGTGGTACAAAGGTAGGAGGCATCTCAAAGGATGAACAGAAGTAATGTAATAAGCCCTTAGCCTGAGGCCCGGCACGTAGCGGGCAAGCTGTGAACTCCGACTGCGCCACCGTATTCCGGACATGCTGTGATCGTCGGGTGGGGGCGGATGTTGAAGCATCAGTGGCCTCTGTCTGGTTAGCGACGCTGCACCTCCTGACCCCTTTCTACTCCCTCAGGCTTGGTCCTTCCCTGGGCCCCGTTAGCTTCACTGTGAGTGCCTCCCATTCATCCAGGCATCCGTGTCCCACGCAGAGGTCCCCATGACAGTGAGGACTTACGTCTTTTAAACTGCAGTTCCCGTAGTCCCTGGAGCGGTGCCTGGCATGTCGTGGGCTCAATAAATAATCATTGAATAGATGAGTAATTGAATCAATGAAGAGAGAAAATGGCCTAAGCTGAAGCCACATCAGTGTGGCCATGGAGTGAGGGGCAGGGGGAGGTTCTGCCAGCCCTGAACCCTTCTCTTTGCGGGGCAGCCTTCGTACACCACATCTCTTTTGAGTCTGTTTTCCTGGGGGGGTTGATAATTCCTTCAGAACATTACTGGGGGGCACTGTGGAGTGTTAACTTGTGAATGGAAGTGTTTCTTGAGTGGAGCAGCTGGAGGAATTCTGAGATGGCCCATGACTGCCGCCCTGGTGTGCACACACTTCCTCCCAGCTGTTCACCAGGATTCCAGGGCGGCTGGGAGGGCTTGTTATGGGGTTAAGATCCCAAAGCAGTTGACCTTACGGTAGGGAGATAATTGGGGGACCCGGCCTAATCACACGGACCCTCTAAAAACGATTTTCTCCACCTGCAGGCAGGCGGCCTCCAGGAGCTAAGAGTAGGAAGGAGCATAGAGACCTCTGTCCTGCAACTTCCAGAAGAAAATTCCCCCAGCAATTGGGAGCTGAAAAGTGGCCCTCAGCCCATAGAAGTCTCACAGCCCTGGCCGGTGCCATGAATTCAGCCTGCTAAGACCCGAAAGTGAAGTTGCAACATGCCCAGGCCACTGACCTGTGGAAACTGAGCTGAGGGTTGGTGCTACTCTCAGCGCCTGTGCTCATGGAAATTTGTTATTCAGCAACAGGAAATTAGTGCAAATAGAAAAGGCTGCCTCAAACATGGTCATGGACACTGCCATGTTCCAGCCCCAGGAATAAGACACAAATGGTTCTCGTGAGCGCTCGGCCGTCCATCAAAGCAAGCCTTGATTCCACACAGGAGAGAAATCTGATGACTCAGGCCCTGGGGCCTTTTGGGTTCAGGATAATCGTGAGTTTGTTATACTGAATTTCTTAACAGGAATTTAATGAACAAGTTCCCTGTTTTGAATTCCAGTTCCATTTATTAGTCAGGGTGAAGGGAGGCTGCTGTAACAAGGAGCCCCACTACACCGTTGCTTAAAATACAGGCCTGCGCCCACCTCCTCCTGCAGGGGCACCAGGCAGGCGGCCCTCCCCGTCCCCCGTGGCAACTGTCTCCAGGCCGCGCTTGGCAATAGCGGGAAATAAAATGACGAAGGTTACTCCTCCTCCTCCTCAGTGCACCTCTTCCTGGGGATTAAAACAAGGACCTCAGATGTCTACACTACAGACGGTGGGGTTGCCTTGGGCCCTACTCCAATTAGGTCTAGAATGCACTGCATGGTCAGAGTGGGCTGGAGCTGCAGGAGGGGCAGGGCCAGCACCAGCATGCAATTGGTGAGGGGAGGGCTTCAGTGCTGGGCGGGCAGCCTCCTCTGGGACCTGGCTATAGTGGGCCAGCCTGGTGGTGAGTTTGTGTCTGACGTGGGCTCTGCCACCTGCCAAGTGTCTGATCTGAGGACAAGTGGTGCTTTCTGGGCCTCAGTGTCTTCATCTGCAAAACGGGACCGTGAGACCACACCTGACTGCCAGGGTTGTTAGTGGACAGGCCTCAAAAGGTTGCCTGGCACATGCCGGGCGTGCCCTAAACCAGCATCCAGGGCAGTGCCGCTCACCAGAAGCCGCAGGACCTGTGTATGGAGCTAGTTCAGTCGGTGACCTGCTGAAGGAGTGTGGGGCACGGGGGCCGCGGATTCTGAACACACCTCATCCTTACAGTGATGACGGCAGAGTGCCTGCTTATTAGCAGCTTTAGCCAATTTGCAGTTTATCTTGGTGCTCACCCAAACAGGCTGCAAACCGAGACAAACACACTTTGAGGTCATCACCCCATGACTCAGAACATTTTCCTGATGGTTTCCGTGCTGAGGAAAGAAAAAGAAGGCCTTGAAATATTGCCAGTGGAAAAGGTTTGTGTGTGCAGCTGATGGCAGATGGTGGGTTCTGGCAGCCTGGCTGGTAAGCCCCTGGCATCGGGTCTGTGCTGGTCACTCATGTGCCCGGGAAGCCCAGGATGTGGGGGTCTGTGCTGGTCACTCAGCTTCCTGGGAACCCAGGGTGTGAGTGTCTGCGCTGGTCACTCATGTGCCCGGGAAGCCCAGGATGTGAGGGTCTGTGCTGGTCACTCAGTTGCCCTGGAAACCCGGGGTGTGGGGTCTGCACTGGTCACTCAGCTGCCCGGGAAGCCCACGGCATGGGGGTCTGTGCTGGTCACTCTGTTGAAGCTCTTCTTCTTTTCAATTTGGGGGATGTGAGGCTCTGTCCCACCTCCTGGCCTTGTTCTAGTTGTTGACAGAATGGTTAGCTTTGAAAATCAGGCAGAGTACTTTAGGCAACTTCCATGGTAAAAGAGGTTCATTTTCTCCCACACCCCATGGGGCCAATTCCTTTGAAATCTAAAGAGCAGAAGGAGAGAAGGGAAGGGAGCCGTGCTCTGATGCTGCTTGCCGCTGTTTCTCTCATGGGGGACACACTTTTTTCCTTGCTCCAAGACTCACTTTTCATCCCCATTCAGGTTCCGGGAGCTCTCCTAGGTGTTGGAAAAGCCATGGTGAGCACACACTGCTCGCGCCATCCTGGAGAGGAACCTCCAGCCAGAGAAGCCAACATGCGCACGACGCACACACCACAGAGAAGGCACAGATGAGCGCACACAATGCACACACCACACCACGGTGGAGCTGACGGTGGCAGGGAAGGCACAGATGGGCGCACACAATGCACACACCACACCACGGTGGAGCTGACGGTGGCAGGGAAGGCACAGATGGGCGCACACGACGCACACACCACACCACGGTGGAGCTGACGGTGGCAGGGAAGGCACAGATGGGTGCACACAATGCACACACCACACCACGGTTTTGCCCCCTGCACCTTCTATCCTGAGGATGTTGTCAACAGGGCTAACAGACTCTGACTTCCGCACCAATGACTCCTAGTCCCTCAGTGATGAATTTGAATGCTCTGCAGCGGCTCTGTCCAGCTGATTGACCTGGGGTCAGGAAGAAGACAGGCAAGGGCCAGGCTGTGGCCTCGGTGTTGGCAGATGCGTTTCTGGGTGGAAAAGCTGCACAGCAGACACCCCAAGCCGGGAGTCAGGAGTTATTAGGAAGAAGTCCTCTGGGACAGCATGTGGGGGCCTGGCCCGCTGCATTCCCCACCCTCCACAGAGAGGCTTTGGTGTTGTTTCCAAGCCCTGCTCCAAGGTGGCTCTAGAGCCTGCACCTTCAAATGCACCCTGGGCAGACCATACCATCTCTGCGGGTGAGCTGGGCTGTCCCCTCCACTGGGTCAGAGACGCTGTCCTCCCGCAGAGGATGTGCAGGGAAGGAAAGGCTTTGGGAAGGTCCCCCGGTCTGGGCTCAAGCCAGGCCAACCATCCTACAGAGACAGGAAACCTGGAGCTTCCCACAGCAGCCCAAAGTTCCAGGGGAGGGGAGGCAGGGAAGACGTCCAGCCCACATAGCACGCACTTGCACACGCACACACCTGCACACCCACACACACATCCATGTGCACATGTGCACACACTTGCATACCTGTGTACACATGCACATACGCCTGCACAAACACACCCCTGTACACACAGGCACATGCACACACCTGCACACATGAGCACACACCTGCGTACCTGCACACACACACCTGCACACACATGCACACGTGCACACACCTGCACCACACATGCATACACACAGGCACACACATCTACACACACACCTGCACATGCACACACGCACATCTGCCTAAACATGTCCATGCACACGTGTGCACACACACAAACTAAAGGAAACACTGTTCTCTGGCTTCATCTTAGTGGTCTCTGTGTGGCACAGACATGCTTGCACGTGGAGGCTTTGCTGCACAAAGGTGAGAAGGAGACATCTGCCCATGGGGAGACATGAGCTCAGCTGCAGGCCAGGGGCACAGGGCTCAGGGGGATGTGTGCCAGGAAGGATGGCCCGGTCTGGCCTGGGGCTCTTGGAGGTTGAGGGATGTGGACTTTCTTTCAAGGGTAGAGGGGAGGGCCTCTGGGGGCCATGGATCTGGCATGGGGTGATGGGCTCGGACATTTAGATGTGAGTCAGGAGCATCTGCTGTGCAAGATCCCAGCTGAACCCAGGCTGGGCCAGGGCAGCAGGAAGCAGTGGAGGAAGGGGCATGACAGGCTCTCAGAGGGTATTGGCGGGCTTTTCCTTCTCGTGTCTGCCTGATGAAAGACAACGCCATCCTCAGGGGCCTCCTTGACTGAGAGTGGAGGGTGTCTGGCCACCTGGGGGCAAGTGTTCTGGGGTGCAGTGTGTTTGGATGTGAACCTGCTTCCCGACTGGAAGGGGTCAGGGAGTGAGGCTGGGGAGACGGGAGCAGGGGATGGGAACTGGACCTTGTGCAGGACATTAGGAGAAACAGGGGGCAGTGTCTTGGGAGACCCCACCTGGTGCTCAGGGAACACAGTGCAGGGTGCCCCAGGTGCCTTGGGAGATGGAGGACAGAGGATAAGCCGTGGTGGCCACTCTTGAGCCAAGCAGCAAGGGGTGGGGCAGGGCTGGCCATCGCCAGGGGCCCTGGGGACCGGGGCACATTGGACATCTTCTCTGGCCCTGAGTCTGTGCTGAGCAGGGATCTGTAGAGATTGGTTGACTATTGCGCTAAAACTCAGTTTTATGCTCCGAACACTTGGTCAGTTAAACTTCACAATTGCTGTCATTTTTGTAAGCATCGCCTGACTGCAGGAATGCAGCAATCCCACACATGACATGTCCTTCCCAGTCCACCGCAGCTTTCTCGCCGGGAGGGCCATTGCAGATGTGGACACACAGCAAACAGGTCTGAACGCAAGCAATGGAGATGGGACCAAGTCATCTTCTGAGAGGGGAACCTTCCAGAAAGTTGAGGGATCTTCTGAGTTGAAGTCCCCAGGGACTGTGACAGCCCAGAGCAGGTTGCACCCTGGAGGCAACAAGGACTGTGGTCTCAGCCATTGCCAGGTTGCTGACTTGAAAAATGAAGACACTTAGCACATGGTTCTAGTTTCACGCGTATATCTTGATGTGCTTCCACAGGAACAGTCATTTAGGAAATTTTATACTCTAACATTTCACAAACACTGGAACTCCACCCTGGCAAGGGGCCGTGCTCTGCAGGCTGGCAGAGCATGTGTCTGCGCGTCTGTCCAGCCACCCCGTGACCCCACATGGGCTGTGCTCACACTTTCTCTCAAGCGACAATGACCCATTTGTAGAATGATTATCTTTTCCTAAGACTAAAATGTCCCATTTATAAATATAATTGGTCTACTTTTAAGAAAATTTTACCTGGTTTTACTTTAAGAAAGACTCTGGGATTCTGTGTGTCATTACAATAATTGTCTTTATTTTATTTGCAAATATCATATTTGACGCAAAGGAATGCTGTAACACACATGTTTGCACATCGCGATGAAGGCCCCAGGAAACCCTCCCTCTGAGGATAGGACAGGACTGGCACCCCCATGCCTGCCTGCCTGCCTGAGCCCCGCTGGGTCCCACACCAGGGACCCACGCCTGGACTTGGTGCCATGATCTCATTGCTTTAAAAAATGTTTATCACATTTGTGTATTTGCTGAACAACATGTCGTTGTTTTGGTTGGTTTTCAGCTTTGAAAAATGGTATCACACTACCTGTTCTCGTCCAGAGCTTGTCACATTTCATGAGTCACCGATTTAACTCCTCATGGCTGTAGTTTGTTCATCTTCACCACTGTGTACTACTCCACGATGGACCACATCACAGCTCCCTACTTCCTCCTCCTGCCAGTGGACTCTGACGTTGTTCCCAGGACTTTGCCATTGCAAACGGCACTGGAGTCACCTGTTGTTGATTTTCTGCCTGATCATCTGTCTTTTTCTTATTTTGTTTTTTTTTTTAAAATTTTTAATACTTTTATGATGGGCATATTTATACATATTCAAAAGGAAAGAAAACATCACAGTGAATCCCTGGACCAGAGCTGGCTGCGCAATCACCTGCATGTGGACCCTTGTTTTGTCTGTTCCTCTGTCCACTTACCCCTCCTGCCGGGATTATTTTGAACCAATGAATTTTTAATATATTCTGGATGTTAATATTTTGTTATGTGGTTGCAAACAGCAGCTAGTTCATGTCTAATCCTTTTCATCTTTTGCCGCACAGGAGTTCTCAATTTTAATGTCGTTCCACTTATCCATCTTTTTGATGATTAGCATTTTTTGTGTGTGTTTAAGAAATAATTTCCCTTCCTAAACTCAGATGTTTTTCTCATTCTAAAATTCAAAAGGTTTTTCACATTTAAGTCGTGACTTACGTGGAGTTGATTAATGTGTAAGGCGTAAGGATGTGATCTCATTGGACCTTTTCACATGAGCCCTCCCCAGCCGGCAGCATCACACTTCCACTGGCAAAGGGTCTGTGCACGCACACGCGGGGCTGCTTTTGGACTCTGCCTTGTTCCCCTGGTCAGTTTGCTCATTGCTGGGCCGATGTCATGCTGCCTTACCTTCATAATAAGTTTTGACAGGAATTACACTTTTTGGGAGTTTCTTAGATATGTCTGGCACGTTGTTCTTCCATACAGATTGTAGAATTATTTTTTCTAATTTCATGAAAACCCCTGTTAGGATTATGATTACAACTGCACCAAATCCAGAGGCCAATTTAAGGAAAACAGTCACCTGCATCAGGTTGAGCTTCTCTGTGTCTCTGGCTATAAACACGAGCTCTCTCTCCATTTGCTTAGGTTTCCTGTTATGTCTTTTGACAAAATTTTATAATTTTCTGCGTTAGGTCTTATGCAACTTTCTAAGGATTTATTTCTGGGTCACATAGTTTTTGTTGCCGTTATAAATTTTTGTTTGTGTGTTTGTTTGAGAAGGAGTCTTGCTCTGTCGCCTAGGCTGAAGTGCAATGGCGTGATCTTGGCTCACTGCAACCTCAGCTTCTCAGGTTCAAGGGATTCTCCTGCCTCAGCCTCCCGAGTAGCTGGGATTACAGGTGTGTGCCACCACGCCTGGCTAATTTTCAACATAGATGGGCTTTCACCATGTTGGCCAGCCTGGTCTTGAACTCCTGACCTCAGGTGATCCACCCGCCTTGGCCTCCCAAAGGGCTGGGATTACAAGCGTGAGCCACCACACCCAGCCATAAATTGTATTTTTTTTAAAGTCATGTTTTCTAAGTCTTGTTGCTGCTGTATGTGTGCAATTTATTTTTATACATTGATCTTAGAGCAGGCACCTTGTAGACTATGTATTTATAATAACTTTTCTGAGGTCTTTAGTTTTACATAGGCAATCATATTGTCTGCAAGCAATGAATGTTTGCTTCTTCCTTTTCGATTCTTAAGGCTTGTATCTTAAACATAATGTGCGTGCTGGGTGATTTTGAATACAAATGGTGATAGTAGAAATCCTTGTCTTTTTCCTGACTCCAAAGCAGATGCTTTTAAATTCTGCACAACACCGATTGACTTTGAGATCCATTCCTGTGTTCAGACGCTTGAAGGATGTCTAGGATCTCCTAAATGCTGGGGAAGGGCAGAGGGGAGACGGAATTAAGGGGAGGTCACTCAGGTTGGTTCGTTCCGGGCCTGCCTTTTGCTGGGCAGGGAGAAGGAGGTCCCATGCTCTCACTTGAGTTGGTTTCCTGATCAATTTCAGAAATTTCCTCCATTTTAGGGCAAAAGAAACAGAAGGGCGGGAGAAAATCGTAGGCACTGCTTCTCTGGAACATTCCGTAGTTGGTCACTTCCTTAGTTGATGCCGAGAAGTTTGTGGACAAGTGAGGAGCTTGGAAAGGGCTCCCAAGAGGCCGGCAAGGCTGTGGAGAAGCAGGGTGGGACAAGAGGCTCTTGGCGGCAGGAAAGTTTCAGGCACAGCCCCCCTCAGCCTGGCCCCAGAGTCAGCTGGTCAGGCTCGCTAGGGGAGGGAGATCTCCACGCTCTTGTCCACCCAAACACTGGCCGCAGGGACACTGGCCTGGGGGTCCTAAGTTCCCGACGCTGCTGATGTGGGCAGCACACGGCTGCTGAGGTGCAGCCCAGGCCAGGTGGCACGAGCAGGGTGCTGGCATCTGGAGATGGGCCGGTCTCAGCGGGGCTTGCTGTGGCCACAGTGCCGTCAGGTTTCTTCCCGTGAGAACTCACTGCAGACTCACAGATTTGAACACATTTGTAGGCCTGGGCGGGGGGCTCTGCAGGTTTGCTATTCCTGCAACCGTCTTGGTGATATGGGAGTGCTGGGCAGAGGAGGGAGTGGCCCCTGGCCACCCCCACGGACCTAGGTGAGGACAGGCACTCTGGCCTTCCTGCTCAAATGTTGCACTTTCCAAGACCACCCTGGCCCCCTACACCCCCATCCTGAGCCTGTGAAAACCAAGACCCTAGTGGGCAGACACAGAGAAGCAGCTGGACGTCGTGAGGAACCCGTCGGTGGAAGAAGACACAAGCGGTGGGTCGTCGAGAGCACGCGGGCAGAAGAGCACGCTGCCAGGCACCAGCAGGCCATCGACTGTGGAATGACGCGGAGTTCGGCCTGAGAGGTCGGAGGAGCGTCAGCGGCCGGACTCCAGGGAAAACCACCTCCCTTCTGGCTCCCCCATCTGCTGAGAGCTACGTCTACTCAATAAAACCCTACACTCATTCTCCAAGCCCACGTGTGATCCGATTCTTCTGGTACACCAGGGCAAGAAACTCCAGGATACGGAAAGCCCTCTGTCCTTGTGATAAGGCCAGGGTCTAATTGAGGTCGTTAACACAAGCCGCCCATAGACAGAAAGCTAACAGAGCACCCTGGAACACACGCCCACTGGGGCTACCCCTGTGAACATTCCCCCCTGGACACTGCCGTGGAGTCGGAGCCCCAAGCCTGCCCATCTGTCTGCTCCCCTTGAGGTTTGCGCAGTGGGACACTGAAGAAGCGAGCCACTCCCCCATCGCACATCTGTGAAGGGGACGAGGGAACCTTTCCCGTTTCATTGGGAATCTTTGACCTGACAGGATGTTCCAGGCTCATGTGGAGCATTTTCTACCCTGGACCTGGAATTAGCCACTTTCTGGAGTCCTGGCTTCTTTTCGTGGAAAGGAAGTTTAGGTTCCAACGCAGGCTCTAGGAATGTGTGTTCTTAATAGGGTGGCCTTATTTCTAGCTTCTTTCAACAGATAGACCTGAGAAATGCATTTTCAAATTCAAGACTTAACATACTGTATCTTCTGTTTCTTCTTTCCGTGCCCAAAATGCTGCTTCCCCATGACGCAACATAATTACTCATGCTCTCTCTTCCCTTATGTGTGCAATCGTCCTAGAATAAAACACCAGAACCAACAATGTGATTCCCACAGCAGGTTAAGGGTTTTTCACCTCTTCTTGATCTTATGCTATGCATGTTCCACTGGGTAATTTCTATGTTCTGAAGTCACTTGAGTTTGTCGCTGTGTGGTTGTGTGAGTCGATGCAGGCTTTTGGGGAAGGAATCCGGTAGAATCGACTGAAATTGAAAACACACTCGTCACTTCAGCAGCTTCTCTCCAGGAGTCTGCACTGCACTGCATTCTGCAGGGGAGAACATGGGTGCATGAGGAAAGATGCACGTGGCCTGGCAGACAGATGGGTGTTTACCGCACTATCTGCCCTCCCCTCAGAGACTAAGCCAAGTGGTGGCTGACTGGTTGTGGCTCATCTGTGGATGGTTCTGTGGCTGTTTCAGACACCATGCATCTGTACCAGCTCCTTGGAACCATTTTCTTGAGTGAGGAAAGGAAAAGAGGCAGTAAAAATTATGTGGTGGTGAGATCCTGTATCTGAAACAGTGACATGATTGCCTCATGTATGAGCACAGATAATTGCACAGGATTCACTGGAGTGGGAGACGCTCGGAAGGACACATGCCTTGTGGTTTATATCTGGGGTGGGGGAGAGGAGGGGAAGGGAGGGGCAGGAAGCAGCTGGCCAAAAAAGCCTTTTATATTGTATTATTTTTTATTTTTTGTTTTTTTTTGTGGGTTAACAGGCATTTTCTTTTTTAAAAATTTTAAGTTTGGGGGTACATGTGCAGGATGTGCAGGCTTGTTACATAGGTAAACATGTGCCATGATGGGTTGCTGCATAGATCATCTCATCACCTAGGTATCAAGCCCAGCATCCATTAGCGATTCTTCCTGATGCTCTCCTTTCCCCTCCCCCACCCCCCACAGTCTCCAGTGTGTGTTGTTCCCTGCCATGTGACCCTGTGTTCTCATCATTCAGCTCCCCCTTATAAGTGAGAACATGCAGTATTTGGTTTTCTGTTCCTGTGTTAGTTTGCTGAGGATGATGACTTCCAGCTCCATCCATGTCCCTGCAAAGGACAGGATCTCCTTCCTTTTTATGGCTGCATAGTATTCCATGGTGTACGTGTAGCATGTTTTCTTTATCTAGTCTATCATTGAAGGGCATTTAGGTTGATTCCGTGTCTTTGCTATTGTAAATAGTGCTGCAATGAACATAGCACGCATGTATCTCTATAATAGAATGATTTATATTCCTTTGGATATATACCCAGTAATGAGGTTGCTGGGTCGAATGGCATTTCTGTCTTTAGGTTTTTGAGGAATTGCCGCACTGTCTTCCACAATGGTTGAACTAGTGTACACTCCCACCAACAGTGTAAAAGTGTTCCTTTTTCTCCCCAACCTTGCCAGTATGTTATGTTTTGACTTTTTAGTAATAGCCATTCTGACTGGCATGAGATGTTATCTCATTGTGGTTCTGATTTGCATTTCTGTAATGATCAATGATGTTGAGCTTTTCTTCATATGTTTGTTGGCTGCATGTATATTTTTTAAAGAAGAGTCTGTTCATGTCCTTTGCCCACTCAAAAAGGCTTTTAGAAAAGACTGGCCCTGAGAAAAACTTCACATGTGATCCCATCCCATTGATGTAATAATTGGTGTGTGCAGATGTATAAAATGACAGTCACCAACATTTTAACTGTGGGCACTGCAGGGTTCTGGGTTTTTAGTGATTTTTCTTTCTTTAAAGGAAGGTTGGAATTTTTTTTTTTTTGAGATGGAGTCTTGCTCTGTCGCGCAGGCTGGAGTGCTGTGGTGTGATCTCTGCTCACTGCAACCTCCACCTCCCAGGTTCAAGCAATTCTCTGCCTTAGCCTCCTGAGTAACTGGGATTACAGGCACTCACCACCATGCCCTGCTGATTTTTTTGTATTTTTCGTAGAGATGGAGTTTCACTATCTTGGCCAGGCTGGTCTTGAACTCCTTCGTGATCCACCCGCCTCAGCCTCCCAAAGTGCTGGGATTACAGGCATGAGCCACTGTGCCTGGCTGGGCGGTTGGAATTTTTATACCAAAAATGTGCTTTAAAAATTACTTATTAGGAAAAGAGCAATACGGCTATTTTACTGTGGGGAAAAACAAGACCTGCAATGAGATGAGGTCTGCGGGCTGCTCGGCCGGCCTGTCCTGGACACGCCTCGTAGCAGGGAATCAGGGGCAGGTAGGCAGTGACATGAGGTACTGTGGCCCCAGCTCTGCTCTGTGGGGGGTCACGATGGAGAGCTTCAGGCATTGGTGCGGCTTGGTTAGCAGGGCTCAGGCCAAAATGTTTCAGAAACGGTGTCTCAAGTTATATAAGAGCAACTGTGTGCCAGGACCAGCCTGGGACAATGCCCGCTCTTGCTGGTGTCTGGACATTCTTTGCCCTTCCCAGGGAGGACCCAGATCCCTGTTCCTCTGGCATCTCGCCTGCCTGGCTTAGGAAGAGGGCAGAGCATTGTCAGGTTTTCCTGTCTTCTCGGCCTTTGAGAAAAACTACTCTTCAGTGGGAAGTGTTTTCCTAGGCTTTATTTGGCGGCGTGCTGGGGAACTTTTAAATTACTGCCTTCCTTTACCGTCACGTAATTCTTGTATTAATGCTTCTTGTGCAAAAAGAAAGGGAAGCTGCTACCGTGCTTTATTAGGGCTTTCCAGGTGGTCCAGGTTTTTAAAATCCCATTTCCATAGATTAACTTATGAGTAATGAAAACAACCACTGTGCACATAATAAAATTGATGATTATTTAATGCAGATGATTAAAAAATGCCCACTTTGATCACCACTGAGCTCAGTGGAATAAGGAGAAATGTGAATCTTTCTGAGGTGTTAGTATTTATTTCCAAGCCACAACGAGTGCCACTGCTGTGTTCTCAATAGTGTGCAGTGCTACATCTTGATCAGTTTTCCAAAATGAACACGTTTGTGAAACACCCCATCAGTCGTGCGCGTGGTTCCATCTGGTGCCCTCAGCAACCCTGTTGGTTAAAGAGTTGAAGTTCAGAGAGATTAAATGACACCTCTAAAGATGAACAGTCAACAAAGAACTGAGCTGAAATCAGGGTTAACTGTTTTAAGTAAATATCCGGTGCTTTCCCCACAGGAATGGGTGGCTTTTCACTTAATCAACCAAATGGCCTTGGTTTGAGCCCATCTTAATGGCTGTGAACTGTATGGAAAATGGATGTTGTGGAATTCAGTTAGCCCCACCTTCCTTCCTGGCCCCTCCTGCTGTGGCCGAATTCTGTTAATTGCAACTAAATTTTGTTCTCCAAGTGCCGGCCATGAACAGCCTTGTCTTAAAAGCAAGGCCAAGATGGCACATCGCCAGCGGTCAGCGGCAGCATTTATAGGTGTCGTCCTGCAACGGGCTTGCTGGTCACGCTGGCGCTGTGTAACACGCACGCTCACCTTGCACCGTCTGTCATGAAATCCTGGCGCTATCACATGCTCCTTCCTTGCCTTACATGTGCGCATTTATGCTGAGTTTGGAAAGGAGCTGCCATTTGTTCCAGCAGGAGTCAGCCAGGTCAATCTCTGGGAGGCCCAGATAAAGCCGTTTGCCTGGCGCATGGAGGGCTGGAGACAAACAGCCCTCGGAAAGATAATGGGTTTGCCTGACACTGGGCCTGTGAATCATAACAAGATCCAAGGACTGGAGCAAGTCCAGGAATTGGCAACATCACTCGTTCATCACCACACTTCAAAGCTCAGAGTGCAGACTACCTGAAGTTAAATTAATCAACTCTTAACTCACCAAAAATCACCTCCTTTTACTTACTCTTCAAAATAGAGGAAAGAAAAATTTTATAAAAACAAATGATAAGCACAAAACTCAGGTTTTAAACTACCTCTTCTGAGACAGAAACAGCAAAGGAAGAAGTGAAAGGTGCCCACCCTCCATGGGTAGCCCACATTTCATTGCTGGTGATATGGTGGGGATCCTACTTAGCCTGACAACCTGACATACTCTCTGTGCTTAGGAATTCATAGTGTGGTATTTTAGATTCCAAATCACAATCACTGGTGAGGACATTTAGAGAAGTCCCTGAGGTTACAGCAAAAGAGGCAAAACCCAATGTGGATCAGGAGCCGTACATGTGCCTGTGTATAGGCATGTGTGTGTGCCTTTGCATATACACATGTATGCATGTGTTTGCTCGTGTGTGCGCCTGTGTGTATGCATGTGTACATGTGTGTTTCCATGGGTATTTGTGTGCATGTGGCTGCACACTTGTGTGCCTGTGTGTGTGCATGGGTACATGTGTGTTTGCATGGGTATTTGTGTGCATGTGCCTGCATACGTGTGTGCCTGTGTGTGTGCATGGGTACATGTGTGTTTGCATGGGCATTTGGTGTGCATGTGTATGTATGTTTGCATGCATGCACACACATGCATAAGGGCATGCATACACATGCCTGCACACATGTGTGCCTGTATGAGTGCCTGTGTGCATGTGACTGTGCTTATGGGGACATGTGTTTGCCTGTGCAGGTGTGACAACGTGTGTTTTATGTGCATGTGTTTTGCATGCCTGTGTGCACATATGTGCATGTTTGTATTTAGGTGCACATGTGTTTTGTGTGCATGTGTGGGCATATGTGCATTGTGCACATGACTATGTGCCTATGGGCACGAGTGTTTGCATGTGCACATATGTGCATGCCTGTGTGCACATATGTGCATATATTTGTGTGTACATGTGTGCACAGGTTTGCCTGTGCCCATGTGCATCTGTGTGTTATGTATTTGCATGTTCATGTGTGCAAGTGTATTTGCATGTGTGCATGGTGGGTGCATATGTACATGTATGTGCATGCACATGTGTCCCTGAAAGTGGACTATATTCAAGCTGCTCTTACATAGGCCAGTAGAGGTTATCCTGGCTTCTGGGCCAGGGCAAGTCAAACAGCTTTGATGACCACAAGCTGCCCCTCCCCTGCCAGGGCCAGAACAGATTAAACCCAGAGCTCATGATGCCAATCTGTGTTCAGTTGCAGGTTGGTATTATAGGCAAGCAGCACTTAAATAACCTAAATCGTCAGAAATTACAAAATAAATGTTCTGTGCCTGGTAACGGTGAGCAATTTATCTGACATTTGATTCCAGTTTGCCATTTACAAGGTAATTTCACAGGTCTCCTCTGTTGTCCCAATCAGACTGGGAGTAGAGCTCCATGAAGCAGGAGGCTCAAATCACTCGAGAGAGACCAAGGACCCCAAGGAAACAACCTGTCCTCCTGCAGGAAGCTGACCTGGTGTGACCTCTGTGTGACCAGTGACCCGAGCCCTGTGGTCTATGGGGTAACATCTGCCTGACCAGGCTCTCTGAGCCCTGTGGTCTGTGGGGTGTCATCTGCCTGACCAGGCTGTCCAGAGGGTTCCAGAAGAACCCTGACCTTGAAGACTGCAGCTCCCTGTTCCGGCTGGCAGGTGACGGAGCGATGGTGCAGACACCCATGCGTGCTCTTGGATGTTTAATGGAAACATAGACCGGGACAGGCCAGGGGCACAGAGGGGAGAAAGCGCAGTCTGTGTCCTGGACGGTGGCCAGGAGGCAGAGACAGGAACGCTGATGCAGATCATAGCGTGTGTCATTGAAACACACAGCTGTGCCTGCTAGCCCAAGACACAGGAGGGTCTGAGTCAGTCAAAGTGAGGAGGTCAGGGCTGGAATCCCAGAGGAGAGCATTCTCGTTCCGAGATTTTAGGAAAAAGTGGAGTTAACAGCCAGAGAAATGTTGAGGTCTAGGTGGGTTGGAGGGCTTCTAGACTCACAATGGGGTGTGTGGCGTGAGAGTATGAGGTCATAGCCTGTTAGGGAAGCCACGTGGCAGCCAATGACGAAGCGTGTGTGCAGGCATGTGTGTGTGCGTGTGTGTAGGTGTGTGCAGGCACGTGTGTGTGCATGTGTGTACATGTGTGCAGGCAGGTGTGTGTACGTGTGTGTGCAGTCACATGTGTATACATGTGTGCAGGCACGTGTGTGTGCGTGTGTGTACGTGTGTGCAGGCAGGTGTGTGTGTGTGTGTGCAGTCACATGTGTGTATACATGTGTGCAGGCACGTGTGCGTGTGTTTGCGTGTGTGCAGGCACGTGTATGTGTATATATGTGTGCAGGCATGTGTATGTGTATATATGTGTGCAGGCACGTGTGTGTGTGTGCGTGTGTGCAGGCACGTGTGTGTACGTGTGCATGTGTGCATGTGTGTGCATGTGTGCAGGCATGTATGTGTATACGTGTGTGCAGGCGTGTGTGTAAGTGTGTGTGTATAGCAATCTGTAGTCCATGAGTAGATATCTTGCGCAAGTAGAAATATTGACCAGGCCTAGGGAGTAAACGGCTGTAAGACAAGGGCTCTTTCTGTGTCTGCTGCCTCTGGTGCTCATCACATTGTGGCTGTCCGACATGTGTTTGTGCGTACACACAGTGCGTATGCATTCCACAGCAGCCGGGAGTCCTCCCTGAGCAGACGATTCTAAGGCACCACTTCCCTCCGCACCCACCGTTTCATGGACTCGCCTTTGGAACAGCCCAGAGGGCCGCGGGACCAGGGTGTGCTGATGGGGCCTCTCTCACTTGGGCTGCTCAGCTCCTTTCTCATGCGTCTGTCACACGTGCCGCGTGTGATGCCATATTGAATAGATGGGCTCTATTTTTGTCCTCCTTTCTAATCGTGGGCTCTTCATCTTAAGAAATCGTTTCGGCCGGGCACCATGGCTCACGGCTGTAATCCCAGCACTTTGGGAGGCCGAGGCCAGCTGATCATGAGGTCAGGAGATCGAGACCATCCTGGCTAACACGGTGAAACTCCGTCTCTACCAAAAAATACAAAAAATTAACCGCGCGTGGTGGCAGGTGCCTGTAGTCCCAGCTACTCGGGGGGCTGAGGCAGGAGAATGGCGTGAACCCGGGAGGCGGAGCTTGCAGCGAGCCGAGATCGTGCCACTGCACTCCAGCCTGGGGGACAGAGCAGGATTCTGTCTCAAAAAAACAAGAAAAAAAAAAGAAATGGTTTCTTACCTCTCTGAATCTCCTTCCGCCCAAGGCAGCAGTGCCTGGAAGAGAGGGCAATGCCAGCATTCTGTATTTGTTTTGAACTGAACTGCATCATTTCCTGGTGTAAGAAGAGAATGAATTTCGTATTTTAAATCTCTAAGTTTGGCTTTGGTCATTAAACACTGAACACAGGGAAGCATTTTGTTGTTACTATCGGAATTCCTCGATGACCAAGATGAGAATGGTGCCAACAAAGTAGCTTTAAAAATCGTTGACTTTTTATTTTTACACAAGATTTAGGATGGAACTATTTTGACATAAAGTCAAGCTAGAATGTCACAATATGTGGACCAACCTGAAGCTAGATCCCTCTTAAGATAACTTAATCCAGTGTGGATTGAATGAAACTCTTATTTTTTTTTCTATCAGCTACTCTTTTCCCAGCTTTTGCTACCAGAGTTGGTGGCTGTCATCAAAACCTTCATCCTGGTTGACACCAGGATGTGCATGTGGATGAACATTGAAAACTCTACCAAGCCCTGGGAGGTTCTATCCACATAACCCATGAAGGCAAATGCTATATGCAAAGGTTTGTGATCACGTGTCCTGCCTTTGAATCGATGGACTTTTGCAGGAATTTGTTGGCAGGTAGCTCTGTCCAGTATTTTCAGAAGGACATGAACCTGTACCAAGGTCTGTCAAACCTGGTCAAAGAGGAGATCAATTCCACGTTGTAAATTGTCCTTTGCACATGAATAGAGGTTGTGTGGCTGGAGCCTGTCAGCCTGAGTGGTCTTCAGATTGTCAGCAATGCCAGACAAGGCCACGTCTTTCTCATCTCTGCATACTCTGCACATGGCAGGTGACAGATAAATGTGTGTGCGCTTTGGGAGGGCCACGTAATGTGGGGAGGGGAACTGTTTGCATCATACGAACACTTACAGCTCCTGTGGCTTTGGGGATTTGATGAACATGTGTTCAGAGCATGTGTGTGCATGTAGACCCGCTCCAGGCCTGCACTACCTGCCCCCTGCCCCCGCCATACACGTACTTTAGAAATGCAGACATGGGGTGTGGCTTCAGCATTTACAACTGTCCCAAGCAGGGAGGCATCGGGTGGTAGTGTCTGGTGTGTGGGGCTTACCTTTCCTCCTGACCCTGGACAGACTCACAGATAAGAGCATCTAATTTCATGAGTCACAGGTCCCCTAGCTAGGACTTTCTATTGCAATGTCAAATTTATAGCCCTGCTAAAGACCCCTTCTCCTGGGAACTTCCTCAATCTGAGAGAAAAGGGAACGAGTAAACCGTTTGTGCCCAGAAAGCACCTGGAAGCGCAGGGATGCTGCTGGCCGTGAGTGGCAGTGACAACATGGCCGTCAGTGGCAGTGACAACGTGGCCGTCAGCGGCAGTGACAACGTGGCCGTCAGCAACAGTGATAATGTGGCCATAAGTGTCAGTGATAACGTGGCCATTAGTGGCAGTGAGAACATGGCTGTGAGCGGCAGTGACAACGTGGCCGTCAGCGGCAGCAATAACATGGCTGTGAGTGGCAGTGATGACACGGCTGTGAGTGGCAGTGATGACGTGGCCGTCAGCAGCAGTGATGATGTGGCTGTGAGCAGCAGTGATGACGTGGCTGTGAGCGGCAGTGATGACATGGCTGTTTGCTGAGAGGCTTCTCGCGTGGGCTCCCTTGACCCCAGGGTTAGGCCCTGTGCAGCCGGCACTTCCTACGAAATTAAGCATCCCATGAAAGTGTGGGGAAAGCCAGCGAGGACGCTGCCATTTGCCGATGGGCAATTGATGGTGAATTCATCTGCAGCTCACAGGCGGGTCTTATTAGTTCATTATTTCAGTCCTGACGGCTCTGAAGAAGCCACCACGTTCTGGCTGTGTGATTTTGGTTGAGCTATGATAAAATAAGGATTTTAGAGTTTCCCTCCGAGGCTTGGTAAGAGAGTCAAACCGGGAAATGAATATGAAGTGTGTGGCCAAGCATCTGGTGAGTGACAGACAGGGTGGAGGAGGGGCTGGCGGTGGCTTTCTCCGCTGAAACCACCACTGCAGGAGCAGCCCTGAGAGGAGGGGCTCTTGCAAGCCCCGGAACCCCGGAGGCCTTTGTGGCTTTCCAAGCCATTCTTGGTGGCAGAGCGAGGCTGGCACACATGCTGCTGGGCCCCAGGCACGCTCTGAGCACCTCCCGGGCACCGTCTCAGGAGAGCCCTGTGAAGGAGGAAGGCCCACAGTGCCAGGCTGCTGGTGGGGAGACTGAGGTTGAGGAGCTCACGCCCTGTGGGCTGGTGTCCGGCTTAGGAGGTGGGAGTGGCAGCCTTCAGGGAGGTGGATGGGCCCCAAGAGAAGAGCCCCACAGAGGCTTCCCCATGCCCCCCTGGAAGCAGGACGGGCCCAGGCGGGGTCCTCTGATCCACTCTGAGTCCTGGCCTGGCAGAGGCACGAGTGGGTCCCTCAGGGAGAGTGATACTGATGCCACAGGGGCTGTGGGGGGAGGGAAAGGCTCGGATCAGGGCCCAGGAAGTTTGTTTTGTGGCTAACTTTTACACATTTGTTTAATCTGTCACCCAGGGTCATTGGTCAGGCTGCTCTCGGAGTCCATGTTCCCAGCGACGGGCTGCCTGGGAGGAGGAGGAAGGCAGCCTCCAGGGACTCAGAGAGAGGAGTGCCATGGACAGGAGCCCTCGGGTGCAGGAGCGTGGCCGGGTCCGCTCCCAGGACACGGGCGCTCACCCGCAGCGCTGCTCCGGAGGTCCGGAAATTAGTCTCATCCCAGGGCAGTCCTCTGCTCAGGAAGCCGCATCACGGGCCTGGCTCCTCCAGAGAGAGGGGGGTCCCAGACACGGCACAGCCCCTTTGTTGGCCGGGATTTGATCCTGCTCAGTTAACCCGGAGGCAGGAAGTCATTCGTCTAACAACTAGAGGCCTCTGATTGCTCAGAGTCAGTTTAAGTTTTAAGACAACTCTGACACAAGTTTTACGATATCTTAATTTCTCTGAAAACATGGACACTTGCTTTCAAATGTTTTAAGAGAGAGCCAGTACTGACTCTGTTGTTATTGATGTTTCGCACCATTCTCTCTGCACAAACCGCTGCAATGGTGCATGACTGGGTTCTCCAGTTTCCCTGTGAAGTGGACTCAACACGGGGTGCTCACAGAACAGCCTGAGTGCGGAGCCTTCCGTGTCCTCAGTGTGCAGGCCCAGGGGCTTGCGGGTGCCTCCCCAACACCTCATCACACAACGTTTTTTATGCACTCACTTTAAAAGAGTCATTCCAGGACAATGATATTAGCTGTCATAGAAACAACTACTTTTCCTTCACGTACTCATATAGCAATGTTTTACACAAAGAAAGTACTTGGTGCTTTCTATGGGTCTAACTGGTAATGATTGATTTACATAATTGCAACAGGCATAGACCGTCTGGGACATGAGTCTTGGTCAGCACACAGCCTTACTGAGGGGAGCAGGGGTACATGGACACTAGAGGAACGCCCCTAAGTGGTGAAGATTCCAGAATACCATTGACACCAGGTCCTTGGATCACAGAGGAACCAAAGAGAACATGTAATGAAGAAAACTGGGTAAGGAGAGGCCAAGTAAGAGAGCTTTACATGTCACCACCATCACCATCGTCATCATCACATTCACTGTCATCACTATCTTTGTCATCACCATTGCCATCCCCATCATTATCACCATCACCATCATTATCACCATCACCATCATCATCATCACATTCACTGTCATCACCATCACCACCGCCATCACCATCATCACCACATTCACTGTCATCACTATCTTTGTCATCACCATTGCCATCACCATCATTATCACCATCACTCATCATCATCATCACATTTGCTGTTATCGCCATCACCACCACCATCACCATCATCACCACATTCACTGTCATCACTATCTTTGTCATCACCATCACCATCATCACCATCACCATCACCGTCATCATGATCACCACATTTACTGTCATCAGTATCTTTGTCATCACCATCACCATCATCATCCCATTCATCACTGTCTTTGTCATCACCATCATCACCATCACCATCATCCTCATCACATTCACTGTCATCACTATCATTATCACCATCACCATCATCACATTCACTGTCATCACCATCATCATCCCATTCATCACTGTCTTTGTCATCACCATCACCATCATCGTCATCACCACATTCACTGTCATCACTATCTTTGTCACCACCATTAACACTATCATTATCACCATCACCATCATCACATTCACTGTCATTACCATCACCACCACCATCACCATCATCACCACATTCATCACTGTCTTTGGCATCACCATCACCATCATCACCTTCACCATCACCGTCATCATCATCATCACATTCACTGTCATCAGTATCTTTGTCATCACTGTCACCATCATCACATTCATCACTGTCTTTGTCATCACCATCACCATCATCACCACATTCACTGTCATCACTATCTTTGTCATCATCACCACCACCATTACCACCATCACCACTACCATCATCAACATTACCAATGCTAATAACAGTTTTGAGCATTTACATTAGGTTCTGTGTTAAACACATTACATGGAGTATTTTAATTCTTCTGAAACTCTAGAAGATGCCAAAGATCTTGTTTATTGTTTCCATTTCATAGATGATGAAGCCAAAATCTAGAGAAGCCAAGTGACTTTTCCATAGTTGTCATCACCACCATTATCATCACCATCATCATCATTCTCATCACATTCACTGTCATCAATATCTTTGTCATCACTGTCATCACCAGGTGAGAAGCAGGATTGAAGCCAAGCTGTTCTACCATGTGATAGTCTTCCTCCCAAAGTGTTACTGCCACAGTTGTCTAGTTTGAGGAACAGAATCATAAGAAAGTCAGGCACCTTGCTAGCCTAGACCACACAGCTCTAAGGTGTGGGAGCTGGAACTGGAGGGCAGTTTTATCTGACCCCTGCCCACAGTCTTTCTGCTCAGTCTTCCTTTCTCATGCAGCTGTCCCTCATTGGAAAAATTCCTAGGCTCTGAGTTCCCATTGCCCCAAAGACTCTGTCTTGCATCTTAGAGGCCCTCATAAACTCAACCCTTCATTTGCTTTGCTTCAGACCGAAGAGGATCACAGCCCAGGCAGCAGAAGTGCTTTGGGTGACACAAGGGCTCTATGAAAGGAATCGTGGTGATGATGTTGGTGACAACTATTGTTAGAGCTAACTATGACCCTGGCTCTTTATCAAGATGTTTACATATATCATTCCCCAAACTTCCATTCCCTTGAGGTTGATTTTAATTTCACAAGTGAGAAAGTGGAAAGAAAATCCATCCCATAGCAGAGTTGGGATGCAAACCCAGACCTATCTGATTCCAATGCCTGTGGTCTCAGCTGATGGTTCTGCCTTTCTAACTCCAGAGCAGGAGCCACCATTGGTTCCTCCAAGAGGTCCAGGTCTCCTGCATGGGAAGACCCTCATGGAAGGGAGGGAGAGGGTTTGAATCGTGATGCTGATCTCCCAGTGTGAAGGTATCACTTCTTCCCCAGGCATCAGGGCATTTCTCATACCCACCATGTTAGCTCAGTTGGCACAGAACATTTTGTATCTCATTTGTCCAACCCAGAATCTGAGATCTGAGTGTGAAGCCTGAGCCCACCCTGGGCTCTAAGATGCTTGCTGGAAACTGACGCCCTACCCATTCCCCTCGAAGCTGGGTCCTGCTTCTCTTACCCTTCAGCTGCTGCTGTCTGGCATTTGGTAAAGAGACAACAGAGCAATAGACTTTGTGTCACTGCCTCACACACCAAGCACTCGCCACTAATCACTTCTCCGACTGCCTACCCATCAGCTACACAGAACTTCCCCAGCAGCCTGCTGGGACCACACCTGACCTAGCCACATGGGGCACTCCGCTCACACTCCTCAGCACCCTACCCCACCCGGTACTGGCTTCTTTGTGCTTTCACACACATATATGTGTGCATGCACACACATAGTCACACACAATAGCTCACATGCATCTCCTCACATACATTACACTCATATACTCACATACATTAACACACGTACACATTCTCACAGGATAAACAGTCACACATTCATTCACAACCACACACACTCATTTCCACATGTACACACAATTACACCATACAATACATGCACACACATTCACACACTTACACTCACACACTCACACTTTCCCTGTAGCCCATGCCCTCCTGAAGAGAACAACATAACTTGTTCCTCTTCTGCCCCCAGTGACAGGCCCAGTTCCAGGCATATGGAAGGTGCCCAAATACATCATTGTTTAGCTGAAGTGACTAAGTAATGAGGTTATTTATTTCAAATAAAGATAAAGGCAAGTGTTCAAATGAGTATTGTCTTTCAAAATGCTGTTTTTGGAAAGTCTTATGTTTGATCGAATGATGGCCAACAAACTTTTGAAGTTCAATTATTCAATAAGATGGCAATTTGGGGCATCTGCTATGCTCAAGGAATTGAATTAAGTGCCAGGTGTTCACAGATGGTCAGTATGACTCTGCCTGTCCCAGGACCTCATGTTCTTTAGGACCAAAGTATGAAGTTAAAGACAAAACCTTCTTCTTCATTTTATTGTCACATCTTGCCTAGGTCAAGGTCAAATTTGGCTTTAGAATCCCAAGTCTCCAAGTTGCTAGGATGCTTGGAGGTCATGTCGGAGATAGGAATCCTGTCTCACTCACGGGGCAGCATGACTCTGCCCCATCACCTTCTGAGACGAGCAGCTCAGTGTGGTCCATGGGGTCTTGTCCCTTCACAGAGCCCATGACTCTTGTTCATGATATTTGGTTCTCAGTGATGAAAGGATGTTTAGGAAAACAAAACATGTGCCAAAAGGACAGAGGATGATGTGAGAGAGGCATGCTGTGCACCCAGAGCCAGTGTCAGAGGAGGAGCTGGCGACGTGTCTGAAACTGGTGTGCAGCCTCCAAGGCAAGCTCTGTGCAGGGCGTGATTATTACACATGGTACTGGTTATCCATCGCTATGTAACAATGTTGTCACAAATCTAGGGCCTTAAAATGCACATTTGTTATTGCATAGGCTCTGTGGGACAGGAATCTGGGCACAGCTCACTGGATCCTCTGCAGGGCTGCCATCAAGGTGCCTTCCAGGAATGTGCTCCCATCTGGCAGCTCAACTGGAAGGGGTCTTGCTTCCGAGCTCATTGCCTTGGCAGTGTTCCGGCCCTGGCAGGGGCCGGGCTGAGGACCTGGGTTTCTGGCTGGTTGTCTGAAGGCTGCTTCCAGTTCTTTCCCATGTGGGCCTCTTTCTTGGCTGTTTTCATTAAAACCATCAAGGCAGAGAATGTTGTAGCAAGACCGATGTTGCAATTTTACATAACTTAAGTCATACAAAGGACATCCCATCCCTTTTGACATGTTCTATTAGTTGGAAGCAAGTCACAGGTGAATGCCACATTCAAAGATGATTGTTGTGTATGAAAGATCACAGATGCCAGGGCATCCTAGGAAGCAATAGGATGGGGCATGGAGTGAGTGTGGGTGGCCCAGGAAGCTGGTGGGTGACAGAGGCAGGTGGTGTGAACTTGGGTGCTGTGCCAAACATGTGGCAATGACGAGCTTTCCACTCACCCCACAATGGGTGATTCTTCTGGGTGTTGGAAGAAAAATCAGAGATTTCCATCAACTGCAAAGGAAGGCAGAAGGGAAAAGCTGCAGGTAGCACAGCCCTTGTCTCCTACCAGGCTTTGTGCCATCAGGAGGTGGGATCACTGGCTGTACCCACAACGTACAGAAACGCCATGTTCTGACTCATGATTTGGGCTCATTCTCTTGGGACTCAATTTATCAAAACCTCCCTCAAAAACTCATGAAGTAGTTACATTACCACCTAGTCTCCTTTTGTTACCGCCATCAACCTTTTGTTGATGATTAACAAATGCTTGTTAATGATGGTTAATAGCAACAACATAGACTGGAAACTCCCAGGCTTCTTCCTTCTAAGGTTCCACATATATCCTAAATGTTTTCCTGGAAAACCAGAGTGTTAATACATAACATCACTTATGAGTGAGCTGCGATATCTCATTTACCAGCCAAGTGGCCCCTGGTCAAGAGTGGATCCACTGTAGTTTAACAGGAGGAAGAAGTGAAATGCACAGTGGGTGTTCCTTGTAAAGTCCGTGTTCAGCACGTCCTGTTGGTCGACAGAAACATGGTGGAGGAGCCCAAGGGAAGGGAAGAGAGAAACAACAGACAACGTCTCTCAGAGGTGAATTTCCAGGCTTAACTTTTTCCCCTTTTCTTAGAGAAAGCTTTCCCAGATTGACAACTTTATGCACAGATACTGATCATCATATATGTGTATTAGTTAATATTGTTTCAGTAGTATAGGAATTGAAATAATTAACTGTTCAGAGGTTAACTGGACATTGCACGTAGGTTTTTTAACTTGAGGAATATGGAGGTAGAGAGAAGTGATTTTCAACCCTAGAGTAAGTAAAAGGCTTACATAATATTTTATCTAAGTCCATGCATTGCCTTTTCTCCTAAGGTGTTGGTATTGTTCCTAGAGTGAAGGGACACACTCATTTGTGTCCAGCCTAATGAGCTGTCAGTCTTAGATCCAAAAGGGGCAAATGTAACTTGATGGGTCCATTCTACATTTAGCACTGATAAGAACAATAATTTATATATACATGACAATGGAGGGGCCACAGCAACACTATAAAACAGAAAAAAATGTTCAGCTTTATTTACGGTGTACTTCCTGTATTTCAGGAAGGTGAGGTGGGTCTTACAAAGGCTCAAACATATCACTATATTCTTTCTGCCCACTTGTTCTTTACGGCTAGTGACACTGCATCGCATCCCTCAAACCCTACTCTTCTCAATACAATTCATTGCTTCAGCTCCATCTGCTCCCATCAGCTGTGTCAAATGAACAGGGTATGAGATCAAATGAGAAGCATGGGTTGAGGATAATTCCCAGGTTCCTACCTGGAGATGGGGTACCTGGTGGTTATTGCCACTGATTGACAGAATGAAATCAGAATGAGAGCAAATTTAGAGTGAAAGGTGGTTAGTTCATTTTTGCAGCGGTGGCCATTGAGGTGGGAAGTGTCAAGCATGGGTAAAGCAAAGGGGTGGATGTGAAGGACGTGAAGATGAAAGGAATGAAAAGGCTCAGAAGCAGAACCCATCCTCACTGGGCCTCAGTGATAATGAGTGGTTCCAGGAGACTGGGCCAGTCAGCAGTGAGAAGCAAATGGTCAACAGTGAGGATGGGGTGGTCAGCAGTGAAGATGGGAGGTCAATAGTGAGAAAGAGATGTTCAGCAGTGAGGACGACAAGGCCAACAGGGAGGATGGGGAATCAACAGTGAGGATGAGGAGGTCAACAGAGAGGATAGGAGGTCAATAGTGAGGATGGGGAGGTCAACAGTGAGGATGGGGAAGTCCAACAGTGAGGATGGGGAGGTCAACGGTGAGGATGAGAGGTCCAGTGAGAATGGTGAGGTTAAAAGGGAGGATGGGGAGTCAACAGTGAGGATGGGGAGGACAACAGTGAGAATGGTGAGGTCGACGGTGAGGAGGTGAGGATAGTGAGGTCAACAGGGAGGACAGGTTGGCCAACAGTGAGAATGTGGAGGTCAACAGTGAGGATGATGAAGCCAACAGGGAGGATGGGGAGTCAACAGTGAGGATGGGGAGGTTAACAGTGTGGATGGGGAGGTCAACAGTGAGAATGGGGAGTCAACAGTGAGGATGGGGAGGTCAACAGTGAGGATGATGAAGCCAACAGGGAGGATGAGGAGTCAACAGTGAGGATGGGGAGTCAACAGTGAGGATGGGGAGGTCAACAATGAGGATGATGAAGCCAACAGGGAGGATGAGGAGTCAACAGTGAGGATGGGGAGGTCAACAGTGAGGATGGGGAGGTCAACAGTGAGGATGGGAATGTCAACAGGGAGGACAGGGTGGTCAACAGTGAGAAGATGGAGGTCAACAGTGAGGATGATGAAGCCCACAGGGAGGGTGGGGAGTCAACAGTGAGGGTGGGAGGTCAACAGTGAGGATGTGGAGGTCAACAGTGAGGATGGAGTTGTCAACTGTGGCTAATATAGCAGACAAGCAAAAAAAGCTAAGGACTTAAAAGTCTGTATCAATTCTTTGAATATGGAGTTACTTTTTCCAGCATGTTTTGGTGAAATGGGGGTTGGAGGATTGTTCTGGAGGTGAAGTCTAGACTAATATGGGTGAGAAATCACGGCTGATAGGGAAGCAGTAACACATGGAAGCCACCTCCTTTCCAGGTCTGTGGCCCCCTCTGTCCTGGTCCTCATTAACATTAACTATGATGGATTCTCCTCTCTCTTCTGATCCCCTCTTCACTTTTCTCACCCCTGGTGTCCATTACAAGGACCATAAAGAGTTTTCCTTTCTTCAGGGAGATAATGATTGGGAAACACTCTTCTATCACTGTTGCTCTGAAATCATTACCCTTCATAAATACTTAACTTAATTAGGGATTTACTAAAAATCCCTAATATCCATTACATGTATTAGACATATAATAAATACTTATTGTGTGCTTATTGTAGAGTGGGTGGAAATTTAACCCACTTCTGGTCACAGAGCTGGGCGCTGGTCCTTGTGCCCTCCTGAACAAGAATTACAATGGCATCTGTTCCTATCTTTTGTGAAATGCTGAAAGGCTTATTACACCTTGATATCTGAATAGCAGCAATGACTCTCTCTCTCTTTTTGGATAATACTTTATGTATCTTCACATTTTATATTTCTTTTGAAGATTTTAATTCTGCAAATGTGAATTGAAATTTTGAAAGATGTTGGGTTCAGCATTGCAGGTGAACTGCGTTATAGCAAGGGAATATTCTGGCACCAGTTACCTCCCTGAAGTAGCAAGATTTAATTATCTACAACCATCAGAGTCAGTGCTGAAAGTAAAAGGCCTTGCTGGGGGAGATCCCCCACAGGATTCTAGGCCTGGCTGAACCCCAGTGTGACCAAGGGAGTCAACTGTCTTGCAAATTCTTAAACCCTCTAGTGCCTCCTGGTGTCTGGCCAAAGGCTCCGGGGAGATCCCAAGAGAATGAGAATGGTTGTTGATTTTTGACACCCCCAATCTTACACAGCCTAGCATGGGAAGAGATTCGGGCCAGAATAGAACAGATCTGCCTTCGCCAGCTGGACACGTCAGCGGTGGGGTGAGGATGGATAGGTCAGTGGGCTCACTGTCCTCCACCATGAAGTCCAGACAATGACGCCCAGCTTTTGGGGCTAAAGCAAGGTCTGGTGAGTGGACAGGGTTGGGGTCACAGGGCTGGTGAAAATTCAAGCTCAGGCTGGCTCTGGCCACTATGTGTCCTCCCAAGGACATCCTGGGGGCCCACACAGGGAGGGGTGCTGCTGTCCCCTTGCTCCTGCCCCACTCTCAGCAGCTTCCCCAAAGGTATTGTCAAGACACTGAGGATCGCCATGAGTCGTGCTCATGGGGCACCGGTTCTGCATGTGCTCTGCATTCCCCCGTGCTGCTCCCACACAAGCTTTTAGAGGCGGCTGCCACTGCCCTTGCCTCGCGGGGTCAGCAGCGCAAACTGTGCCCTGCAGACGTCCTCTTTCCAGCTCTGCGACAAAGGGCTGCCTTGCCTGCTCTCCTGCAAAGGCTTTTGCTTATTTTAGTGACGTGCATCAAGTGTACATTGTAAAACCATTTCTCTTAAGCCTGCAGGTGTAACTTAATCTTTTATTTGTTCATTAATAGAGCAATTTTGATGTGAAGACTAAAAACACACATTTCCTGTTTCTTTAATACTCAGTGTATACATTTTGCAGATTAAATTTAAATACGTATTTTGGACCAGTTATTTGATAAAATTTCTTCAGACGTTGTTTTTCAAACCATCATCATAAATTTAACATATCTGATTTTCGTAAGTACTTCAAACCCCTAGCAAGGGAAAACTGTAAATCTAATGAATAAGATCTTCTCAGGCAATTAGACAATATTTACAAACAGGCTGCTTGACTCAAAGGTGACTTCCTTAAATCCGAGTTTCTCAGCCCCAGCACTGTGGATGTTTTGAGCGGGTAATTCTTTGTTATGGAGGCTGTCCTACAACAGGGTCTTAAGAGGCCAGCAGCACCTCCCAGTTGTGACAATAAAAATTATCTCCCCACAGTACCAAGGTTACCCCTGACTGGGAACCATTGCCTTAAGTATTTAAACACTGATGAAAAGCTTAATCTTTTTAAAACTTTAAAATTCTTAAGCATTTTGATAAGCTCACAAATTTATACTTCAGATGCTCATAAACTTCAGATGCCTTTAAAAATTAAAATATCAAAACTCTTACAAAGCTCATTGCTTCAAGTCCAGTTGACCGATTACCAAATCAGCCAGAGAATTTTCTTCTCTGGCTGTCTACACCCCTGTCTCCCTTCCGGGACTTTCTGACCCTGCTAAGGGGATGTGCTCACCCAACTAGAAGCTGTGGAATTACCTCTCAGGCTGCCTGAGGTCACGCACTCATGGTTTCTGGTCAGAGTCTCAGGTCAGAGGACAAGAACTGAGGGTTGAGGTCAGAGATTTGGGACCAGCAGGGGCTCCGGGGCGCCGCTTGCGGGGTGGTGAGCCCCGTATTGGCTCCATGACTCCTTCATGGGGCCTCCCAGCCCACGCCCTTCGCTGGGCCTCGCAAACCTCCCGGGATCCGGTGAGTCCAGCTTCCTTTGTAGCCTTGTCGCTTTAGAAATGTTATTACTCATTTTGACCTGACAGAGTTTACCGCCTTCTGAGCCAGCCTTTCACGCGATTGGCCAGGTAGGGCCCTGAACGCCTGTGTGGGTGGATCAGTGCACACACGCGCGGTAGACGTGATCTGGGGCTCGCAGGGCCTCCTGGTCCTGCTGCACACGGCTGGCCGACCCTTCCTCTCAGCGTTCCCCTCTCAGACTCCATAGATAATGATGCTTATTTTTAACAGCGACGTTATTATTTGTGGTTGAAGTTTTACAGCAGAGCAATTTCTGATCTCAGCTCTAAAGAGAACATCTACCTCTGTGGGTTATTTTCCACCGGTATGTTTGGAATTTGCTTGTGCTGTAATTTGGCAACTCCTGAAACTTTAGCCTAAAAAATTTTGTGTGAGGTTTTGAAACGATACTTAGAAACCTGAGAAAAATATAAAACACTCTCAGATCCACACATCAAGCATGAGGCCTTTTCCTAAAGTACTCAGTGTTTGTTGAGGGAGTGAATGGAGGCCCCCAAGCCTTCATTAATTCTGATGCGGACCCCTGAGCTCTCCTTGTCCTCTGGGCTCGCGACTCCCTCCTTCTTCTGAGGCAAATGGGGAGGTTTGAGCACAAACACTCACTGGAATTAAGCCTGGTTTGTAGGACTCGCGGGGGAGGGAGGGGAACACCAGCTACAGAGTCAGGGACCCTGTCTGGGGCTCCCAAGGCTCACAGCAGGTGTTCAGCAGCAGGTGACGCTCACACCTGCCTCTGGTTGGGCCTGTTTAACTGCTCACACCTGCCTCTGGTTGGGCCTGTTTAACTGCTCACACCTGCCTCTGGTTGGCGGCCTATTTAACTCCTCACCTGCCCGTCTTCTACTCTGATCACAAAGATCCCTCGTCCCCGCCCCCCACAACCCCCTACAACCTCCTCTGTTTTGCATGCGAGGTCCCTCACAGCGTAGGCTCAGGCCCTAGGAAGAGTGGAGGAGCTGCTGGAGCAGCAGATGCGGCGAGGACTGCTGGACCTGGGGATCCTGCTACCTGGCCTGTTGCCGTCTGTGGCCCACCAGCCCCATTAGGGCAGCAACAACGCCCAGAGGAGCCTCTCGCTTAACCAGGTAAGAATTCGGAAGGAAGTCTTTGGCTTATGGCTGCTGTGGACTGAAATGGATCCCCCAGGATCCATGCACTGAAGTCCTAAGCCCCCTGTGACGGTGTTAGGGTGGGGTCTTTGGGAGGTGCTGAGGTTGGATGGAGTCCTGTGGGTGGAGGCCTCAGGATGGCACAGGTGTCCCTGCAAGAAGAGAAAAGGGAGTGCTGGCTTCCTCCTCGGCCTTGCCAAGCTCAGTGAGAAGGTGCCTCTGTGAGCCAGGAAGAGGCCTCAGTGGACCCTCCTCTGCTGGCACCTTGACCCCAGGCTTGCAGTCCCAAGCTGGGGGATGGGCATCTGCTGCTGAAGCACCTTTGGCTGTGGCTTTGTTTATGGCCTGGGCTGGCTCGGATGCTGGTCTCAGCAGCCTGGAAGAGAACGGGGTCAGGCCGGCACCCCCTTGGAGGAAGCGAGGCCGGCAGACGGGCTGTGTGCGGGTGCCTGTCCTGGCCTCAAGCGCTCCGCGCTGTCTCCTTTAGGGAACGTGGGATGTAAATCCACACTGATGTGTGGCTTCTCATGGCCTTCCTCCGTGCGGATAAACGGCGACCCCGCTTTAGTAGCAGCCAGAAGTGAATTCCAGACAATATGCACGGAGTGTACGGGCGAGCCCTGGCTGCACTGTGGACGATGACCAGGCCCACGGGACAGCAGCCGGGTCCGCCCGTTTCCTCCTGGCCCCATCTGGTAATCAGGCTTTGCCCTGGGCAGACTGCCCGGCAGCCTGGGCCGTGTTTGTCTTGGCGCACGTCCTGCGTCCGCTGCTGGTTCACGGTCGTGGTGCATCTCTTGCGTGAAATGTGCCCTTGCCTCACAGCCCCACCGTGTCCCTGTGATATGTGGGTACGAACACAGGCCCCTAAGCAAGAGCAAATTGCATTTCCTCCCCAGAGGGACGCGGTTCTTCCTGAGCTCCGGGGACCTCGCGGTAGCCTTCAAACACATGGCAGTGTGGCACCCTTGAGTCCCACAAAGCTGAGAGAACCTCATGGTCTGTGTTACTAAACTCTGTCATATCCTGAAACGATGACCTCTCCAACCCATCATAATCATAACAATGAATTTCAGATATGCCTGAACACCAAAAGCAGTAGGTAAAGGTGATTTTTCTTTGTTTTCTGAAGCCGGAGGGGTATGAACACTCCCCGGGCACACACTCGCACACTCCCTGCGTGAGTCTCAAGGCTGGACAGGGCATTTCCACAAAAGAAACCTGTGGAAAGCAGCCCTTCTTCTTGGCGAGGCCTGGAAGTGGCTCGGTCCCTGAGGACGTGGGGGGCGTTCTCCTCAGCGTCCACTTAGGTTTCAGCGAAGAAGTCCAGGACATTGGTGCAAGCAAACACGGTTTTCCTCGCCAGCTCTTCTTTCACTGTGTTGTGATTGGGTGTTGGGTCTGTTGATGGAAATAAAGCCAGGTCAGCATCAGCAGGGCTGACACGAGGGAGCCCACGTTGAGCCGGAGCAGCCGTGGGGGCTTGGGCTTTTAACAGCTTTGTCCAAGTAGGCACGGGTAGCCCCAGTGTCCCGGGAGCTATGAGTCCCAGTGGCACCCACAACCTGTTGAGCTAGGAGGCCTGGAGGGGCAGGTGGCTGATCCGTGGCAGCTCCAGGGGCCCGCCCCTGCTGAGCTGGACAGCAAATATGCCAACACCACGCAGGGGTGATTTTACGACAGGAAGAGAGGCCGGGATGTGAGTCTTCCCGACCAACCAGGCCCCGGGAAGCTGTGGTGGAATTTCACGCTCAACTGCAGGGCACTGTGGGCAGGGATGTATGTCTGCTGACCCTGGCTTGCACCCAGGCTGACCGCACAATCCCCGTTCAGTGAGGGAGGCAGCTGAGTTCAAAAAAGATCGGGTTTGAGCGGTAAATACCACTCAGGTCTTCCTCCTCTTGGATTTGATTTATGTTTTCTGGAGCCGAGCAAACATACCACACTGTGGTCCTTGCTAGGGAGGGTGCGCAGTATTCCTCAGGCTGGGGCCACCTCCGACCTGCACAGTGGACTCACGCCGTCCCCACACTTGCCCTCTTACTGCCCCGTGCTCTCTGGAGTTGGGACCCCCTGGCCTGGAGATGTACCCAGAGGAGAGAGTGAAAGGGAGGAGCCAACGCAGAGACTGGCAGGTCTTTTTGCAAAAACCAAGTCAAGTGCCCCGTGGGCTCCACCCAGGAGAGTGCCCGGGGGTCCCCTGGGTAACAGGGTTAATGCAGCCCAGGCCTGCCTGCCCCCAGGCTGTGGGGTGCGGGTGCGTGCTTGGCAGGAGCAGGCCTGATGCAGAAGGGGATTCCGGGGCCTCCCCATCACGCTGCCAGCCTTTTCCCATCCTCCAGGGTGCTGCTGAGGCCAAGGGAACTGGGTCAGGGCAGGGTGGCACCTAGGAGCTGCCAGCTGCACTTATTTTCATTTTATTACTAGCTTTTTGGTATCCTCGGGGAACTGTTTCTGGCCAACTCACATTCACCCCTGGCCTGTACCTCACAGGTTCAAGGAGCAGCTGAACCTCGGCCCACATCTCAGGGAATCAGCAGTGAGTCCAGATCTCACCGCACCTTCCCGGAAGTCACTTGGTCCCTGGAGATTCAAAACCGTGTGAGGCACAAACAGCAGCGATGGTCTCTGGTCTCCACCGACTTGGCCGGTAAGCGGCTGTGGGACCTGGCAGGTCCAGGGGTCTCCACGGCACAGTGAGGACGAGCTGGCCCGGACCTTGAGTGAGCGTTGGGTGTCGGCACAGTGCAGGGGAGCTGCCAGACCCAGGGAATGGCGTTCTCGCTAGTTTAGAAAGCAAAGGGTCTGCCTAGTCCTAAGAGAGTGGGGTTTCCACATAGCCTGAGGGTGGGCAGTGAAGAGGAGCTGCGGCTCTTACATGCCGAGCTGCTGAAACGAAGCCCCAGAAACCCAGCGGCTGGACCAGCAGGGATGCGGCCTCCCACGGTCCTAGAGCCCGGATGTCTGAGAGCCAAGGCCGGGCGGGCCAGGCGCGGCCCCTCCAAAGAATCCGGGGAGACTCGGCCCTGCAGCCCTCCTGGCGACTCCTTCCTCGGCCTGCAGACGCTGCCCCCCAGCCCCAGCCTCCGTCTTCACGTGGCGTTTCCCCGTGTCTATGTTCAAATTTCCCTCTTCCCCTAAGGACACCAGCCGTTGGACCAGACCCATCCTAATGACCTCACCTTAACTTGGCCATATCTGCAAAGACCCTCTCTCCGACTACAGTGACATCCTGAGGCTCCAGGGAAATGAATTCGGGGGCACTGCCCAACCCAGCCCAGTGCCGCGGCCCATCGGGCTCTGCGTCGCCTGTGACTCCTGCCCCACGTCTCTGCAGGGTCTCTCTGCCGTTTTCCAGGTTAGGGAACCGAGGTCAGGGCACGTCTCTGCAGGGTCTCTCTGCCGTTTTCCAGGTTAGGGAACCGAGGTCAGGGCACGTCTCTGCAGGGTCTCTCTGCCGTTTTCCAGGTTAGGGAACCGAGGTCAGGGCAGCTCGGTGAGCGCCCACACGGCAGGAGGCTGCCTTTGAGCCATATTGTCTGACCACAAAGTTCTCATAGAGAATGATTGTGCCGGACTCTGAGCTGACCTTCCAGATACTGTGCGGGCCAGGGAAAGAGAAGCCCATGTGCCCTGTGTTCAAACGTTTAAAGTTACAAATCAAACTAAAAGTGTGCTGGGGGCCCTGACCCAGACAACGCGCCTGACAGACCACACTGGAATCCTTTGGACCCTGCCGAGCCCTGTGCAGAAGCACGAGGTGTGGAGAGCACAGGACAGAGGCTGGGGCTCCAGACCTGCCTCCGGTCCCACCTGCCCGCCGGCCCCACATAGGGCCAGGCCCCAGGGTGAAGGGTGCTCACTTCAAGGGGGCGGCTGAGGCAGACCCTGCAGGCCTGGAGCAGCAGGGACTCTGGGGGGCTACAAAGCCCAGACCACCGTGCCAGGTTGGGTTCTGTGTGGACGTGGTCTGGTCTCTGCATGCTCCATCTGCGAGGGTGTCCGTGCGGCCTGGGCTGGGCTTGCTGCCTGAAGCCTCCTGCCTGCCCTGTCTGTGCCCCACACCCTCCTTCTTTGCCAGCTCTGAGTTCCTTCCCTGTGAAATTCTCATCTTCCTGGGTCCCTTGGGAGCAAGACACCACCTCAAGGAAGGCAGAAAGTGGAAGCTTCTGAGCCTGGGACGCAGCCTCCTCCCTCACCTGCCCCCTGCCAGATGAAAGGCCTGGCTCCTGCCGACAGGGCTTGTTTTCCTATTGTTCTGCAGAAGCATGTAGCCCGCCGCCTCCTCCGTTAACAGGCATAGGCTTCCTCTGTCCACTCTTTTGCTGGGATCTCCAGGACCCAGTGCTTTTTCCAGGAAGCACCCTTCCCCGCTCCTGCCCCCACCATCTAGCCCTGAGTCTTTAGGAGTCGCAAGGTGACCTGACTTAGGCAGCAGAGCGGAGACCGGCACCTGCCACCCCCGCCCCAGCCCTCTCAGTAGCCCCACCCGGCAGCCCCTCTGTCCAGGGCCAGCCCTGCCTTTATCACACAGTGAAGGTGTTGAGTCTCCAGTGTGGAGCTCTCATCTGCTCTCTCCGAAAACACTGGCCCAGCATCCTTTCCCAAAGCCCTATGCTGGGCCCTGGGGAGGGAGAGCCTGGGGAGGGGTGAAGCTGGCTCTGCAGACACAGTACGCCGGTGTGAGAGGCCACCGGGCTCCGGACAGGGAGGGCGACGCCTGCCCCATCAGGCCAGCCTCAGGCCCGGGATTCCACAAGTCCTTCCCTTCTCGGAAGCACTGCAGGGGCTCAGGTAGGGTTTGACGCTTGCTGAGGTAGGATTTGTACCTAATGAATATGTGGGAACACACCCTAGAAGCACAGCAAATCACCTTCAGAAGCAGAGAAGGGGGGAACTGCTGGAGGAGTGAGAGCATGGGAGCCGGTGGGGCAGGCAGGGGATGGAGGCTCTCGGCGGTGAAGACGGACGGGGGCTCTCGGCAGAGAAGACAGACACCGGGGCTCTGCCGCTGGACCTGACTGGGGTCCACTCTCCCCACGCAGCAAGGCCAGATGCTCACATGGGGTTTGCAGTGGGAGAAAGGAAGGCACTAATTTGCAGGGCGCTGAGCCGGGAGACTCAGGCAGCTGGTGCCTCAGTCCCGACCTGCCCAGTGGCCTAAAGGTGAGGTCTCAAAGGTGGGGGTCATGGGTGACCCGCAAAGTCATATATCATCAGCACATGAGGGCTGTCCGTTGGTTCGATTTGGAAAGGCAGCCCACAGGTCACAGGTGGATTCAAAGATTTTCTGATTTGCAGTTGATTGAGGAGGCAAAGCTTTGTCTAAACTTTAGGGATCCGCAGAAGAAAACATTAGGTCTGGCTCATGGGCGTGGCCTCCCCCAGGCCCCTCAGGCAGAAATTTAGAACAAGGAATGGGCTCAGAGTTCTGCCTCAACTGCACCTTTTCCGAGGTCTGCGAGCAGGGGACGCATTTGGTCTGGGTTTCTGAAAAGCGACTCGGGCACATCATGAAGAGGGTCTCTAGTTTCTACCAGGAGCTAAACGTCTCGTGACTGCTGCTTCCTTGGCTATTGTTTTAAGCTACTGTTACCTTCTTGTTTGTGAAGTTGTTCATTTACTTCTCAGGGCGAGCTGGGTACCTGAAATTTCTCTTGAAAGAACTCAAGATTTTCCTTTATTTTCATGCTTGGGGGTGGGGGATAAGACTCCTAAGAGGGGTCCCTGCTTCGTCTCAGCTTTGGGTGCTGAAGCGGTGGGAAGGTGGGAGAGCATTCGGCGTGTGGAGGATCCACTGGGCAGGGCGGCAGGCAGGCCATTCCTGGTGATTGTAAGGGCACCCGCTGCAGAGACAGTCCTGTGGCCAAGCCCATCTGGGAGCGCATCGCCGGCCTCCAGTGTCCCAGAGCTGGTGCACAGCGGACACTCGGGGTCCACAGAGCTGCGTGAGGTGGGATGGGCAGCCAGGAAGGGGTGTGGGGCTTCTCTCTGCAGTGGACACACTGGTGGCTCTGGGCGAAGAGCGGTGCTGTTGGAACAGGCACAGCTGAGATTCCAACACTGCAGGTCCTGCGGACATGGCCCAGGTCCCGGGAAATGGTACCCAAAAGACAGGCAAGATCTACTCAGAGCGCGCAGGCCGAAACCAGGACAGGGATGAGCACGGGCCGCAACCGGGACGGGGACGAACGCTGGGAGAATGGAGCAGCCACTGCTGACGGGCACCTGAGAGACAGGACTTCGGAGCGGCAGCTTCACAGCAGGAAACGCGTCCTTCTTGGGGATCACACACGGGTGCAGACACATACCTGCCGATCCTAGGAGCTGTGCAGAACCGCCCTGGCCTGGCCACGTGGGACACATTCTGGTATCTTCTTCCGATTTTATTCTATAAAACAAAAACCAAACAAAACAAACATGTCCACTGGTCCCAATCCTCTCAATTTATTTCACAGCTTACTAATGAGTTACCACATCCCAGCATGGCCAGGGATGTCCTTGCTGAGATGGTCATTTTGGAAATGACCCTATTTCCAAAAGAGGCCCCAGGCTGAAGTACTGGGGGTTTGGACTCTAACACATGAATTTGGGGGGCACAGTTCAACCCCTTATGGCAGGGTGCAGAGCTGGTGAGTGGCTGAGCCCCAGGAACGTGACTCCAGGCACCGGTGACAACCAGGCTGTGATGACAATGGCACGCAGCTGCTCAGGGCGTTCTGCCTCTCGCCCCTCCCTCGTCCTCCCAGATGCGGCTGGAGGGGCCCGGGGTCAGAGCCTGGGCCGAGGCTGGTTTGTCATTGCCCCTGAGGAGTGGCCCCACCCTGGGGGTTCCAGTTGCTGTTGTCTGGAGGTCTGTTCACCGGGACTGCGCTGGTAACCCCCGCAGGGCAGCACTCGGCCAGAGCAGGGCTCCCGGGAAGTCTGCAAAGACACCCGCCGCAGATGTCTTTTCCAGACCTGTCCATTTGATTTGTTTGTCCAGAGAACAACAACCAAAAAAAAAAAAAAAAAGCAAGGGAGCAATGCTGACACCATGGAGGATGCGGGGAGCAGAGGGAGGCCTTTTCCGACCCTGCAAACCAGGCTCCAGGCTCCTGTAAGATGACCCAGGCATTCCCGGGAAGACAGGAGGGCACGTCTGTAAATCACAGCCTGCGATGACAAGAGGGGCCTCATGAAAATCAGCACCTTGTGTTTTTAGGGGCAGATGGAGCTGAGCCCAGGACAGGCAGGACAGGAGGAAGGTGATTTACAGCCTAAGCTCTCCCCAGCACGGCTGTCTCTGGAATGGCCTTGGCTGGCCAGAGGTACAGGGAGGGAGACGGCCTCAGGCCAACCCAGGGAGGGAGGGAGGCTGGTCCAGGGATGCACCGGCCCTGGAAGGTAGAGGCCAGGCGTGGGGGGTGAGTGTGGCCATCGCCTGACCAGCCCTGTGGGAAGGGCCCTGGCTGGAGATAAGAAGTAACAGCAGTTAAAGGAGTCTCAACCCACTGGTCCACAAAAGGGCTCTCAGAGGGTTCCATCTTTTACACAAGCAAAGCCAACCGTAAAGAGTAAGAGCAGAATCAAGAGCTTTCAGAAGAACAGGGAGAAGATGGTGCCCAGAGAGGCAGAGAAGCTGACGGGTGAAAAGTGACACTCATTGAGTAGATTTTACTGTCTTTTGAAAGAAAATGCAGAGTGTTCTTTTGGCGACACCCCATGGCTTCCACCGCCGCCACTTACAAAATGCCCACGGTGTGGCAGATGCTTTAGCACGAAATGACCAGTCTGCACCGCACACCCGTGAAGAAGATTCTGTTACACCCACTTTACAGACAAGGAAACCCAGGTTGGAGAGAGTGAGTGAAATTCCAAATGTCACAGAATTAGAAAGTGGGGACGTGCGGTTTTAACTTTCGCTTCCTCGGCTCAACACCTTTGCTTCTTTACTCCACCTGACAGGTATCACACAACACAAGGAAAAGACGTATCTGAAGTTCCAAACTAACGTAGACTTTTCAATGAATGACTGATTCTAGACATCCTTCGAGTGAGAATCCAGGACTTGTCTCTGCTGCTAGCTCAAGAAGGAGTGGAAGCTTGGGATGCCCAGGCTAGTTGATGGTTAATGTGGTAAAGACATTAATTGAAGGTCAACAGGTTTTACTTCCTGGTTAAATCCAGTGCTTACTAAATTTTGTTTTGACCGTGAAATCACCTGCCCTCACTTTTCTGGAAGGACGTGGCACTAATATTCCATGGAACATTTAGGGCCGGCTACTCGGGTGCAGATGCAGTATGCTGTTACTTAAAATGAAAGCTGGCTATATAATTTTTAATTTTTTTTCAATTTGAAAGTAAAAATTTCAAAAAATAACAATTTAAATTTTAAATTAAAACTTCTAATTCAAGTTTAAAGTAATTTAAAATAAATTCAATATTAATATAACCTTTAAGAAATTTAAAAAGTACAGAAGGACATAAAATGCAAAGTACCTCTTCTCACACTATGTCAGTCAGGGTTCTCCACAGAAACCAGTAGGAGACACAGGTATGTGTATGTGGGTATCTGCATCTGCAGCTGTATAAATAGAGATAGAGATAGGGGGAGAGAGAAAGAGAAACAAAGATAGACAGTATTTAACAAAATGATAGCTATAAATTTTCCAAATATGATTAAAACAAAAGCTTACAGATCCAAGTTGTTCAATAAACCAAGAGCAGACTAAACAGAAAGAAAACCACAGCAAGGGACACCAGAATCAAATTGCTGAAAACCAGTGACAAAGTGTGAACCCTTCAAGCAGCCAGAGAAAAAGCAGGTAGAGAGATGAGGATGAGGATGATGACAGACAAACCATAAAGACGGCGCAGTCCAGACATCGGTGAAGATGCATCCTTAAGGAGCAAGGTGGGCAGTTAGACTGGAATTCTTTATCCAGGGAAAAGGCCATTCAGAACTGGAAGTGGAATAAATAAACACTGACAGAACCCAGCACACCTGCAATATGAGAACACAGAAGGGAACTCTTCAGGCAGAAGGAGTGTGATGTCAGATGAAAACTAATCTACACAAATAAAGAAGGCCAGACATAGTACATATGTAGTAAATAAGAAAAATGTTTCTCTTCCTTTTAATCTTTTAAGAAGATAATTGATGTTAATATGGTTCTGGTCACTCTATCTGTAATAGTGTCAATGAAAATAAAATTAAATTGAGATTTTAAAAGATAATTGGCTATTTAAAGGAATAATAATCACAATGTATTCTAGGGGTTACAGCATCTATGGAGATGAAACGTATGAGAACAAAACCACAAAGGCATGAGGTATTAGAATAAAGGACGCTCTTGCAAGGCTCTTTCTTCTAACCTGAGCTTGGATGTTATTATTAAAAAGTGGACTGTGATACACAAAAGGTGAACATTGTAAATCCTGGAGCCACCACTTAAAAAAATAGAGCTAATAAGCAAATAGTGTATCAGCAAAAATTTAAAAATAATTAAGAAGCTGACATTTGGTTTTCAGTCAGCATGTGAGGAGTTTGGAAGTCACCACTCCATCCTAACCACAAGTGTAAAGATGAACAAACGGAAAATCCACAACTCTTCTTAGATCTGTCGGAGAAGTGAGGTCACAGTGTAAAGTGTTTCCCCAAAAATTGGAGAAACAGGCAAATACAGAGAATCACAGCTTGCTGGAGCAGAAACGCATGAGCCAAAACTTCTGTGGGAACCAGTGCTGGGGCAGGGAGACCTGAACTGAAATTGAGGAATCGGTGGAGGCTTAGCGTGGACAAGCCTGAGCATTGGGAGCAGCTCACAGGGGCCCCACACTGTTGTGAGTGTTGCCTCCTGGAGCTTCTCCAGGTTCACCCACTGAATATTGGAGAAATGTCCCCTCATGGTTCTGGCAGAGGGAGGCAAAAAGGAACCATTCTGAGAGATACTTGAGCATTCTGTTCTCCTTAACAAGAAACCAGCTAACCAAGCCCCACCTGCAGGGGTTTTATCAGAGCCAAACCGACCTGGGGGGAGGTAAATATCCAGCTCCAGCCCAATCCAGTCATCCTGTCCCACCTAAGAGAGGAAATATTTGTGAAGTTCACAGACCAGGGGCACAGGCTCACTAAGACCGAGACCTAATCACAGGACTGTAGAACAGTTCCCCTCCCACACAACTCAGTCACATCCCTAGAGGCCTCTGTTTACAGCAGTTCCTTTCACCCAGTGCATCATATCCAGAGTTCAAAAAAATTACAAGGCATACTAAAAGGCAAAAACACAGTTTGAAGAGAAAGAGCAAGCATTAAAACCAAAGTTGATGTAGCAGGAGTGTTGAAATTGTTAGACCAGGAAGTTTTTAAACTATAATTAATATGCTAAGAGCTTTAGTGGAAAAAAAGACAACATGCAAAGAATATGTGAAAAATGTAAGCAGAGAGATGAGAATACTAAGATTATTTTTTTAAGTCCTAGAAATCAACAGCACTAGCAGAAATGAATAAGGTCTTTGGCAGGCTCATCAATAGACTGAACACATCTGAGGAAAGAATACTTGAGCTTGACACTATGATGATAGAAAGTTCAAAACTGAAAAAGCAAAGTGAAAAAGACCATGAAAAACAGGAGATACTATTCAAGAACTGGGGGACAACTACAAAAGGGCAATGAGAAAAACATCTGCATAATGGGACACCAGAAGGAAAAGAAAGGAACACAGGCAGTATTTGAAGCAATGATGACTAAGAAGTTTTCTAAATTAATGTCACATCCAGGAAGTTTACAGAATACCAAGCAGGATAAATGCCAAAAACTACACAGAGGCATATCATATTAAAACTGCAGGAAATCCAAGATAAATAAGCCAGAGGGAACAAAAACTTTACCTATAGAGGAGCAAAGATAAAAATGACATCCCTTTTTTTCTCAGACACAGTATTAGTCCATTTTCACACAGCTATGAAGAAATAGCTGAGACTACATAATTAATAAAGGAAAGAGGTTTAATTGACTCACAGTTCCACATGGCTGGGGAGCTCTCAGGAAACTTACATCATGGCGGAAGGAGAAGCAAGCATCTTCTTCCCATGGTGGCAGGATAGAGAGTGTGTGTGAAGGATGAAGTGTCAAACACGTGTAAAACATCAGATCCCGTGAGAACTCACTATCACAAGAACAGCATGGGTGAAACCTGCCCCATGAACCAACCACCTCCCACCAAGTCCCTCTCTTGACACATGGGGATTACAATTCGAGATAAGATTTGGGTGGGGACAAAGAAACAAACCATATCAGACACCATGTGTGTTAAGCTCTTCTTGCATTGCTATAAATAAATACTTGAGACTGTGTAATTTATAAAGAAGAGAGGTTTAATTGGCTCAAAGTTCTGCAGGTTGTGCAAGCATGGCCGTGGTATCTATTCAGCTCCTGGGGAAGCTTCAAGGAGCTTTGACTCACGGCAGAAGGCAAAGGAGGGGCAGGTGTGTCACGTGGTGGAAGCAAGAGCAAGGGAGAAGGAGGTGCCACACACTTTTAAATAACCAGATCTCACAAGAACTCACTCTCATGAAGACAGCACCAAGGGGGTGGCACTAAACCATTCATGAAGGATCCACCCCCATGATCCAATCACCTCCCACCAGGCCTCAGTTACATGAGCTTTTGGGAGGGCAGAAAATATCCAAACTATATGAGCATGCAAACAAGAAGAGAGTAGAATGAAATATTTAATACTGAGAGGAAAAAGACCCCCACCAATCTATAATACTGTACCCAGCAAAATTATCCTTCAAAAATGAAGGAGAAATAGAGTCTTTTTCAGATAAACAAAAAATGGGATTTTTTTTGTCTGTAGACCCACCTTGCAAGAATTATGAAAAGAACTGTTTTAGAAAGATGAAAAAAAATAGATCAGAAACTAGATCTACAAAGAAAGAGCAGTGGAGAATGAATAAGTGAAGATAATATAAATATTGTATTTATTCTTATTTTTTTAAAATTAGAGACAGGGTCTTCTGTCACCCAGGCTGAAGTGCAGTGGCAGAATCATAGCTCGCTGCAGCCTCAAACTCCTAGGCTCAAACAGTCCACCCACCTCAGCCTTCTGAGTAGCTAGAACTACAAGTGCATGCCACCATAGCTGGCTAATTTTTTTTAGAGGTGGGGTCTTGCTATGTTGCCCACACTGGTCTCAAACTCCCGGCCTCAAGTGATCCTCTTGCTTTGGTCTCTCAAAGCACTAGGATAACAGACATGAGCCACCACACCTGGCCATTTTTCTTATTCTTAATTGGCCTAGCAGACAACAGTTTGTTCAAAATAATAATAGTAACAACGTACTCAATTACGTATGCTTATACCTATATCTGTCTCTATATATGCTTATGTATAATTGAAATGAATGACAACAATGATACAAGGAATAGAAGGGAAGAATTAGGATTGTTTTGTTACTATAAGACATTTGCACTACCCCCAAAGTGGTATAGTGATACTTGAAAGTGGACTTGGATCAGTTGCAAGTGTATGATCCAAACTCCAGGACAACCAATAAAAAAAAGTTATAAAAGGTAAATATTGATAGGTGAAGTAAAGAAGGAAAATGGAATCACATAAAATGCTCAATTCAAAGTATAAAAAGCAGAAAAATGTGGAAGACAAAAATAGTAACAAACAATGGCAAAAAAAGTAGAAAATGGTAACAAATATGATAGATATTAATCCAAGTATATCACTAATCACTTTAAACACCAGTGGTCTAAGTGCACCAATCAAAAGACTGAGTTCGTCAGAGTGGATCAAAAAATAAGACCCAATTATATGTTGTCTACAAGAGTCCCACTTTAAATATGGACACACACACATGTAAAAGGATGGAGAAATATATACTATACTAACACGAAAAGAGCAGGAGTAGCTATGTTAATTACAGACAGAGCTGATTCCAGAACAAGGAAAATTATCAGGGATAAAAGAGGGGAATTACATAATAATAAAGGGGTAAGTTCTCCAAGAAGGCATAATAATCCTTAATATGTATATGTCTAACAACATAGCATCAAAATACAAGAGGCAAAAACTTATAAAACTGCAAGGAGAAATTGATGAGTCCACTATTATAGGTGCAGAATTCAATACCCCTCTATCAGAAACAGGCAGATCCACAAGGCAGAAAATCTGTAAAAATATACTCAAACTCAACAGCATCCTCAATTAACTGGATATACTTGACATCTACAGACTATTTTTTTCCAAGAAGAGCAAAATACACATTCTTCTGAAGCTCACAGGAAACATTCACCAAGATAAACCACATTCTGGACCATAAATTTTGAAAGTATATAAACCACCCAATGTCTGCTTTCAGACCACAATCAAATTAAACTAGAAATCTGTATGAGAAAGATAGCTGGAAAATCCCTAACTACTTGGAGATCTGACAGCACATTTCTTAATAACACATGAGTAGAAAACAAAATGTCAAGAGAAATAAAAATATTTTGAACTAAATGTAAACACAACTCATCAAAATTTGTGAGACGCTTCAGAAACAGTGCTTAGGGGCCAAGGGCAGTGGGTCATGCCTGTAATCCCAGCATTTTGGGAGGCTGAGGTGGGCAGATCACTTGAGGTCAGGAGTTCAAGACCAGCCTGGCCAACATGGCAAAATCCCATCTCTACTAAAAATACAAAATTTGCCAGATGTGGTGGTGTTTGCCTGTAGTACCAGCTACTCGAGAGGCTGAGGCAGGAGAATCTCTTGAACCCGGGAGGTGGAGGATCCAGTGAGCTGAGATCATGCCACTGCATTCTAGCCTGCATGACAGTGAGATTCTGTCTAAAAAAAAATTGGGTGTGGGGGCAGTGCTTGGGGGAAATTTATAGCATTGAATGCATATATTAGAAAAGAAGAAATTTCTAAAATCAATAAACTGTTTCCACCTTAGCAAAGTAGAAAAAACAAGACCAAATTAAATCCAAAGTAAGGAAAAGAAATGAAATAGTAAAAATAAGAGCAGAAATCAATAAAATTGAAAACCGGAAATCAATAAATAAAATCAACAAAACCAAAAGCTGGTACTTTGAAAAGACCAATAAAATCAATAAGTCTCTAGCCAGGCTAACCAATAAAAAAAGGGAGAATGTATAAATTACTAACTTAGAAATGAAAGAGAGGACATCATTGGAAATCCCATGGACGTTAGAAGAATAATGAAGGAATATTATGAACAACTCTGGGCCCATGAATTTCATAACCTAAATAAAATGAACCAACTCTTTGAAAGACACAAGCTGACAAAACTCACACAAGAAGAAGCAGAAATTCTGAATAGGTCTATATCTATTTAAAAGATTGAATCAATAATTGAAAACTTTCAAAACAGAAAGCAGGCTCAGATGATTTCACTGGTAAATTCTACTGAACATTTAAAAAATGAATTACACCACTTATCTACAAACTCTTCCTGAAGATAGAAGCAGAGAGAATGCTTTCTAACTCATTCTTTGAGGCCAACATTACTCTAATACTGAAGCCAGACAAAAATATTACAGGAAAATAAAACTGTAGATCAATATACTAATAAGTAAAAATCCAAAAATGAAATTTTAAAAAATCACACTTGCAAAATCACCAATAAGAATAAAATATGTAGAAGAAACAAATGTAACAAAAGAAGTGCAAGGCATATACCCTAAAAGCTACAAAATATTACTAAGTTTTAAATATCCCAGTAAAATGGGGGACATTCCATGTTCATGGATTGGGTGACTCACTATTGCTAAGATGAAAATTCTTCCAATTGATTTACAGATTGAATGCAATCTCTATTAAAATATCAGCAAATCTTTTTTATGGAAGTTGATAAGCTGATTTTACCATTTATATGGTAGTAAACATAACCTAGAATAGCCAAAACAATTTTGAAAAAGAACAAAGCAGGTGGATTTACACCACCTGATTTCAAAACCTGCTAAAAAGCTACCATAATCAAGATAGTGTGGTATTGGTGTAAGAATAAATACATAAACCAACCAAGCAGAATAGAAAGTCCACAAATAAACTTAGGTTTATGGTTAATTGATTTTTGATGATGATACCAGTGTAATTCAATGGGGAAGAATAATTTTCCAAAAAATAGTTCTGGGATAATTGGCTAGCCATATACAAGAAAATAAACTTAAACAGTTACTTCACACCATGCACAAAAGTCAACTCATAATATGTCAAAAACTTTAAGAGCTAAAACTATAAAACTTCTAAAAAATAGAAGGAAATGTTTATGACCATGATTTAGGCAAATATTTCTTAGATATGACACTAAAAGCATGATTCATGAAGAAATTTTTGATAAATTAGGCTTCATAAAAACTGAAACTACTACCCTGTGAAAGACAGTTAAGAAAATAGTGTTTTTTAAAAGCCATAGACTAGACTATAGACTAGTAGAAAGTATTTGAGAAATACACATTTTAAACATAAGATTTATATCCATAATACTTGAAGAACTCTTACTACTCACAAATAATTAGATAAACAACCTAGTTTTTTAAAAAACTGAGTAAAAGATTTGAACAGACACTTCACTAAGGGAGCTAGAATGGGAATAAGCATACAGAAAGATGTTGACTTCATTGGTGATTAAGAAAATTCAAATTAAATCCGCAATGAGGTATCACTACACTAGGAATGGTCAAATTTGAAAAAAATCTGACACTACAAAGTGTTGGTGAAAATGTGGAGTAACTGAAGTTTTCATACGTTACTGATGAAAATGCAAAGTGGTACAGACACTTTGGAAGACACTTGGCAATTTAAAAAATAAACTGAAAACACACAACCTGCCAATCTCACTCCTAAGTACGTACATAAGGGAAGTGAAAACTTATGTTCACACAATATCTTGTACTCAAATGGTCATAGCTGCAGTTTTACTAATAATATCCAAGAAGTGGAAGTAACTTAAGTGACTCTCAACTAGTGAGTAGATAAATAAATTGTGGCATATATTAAAAAAATGAATTCTATTCTGCAAAGAAATAATAATAAAAGGAATGAACTGCTCATATATGATGCAATAATGTGAATACATCTTGAAAACATCCTAAGTGAAAGAAGCCAGATGCAAATGAGTACATACTATATGGTTCCATTTATATAAAATTTAGAAAAGGCAAAACCACAGCGACAGACAGAGGAGTGTTGCCAGCGCCAGGGTTGGAGGTTGGGGGGACAGTGGCTGTAAAGGGACAGAAGGAAATTCGGGAAATGACGGAAATGTTCCATATGTTGATTGTAGTGGTGATTTCATGACTATAAAGTTACATTTGCCAATTTGTAACACTACAGTGAAAATTGATGAATTCTCTTACACATAAATTATACCTCAATTAAGCAAATTTTGCTTGAAGCAATAAATCATTTGTAGGAATTTAGCTTAGCCACAGGTTGACCATTAACTATTTCACCATTCACCTCCTTTGAGAACTTCCAACTTCTTCTGAATAAACCTTGGGACTTAAGGAGAACCTGCAACAAATCCAGCTGAATCTCTGCACTCCCATAAAGAGACCTGGCAGGTGAGCTTCAGGGTGACATTTATATAATGTGTGTATATATATGTGCCTATGTATATATGTATTTCATAAAACTGCTTATCAAATGACATAAGTTGTGGCATAGTTGTTCATCAAATCACTTTAAAATTTTCCAAATCTTATTTTTAGAAAATTGCTGGTGTGATTTATTTTTGTTTGACAAGATTGACAGTAGCCAAGTGGTGTTCTATCTGAAGTCTGATTTGACATCAGGAATGGCATCCAGCTCTTTCCCTGGTGAACAGCCATGAGGCCACATGGCCAGCATGCACTTGAATATGAAGGGCGAGATGTCCATTCCTCATGCTGCCAGCCTGTTCCTGTGTTGCCACCTCAGGCCTTGTCACCTCTCCCCTTGGTGCCACCAGGTGGCATTATTGGGTGACTTGTACCCATAAGCAGATTTTTCTCATCTAGTAGGGAAACATTTCAATATTTTGACAACTGGGGCATCCATGCTGATCTTCTTCCTGCAGGATCCTCGCTGGCTCAACTGCAGCAGCTTCTGCCCCTCCACATCTTTCCACATTTCTGGCTGTGAATGACCTACAGACGCTTTTCATCATCCTGACCCTATTAGCCAAGTCTCTTCTTGGTCTACATAATCCTGATCCTAATCAGCCCTTTTTTTATTTTAGTCATTCTGTCCCAATGTAAAATTACCATAAGAAAGCTATCATATTCACATCAAGGACACTCTGTCTTAGCTAAAGTGTGGTATCATGGAGTCATGCAGGTAGTTGGGGTTGTTCTAAAACATGTCCACACATCCCTGGACAGCTCTCATCAAAAGATGGAATCTAACTCCCCTCCCTCTGAATATGGGCTGGACTTAGTGACTTGTTGGTAACACATAGAATGTAGTAGAATTGTGTGTGACTTCTGTGGCTGGGTAATAAAAGAGATGTAATTCTTTTCAGCAGTCTCTCTCAGAACATGTCCCTTGGGAGCTCCAAGTCAACCTGCAACAAATCCAGAAGCTTCCTTGCCTGAGAGACCACATGGAAAGGTTGTGTATAGAGAGAAATGCCTGGGTAGCTGCAGCTACTGAACCTTCTCCCCATCAACCACTAGACACAGGGCATGAGTGAGTCTGTGGGTGACTTCAGCTCCCAGCTTCAGAGCTTCCCCAGACCAGGCCAAGTGAAGCAGAGATGAGCTGTCCCCAGTGAGCCCTGCCCAAACTGCAGATTTGTGAGCAGAATTTATGTTATTGTTTTAAGCCACCAAGTTTTGTGATGGTTTGTTACATAGCATTAGATAACTGGAACAGTTGCGGAGGGTACCAATTCTACTGGTTGTCGAAAACAGCCACAGCACCTTCCTTGTCTCACAAAACAGTATTATTAATGCTCTTTATCCATGGTCTAAAAACACAGCCTCAGTTTACTACAGGGTTGAGAGGATCTCACACTGGGATGTTTGATACAAAGGATCAAATACACTATACTCTAATTCTGTATAGTTTTGTCTGCTAGTCATCATCATCTAAGGTTTGTGGTGCCATTCCAGGCCTCAAACAGGAACATTGGAGAGATAAAATAATTGGAGAGATAAAATAATTGGATAGACATGTATCTCCTTGGGTGCCTGGTAGGTAAAAGAGTCTGAATCCTTATTTTCTAGGTGAACTCACCATCTTTGGAGTCACCTGATGTCTATAGCTCTTGTTGGGTAAGGGTGAAGATTGCACTGTGAGAGCCTCAACAATGAACACTAATATGATTTGGGAACAAGATATACAAGAAGAGATAGACTATGAACCACCTTCAGATACAGAATAAGAACAAAAAAAGAGAAAACAAAATACAGGTTTCTGAATCTGTCATGAGGCATAACAAGACCTAGGCCATCTGGTGACCAAAGAATTAAAGACTGAGGGTCCTCAAAAACTCTATTGAAAAAGAAGAACAAAATTAGAGGACTCACATGTGCTGATTTCAACTTACTACAAAGCTACAGTACTAAGTACTTGTATTGGCACAAAGATAGACATAGATGAATAGAATAGAACTGTGATTCCAGAAATATATCCTTTGTTCAATTGGTCTTTGATACACCAAGATAATTCAGTAGGGAAAAGAACAGTCTTTCAATAAATGGTGCTGGGGACAACTGGACATCCACATGCCAAAGTATGAAGCTGGATGCTTACCTAACGCTATGCACAAACATTAACTCAAAATTAATTAACATTCTAATGTGACAGCTAAAACCATAAAGCCCTTGAGGGAAACATAGCAATAACTATTCAAGACCTTAGATTAGGCAATGCATTCTTAAACACCAAAAGAAAAAATATAGGTAAATTGGATTTCACCAAAATGAAAAACTTTTTTGCTTCAATAGATGACATCAAAGAAGTAAAAAGACAACATACGCAATGGGAGAAAATATTTGCAAATCATAGATCTGATGAGAGACATGTATCTAGAATATATTAAGAACTCTTACAATTCAATAAGAAAAACAAAATCCCCAATTACAAAATGGGCAAAGGATTTGAGTGGCATTTTCTCCAAAGAAGATATGGAAGTGGACAATAAGTACATGAAAAGATACTCCGCATCATTAGTCATTAGGGAAATGTACATCAAAGCCACAATGAGATACCACCTCACACACATCAGAATGGCTGTATTTAAAAAGACAGACAATAACAAGTCTTGGCAAGGATGTTGGGAAATTGGAGCCCTCCTTGCTGATGGAAATGTAAACCGGTGCAGCCACTTTGGAAAATATCTGGCAGTTCTTTGGACGTTAAACACATAGTTATCACTTGACCCAGCAATCCTAAGTGAACATCTAAGAGAAATGAAAACATATTTCCACACAAAAACATGTACAGGAATGAGATGATTTGGGTGTCAACTTTAATGGATTAGGAATACCCAGATGGTTGGCAAAGAATTATTTTCAATGATTTGGTAGGCACTGAGCCAGGAAGGGCGAATTCTTGCTCTCTCTTCTGCCCTTGGATGTCAGAACTCCAGGTTCTCTGGCCTTTCATGATACTCCATACAGCACTGCTTCTGACCACCACTCACCATCCATCACCCCTAGTGACCTGCTAGAGGAGTTATTACTTCCTATTTCCAACTTTATGCTCTGCTGGCCTAGAGGTCTTCCTTCCATAGGGAGAAATGCTACCACCAGGAGATACAACAATAATTCAACTGAACTGGAAGTTAAGATGCTATCTGACCACTTTGGGCTTCTCATGCCTCAGAGTCATGCTAAGAAGGGAGTCAAAGTGTTGGCTGTCTGACCTGATACCAAGAAGAAATTGGCCTACTCCTTCACAAGGGAGAAATAGGAGATCCTCTAGGGCATCTCTTGGTGTTACCATGCCTGTGATTCTGGTCAATGGGAAATGACCACAACCCAATCCAGGCAGGCTATGAATGTCCCAGGCCTTTCAGGTATGAAGGTTTGGGTCACCCTGCCAGGTACAGCACGGCAACCAGCTGAGGTCTTGCTGCAGGCAAACAGAACACAGCAGGTGGTAGAAGGTCATTAGGAGCACCAGCTACACCCACGGGACCAGTTACAGAATCAAAGGCTGCCACTGCCATGAGTGTTTTCTCCCTGTGTTGCTACGAATATGTTTGCATGTAAATATACATATATTAGGCAAATTTTTCTTCTTTTCTATCTTACTCCTTTATCATATGAGATGTATTGAGTTTGCATCAGTATTTAAGTATTGTTAATTTTACACCATAGTGTTTAAGTTACAGGAGAGGAGTAAATGTCACTCAAGGACTTCACTTCCTCCTCTGGGGAAGGAATTAGTGTGTTTTTATTGTACGAATTGTATCATGCTAGGTGGAACTATGACCTTGTCATTATCTTTTTAAGAGATTAAATATGGTTTAAGGAGATGCATGTGGGTGCCAAGTTGACAAGGGGTGGACTTGTGATGGTTGATTATAAGTGTCAACCTGACTGGATCAAGAGATGCCCAGGTAGCTGGGAGGCCATTGATCATCCTCAGTACTCCAGGAGGCACTGAGCCCATCCCTCTTCTGCCAAAAGAGAAACCTAGGAAGATTGGCATTTGATTAGAATGATTGATCTGTCCAAGGTATGTCTGTGAGGGTGTTTCTGGGGGAGACTGAGGTGTGAGTTGTTGGACTGAGTGGGGAAGGTCCACCTGCATTGATCTGCCCTCAATGATCTGGGCTAAAGGCCTGGATGGAACAAAGGTAGAGGAAGACTGAATTCTTGTTTTCTCTTGGGGAGCTGGGACCCCTTCTTCTCTTGCCCTGGATGTCAGAACCCCTGGTTCTCTGACCTTTGGACTCTGGGACTTAACACAGTGACCCCCTGGGCTCTTGAGCCTTTGGTGTCAGATTGAGAGTTACACCATCAGCTTTCTTGATTCTGAAGACTTCAGACTTGGACTGAACCACTCTACCAGCTTCCCTGGTTCTCCAGCTTGCAGATGACCTGTCATGGGACTTCTCAGCCTCCAAAATTGCATGAGCTAATTCCGCTAAAAAATCCCCTTCTTATCTTTCTCTCTGTACATGCATCCTATTGGCTCTGTGTCTAAGAAGAGCACATACTAAAACAAAGAATGTCATAGGGAACTATTCAAAATAGCCCAAAATGGAAACTACCCAAATGCCCATCAACTGATGAAAGGACATAAGGTGGGACACACACACACACAAACACAAACACACCCAACATACACAAAAATACAAAAACACAAACACACACACACAAACACATACACACAAACATACAAACACAAACATACAAACATACATACACACACACAAACAAAAAACAAAAAAAACACATAAAAATACAAAGACACAAACACATAAAACACACAAAAATACAAAAACACAAATGCACACACAAACACACGCAATGGAATATTATTCAGCCATTACAAAGAAATGATGTGTGAATCTATGAATTATTTAAAAAAGGAAAAGAAAGAATGAATTACAAACACATGCTACATGCATGAACCTGAAAAAATTAAGTGAAAGAGCCACAAAAGACCAATGTTGCATTGTTCTGTTTATGTGAAATGTACAGAAAGTGAAAACCTGTAGAAATAAAAGTGGATTAGGGTTGCCAGGGGAGGAGAGAAGAGGAAGCAGGAAGTAACTGCTAATAACAGCTTGATTTCTTTTCGTATGTTAAAAACACAGAATTGTATGCATTTAAAGTATATCTCAATAAATCTGTTAAGAAAAACCTCGTTGAATGGCATTTGTTAAATTCAAAACCATTTATAGACGAGAATTGCCGCTGCTGTGCTTTCAGGAGTACAAGTGTTCCACCAAATGTTAATACGCGTTTTGCAAGAAAAGAGCTCCATGCGAGTAAGTTTGGGAAGTGCTGGGTTAAAAACGACAAGCAAGTTTCTTTAGTGCAATCACGGAAGAGTGTTCACTGTGCTAACGTGAACTGCAGCCTCCAGGGTGAGGGAGGGAGGGGCCGGCAGTAGTCTTGCTCCACATACACGATTTGGGTAGAGTTTTGCAGAAAGACGCAAATTCACAGGGAACTTGGGTGAAGGGGGGGTGGCTGTGTGTTTGGCTTTCACTTGGACAAGCCTCCTTTTCCCTCCCACAGAGCTGGCTGCTGCTGCCAAGGCCCCAAGGAGGCTTTCAGGTGAGGGGGCGTGGAGGGGAGGGCCACCTCAGCCCTCAGGATTGGGTGGGCTGGGGCTGAGGACACAAGAGCAGAGTTTTGGGTGGCAAGTGTTGATGCAGGATGGAAACAAATTTGGCTGTCCTGAGGGTCCGGACCTCACTCAGCAGCGGACCAGGGTCTCTGAAGCCCCACCAGCATCACCCAGAGCTAATGGCAACCTCCTCAAGGCACCCATACCCAGCCAGCAACCAACAGGGCTGCTGACCTCCGGCCTCAGCCGACCCTACCAGCCAGGCCTTGCTGAGCCACGCCCACTTCACCTGTGTTCAGTTGCTTCCGGCAGGAGGGGACGCTGGGGTCCGCTTTTGCAGGTCATGCCACCGAATTCAAATGTGGTATCCGTTTTGTGTTTTCAGTCGTCCCTGCATTTTCTTCGTCTGAAATCAGGACGCTAAGTAGCTACAGCTGCATGTGCCGCCTTTGAGAAAATCTCATCCTGAACTCGAGAACACAGACTCAACAGGCAGACGGCCGGGAAGCTACAAGGCAGCGCCTCACAACACTCTCTTCTTTTTCATTCTACTAAAAGTTGCTCTCAAATCCTACTGGACAGAAAGTCCTAAAGCATTCCAAATGTTGCTCCATTTCCAAAAGTGCCGGCGCTGCCTCCTTGGGATCAGAGGCCTTCTGCGCTTGAGCCTGGCACCTGCCCTGGGCCCCAGTGGACGGGTCCTTCCTCTTGGACCACTGGCCCCATGCATTGTCCATCCTCAACACCTTCCCTGTGGTGCCCAGAGGCAGCGTCCAGGAGCACACCCAGGTGCCCAGCGGGACCCCGGAGCTCCCTTTGAACAGGCACCTTCTGGGGCTGGGGTCCCCATGTCTGGGGGGGAATAGGGGGCTGGGGCCCGTGTCTAGGGAGTTATGGGACCTTGCATCTGAGGGGGTGTGGTGGGGGGCTGGGGCCTGCATCTGAGGGCGTGTGGTGGGGGGCTGGGGCCTGCATCTGAGGGGGTTCTGGTGGGGGGCTGGGGCCTGCATCTGAGGGGGTGTGGTGGGGGGCTGGGCCCTGCATCTGAGGGGGTGTGGTGGGGGGCTGGGCCCTGCATCTGAGGGGGTGTGGTGGGGGGCTGGGGCCTGCATCTGAGAGGGTTCTGGTGGGGGACTGGGCCCTGCATCTGAGGGGGTGTGGTGGGTGGCTGGGCCCTGCATTTGAGGGGGTGTGGTGGGGGGCTGCAGCCCTGCATCTGAGGGGGTGTGGTGGGGGGCTGGGCCCTGTATCTGAGAGGGTTGTGGTGGGGGGCTAGACCCTGCATCTGAGAGGGTTATGGTTGGGGGCTGGGGTCTGCATCTGAGGGCCATGGGACCTGGGTTTGTGGCTGCTGGTTCGCCTCTGGGCTCTGCTGCTTCTCACAGTAGTCGCTGAGCCATCGCGGGTCCTGATGTCTCACGGGAGAAGCAGGCCTGGGCAGGTGGCACCTTTGGGAGAAAGCGAAGGGCAGCCTGGGCTGGAGGCTGCACCCAGGCACTGTGGTCAGTGGCTGGGGAATGAGACACGGCCCTCCTGGGCCCCGTGTCCCTTGTGGTGGGGTCTGAGTGCCTACTTCTCTCACCATGGCCCTCGGGGTCCCGTGCCTCTGCGGCCTGAGCCTGCGGTGGGTCCTGGCGCAGCACCTGGACACGGGCCTCCCTGCCTGAGGCCTCCTTCCTTCCTTTTCACCCCCCTGAGCCTCCTTGCCCTTGGCTGGCTGAGCCGGCACATCCCCGTGGCGCCTCTGCACCTCCCCCAAGATCATTCTGCCAGCACGGTCCTCACTGCACCCTCCGGTCCTCCCTGCACCCTACGGCCCTCCCCTGAGATTATTTCGCCAGCCCGATCCTGCACCCTCCCGGCTGCCACTGCCCCTCCCCAGGGAGGCCGCCACAGATGCAATGGCCGGCTCAGGTTGGCTCCTCAGTGGTTGAAAGTGGTTTTGTTTTTGGTGGAACTTGGGGGCAGTGAGAGGCTTGAGATTATTCGTTGAGATAGTTTTCCAGAAAGAAAAAAATGTCACAGATAATTGGTTCTTTGCACTTGTAATATAAACGCAGTAATCTTTATTCTAACTTTTGCTAGAGAAATTGAAGTCGATGATAGCCCCTTTCAATTTTAAGCAGGAACCAAAGTCAACAGAAATTCTGAGTCATAGAATCAGGCCAACTGACATAAAGAAAAAAAAAAACCTGGGTCACTCACAACCACTAGGATGGCAGAAAGACAGGAAGAAAGAGAATGAAAAAAAAAATAAGACGTTATGGCAAAAGGATCCAGAGAAATTTGGGACCCTTGAGCATTGCTCGTGAGAACCATTGTGGAAACGATAGAGGGGCTCCCCAAGAGTTCATTACAGCAAATGGACTTAGCATGCGATCCAGCAGCTCCACTCCTACAACTGAAGACACAGACTCCAGCAAATACTTGTTCATACATGTTCATAATATCATTCGTTACAGTGGCCAGAAGGTGGGAACAGCCCAAATGTCCATCAACAGATGGACGAGCAAAATGCGGTCCATCCATGAGATGGAATATTACTCGGCCCTAAACAACAGTGAAGAAGTACTTGTAAGACCTTGACAACATGCATGAACCTTGAAGACGTTAAGCTTGTGGAAGAAGCCAGATACACAGGACCACGTGTTGTGTGGTTCCATTCATACAAAATGCCCAGGACAGGCAAATCTATGGAGGCAAAGTAGGTTGCTACTTGCCAGCCTGGAGGATCAGGGGGTGAGGAGAAACTGTGCAGGGAGTTCAGAGCCTCCTCTGGAGTCGGGGAAGCGTTCTGGACTAGATGGAGGTGGGACACACCGAACCGTTCACTTCCACATGCTCCACGTTACAGTTGTGAATTTCACTGCAATAAATTAGGGTTATTTTAAATACTTGGGCCAAACCTCAGATTTGCTGATCATTAATCCGTGGCTTTGGGAGCCACTGAGACTTGGCTGTGCTGAGTCCCCTCCTCTGCAAGTTGGAAGAAAAACTCTTCCCGGAGGATGGTTCAGACAAGTAAGTCAAAGCGTGAACACACCAGCAGAGCACCTGCCCTATACCTGCATGGTACCTGAGCATGAAAGACGTTCAAGAACATTCTCTTCCGTCCTCTGAGTCACTAGCAGATGGCCTGTTTCCTGCTGAAAGAAGCACCTGGTACTTGGTGTTTACGAACTCCACTCAGTAAGCGGATCAGTAGCAACAAGGGCACTTTGGCCGTCAGACGCAGAAGTAGCGTTTTCCTCCAGAACACCACCTGTGGTTGGGACAGTGCCGTGCAGCCCCAGCATGTCTGTGACGCACACCTCCTGCCTGCGGGGTGGTCCCCCTCCCGCCACCCCGGTTCTTCCGGGTTTTCGAGCCCTGCCCTCAGCTTCCCCTCCTTCCTCCCCTCCCCGATTTTCCAGCCCTGCCCTCGGCTTCCCCTCCTCCCTCCTCTCCCCCTGGCACCGTTAAAACATTCATGCTGGGCCAGATCATGCTTTTTGACAATGTCTAACGAGCTAGCAGTGAATGATAAATCTGCCGGGCCGCCTCTGTGTCTCAAAGCCACTAGGATCTGCAGCTGTTTCAAGAGCACAGAACAAGAAAGCCTCCAGGAAAGGGGGAAAGAGCGGCATCTGAGCTTGGAGGAAGTCATTTCTGTGAAAATCTTTTAATGCAACAGGGAGCTAAGCAAGTGGGCTGTGTGTGCTGTGGAAGGTGGCGATGTTGGGGTCTTGCCTCCTGCAGTGGATGCCGGCGACAGGGCCTCGGGTGGCTCTCTTAGGACCCACAGGCCCTGCATCTGGATTGGTCAAGTCCCAGGGGCCAGGCCTGCCTCAGAGGTCCTGGGCATTTCACGGCTGGAGGGCACTGCGGAGGTCCATCTGCTGCCCCATGGAGGAGAGCGGGTGCTCAGACACCAATCTTGGTGCCCAATCATTTCCCCTCCTCTGACCTTGAGGGAAAAAGCCAAGATGCAGCCTCTGGACACCAACCTTGAGACATTCTCAGCTCTCAGCTCATCAGCAGAGCCTGGACTCATTACTCCAGGGAAGAAGCTCTGCTTCCGTGGGCCAGGGGTAAGGTCAGACGCAAGGGCCTGAGGCCACATGGGAGCCCAAGCAGCAGGAGGCCCCAGGCCAGTCAGAGCCCTCAGGGCCTCCCAGGGGCTGGCAGGAGCACCTGCTCAGTGGCGAGATGAATGTCCTAAAATGCTATTAACGGAGTTCAGTCTAGGGTTTAAATCAATTTGGCAAACATTTATTGAGTGCCCACTCCCAATAAGGTTCTGAAAAGGCTCTTGAAAAAATGTCTGTGCTTTTGAATTTCAAATGATTGGTTTTAGTATTAGGAGCAACAGAAATCCTGTTATCACTCATCCAAATAATCAGAATTAATTTAGGAGTTGATGGCAAGCAGAGTCCGTTGGTAATTAGGAAACATGGAGAAATAATTAACCATGGCAAGAAATGCGGTTACATTTAACTCCTGCGAAGTTAAAAAAGAACCATGGTACTTTTCTCTGTGAGGCTTAGCAATCCCAGTGCTGGTGAGAGTGGCGCCTGCCTGAGCCCGTGAGGAGCCCTGCGCTGTTCCCCACCCTGGGTGCCATGCTGGCCGCTGGGCCCTTCCTTCAGGGAAGCCAAGCTGGATCCCTGAGTCACTAGGGCGACTGGGTGGGGCCTTGGCCGGATGACCTCCCTTCAGAGAAGGACCAGGGCCTAACTCCATGTCTTTTGTAAATTTATTTTTTTAAGCCTGAATAGAAAATGTCTCCATTATTCACTTTAGTTTTAAATATAGGCGCCTTCTCCCGGCTGGAATCCCCACTGCTAAGCTGGGAGGAGCCTCCAAGCTGGAGCGCTGGGCTTGTCCAGCCAGGCAGCAGACACTGTGGGGAGGCAGTGTGACATCCATCAGGGCTCTCTGTGGCAATGACACTGCATTCCTTTTAGAAAACTCCCTCTCCTCCAGTCTTCCTCCTGAAGGCCACCCCTCTCTACCAGCACTCGGCTCAGGAGGCCTGCGTGGCTCTGACTGATGCCTTTCTCGGCAGCTCTGTCCAGGGGCTAAGGGAGGTGCAGATGAGTCCCTGAGCGCCCTCATGGGGATTGGTCATTTCAGTCCCCATCCTGGGTTCCCCTGGAGGATGTGGGCTCCATGGTGCTGGGCCGTGACTCTCTCTGCCTCAGTGCTCCCAATACCCCCAGCCGTGGACCCTGGTGAGCCCCATGCAAGTGAAGCAGCCCCTCCCAAACCCTCCATCCTTGGAACGCTGTACTGCGGCTGCCAACTCCTCTGGCCTCCACTGCAGACACACAGGGCTCCTCTCTGGAGCTGAAGCTGTACCTCCAGGAGACACTGAGTTCTAGGCTTAGCGCCATAGCGAGCCAGCCCCTTCTTCAGGATGACTGCCAGGGGGAAGTGTCTGTGCATGTGTGTGTTTACGTGTGTGTTTGTATGTGTGTGTGTGTGTGTGTGCATGTGCCTCTCACATGTGTCTGTGATTACCACCCAGCAACTCCTAGACCTGCCCTGTCCCATGGAACTTTCCGGGGTGTGGAGACGATTCTTAGCACTGAGGGTCGCCACAGCCACGTGAGTGCTGGGACACAACCACTGCAACTGAGGAGCGGAGTTTTAATTCTGTTCACTTTAAATTAATTTAAGTAGCCACATGTGGCTAAGGGCCCATACTGGACAGTCGGTTCTTCAAGGAGGTGAATTTGAGATTTTCCCTCAGAAGCCTCCTCTGAGTTCTGCCTGTGCTCTCGGGGGTCTCAGCATCTCGGGCGCCTTCCCCGCCAGGCACCCCCGGGGCGAACGAGGACCGTGGGCCTGTCCTGCCACCATCGCTCTGGAGGTGAGGATGCGGCTCCCGGACACCCGAGGGCGCCCTCCTGAGCCTGAGCCGGACAGAGCGGGGGTCGCGGGAGCTTCCCGGCGCCGGCGCAGCCCCAGGAGGAGGGACGGGTCCTCGCGGTGGGTGACGGTGTCACCGCCAGCATCGCCTCTCCCGGGTTTCGGGGTGGCCGGGGCGCCTCCTCACCGGGGCGGCCGCAGAGCAGGGACCCCAGTGCCTCCCATGGCCGCCCCGACAGGGGACGTTCCCGCCCGGGGCCATTCTCACCGCATCGCGCCCGGGCGGGAGGAGCGCTGGGGCGGCCGGGGCTGGTCTCGGCGGCTCCTGGCCCAGGTTCGTGGCTCTCGCGTTCCCCGGGGTCTGGGCCTGCGCCGGCGGCGGGGCGCCTTCCACCCAGTGATGTGGCGATGCCTCCCGGGCTCATGGGGGAATGTCGGGTCGGCTTCGCGCTGGGCCCACGGCCTCCTCCCGGTGAGACGCCCTCAGGGCTCCCCCATCTCAGCGCCCGGGACGCCGCAGCCATCTCGGTGGGCTGAAGGGAAGTAAGATTCTTGCAGAGGGCGCCTGCCCCAGAAAACAAATTTCATGTACAGGTTTCAAAGAGGCCAAGACGTCCGTGGCTTCCTTCAGGAGAAAGCGGCAAAACCCACGCCCAGATCCGTTGTGCTTTCAGCTTTTCACCAGGAAACTCACTTTTCTATGTAAGAGCAAGCGAGTTCCACAGCGCGGGGAGGCCAGTGGAGAGGAGCGCGGCCTTGCCTGGCTCATGTCCTGTTTCCAGCTTGCCCTGAAAACGAATTACTAAATCCATGGAGGAAGAGCTTGGGGCCTGCCTGGTCCTCGGCCACAGTGGGGCTGGGGCCTGTGACTGCGTGTGCAGAGGGTCCGCGCCCAGGGCCCGGGAAAGGGGCTGCGCTGCCCCGAGCGAGTCCCCGGGCGCCCCCAGCCTGCTGCAGCCACCTCGGGCTCCACATTTCGGCCCCTTCTCCTCTCCGCTGCTCTGGGCTCAGCCACCAAGCTCCACGCTGTGGGCAGAATCCACTGGGGCGCAGGAAACCTCAGCTTCCGCAGCCCACCTGGCCTTCGCAGTCTTCCTCTCCAGGGTTTTATTTCAACATGGCCTTTTCTGCTGCGACTCAGCTGTGGTAGGGGCCAAGTTTGGGTGTGTGAGGCCAGGGAGGTGCGTTGTGTTCTCGCGGAAGAGAGAGACGCAGCGAGGGAGCCCGGGCACACGGACCCAGCTCACCAACCGCAGCCAAACCACCAATTCTGTCCCGTGGCCCTTGGTGACCGGTGACAGGGAGGGAAGGAAACGTGGCCAGCTTCCGCCAGACCACAGGCGAACACAGGTGGGGCGGCCCACTGGCTTGGGCCTAGGAGCTGCAGGAGCAGGGGCCACGGTCCAGCCTGACGCCCCTCTCTTGGGGCAGGAAGTTCCCTCTGTCTGCCGTGAGCAGGGGCACTTGGGAGGGCCCAGCATAGGACCTCAGGAGCTCCCGGAGCAGCCTCAGCAGCCGCAACCCCTCGACCTTGTCCAGCATCACGCCCCGGTGCCAGGGAGACAGACCGAAGAATCCCACCACTGTGCAGGAGAGGAAGCCTACTTTAATTCTGTTCTTGAAGTAATGGCAGGTGAAGATTCGTATGTCATAATTAATTCCTCACTTCTTAGGAATCGCAGCGATTAGCTCTGTCATTCCTTTGTTATCAGAGAGAACTGTGAGTCCTGTTATTCTCACTGCTTCGCCATCTGTGAGCATGCGCAGCCCTCGGCTAAGTTTTCTAAAAGGAACATCACAGCGACTTCCCTGACCTCAGCCAGGACAAAAGGTGAAGTCTAGCACGACGACCCGTGCAGCCTGCATGGCTGGAGGCCCTCCCTTCCCGGTCTCTGGGCACAGGTGCGGGGCCGTGCGCGCGCGTGCGCCTCCACGGTTCCTCCGGGCACAGGTGCGGGAGCTGCGCGCGTGCGTGCTCCTCCAGGGTTCCTCCGGGCACGGGTGCGGGGCCGTGCGCGTGCGTGCGCCTCCACGGGTCCTCCGGGCACAGGTGCGGGGCCGTGCGCGTGCTTGCGCCTCCATGGTTCCTCCGGGCACAGGTGTGGGGCCGTGCGCGTGCGTGCGCCTCCACGGTTCCTCCGAGCACAGGTGCGGGGCTGTGCTCGGAGCGCCTCCAGGTTCCTCTGGGCACAGGTGCAGGGCCGTGCACCAAGTGCCTCCACGGTTCCTGTGAAGGAGTGCGATGGCTCTGTAATTTTTGTCCTCAGCTCCGGTTTACCACAGCTTAGGCCTTTGGGGTCATTTTAAAGTAGTAAAGAAGCTTGAAAGGTAATCCCAAACCAGGTGGTCCTTAAATCATTACTGGGTTCGAAGAATAATTATCATCAGAATAATTTATTATGCATATAATTGTAACTGTGCCCTGTGGACACTGCACATGGTTAAATCAACACCAGGAGGGTATTTTGGTTTCTAAGAACTTTAAAAATATAAGGCAGATGGCATTAATACAGACAAGTAATGAATGAATAAGAATTCATAACAATGAAGCTCTAATGCAACGTATGATTGAATAGGGCAGCTTAGAAGCCTGGAAATTAGGAGGCTCGGTAAGATGAATTGGGTGGTGGTTTCCAAACCTCCTACCAGCATTTGGAAGAGACCCCAGGGATCAGGGCATCTCCAGAATCCAAGCCAGCTCTGCATGTCCGGCCAGTGCCTGCAGCATTTTGGTGCTGAGATAGCATCGTGGGTGGCCCATGGAAGGACGTGTTTGATGGAAGGGAGATAAGAAATGGCCCTAATAAGGAAAGGAAAAACTCTAAGCTGGCCAGAGCTTCCAAGTTGTCCACCTGAGGACTTGGAAGAGTCGATGATCTGAGCTTGCATCTGCAGGGCTGAGGGTGAGCAGGGGTGAGGGTAGCAGAGATAAGAGCTTGAGCCAAGGAGTAAGGGGTGTGACCCACCCCTTGCTTGAGCATGGTCTGTGCTGATGGTGCACTTCTCACCAACAGCAGGGCACAGGGTGTGGGGCATCCAGTCTGAGATTAGATTAAAAAGACTGTGGCTTTTGCTTTGGGGACACTCCCGGCTCATGCTGTTCCGTGCCCTCTGCCCGTCATAAGGACACTTGGCAGCCCTGGGAAGGGGTCACATGGGGAGGACCAGGGCCTGTGGGCAGCCTGGTGAGGGGCTCAGACACCCCACAGGAGCCTGCAGGGGCAGGAAGAGATTTGGGGGAGAGGAAAAGATTTGCTATTTAGGTTGTGGTACTGGTTTCTTGGCTGTATACATATGTTAGGCTGATAATACTTCAATTGCACGCTGTTTATCACACTTTAATTATACACTAATGAGACTGTAAAAACTGAGGAGGTGGCATTATTCGTGGAGAAGAAAAAGCTCAGATTAAACAGGCAGTGGGAAGACATGGTGTTCAGGGGAGGTGAGCCCAGGCGTGCAGATGCTGAGCATGGGCGGTATTTGTCAGGTGATGGAGAAGCTGGCATGCATTATACCTGGCAGGAGTTTGAAGATCTTCCATCTGTGTTTGGATGGCCGCATTGGCTGCAGGGCGTGTAGACAGTGTTGTTGAGAATTGGCTTGAGTGCAAAGGTTAAAATGTACAGTCACTCTGGGGAGTAGAAAGTTTTGCCCTTTTTGAGGTGTAGGGCATGACCTTTAACACTCCCACCATCAGCAGGGAGAAGAGGAATGAAAAGCACAGGAAAACAGGCCAGGGAGTTCATGGATGGAAATGGCATCACAGGCAACAGCCACTCACGAAGATGGACGAGGACCCAAGAGAGAACCAGCGCTGCTCTACACCTGCCTGTCAGTTCGTAGTGGAGAGGGGCACTGTCCGCCGAGCCTCCATCCGTGGAAACGCTCCTCTTCGAGCCCGGCCATTGCTCTGGCTGGGCCTGGTGAGGAATGGCCGACATCACGGACAGTGGCCTTTCCTAGCCCTGACCCTGCAGAGTGCCTCTGGAGCGCATAGTGCTGGCGGACAGGAAGTCAGCAGATCGAAGACAGGGTCCTGGCTTCACGGTGGGTGAGCCGTGTGATGTTTGGGCAAGTCCCTCATGCTCTGTAAGTCTCTCCACTGAGCTGGGTGTGAACGTGGTGCTCTGTGGCAGTGGCACGTGATGACTCCTGCATGGAGTTCTCGTCTCAGCAGGGGCAGTGCCTTGCACCCCGATTTTCAAGCAGCAACCTGAGAGTCCTGGGAGGCCCGTCTTTTCCCCTCGGTCTTTCTGTTGGCCCCACCACTCACATATTTCAGGCCTCACCAAGTCCTGTTAATCCCATTTCCAAAAAATGCCTGGAAGCTTCTACTCCTGGCTCTGCAGCCTCCACCTTTCTCTGAGCTCTGCGGACGCTTCCTCACATCAGCCCTGGATGACTCCAGGAGCCTCCAAAGGGAGCCCCTGCTTCCTGTTCCCCTCCCCTGCGACCTGCTGCCCATGTGCTCCCAAGGGGCTCGTTCCTCCGTGTGGATGGGATCGTGTTCCTGCTCCCCTGCCCCACAACCCACTGCCCGTGTGCACCCGAGGGGCACGTTTTTCTGTGTGAGTGGGATCATGAGCCTCTTTCCTTGGTAGATGTTCTCTTTGCGCTGGAATGAAACCTCAGCTCCCCTGTGACAGGAAGCTCCCCATGGGCCAGTGCTGGGTTTTGGTCTGTCGGCATGTGCTCTCCACCCAGAGAAGACTCACAGCTGGCTGCTCCTCTCACCCCTGAGGCTTCACAGTAAACATCGACTCACAGGAGGGGACCACGTGATTCCCACCGCGTGTCCTGTTCCCTCCATGGAGCATGAGCTTGACCATGGTACAAAGCACCGCACAGCTGCTTTAACCCTGGGAGAGAAGTGTCTTTATGAGATTCTCTGTGTCCCCAGGAAATGCTGCCTTCTCCTGTGAAGCAGTCAGTGGGCCAGGCCCAGTCCTTAAAGATGCAGAGAACCCAACAGGCCCCTCTTCTGCTCACAGCTTCACCTTATGTTATGCAAAATCCCCACACCACTAGAGCATGCTGGCACTGGGTCATGGGTGCCTGCATTTCCCGCAAGCTTGTGACTCGGGGTGCGATACCTCAGCCCGTTTCCAAGCAGCCCCATGAGATCAGGGCTTATTGTGTTTGCTCCATGTATCATGAGGGTGCATCCTGAGAAGGAGAGACTCGCAGGTGGGTGCAAATGATTTGCAGTCACAGAGGAGCCAAGAGCTCCTGACGGGACTAATGAAAGCATGCCTCACTTTAGCCCTGGGCCGGGTTCACGCCTCACCTTAGCCCTGGGCCGGGTTCACGCCTCACCTTAGCCCTGGGCCGGGTTCACGCCTCACCTTAGCCCTGGGCCGGGTTCACGCCTCACCTTAGCCCTGGGCCGGGTTCACGCCTCACCTTAGCCCTGGGCCGGGTTCACGCCTCACCTTAGCCCTGGGCCGGGTTCACGCCTCACCTTAGCCCTGGGCCGGGTTCACGCCTCACCTTAGCCCTGGGCCGGGTTCACGCCTCACCTTAGCCCTGGGCCGGGTTCACGCCTCACCTTAGCCCTGGGCCGGGTTCACGCCTCACCTTAGCCCTGGGCCGGGTTCACGCCTCACCTTAGCCCTGGGCCGGGTTCACGCCTCACCTTAGCCCTGGGCCGGGTTCATGCCTCACCTTAACCCTGGGCCAGGCTGCTGTGTGCCATGTGCTGTTTCTTCATCGGGGGGTTTGGGTACAGAAATACTAAAAATGAATCTTGAAAGAGGTACCGATGGCTTCTTGCGGTTTTTTGGATACAAACAGATTGGTTTTTTCTCAAAGAAGATGAGTGACTATGTTGTCAGTGTCATGGTGCAAAGATGAATACGCACCTGCGGCTAACAAAGCTCCCAGCGATGGGGGATGACCTCGCAAATGTGTCGTGAAATGTGCAGAAGAGGGTTTCATATGCAGGACAGAAGTATCTGGGTGATAGGTGAGCAGTCATTTCTCACTTACTCATCTCTGGGCACTGTGACGTGACTCACATCTGCAATCCCAGTACTTTCAGAGGCCAAGGTGGGAGGATTGCTTAAGGCCAGGGGTTCAAGACCAGCCTGGGCAACATAGCAAGACCCCATCTCTACAAAAAATTAAAAAATTAACCACATGTGGTGGCATGCATCTGTAGTCCCAGCTACTCGGCCGGCTGAGGTGGGAGAATGGCTTGAGCCCAGGAGATCGAGGCTGCAGTGAGCTATGATCCTGCCCCTGCACTTCAGCCTGGGCCACAGAGTGAGATCGTGTCTGTAAAAAATCATCATCATCGTAAAATGAATCACCTGCCACCTGCCATCCATCCTTCTTTCTGAACCGGGTCTGGTCAGTTTCCTCCCAGGGACCTGGTCTCCTGCTCCTGGCTGTAACTTGGTGTAAGAGTTAAAGAAAGAAGAAAGAATCATGAAAAGTGGTTCGACAGTCCAAGACAGGTTTATTTTGGAGAATAAACCTGAGAGGGGCTTCTGGCTGATTTCAGTCAGGAGCATTCTCTCTTACAGACTAACAATATTTAGGGTTTAGAATATTAAGGAGCTTATCACAGGCTTGGATTGTTTCTATGTGAGGGAAAGTTTATTGCAGGGTTGGGATGTCTCTAGTCAGAGGGGAGTTTACCTTAGTGTTGCAGTGTTTCTGTTTATGCTGACATTAGCTGTTAGGCTGATGTTTTGGGGCAGATTTAGGTGGTTTTTTAATCAAGGGGAACTTAAAATGGCAGTGTGTGTCCAGGATGGTGATGTCCTGCTCCTGCTGTAGCTTGGAGGGCAGTGGCTGTGGTGCCCGCCTTCCTCCAACAGAAGACGGGCACCAGGAGCTCATTCTGCAGATTCTTTCTGTCACCACCTGTGCGGTCTCGGTGGTCACAGCCCAGGTTCAGTGGCAGGATGCTGTCCCCGTTCTTTTAATCTCAAGTAAGCGTATGAGGACAGAGTGCCTGGTGGATCCCCGTCCCCCGTGGGCACTGTCCCTGGACTCTTACCATGAGACCTGCTCTGGGCATCAGCTCCAGCTCTGGGCTCTGGGTGCCACCTTTGCCCAGCCCTCCCTTCTATTGCATGACCAGCAAGACCAAGAGCCCTAATAAAGGACAGCAAGGTTAATGGTTTGGACGAGGAAAAGCTGGGATTTTAGGAACAACGGCTGCCAGGCCCTGTCCTAAAGGGAGAGTGGAGTCTCTGGAGGAGCCTGAGGTGGCCCCAGGGACTCAGGAACCTGCGGCTGAGAGCTGGAGAGCGTGGCTCACACAGGTAACCCTGGGACCAGCGCAGTCAGCCGGGAGAAGGCTGAGCATGCTGGGGCACACTCCGTTTTAGTGGCCCCGAGTTTGTTCTATTTTCTGTTGAGCCAGAAAGAGGAGATTGTATTGGATTCCCTTGATCCAGGGTTGCAGGCCTGTTTCTGAGTTACTGATTTCTGTGCCAAATGAGTCTCCTTGCTCGCTGGTCAAAGACCTTGTCCGTTCTCTTTTTCTGTTTTTTTTTTTTTAAGCCTCTGGGGAATTCTCCCCATAAATCATGTTTCCCTGCTACTGAGCAGTTGAAGTGAGAAACCATAGCTGGCACTGCCCCTGCAGAGTAGCCAAGGGCACCTGGCCAGGGCGTCGGCCGCAGCGTCAGTGGTGGAGCTGGCCCAGCAAAGCTGCCCTCCCCGGCAGTTTCTCCACCTGCGTCTTTCTGCTGAAGCCCCTCCGTCTTTCCCCACTGCTCCCACAGTCTTCTCTGGACCTGGGCTGCACACTCTCTCCTCTCTGCCCCTTTCCTCTCCTCCCTCCCAAGCACCCCAAGATCAAGGGCATGGAGCCAGCATATGGTTCTCAGGAGCCGTGGCCGGTCCAGGCGAGAGGCTTCCGGACGCAGAAAGGCCATGGCTGTGGCAGTGCATGCGCCCCTGGGTGCAGGCTCCCCCAGCACATCCCCATCCGACAGAGGCCCAGTCCCACACGGCCTCGTCAGGATGAACTGTGTCTCAAGCGACTGGTTTTCCTGGGGTGGAAGGCACCATCAGTGAGAGGTAGAAGGAGGCTGGGCTGTGGCCTGGCTGTGCTGGTCAGTTGGTTCCTGGGCCCAGGGGGAGTGCTTGGCAAGTCACTGGGCTCTTGCCCTCCTTGTGGGAAGATTTTTAGGGGAGGGAAGAGTACACCTAAAAACAGAGACGTCATTAGCCCTGGATCTCCCTGGTGAGCACTTCTGTGGTAGCCTGAATCCTCCAACACAACCTGTCTGTCACAGACATAGATTCTGAAAAGAAGCACGTGGTCTAGACCCTGGATCGCTCAGCAGAAAAGTGTCATGAGCACTGCACCTTCCAATAAGAAGCATCTCCCGTAGCCCCGGATCCACCAAGAGACCCTGTCATTAGCCCTGGATATCCCAGAAGGAACGCAAGGTCTTCCAGCAAGAAACATCTGCATAGCCCTAAGTCCCTGAACAAGGAATGCCTGTCATTAGCCCTGAAACCCAAGAAGAAACACCTCAGGCCACTGGGCCCCCCAGTGAGAAATGCCTGTCACAGCCCTGGCTGCCCTGAGGAAGAAAATGCCTGTTCTTAGCTGCTGGGTCGGTGGGTAGTTTTGGCAAATGCTGCTCCACGGGCCCGGGGCCTCCTGTGCCTGCAGAGGCAGGAGGGCCAGTTCCCGCAGCTGCACCCAGTTTATTGCTCCCAGCCGTGCGCAGCCTCACCCAGATGGCTGCCAGGATGCATGTGGCGCAGCCCGGGGCCGTCCTTCTGATCTGGAGCCTGGGTGGTCAGTGGGTTTCCCAGGCAGTACGGTGGCCTGCGGCCAGGACGGAGCAGTGAGGGGCAGGCTCACCGGGCTGTGGAGGGAGTGGCCAGCATGTGGGCAGGCCCAGGTCTGGGGCATAGGCACTCATGCATGGCTGCTAGGGCACCAGCGGCCCTGATGTTTGTGCCCTGGGGGTGTGAGCACTGGCTTGAGGCAGGGCCTGGGGCAGCGGCACTGGAACCCGTGTGGTAGGGCCGGAAAGCACTCAGAGCGGCTCCTGAGTAGCAGCAACTTTGTTTCCAGGTCATCCCTGCTTGGCCAGCAGCTGGGGCACAGGAGCATGCAGGCTGCAGCCCTCAGGCACAGGGCAGCAGCAGTGGGCAGTTTAGGGACCACCAGACGCCCCGGGGGCTGGTGACAGGGGACTTGCCCCACTGCTCACCACAGAGCCCCGGCAACCCCGGGATCACAGAGACCCGGCCGCCCCAGGAGCACAGAGACCAGGCCGCCCCAGGAGCACAGAGACCCGGCAACCCAGGAGCATGCCTCCTTGGCCCCAGTTCCGAACAGGGCTTGTGCGGTGAGGGGCGAGGGTGTCCTGTGCTCCCTACACCCGCAGAAGCCGTCTGGCCAAGTGCCCGCCTGCCCAGAGGTACATCCATCCTGGGGCCTGGAGCACGCAGCCCCGGGAGCCCTTCATGTGTGTCCGCAGGGCGCCGTTGACCCCGGTACACGCCCCGGGTTCCTGTGGGGGCTGCGCCTCCTTGATTTTCGGCCTATGTCTGAACAGAATGGGCCATCCCAGGAGGAGTCACCTAGACTGCTTGCTTGCCCCGCAGGACCCAATCTCCAGGCCGGGATCCTGGTCTCTGTCCACTCTGACAGCCTTGCCCACCCGGCCTTTGTGCCCAGGCTTAGGGCACTCCCAGGTCCCGGCGTTCCCACTGCACCTGGGGCCTCGCCCTCCCTAGACCCCGGCTCCTTGGCTTTTCCTTGGGCTCCGCCATGTCTCTCCACCGTGTCTGTCTCCACTGTCTCTCTGCTGTGCCTCCATCATGCCCGCAGCGCCCGCAAGCGCCCTTTGAATAATTGATTTGGTGCAGCTTGAAGCCGCCTGGGACGCTGGAGCCCCTGCCTGCTACTGAGGGATGACAGACCTCACTGGCTTCCTGCAGAGCCCAGCGCCCGGGTCCTGCTTGTCACTGGCCTTGGTTGAGACCCCTTGGCTAGGTCATGATTTATTTTGAGGTTTAGTGCGACCACATGTCAGTGCTGAGGAGAATGATGATCAGATAGTGAATGAGACAAGGATGTAACCGTGAAGATGAAGGCAACGTTTGCCAGACTCCGGGCTCCATGCCACATACGCCAAGTCTCACCACATCTACCCCCAGAAGAGCCCAGCCTGGAGGGAAATGCCTTGGATTCACTGGCCTTGTAGGTGGGTAACAGCCCTAGTGTTGCCAGGAGCCCCCAAGTACCACAGCCTCGGTCTGGGTCACCCAGGACTCTCGTGCAGTGGGTGCGTTCCTCGCTCACTGCCTTCCCTGCCCCAAACAGACTTTCTTCAAGCGATTGCCGGGCCACGGCCTAGGTCTGGGCAACTGCCCCCTCATCTCAGGGACTCCGCACGGCACCCCTGTGAAGTGAAGTCTCTCTCGTCATGGTTTACAGATAAGCGCCTAGTCCAGAGGCCCAGGGTCTGACCCAGGCAGTGGGGGGAGGCTAGGACCCTCAGGGAAGACTACGCACACAGAGGCAGCTCTCCCCACCCCGTTCCCGGGCTGCAGAAGGGGTGCTCTGGGCCTTCTTCCCACTGTCTTTGGCACATAGCTTGTTTTATGTGGAAATGAGAGAACCACCTGAAGGTGCTGCCTGCAGGTCAGTGGCCACCATGGGAAAGGGCTGCCTCCACCCTGGGCTGTGGGCGTCCATCCTCAAAGCTTATTTCAAGAAGAAAAGAAAGATGAATGCGGGGTGTCCTGCCCTCTGGAAAAAAATCGCTGTTTTTAATTACAAGACAATGAGTGCATGCATTTGGAGAAGAACAGAGTGCCCAGGGCCTTCTGAGGATAATGAGCTTCTGGTGACCACACACAAGCCTCTGGGCCCATGGAAAACACTCCATTGCTGGACTTGCATCTCAGGCCTTAGAGAGGCATGGTGGGGAAGACAGGTGAGCCACCCAAGTCTGCACACTCGGGGTCTGCACTTGCCAGTGATCCTGGGACAGTGGGAGCAGGTACCTTTTACCAATTCAGGATGGGGCAGGAGGACAGTGCTGTTCTTGACACAACTGTGTGTGCAGCAGGTGAGGCCACTGTTCCCAAACGTCAGAGCAATCTTGGGCAGCAGGCAGCCAGACACAAGCACCAGAGACCAGGGCTCTGGCTGTGTCCCACTGCAGGCTGGCTGTGTTCATGTGACTGTGGAGGATGGCTGTGCCCATGTCACTGTGGAGGGTGGGTGCGCCCATGTCACTGTGCAGGGTGGGTGCGCCCATGTCACTGTGCAGGGTGGGTGCACCCATGTCACTGTGGAGGGTGCCTGCGCCCATGTCACTGTGCAGGGTGGGTGCGCCCATGTCACTGTGGAGGGTGGCTGCGCCCATGTCACTGTGCAGGGTGGGTGCGCCCATGTCACTGTGGAGGGTGGCTGCGCCCATGTCAGTGTGCAGGGTGGGTGAGCCCATGTCACTGTGGAGGGTGGGTGCGCCCATGTCACTGTGCAGGGTGGGTGCGCCCATGTCACTGTGGAGGGTGGTGCACCCATGTCACTGTGCAGGGTGGGTGCTCCCATGTCACTGTGCAGGGTGGCTGCGCCCATGTCACTGTGGAGGGTGGCTGCGCCCATGTCACTGTGCAGGGTGGGTGCGCCCATGTCACTGTGGAGGGTGCCTGCGCCCATGTCACTGTGCAGGGTGGTACACCCATGTCACTGTGGAGGGTGGTGCGCCCATGTCACTGTGGAGGGTGGTGCGCCCATGTCACTGTGGAGGGTGGGTGAGCCCATGTCACTGTGGAGGGTGGTGCGCCCATGTCACTGTGGAGGGTGGGTGCGCCCATGTCACTGTGGAGGGTGCCTGCGCCCATGTCACTGTGCAGGGTGGGTGCGCCCATGTCACTGTGGAGGGTGCCTGCGCCCATGTCACTGCGGAGGGTGGGTGAGCCCGTGTCACTGCTGAGGGTGGATGCGCCCATGTCACTGTGGAGGGTGCCTGCGCCCATGTCACTGTGCAGGGTGGTACACCCATGTCACTGTGGAGGGTGGTGCGCCCATGTCACTGTGGAGGGTGGGTGCGCCCATGTCACTGTGGAGGGTGGCTGCACCCATGTCACTGTAGATAGTGCCTGCACCTATGTCACTGTAGACATGGTGTGCTACCATGAGGGTGTGCACAGTGTCACTATGTGGAGTACACACCCTCCTCTTTTGCATGCATATTTTCCCTTGTCCTTTTATCACGGTTATCTGTGTTTTCACCCTAGGTTTATGTGGAGAACTCCACATCTACACAGCCTATTTACCCGGAGTTTGGGTCGCCCACTGTGTGGACACTGAAGGGGCCTGACTCAGCTGAGTGGGTGGACTCGTATATGGTTGTGCAGCACCTCCCACCATTTCTCCTCCACATCTGTGCGCTCTCTGGACAACATTTCTTTGTTCTATTGCACCTGTATGTCTTGTTCTTATTTTCAAGGCACGGAACACTGGCGCCTGGCTGTATTGAAATGGTTTTGTCTGCTATTTAAATTGTCTTTAACGAATTCACCATCCATGGTTAAATATTGAGTCAGAGCTGAGGAAACACTTCCTCCTCCCAGTTACCTTTCCATGTTGGTCAGGTCAAGGAGAAAATCTGTCTTTGTTGAGACGTGGTTTATCTGCTTCGCAACATTTAACAGAGGGATGGCTGTGGCCATCATATCCTGCTAATTATTTGTAACTGTTTTTATAGATTTACTTTCTATTAGTGGAAATGTCTGTTGAGCTTCCTTCTTATGCTATAAAGGTAATGCTTTATATGCATTTTTCAGGTATAATAATGTGCTGTGAGATTAAAACTGAATGTACATCATTCCACAGCAGATGGGACAGATGTGACGGCGTCGTGTTTGCATGTGGACAAGGCATTCCTGCAAGCCTCGGGTGTCTGGGCTGGTCTGTTCGGCCGTCCGTGAGGATGCACTGTTCCACCTGCTCTCTTCATCTGTCTCTTGCCCTGCCAGCCTCTGCCAGCACATGGGGCTTCTCTTGGTCTTCTGGAGGATGTGAGGGATGTCACCAGTCACCATCCTCTACAGTGCTGTGGCCCTGGGTGCCAGGGTGAGGAGTAGGAACTCGAAACAGAAGATGATGACAAGAGGAATAGGTGTGGTTGTGTCTGAAGATGTCCATCTGGCAACTTCACTCAACACCAACAGGCAGAAACCTTGGCTGCTGTCGAAGCATAAAAACAAACAACTCTGGAACCAAAGATATGATATTGGGAAAATCTGTGATGGACAGGGCCCTGTAGCTCCTGAAGGGCAGAAGGAGCCCAGGTCTCTGCCTGACTCCTCTTCCACATCGAGCATACTGGACCTGGGGTGGGGGAGGGAGGACAAGCTGGGGAGCACCCAGTGACTCGGAAAGGAGCCACAGCTGAGGGGCAGCAGCCAAGGCCACGCCTGCCCCTCAGTCGAGGCTGTGAGTGTTCTGCAGACCTGGGGCCTGCCATTCCCCAGCACCTGTGCCTATCACTTAGGAGAAGCCGGTCTCGGTCCCCATGGGATTGCCCTAAGAATGTGGTCGTCCCGGAGCTGACATTTCTGAAGGATGTGCTCAGAGACTCTTCAGCCTCCTCTGGTGCCCACAGGGCCCTCCCGGACAGCACGCTTCTCCTCAGGGCAGGGCGGACGCCTGGTTGGCCCCCAGCCTCGGACAGCACGCTTCTCCTCAGGGCAGGGCGGATGCCTGGTTGGCCCCCAGCCTTCAGTGCACCTGAGCAGAGGCACCACTTTCCAGGCCCAGGGGAAGAGTGACCACAGTAGACTCAGCTGTCACTCACGTGCTGCTTTTATCTAGTTGGGTTTTACTGCAAATACCCTCACATGGTCCCCGGGTTCTCACATGCACACAGAAGGGTGTCCAGTCTGGATTGCAGTGATGTTCTGCACATACCCTCTCATGGCCCCCGGGTTCTCGCATGCACACAGGAGGGTGCACACTCCGCCCCCAGGTTCACACATGCACACAGGACGGTGCACACTCCGCCCCCAGGTTCACACATGCACACAGGACGGTGCACACTCCGCCCCCAGGTTCACACATGCATGCAGGAGGGTACACACTCTGCCCCCGGGTTCACACATGCACACAGGAGGGTACACACTCCAGATTGCAGTCATGTTCTGCACCCAACACATGTTTTTGAGCATCTTCATGCTGGGTTCTTTTTCTGGGTCAGTTTCATAAACACCTTTTCCTAGGACCAGCAGAGCCTATCCATCAACCCTGGGCTGTTTCCCTTCCTTCCTGCTTGGCACCCTTCACTCCAGCCTGGATGTGCATGTCAATAATTTTAAGCCAAAAGAGAACAGTGTGAGTTGTGCCCGTGCACCCTCCACAGCTCAGTCGACAGCGAGAGGGCCGTGTGGTCTTCACGGGGATCTCAGAGCCCATCCGATGTCATCAGAAGCTCTGCAGTGAAAGACCCTCCTGCAGGGCCCAGGGACCGGAGCCTTCCAGGAGTCCATGCTCAGTGCGGCTTCCATATCCACAACCTGTCCCTGGGAGGCCCTGCTGCGGCAGAGGGAGGACAGGTCCCCAGCTGAAGACGGCAGCACCTTGAGGCAGGGGGGCCTCCCCGCTTCTCCACTGGCTCCACTGACAAGGAGAATATCCACCTTGCCCTGCATAACCCCATGCTCTGAACAATAGGACACGGTGCTGGGAAGCCGGCCGTGCCCCAGCATGATTTTTATCTAGTGGAGGAAGTGAATAAGCAAGTGTGAATTATGGGGCCAAGTGAGAAAGTGCCCACAGCGATGCCTGAACCAGGTGCTATGGAAACGGGAGGAAGGACCGGCCGGGCACAGGGGGGGCCGGGGGGGGCAGTCCCAGTGGTCTCCTCCCTCCTCCTCCCTGGTCACACTTCTTCCCCGGGGGACTTTATCCTTTCCCTTTCACTGTGCTGATTGCAAATGTTTCCTTCAGAAAAGGAAGACACCGGCTGTAGTGTTTGGGGTGTGGTGGTGCCGGGCGGGGAACATGTCAGCTTCTGAGTCTGGCCGATGACTTCATCTCCGCTCATCCCTGCGATGGACTCAGGGCTCGGGAGTCAGGAGCGAGGTGCCTTCCGGTGGTGGTTACGGTAAATCGGCTGCCACGTCCTACAGCATGCAGATCGGAAGCATCTGATTAACACGAGTGTGACTCGGACCTCCCTGGTCTCCTCCCTCTGTCCCTCCTCCTTTCTTTCATTCAGTCAACATTTTAAAAATTCATACTATGGGCCAGGCACGGTGGCTCACACCTGTAATCCCAGCACTTTGGGAGGCCAAGGCGGGCAGATCACGAGGTCAGGAGATCCAGACCATCCTGGCTAACATGGTGAAACCCCGTCTCTACTAAAAATACAAAAATTTAGCCAGGCGTCGTGGCGGACACCTGTAGTCCCAGTTACTCAGGACGCTGAGGCAGGAGAATGGCGTGAACCTGGGAGGTGGAGCTTGCAGTGAGCCGAGATTGCGCCACTGCACTCCGGCCTGGGAGACAGAGTGAGACTCCGTCTCAAAAAAAAAAATTTCATACTATGTGACAGGCACTGTTGCAGGGCCCAGGGATCAGCAAGAAAGATGAACTGGAAGGAGCGCCCGGCCTCTCAGGCTCCCCGGGTGCAGGGAGGCAGGCACGTGCCCCGTGGTTGCAGCTGGAGTGAGTGACAGACTCCGCACGCCGGGCGGGAGGTGGCACCACAGTGTGCTCTAAAGAGCCTGGGGCCGGGAGAAGAAGGGCCAGAGGGTTTCAGAAAGAAGACCAGAAGGACGTGCAATGTGCAAGGAACAGGGCGAGTGAAATACTGGAGTTAGAGATGTGGACACGCACCTCTCCTCGCAGGAGTCATTCTGTTCAGGTGGCCGATGGAGGTGGGCAAAGGAGGCGGCCAGGGTTGGGGGACCTGAAGGTCTGGATTTCATGCCTTCGGAAACCACAGGGCAGCTTCAGCAGAGGAGAAACATGATGGAGTTTGCATTTTAGTGAGGTTAATGTGGAACAGGACCCAAGCAGAGGGGCAGCCCACACAGGGAGCCATGGCTTCCCTGGCATAGCCATGCCCCAGCCGTACCTGCCACAGGGCACCCCAAATGGATGCTCCTTTTGGATGGGACTTGGGTGTTACAAGCAGGGGCATTTGGGGCTTCCCGGTGCCTGCAGCATGAAGGCACCTTCTTTGAACCCGTAACTCCCCCCGTGGAGATCCAGGCTCCACAGCGGAGTCCGTGAGAGTCCCAAGTGCCCAGCCCCGGGTCAGCTGCACCCAGAGCGCCCTAACAGAAGTGGGAACTCGGTGAATAGTCACTCCATAAATAACTGCGTGTCTGACATAACCCTGTTCTTCGTGTTCATTAGAGCTGAGGATGGCAGAGGAAAAAGCTGGCATATAGTAATTACAGTTGAATATGGGAAGTAGCTTTCCCTCCAGGAGCTCCCTTGCATTATTCTTACTATTAAAGGATTAATCCATTCCTACTTATTAAGAGTACTTTTTGAGAGGTATCAAGCTTTGGTTAATTAATGGAAATTTAAATTTATGAGGAATAAGTAAACTTTTTTGTGAAATACTATTTCCATCGAACTACTGCTAGATCCCCTTGACAGAGGGGGTCTTTAGGAAAAACCATGTGAAAGAAAACCCTACGGAACCTCCCAGGTAAGGTGGCCCCAGAGCATCTCTGAGCAGGTGGATGGCAGCGGGACCCGCCACTCTCACTGAGCCCCCGGGCTCCCCGCGGGAACGAAGGGAAGGCGGTTCTGTTGCATATGTGGCCTGTTGGCCCAGAAAGTGGCTCCCGCGAGTCAGAGTTGCAGAACACACAGCTGGGCAGCCTGCCCTGAGCCGCCCGCTATTCCCGTTGTTCATCAGATCTAAACATGTCAAAACAAGGCCTTCCGGCTGCCTGTTACTCACAAGAAAGTGACTGACATACTTTCCAGCTCGCAAATGATGTGCGTGCTTCCCCATGGCTTCATCTGTGCAGCATGCGGAAGGCAGCTGGGCTTGGATGGCAGCTCTGGCCTGCAGTGTGGGCTGTGGGAGCAAGTGGCTCTGGACGGGAGTGTCCCGCGTGCTGGCTCAGCCACCGTTTCCTGTGGGCCCGGTGCTGCCCTGCCAGGGTTCTGAGATCATCCGTGCCACACCGTCAGCCTCCGAGTCAGGGCCTCCGTGGGAACACTGAGCACCACGCTGGGCTCTGAGATGTGACTGCATTGACCCTGGCTCACTCTACACACGGAACTAAATTCTAGTCATCTTAAACTGCCAAACACACAAACTGCCAAACTGTCAAACTAGTAGAGAAGCCCCCTGGGGAGGCGGTGGTCTCTGGGTACAAGCAGAGCCTAGATGCCTTCTCAGCCAGAGGGCACGCAAGTGCGCAAAGCCTCCCAGGATCCAGACAGAGAAGAGGCGTCACCTTTACAGACCCCACGGCAGGCTCCTGGGATAATTTTAACACCTGCAAGGACGGTAGCTACGGGGATTAAACATGCGGAAATGTTGAGATCGGTGGGTTCACAACAATACTAAACTTATAATTGATACCTTTTGATCACTGCTATTCGGTAATCTGAACAAGTCAATACTGACAAAGCACCATTAATAAATATAATTAATGCAAACAGGTGATTGTAAAACATACATGTGTTAGAAGGGACTTCTGTAAGTAATTTATCCTATAAAAGAATTCTTTAAATCATATACACACACACATATATGATTATTCTTGCAGGATGCCAGTGAATCAAATGTCTTTTAAAAAACAGGTAAATAAACAGGATCTAACATTAATCTTGTCTTTTTTAGGTGAACTGTACTACTAATACGGTACAAACGAGGGAAAGGTTCTCTTTGGATGAGTCTTCCAGCTGCCAAGTGGGGAATGATGGCATGAGAATACTGCCCTTTTGCACCTCCTGATCAATGAATCAAAGCAATGTCACCAATGGCAGATTATACCCCACATAAAGGTAGACCCTCAAGCCAGGGTGAATGATCAAACTTGGATCTGACACAGCGTCCAGAGCCAGCTACCAGCTACAGGAAGCACAGGCCGCAGAGTGCTGAGCTGAATGATGCCCAGACACAGCCAGCACGGTCCCGGAGGTGGCAGGCTCTGCAGGACAGACGGCCATGTCGTTGCAGGTAAATCACATGGAAAGGGGGAGACGGGAGAACCCCAGCATCCCACCGCAGGGTCCAGACGCACGCACACTGATTCCAACACGCTGCAGTTAGCGGTGGGTGCTCGTGGATAACTAGGGCCTGTGAAGGCTGACTGTGAAGTTGACAGTTTGATTGATCTGATGGAATGATTGATAGCTTTTTAAACACGACAGTGGGACTGTGGTTATGGTTTGCTAAACACAGCTTATCTTTTTAGACATGTAGGGGGTTATTTATGGAAGAAATAATGTGAGGTGTGGGACTTGCCTAGCATAATGGGATAGCTGGGGACTTTCTCTTCACTGACCCTTGCTTTCTGGGTGTCCTCAGAAAGGCTGTGTCTTTAGTCACAGTGTGTGACATTCTACATTCATTCTGAATCCCTCGCCTGAATTGGTGCTTGCTGGAACCAGATAGGTTCACTATACTATGCTTCCTATTTAAAAGTTCTAAAATGCAATAGAAGAAAATAGGAGAATATTTTTGTAACTGGGAGGTAGAAAAATTTCCTAAGCAATGCAAGAAACTCTGAAGCCCCCAAATAACAAAACTTTTCTATGACAACATCTGCCATAAGGAAAAGGGAAGGGGAGCCTGGAAGAAGATATTCACAGCGTACGACCCAAGATAGCCGCCCACACGGCACGGAAACCCACAAAATGGAAAGACGGGGAGACCCAGGACTCCGGAGAAACATGAATACAACAACTCAAATGGCCAGCCTCGCTTGTCCTGGGAAACGCCCAGTTAGAAAGGCAGCAGAATACATCTCACCCATGAGACTGGCGGAAAGGAGCAGGGTGGATGGGGTGCTGGCGCTCTGTTGGTGGAACAGAGGCTGGTAACATCTTTCAGAAGGAAACACAGCCACATTGATTCACATGGAAATGCATTTGCTCTAACTGAACAATTCAGTTCCCAGAAATCAACTCTAAAAGCCTCTTGCCCACTGACAGCTTCATATTGTGCGAGCTGGGCACCCTGTGGCTTCCATTTCTGGTGTTTGTGCTGCATCAGCTTTGCTCCTTTGGGACTGGGTTTCCCAAACGCTCTTCCCGCCTTGTTCTGAGTGGTGGGAGCCACACAAGACGTCTGACGTTTGAGGAGATTGGGAAGCAGAAGTGTGGCAGCCCCCACACACCCAAAGCAAGCAGCTACCACAAACGCACTCGCCCCTCTGGGGTGGGCAGCAGGACGGTCCCCACAGGACCCTCATCCAGCAGCCGCTGGGGCTTCCCGCAGCTCCCATGTCACTGAACCTGGAGGGGGCTCAGGGTCCTCACTGCTCACTGAACCTGGAGGGGGCTCAGGATCCTCACTGCTCACTGAGGCTGGAGGGGGCTCAGGGTCCTCAAAGCTCACTGAACCTGGAGGGGGCTCAGGGTCCTCACTGCTCACCGAGGCTGGAGGGTCTCAGTGTCCTCACTGCCTGCTTTGCCTTGCAGTCCTTCTGGGCACAGCCCTGCTGGTCTCCAGCCTGTTTCTCATGCTCTGCTTCACAACAGGTCAACTTCTGTAATATTGCCCTTGAAGGTGGACGTGCAAGCCTGTTCCATCCTCTTGTCCAACAAGGCGAAGGTGTGAGTTTCCTCACGGAGAGCCTGCTGGCTTAGAGGAGATGCTCACCTGGGAATCCGGCTCAGTCACATCACCTGGGAACCCGGCTCAGTCACATCACCTGGGAACCCCGCTCTGTCACATCACCTGGGAACCCAGCTAAGTCACATCACCTGGGAACCTGGCTCAGTCACATCACCTGGGAACCTGGCTCAGTCACATCACCTGGGAATCTGGCTCAGTCACATCACCTGGGAATCTGGATCACTCACAGGGTGCTTTAGCCTGAGCTATAGATGTTCTGATTTGAATCACTGGCCAGGACTGAAACATGGGTTCATTTCAGATCAAACCTGGATTTCTTGCTTCTCTTGGAAAAATTTGGCCACGTTGGGGCCACACTCCCACATAGGAATAACCTCGTGTATAAGGGGGTGCAGCTATTGACTCCCCACACACAGAGGTGTCTGCAGGGGCCACAGTGCCTCCCACCCCCGTGGGGTCCATGCTCAGGCCTAAGGCAGAGCCCCCACTAGTGATGGGCAGGGCAGATGGAGGCTCCTGGTGAGGTTCCCGTGAGAAACAAGGAAGGACACGGGAAGGAAAGGAGGGAGGGGGGAGAGACAGAGACAGAGAGAGAGAGAAACACTGGGACGTTCTCCCCTCCATCCCGGGCACACACAGGGTTTTCTGTGTGTCTATAACATGCTGTGTGTGATGGTGACGACCAAGGGTTGGCAATCGCCTTTCTCAGATGGATCTGAGAGTGGCCCTGCTCCGATATAGTCCCAGCTGTGCTTTAAAGCCTTTGCCACTCCAAATTCACTCAGGGTAGATAGTGCTCAGCGTAGCACATGAGGGCACACAGAACTCTAGAGGCAGCGAGTGCCCCAGGGGCAGTGGCACAGACAAGCTTCCCACATACACAGGGAGCCCAAGATACAGACAGCCCCATCACATAACAGATCACATACACATTGGCGTGGAGCCGTTTCTGAGCTGCTGTTCAGTCCCTTGTGTATCAGGGATTTGCTGATCCCCACTCAGGCCAGGACCGTGTCAGGCGCCCATGGCCACAGCCTGAGCAGGATGGACCTGCCGGCACCGCTGGGACAGAGCCCCTGCCCCAGGCTGAGAAGCAAGTGGAAGGCTCCGGCAGAGCGGGTGCCAAGCCCCCACCCTGGCCTCTCCACAGTCCCGCACGGGCAGAGCCAGCGAGCCAGGCACGAGCCTGGTTCTCTGAAAAAGCGCAAAGTGTACAGCCTCTTTAAATCTGAAATAACATAGACATAAGGGTGCTTATCTCTACTTGATTCAAATGTACTTCAAGTCCCCAGTCACACTGGCAGAACTGGGGGACGCAGCTACTGGCCCAGGTGAGCGGCTGCACCTGCATCCCCCCAAAGCCTCGGGATCCCTGCAGCCTGTGGCCCTGCCCAGCCCCTCCTGGAAGGCTCGGATCCCCTCAGCAAGGCAGGGGTGGCCTCCACAGCTGTGCTCTGTGGCCCCAAGGTGGGAACTCAGCAAGAAATGGCTTTGGCTTTGGTTGGGTTGTGGACGTGATCACCTCGTTGGAACATAAAGTGCATTTGAGTGGCCGGCGTGGCCCATGCTACGCAGGACAGAGTCAGGTCAGGTCAGGTCAGCCGGGGTCGGCACGTGGCGCCATCGCCCCCATGGGTCTCCTCCAGGAAGGACGCCGGGAACTCTGGTTTGCTGTGGAGGCTTCAGGGGGAGCGGAGTCCAGCTGACTGGCCCCTAGCAGTAAGAATCCTGGCATTCAAAGTCTTTGAAAATCTCTCCTGAAGGCCCAGTTAATAGGACGGGGTGGGGGAACTCCTGGGATGTTCCAAACTCAGTCTCATGGAGGCCACTCTCTGGTGACAGTGCCTGAGCTGACGGGACCGCAGCAAGCAGGACAATGCTGACCCAGCGTTAGAGGCAGACGCCGTAGATGCAAACTTGCAGACAGTCCTGGTGGAAGCTGAATGTAGGTACATCAATGGCCCGTCATGCAGCACACGTGCAATGATGGAAGACCACAAGGAAAAACCACAAGGCACCTGAGGAAGGGCCGCAAGGTCACTCCAGGGGAGACCGTGAGATCACTGTAGAGGAGATCACAAGGGGACACCATGAGGTCACTCCAGGGAGACCGCGAGGGGAGACTCTCCTGGTCTGAGAGTCCAGGCCTCAGTTTACCCACTTGCTGAGTCTTAGAAGGCTCCCCCAGCTTTCCAGATCGCCAAGGCAGGAGGCCCGTGCCAGCCAGAGGGCTTCGTCTTTCAGGACCCCCTCTGTGTTGACCTGAGCTCCTTCTGCCTCCTTTTGTCCCTTGTCTGGGAGGAACATGGCGGTGAGTTCAGACCCATCTCCCAAGATGAGCTGCTTTTAGCCCACCTGGTCAGCTCTTTGATTTGAATATGCTGGGCTGAAGTTTGAGGCTTCAGGCCCTTGTGTGATATTTTCATTTTCATTCTCAGGAAGAGCTGTCCCCAGGTTTCAGGAAGTGCCCCGCGGTACCCTGCTCGTCCAGATCTGAGCAGCTCCAGGGTGACGAGGGCCCCTGGGTTCCTTGGGCAGCGGCCGAGTGGCCCCGTCTGCCTGATTTTAGCAGACACTCCGCGAAGGTTTGCCTCTGTCATTTGGTTGGGTTGTGGACGTGGTCACCTCGTTGGAACATAAAGTGCATTCGAGTGGCCGGCGTGGCCCACTCGAAAAGGCTTAATGCCTTTACAGCCCCTAGAAAGAGTGTGGGGCGGCCACTGCCCCCACCCATGTGAACGAGGGAAGCCCCTCCCTCCTGCAGGCCACAGGCAGACAGTGGTCAGGGCAGGTGGGGTCCCAGCCCCGGGGAATGGCTGCTGTTGCTGGTTGGCTTCAGGCAGTTCCTGCACCCTCTCTGAGCCTCAGCCGCCTCACCTAAAATGGGACCTGTTTTCCCTGCCTTTCTGGCTGGCTTCCGGATGCTGTCTGCTGGGTCCCCTGAGACTGGGAGCAGTGTCTGCTGCAGGGATCTCTCAGGCTGAGGGAGAAGGTGGCTCGGCCTGGCAGGCGGCCACGGCCTCACTCCCCTAAGCCCCGAATGGAGTCACTGAGCCGCCTCTCTGCTCCCACGTGTCCTGTGTGCTGTAGGCCCCTGGGCGGTGGGAGACGCTGGCCGCCTCTCCGCTCCCACGTGTCCTGTGTGCTGTAGGCCTCTGGGCGGTGGGAGACCCTGGCCACCTCTCCAGGAGGCCTCCTCCTTAGAGAGGCGTGTGGCCCAGACGAGTCAGGTTTGGTACACGGACCAGGACTTAGGACCTGCCGCCCCTAGTCGCAGGGCCTGGGACAGCTGCCAATCCTTCCTCACATGCAGCTCAGGGCGGCGCCTCCCCAGCTGGACAGGGATTCAAGGCCCTCAGCGCCGGGGCCACTGCTAAGTGGCAGGCATAGGAGCTGCACGTTTCTGAGAGGACATTTCCTGACTCTTACCCCATTTGAATCAAGTAGAGATAAGCACCCTTATGTCTATGTTATTTCAGATTTAAAGAGGCTGTACACTTTGCGCTTTTTCAGAGAACCAGGCTCGTGCCTGGCTCGTTGGCTCTGCCCGGCTCGCTGGCTCTGCCCGTGCGGGACTGTGGAGAGGCCAGGGTGAGGGCTTGGCGCCTGCTCTGCCGGAACCTTCCACTTGCTTCTCAGCCTGGGGCAGGGGCTCCGTCCCAGCGGTGCCGGCAGGTCCATCCTGCTCAGGCTGTGGCCATGGGCGCCTGACACGGTCCTGGCCTGAGTGGGGATCAGCAAATCCCTGATACACAAGGGACTGAACAGCAGCTCAGAAACGGCTCCACGCACCCTCCAGGACACAAAGGCAGCGAATGGATGTGACACAGACGGCGGCCTTTCCGTCCTTCCTCACCCTGGAGTCCCCATGCAGCCTCCGCCGTGCAAACCAGCCACGCATCAGAGAGACCACAGCCCGCGCCTCTCCCCGAGCCCAGACCCGTGCCCGGCTGCTCCTGAGCAGCCCTGACCCTGATTCTCATGTGGAAGTCTCAAACCACGGCTACCACCACCAAGCAGGCGTCTTCCTTCCCACGTGCACGTTTTCCTGCATGCTTCCACTCTGAGTGAGGGGAGATGCCATGGAGAGCTTGGTGCTGCAGACCCACAAATCCGACTGTGCTGGAAGTGGTGCTGGCCAGTGCACAGGGCAGTGGGGCTTGCAGTAGCTCGGCGAGAGACCCCGGGCGGATGGCAGTGATGTGTGGGGAGAAGCACTCAGACCCTGGCTGGGTTTTCCATGTAGAAGCTTCGGTGTTGTTGATGGAGGCTGGGGTCAGGGTATGAGCAGAAGACAGGGCAGGGCAGTGCGGGGCCTCTAAGCTCTCAGCTCAGCCTCAAACAGCGTGGCCTATGGGACAGCACAAAACCACTTGTGCTGGGACACCGCAGGACATGCATGACCTATAATGCAGTGGCCAGAAGCACCATCACAGTCATTTGGTGGAAACCAAAGACAAAAGTCCACAATAGATTCTGAAGAGGGGCGAGCCAGGTGGTCATCATTATAGAGCTTTTCTGACAGGACGGGGTCCTCCACGTGCCCCTCAAGAGGCAGACACTACAGGTGTGCGGCGGGGACCCACGCGGGAATGGCCACCTCTGTCTCAGGCAGAACAGACTGACGCCACCTGCCCCTGTCAGGGCCACACCTGCAGGAAAGAATTTCAAACTTCAGATCTGAACACTCTGGAAAAAGAGAGTGAATGTTTAAGCTCCCTCTCAGCCTGGCAGTGGTGGCATCCACGGGCGGCGAGTCCAGATCCTGAGGCTGCCACAGCCCCTGCACCGTGTATGCCTATATGCAAGGACACCCAGCTGTGGTGAGGCCTGGGGCCGCCGCCCTCTGCTCCAGCCACCCCTTGCTGCTCTCTGGGGGTTCCTTCAGCTGCAGGAAGCCAGGGCCGCTGTCCATCCCGAGGCCCCGTCCCTCCTGCCACCCTCTCGGCCTGCACCTGCCAGAGTCCAGAGAGGTTTTCCAGCAGAGGCTGTGACCGCAGCCGGCGAGAGATGAAGACGGAACCCGCTCCCCACGACATGTACCCAAAGGCGCCGGCCACAAGGAAACATGCACAGGACATCACAGGGCACGTCTGACAAAGATGCGGGGGCTGCGAGGACTGGGAGTGGCTGTCCACGAGGGCCCAGGGCCATGCTTTCATGGACCGTCTTACCCGCCTGCTCAGTCGAGGCCGAGAGCCCCGGGGAGAGCCGTGGCCGCCTGCCCCAGGCAGCACTGGGCATTCCCACGCTTCCTCCTCTCCAGGACAGGCTCCTCAGATGAGAGCAGGGATTGCAGCACGGGCCCGGGCACCCCGGCCGCGACCCCGCCATCTCTGAGCCACGCCCCCTAGCCAGGGCCGCCCACCCACTATCACTGAGGCCCACACCTGCTGAGACCCACACCTGCCGAGGCCCACACCTGCCCAGGCCCACCCATTATCACCGAGGCCCACACCTGCCGAGGCCCACACCTGCCGAGGCCCACACCTGCCGAGGCCCACACCTGGGGGATGGGCAGTCGGGGGAGGACGAGTGGTGCCGAGGGTCTGGGGGGCCCCTGAACCACCAGGGCGAGGTTCCCGGCTGGGGAGACGCAGAGCCAGGGCTCTGCACAGGGGGTGCCCTGGGGAGCAGGCATGAGAGCCACTTCTGCGAGGTGAGGTCACGAGACAGACGTCAACAAGGGCTGGCCAGAGAGAAGAGCCGGTCACCCAGGGCCTCGGAGGGAAGGAAGGCTCAGGGACCCGCGGGACGAAGGCTTGGAGAAGCCCCTGGGGAGCAGCTTGAGCACAGCGAGCTCTGGGACAATGGCCAGTGTCCAGCGACAGGGTGTTCAGAGACGGGGTGTCCAGCGACAGGGTGGGTCCGAGGGGACAGCGGCCGCCATGTCCAGCGACAGGATGGGTCCGGGGGGACAGCGGCCGCCATGTCCAGCGACAGGGTGGGTCCGAGGGGACAGCGGCCGCCATGTCCAGCGACAGGATGGGTCCGAGGGGACAGCGGCCGCCATGTCCAGCGACAGGGTGGGTCCGAGGGGACAGCGGCCGCCATGTCCAGCGACAGGATGGGTCCGGGGGGACAGCGGCCGCCATGTCCAGCGACAGGGTGGGTCCGAGGGGACAGCGGCCGCCATGTCCAGCGACAGGGTGGGTCCGAGGGGACAGTGGCCGCCATGTCCAGCGACAGGATGGGTCCGAGGGGACAGCGGCCGCCATGTCCAGCGACAGGGTGGGTCCGAGGGGACAGTGGCCGCCATGTCCAGCGACAGGGTGGGTCCGAGGGGACAGCGGCCGCCATGTCCAGCGACAGGGTGGGTCCGAGGGGACAGCGGCCGCCATGTCCAGCGACAGGATGGGTCCGGGGGGACAGCGGCCGCCATGTCCAGCGACAGGGTGGGTCCGAGGGGACAGCGGCCGCCATGTCCAGCGACAGGGTGGGTCTGAGGGGACAGCGGCCGCCATGTCCAGCGACAGGGTGGGTCCGGGGGGACAGCGGCCGCCATGTCCAGCGACAGGGTGGGTCCGAGGGGACAGCGGCTGCCATGTCCAGCGACAGGATGGGTCCGGAGGGACAGTGGCCGCCATGTCCAGCGACAGGGTGGGTCCGAGGGGACAGCGGCCGCCATGTCCAGCGACAGGGTGGGTCTGAGGGGACAGCGGCCGCCATGTCCAGCGACAGGGTGGGTCCGGGGGGACAGCGGCCGCCATGTCCAGCGACAGGGTGGGTCCGAGGGGACAGCGGCTGCCATGTCCAGCGACAGGGTGGGTCCGGAGGGACAGTGGCCGCCATGTCCAGCGACAGGGTGGGTCCGAGGGGACAGCGGCTGCCATGTCCAGCGACAGGATGGGTCCGGAGGGACAGTGGCCGCCATGTCCAGCGACAGGGTGGGTCCGAGGGGACAGTGGCCGTGATGTCCAGCGACAGGGTGGGTCCGGGGGGACCTGCTCTTCCAAGACCACATCGTCATAATTCTGTGAACATTTACACTGAAAAACAAGTGTTTGACTGGCACCGATGCCTGGCACAGCTTCCCTCATTCATTCCCATGTGCACACCGGGCACCTCCTTCATGGCCTCAGCCTCCCTGGTCCCCGATTTGCACTGGACCTGTGACCAGGGCTTCCTCACCTGAAGATCGACCCGGTGCCAGCCTCCGTCCTGCTCCCCCAGGCTCAGCCTCCCCACAACCCAGTGGCCTCCCCCTCCCACGGCCCCCTCAGCCGGGCACCATCACACTCTTGGGTTCACATCGGGCCACCTCCTGGCTGGGCGGGATGAGCCCTGTGGGGCTGGGACGTGCATGTCAGCAAAGGAGCCAGCACCAGGCTGGTCTGGAGATGCTAACCCAGAGGTTCCTGGATCTGGCAGGCTGTGCGCGGCCCTCCTGGCCTGGCCGTGTCCTCAGCTGGTGCTGCAGCCCATCCTCTCTGATCCGCACAGACCTGTGGCCACCCTTGTGTGTGTCTGCGGCACATTTAAATTACACATGAATTGAGAGAAGGACCTGCCCCGTGGACCTCTGCAGCCTCCACAGGACCTGCAGGTGCGGAGTGGTTCCTTTCTCATGGTGTCGAGGGCCAGCAGGCTGCACTCTGTCTCCCCACGCGAAGTGCCACAAATAGCCGATGTCTCCCCGCCCTTTCCTCAGCTGCTACTGCTGGGTTCTAACCTCCAACAGGCCAGCCCCAAACCAGGCCCCTGGCACCTGCTCAGGCCAGCCAGCCCGTCGGCCCCTCTGTGGGTGTCTGGTCTCAGGCCCTGACCTCTGGTGCTATGCCTCAGCACCCAGAAATGCTCTGCACGCAGTGGTCCCCGGTCCACAAAATGCACCCCTGTATGTTCACACACATGCATGTGTTCCAATAATACACACTCACAAGCCTCACATACACACATATGCCTATACAGTACACACAGGCACACACAATAAAACTCATACACACACATACACACACACATGACACACACAAGCACATACGTGCATATACATTACACACATACAACACACACAAGAATGCAAACACACATATGCATATACATTACACACAGGCACACACAACACACTCATATGTACACACGTACACAACACACAACACTCATGAGCACACACGCATATGCATATACATTACACACGGGCATACACAACACACATGCATACACACAGGTACACACAATAAAACTCACATGCACACACATACACACACAACACACACAAGTATGAGACCCCACAGTCAACCAGATCGAAGTAAACGGACGATTGGATGGAGCGGAAATCCCCTATCACCCTCTGCTTTGAATAGTTTGCTATCTGCATGATTTAAAGGAAAACTGAAGCTCTTATTAGAATAAAGTAAAAATGATCATTTCTTACCTTAAAATATAAACACGTGTCTGTATGTCATGTGTGGCCTGTCAGGAAGATGATTTGCATTGTCGGTTTCTGAGTGTGCTTTACAGGAAATAAAGGATGAGGCCCCTTCACGTGATGGGCTCCCGTCTTGCACGCTGGTTACCCCTTGGAGCTTCCCGTTTATGTGGATTGTGGCAGTGACTTGAAGTGGAGCCGAGTGTAGTGACCTCTTGTTAACGCCAGAGAGGTCTGTGGACCAGTGTGCTTTCTGCTCACATCGACTGAGAGTGCCACTGGGTAACAGCGGCATTCTCACTGAGTGTTTTCTTCATCATACAACTGCACCTCTGACGATCTCAGCCCACACAGTGGGAGGCGCTCCGAGGGCACGGGAAGCACCGGGCGACCTCAGGAGCTGCAGCGCCGCCAAGATGTTGGCCTCTTTTATTTCCTCACTTTCCCTTTTATATGGTTTTAGCTCTCACATTCTATTTAACTCTCTTTATAGCCATTTGCCATTGTGTGAGATGGCAGTTGCCTGCAATCTCCTGGGACTTGCTACTCTGGACGGAGGCTGAGCCCCTGAAGTCCACCCATCTATGACTCCTGGTCCACCCAGGCATTGGCCCTGCCTGGGGATCGTGCCTGAGTCTGCGCGGCCCTCTCCACTCAGAGCCGCCTCAGAGCCTCCTCCACAGCCCACGTAGCCCTGCCCGCTTTCCCTGGGATTTCGGGTGCAGTCGCAGGGTTAGGGGTGAGGGTTGGCCCCCCTCCAGGCAGGAGTGCCAAGTCCTTTCCAGTGCGGCTGCCCAGTCTACCGCGGACCTCAAGGTTTGGAGGCAAATGGCCCCACATCCCTCCTGACACCAGGACACCCAGACTTTCTGTTCCTGCAGGTCCCATGGGTGTCGGATGGGGCCTCAGGCTGAGCAGCGCATGTGGGTGCCCAGTTCATTTGTGAAACACCTTCTGTGTCCTCTGCAATCACCCTGCAGGGCTGTTCAGGGTCCTCGTGGGTGTGAGGTCTGCAGGACAGCGGCCCACAAGGTGCCCACGCCCATTCTCAGAACCTGAAATGTGTCACCTGTGTGGCAAGAGGGGCCGTGCAAATGCCATTAAATCGAGGACACTGAGCAGGGAGGTGTTGCCACATGATTCAGGGGGCCTGATGTCCTCACGGGCATCCATAAAAAGGAAAAGAGGGAGGTGGAGGGTCGGGCTGGCCAGAAGGCCAGGCACAGACCAGACAGAGGCTGGGGTAGAGCACAGAGAGGGTTTCTCCCAGGAGCCTCCAGAAGGAACCAGCCCTGCCCACTTCTGGATTTTCGCTCACAAAGACTTGGGCGGGATTTCTGACCTTGAGAACTGGAAGGAAATAAATTTGTGTTCTTTAAAGCCACTAAATTCATGGAAATTTGTTGCAGCAGCAAGAAGAAAGGACTCCGTTGCAGAAGAGGTCTGTAAAAAAGATCTTTGGTATCTATCATTTTTAGTTGCGTGTATTCCAAAATCTCCCAGTCTGAAATTTTTAAGATGTTTTTTGATGAAGAAAAGTTTATAATTTAAATATGGTCAAATTACCAACATTCTATATTTAGCTTTCTTTAAGATAAGCTTTCCTATTTCAAGGAGTAAAAGATACTCACCTATATGGTGTAAATTAATGGAGAGATATATCATGTTCATAGATAGGAAATGACAATTTTAGCCAGTTTGAATCTATAGACTCAGCCCAATTCAAATCAAAGTCCCAATAGAGTTTTCTATGGAGCTCAATGAGCTGATTCTCCAAGTGTGAGGAAAGAAGGATCCAGGGAAAGCCCATACTCCTTGCTGTGGTGTTTAGGGGGGTGAAATTTTTGTGTCAACTTGACCGGGCCAAGAGGTGCCCAGATACTTGGTCAAGCATTATTCCAGTGTGTCTGTGAGGGTGTTGTTGCGGGAGACTGACATTTGAACCTGAGCATGAGAAAGGTGTGGGCCTTGGTGTGTCTGTGAGGGTGTTGCTGGGGGAGACTGATGTTTGAACCTGAGCGTGAGGAAGGTGTGGTGGGCCTCGTCTGAACAGTTGATGACCTGAATACGACAAAAGGGTTGAGAGACAGAACTGGGATGAGAACTGACGCCGGCAGCTCTCTGGGTTGCCACTGGCATATCTTGGACTTTGCCTCCATGACTCAGTGAACCAGCTCCTTATTGTCTATGTATATGTCCACTTCGTTCTGTTTCTCTGGAGAACCCAGGCTAATCCAGTGTTCCAGTTTCTGCAGGTTTCTGAGGTACCACCCCACCCTTCCTCTGTGCCCCACACGCCTCTCAGAACACTGATCAGGCCCAAGTCACCAGGGATCTGGGAAATGCAGGAAGGATGGGGGAATGAGCTCTGTGAATTCACGCAGAATGCTGAATGCATAATTTATCACCCTAAGTAAAGACATCCTCAGATACAAAGGGCATAGAGTTGAGCTTCCCAGTGAGACGTACACCCTTAGCCTCCTCCCCGCAGCCCGTCCAGGACAGGAAGTACGAGGAAAGCCTTCTGCGGTGCCTGCAGCGGGCGGGTGGCTTCCTGTCCCAGACTGAGGTGCCTGTCCCAGATCTCGGGGGCAGCCCCACAGGCATGGCCGGCAGAGCCGCGGGACAGGCCCCCCTCTACAGAGGCCGCTCAGGGTGTTTTCTCTGCCAGGCCCCAGCCAGGGTGAGGAAGCAGAAATGACCTACTTTCCCTCTGGTGATTTGCTATCCTGATGGCCTCTCCCTGTGGAAGAGATGCAGAGGCCAAGGTGAAGGACAGCGGCTCCCTCCAGCACCCGGCCAGGCGGGCCATGGGCCAAGCAGGTGGGCCCTCTGCCCCAGGGGTTCCGGGTGTGCCGGGTGGTGTGGGAGAGGCCTCTGCTCCTTCTGAGCTGCAGAGAGTGGGGCTGGTCTGAGGCCGCCCTGCCTCTAGGCCATCCCTGCCAGTCTTGTCTGCAGCCCCGTTGCCAGGGCGCAGTCCTAGACAACCTGTCACATGCCTGAGGTCAGAGGTCAGGGTTGCTCCTAGGTTCTGAAGCCTTGGACCAGGGGACCGGCCGGAGCTTCTGTGCCTGAGAATGCTGAGCCGGTCCAGCATGGCCCAGGTCGATTGTGCAATCCTGGGCCAATAGCTCCACACCTTCCCTCAAGGTTTTTTGTTTGTTTGTTTGTTTGTTTTTGAGACAGAGTCTCGCCCTGTTGCCCAGGCTGGAGTGCAATGGTGTGATCTCGGCTCACTGCAACCTCTGCCTCCTGGGTTCAAGCGATTCTCCTGCCTCAGCCTCCCAAATAGCTGAGACCACAGACACACACCACCAAGCCCAGCTAATTTTTGTATTTTTAGTAGAGATGGGGTTTCACCATGTTGATCAGGCCGGTCTTGAACGCCTGTCCTCATGACCTGCCCACCTTGGCCTCCCAAAGTGCTGCAAGTACAGGCGTGAGCCACCGCGCCCGGTGCCCCCATCAAGGTCTTCTTAAGTAAAATGGAGCAGGCGTCTGAAGCTTCACCACCCAAGGACCCGACTGTCTCAGAAACGACCCCTGGAGGCCGAGGACCCGAGTCCCACAGCCACTCCCTCACCCTGGCCTTGTGCCCCATGGTTTTCTCTCTTTCCTGTGAGTCCCACAGCCCAGCCTGACCAGGTTGCAGCCCTGGGCTGGGCCACATCCTGGTGAAATCCCCCTGATCCTGACAGTGCTGTTTAAAATGGAGAAAACATGGGTTTGTCAGCAAATGGACAGTTCTGGGAGTGACAGTACGTTCCCATGCGGATAAGGTGTCTGTCTGTATCCCTGCTTGCCCCTCTGTGCCGGCTCGAGCTAAGCTGTCCTGGTGTGGCCCCTTGGCATTAGCCTCTGAGCTGTCTCCACGGCCTGACCGTGCCCTAACTCTGAACATGAAGGGGAACAGTCCCCCGGGGCCAGCCGGGACAAAGCAAAGTGGTGCTGAGAGTGGGGGCGGCAGCTGCTTTAAGCTCGGTGGGTTTGCCGATAGGACAATGCATGCCAAGCAGCTGGGGATGGAGCTGCAGGCCCCTCCAAGCCCCTGCCCTTCACTGCTGGGTGGGAGACTAGAAGGCCGCATCACCCAGTGTCTGTGGCCAGAAGCTCCAGCCATGGGTGTGACCCTGAGTGGTGGCTCAGCCCAGGTGCTGAAGGCTCTGGGCCCTGTGGGGTGATCCAGGAGCAGGGGCCTTTGTGGACAAGGGCACCAGCCTGCGCGGTGAAGCTCAACCACAAACGTGTTTTGAAGGAGGGAGCCACTCCTCCACCAGCCTTTCCAACTGAGCATCCATGTGGGTGCACCTGCCCTGGTGGCCTTCCGAGCCCCGTGGTCACAGCCTCTCCTGGGGACCAGCTCTTCAGAGAACATCTCAGGAGCCTGACAGCACTGCCGTCCTGTGGCCCCGTCAGGACCCTGAGCCACAGGCCCAAACAGAATTCTGTGGGCTTAGCTCCCTGCTGGCTCCCTGCAGACGCCTCTAACAAGGCCTGTAAATGATGTTTCTTTGAATCAGGCTTGTGTGGCGTGCTAAAGTGCATTAACTTTTATTTATGTTACAGTATTAAAAACAGATGAAACATCAATCGATCCATTGGGGTGCCCTTTGGGAGTTACAGACAAAATAATTTGAAAGATCTTTTTTAAAAATGTGTTTGAATTGAAGCTCCAGATGGTGCTTAAAGATGTGTTGGAGGGTTCTGTATAACTCAGAAGGAAGAACAAAGACAAAACAACAACAACAACAAAAGAGATGCACGAGTGAGTGTGTGTGCGGCTTCGTTTATGCCGAGGACTCTAATGCAGAGAACACAAACTCTGCAGGCACAGAGTCCAGACCCACACCCAGCACCCGGTGCCTCCCTGCTCCGCTGTTCCCAGGCCTTAACAGTGAACCTCAGCGTTCGCCTTTGTAAATGGAGAAAGCCATCTCTTTTGTAGGGTATGGGGGCCCTCAAAGAGATAGTGCCTACCTAAAAAGAAGGAATGCTGTTAGACCTGACTTGAGGCTAGAGATGCTGTAAAGGAGCTCAGCACACAGTAAATGCTCAGTAAGTGTTTTCCATTCTTTCCAGCAGGACCACTCACTGCAGGTCTTATATTTGCCTAAGAAATTACTGAATGCTTGTCCCACAAAGAAAATTGTTGGAACTCATAAATGAATTTGGCAAAGTTTCAAGATACAAAATCAACAAACATCAGTTGTGTTTCTATACACGAACAATGCATAATCCAAAAAGGAAACCAGGAAAAGGATCCAGGTTCAAGAACATCGAAAAGGAATAAAATACCTAAAAGCGAACTTAACCAAGGAGGTGAAAGACTTGTACATTGAAAACTACAGGACATTTCTAAACGAAATTGAAGAAGGCACAAATAAATGGAAAGGCATCCTGTGTTCACTTAGTATTGTTAAGATATTCACAACATGCAAAGCAGTCTCTAGGAATTCTATAAAATCCCTACCAAAATCCCAATGGCATTTTGTGCAAATGAAAAAAATTAATCCTAAAATTCATACATAAAGTCTCAAGGGACCCTGATTAGCCAAAACAATCTTGAAAATAAAAAAGAAAGATGACTCACATTTTCTGATTTCAAAACTTACTACAAAGATATAGTAATCAAATGGTGTGGTACTGGCAGAAAAAAAAGACAGATATATAGAGCAACAGACTAGAATAGAGGGCTCAGAAATGCACATCTGTGGCTAAATGACTTTAACTCACGCATCAAGACCACTCCATGAGGAAAGGATGACCTCTTCAAATGATGCTGGGAAACCTGGCTGTCCATATGCAACAGAATGAAGCTAGACACTTACCTTACACTATGAACAAAAATTAACTCAAAATAGGTCGAAGACCTAAATGCAAGACCCAACATTGTAAATGTCTTAAAAGAAAACATAAAGGAAAGTTTTATAACATTGGATTTGTCACGAATTTCCTGCCTGTGACACCAAAAGCACAGACAATAAAAGCAAAAATAGACAAATGGAACTACATTAAAATTTTAAAACTTCTGTACATCAAAGGACACAATTGACAGAGGAAAGGCAACCTATGGATGGGAGAAAATATTTGGAAATCGTGTATCTGGCAAGGGGTTAATATCCAGAACATTTACAGGACTCCTAAAATTCAATAACAAAAACCAAATGACCCAATTTAGAAACGGGCGAGGGACTTGAGTAGACATTTCTCTATTTCTCTAAAGCTGGTATACAAATGGCCAGCAAATACATGAAAGGAAGCTCAACACCACTAAACATGAGGGAAATGCTAATCAAAAACATAATGAGATATCACCTCACATGCAGTCGGGTGACCACTATCAACAAAAGTTAAAAATTGTTGGCAAAGGTGAAGAGGAATTGGAACCCTTGTTCCCTGTGAGCAGGAAGGTCAAATGGTGCAGCTGCTGTGGAAAACCCTAAGGCAATTCCTCACAAAATAAACATAAAATTAGCATATTGTTCAGCAATCCCCCTTCTGGGTGTATATGCAAAAGAATTGAAGGCAGAGTCATGAAGAGATATTCATAGAATCCAGCAGCATTATTTACAATGGTAAAAATGTGGAAGCAACCCAAGGGTCCATCAACAGATCAACGGATAAACAAAATGTGTGTGTGTTGTGTGTGTGTTGTGTATGTGTTGTGTGTGTTGTGTATGTGTTGTGTATGTGTGTGGTGTGTTGTGTCATGTGTGTATGTGTGTTGTGTGTGGTGTATGAGTGTGTGTGTTTTGTGTTGTGTGTGTGTCGTGTGTTGTGTATGTGTTGTGTGTGTGTTGTGTGTTGTGTATGTGTTGTGTGTGTGTTGTGTTGTGTTGTGTGTTATGTGTGTTGTGTGTGGTGTATGCGTGTGTGTGTTGTGTGTATGTGTGTGTTGTGTGTGTGTGTACACACAGTGGAACAGCACTCAGCCTCAAAAGGAAGGAAATTCCAACACATGCTACAACATGGACGACGTTTGAGGGCACCATGCTCAGTGGAATAAGCCAGCCACAGAAAGCCAAGTCCTGCATGACCCCACTTCATGAGGTCCCTAGAAGAGTCACATCCCAGAGAGGGAAAGCAGGAAGGTGGGTATGGGGGCAGGGGAAGCAGCAGGGACTGAGTGTTTAATGGGGGCGGAGGTGAAAAGGCTCTGGACTAGCTGCACAACAGTGTGGATTTACGTAACACTAAGGAGCTGAACACCTAGAAATGGCTAAGATCATCCATGCTGTGGGGTGTCCTACTGAAGAATTACCCTGGCCCCCGAGGACCTCACCACTGGGCAAGGGTAAGAAGTGGGTGCTGATGAGAGCAGTGGGCACTGGGCACTTGCCCTGAGGTTGGTGTTTCCAGGCAGGCCTGATGGCTGCCAGGACAGCACCCAGTCCTTGGCTCCTTGTGGAGCCTCCCCTCTCATGGCCTGGGGTGACCCAATTCCAACAGATGAACTGCATCTCCAAGCAACCGTAAGAAGCACTCTTTGTGAATGCGTGCATGTGACTTGCTGGGAGTGTGTTTCCAAACGTACCCAGGGAGAAACAAAATAAATTTTAGAGGTTCTTCTAAGTCTCTGGACTGGCATTATAGCCAGACGCTGTGGTCACTGTCTCCTGAGCCTTCGCCATGCCTACAGACTTTGAGGAAGTTTGAGAACCAGCAACATCATCCCAACATTGCCGAGTCATCTCCCAGGAACCAGGATACCTCTTCTTGGCTGGAGAGACTTTTGCTGGACAGAAAAGTGGTTCCCTCACCATCAAGGTGCTGAGCAGGTGGGTGCCCTACCCAAGCCGCCTGGAATTCTCGAAGGCTGGAACTCTCCATGGCTGGAACCACACTTGTGTATGAGGCATGGATTCTTCTGCCTCTGCTCTGCCTGTCTCTTCCACTTCCTCAGCAACACCACAAGAGTGACTCACAACCCCCAGCCCCTGGCCAGAGGCCTGGCACCGATGGCTCCCACCTCAGGGAGCCCCTGGGGGCAGGAACATCTTGGTGCAGGGACGTTCGGTAAGCTCTGGACACTCCACCGGGACACATCTGCCTGGAGCCAGCCCATTCCATGGAGGGGACGGTTGGGTGCACATGAACCCCTCGTCTATTTGAAAGTGTGGAACGATCTAGAGCAGGCAGTCAGGAAACAGTTTTCTAACGAGTGAGAGAACGAGACAGGAAAGTGGATGGTGAGTGTTAGTGGAGTCAGGTTTGTCAGAAATTGAGTTACTTCCCCCTTCTCCTTACCTTAGACAAACTGAAGTGAAAAGTAGTTTGTCTTAGCTATACAAAAATCTTTTTTTTTTTTTTTTTTTTTTTTTTTGCAAAATTCACTCATCTCTTTATTCATTCATGAATCAAATCTTTCCTAGGGTGTATTTCTCTCCAGGGCCTTGTACTGTGTTGGGGACCCCCAGAAGAAAGTGATGTGGGGTCCTTCCTTCCTTGGGCCACAGACGATGTGAACCAGAATGGTCACAGCTGCAAAACCACCCCTCTCCAAATGCACGTTTCAACTGACAAGGCCAAAAGTGTGGCCTTGGAGAGATCCTGCAGCCACAGGATGAGATGTGACTCCCAGGAAAGGACCGCTGTGACCAGCGAGTCTGTGCGTCTGCAGGCTGGGTCCCTGTGTCCTCCACATCCTCCTCCCCAGCAGCTCCCTCACCCATGGGATGGAGATTTGCGAGGGCCAAGTCAACGCCTGTGCAGCCACCAGTGGGCTGAGACAGGACTAATGTGAGGGCACTGCAGTTTTAAAAGTTTAATTGGAAATCAAAATGGAAATTTAGGAAACAGGAAATAAGACCAGGAGGAGGCCCAGAAGTTCTGTTTGGTGGATGCAGGGCTCCTGAGAATGCAAAGCTAGGTACGAAGGGAAGAGGAAAAGACAGTGTGGAGCATCCAAAGTGGCCACCTCGGGCTTGTGGTGGTGTTGATTTCTCATGTTCTATATTTTTCATATTTTCTAATATTTTTACAGGGCATTCTTGTGATATAAGGAGGACATTACAAAAAAATCATACATTTTTAAAATAAAGACAAAAAATGTGTTCAAAGAAGTGACAAGCGTAGCCCCTTTTTGTGTTCTGAAAAAGCTCAGTGCATGGCAAGCTTCTGAGTCCCTGTCTCTGTATGAACAAAGGTCTTGGTGTTTTAGAAGGCAAGGTAGACTCCTACTGTTCGTATTCTTGTGCATCCAATGTAAACTTTGTATTCTACCTAAGGCTTGTACAAATCACTGTGCTTTGCTCTGAAGTGGCCCAGAGAAAGTCTGGATGTTTCAGGGCCTTTAAGATGAGTGAAGTAACAAGGTCTTGCCACACACTCAGCCCATTTAACATTTATGTTTCCAAAACATATTCTGAATCGCTGAGCTTGAGAATGAAGTGACTCAAGGTATAAACCAAAAATAAGATTCTAAGCCCCCACAAGGCTCTAAATGGGCCCCTTCTCTCAGCCACGGGCATTCCGAAGTTAACCTGAAAAATTCCTTCAGGCCGTGACAGGAAGTGGGGGTCAGACATTTCTCATTATACCACACAACCGCTGGAACCCAGGAAAAGCTGACCAGCAAGAACACCGTGACAGGAAGTGGGGGTCAGATGCCTCATTATACCCCCAAACGCTGGAACTCAGAAAAGCTGACCAGCAAGAACATCAGCACAGACCTTAAGCCTAATAGGAAGCATTTACAATCTCTTCTCTCTGCAGCCTGCTACTTGGAGGCTTCGTCTGCATGAGAAAACCTTGGTCTCCACAACCTCTTATCTTAGTCCAGACACTGCCTTCCTATGGATTCTAAGTTTTTAGATAATAACAACTCTTTCAACCAATTGCCAATCAGAAAATCTTTGAATCCACCTATGATTGGAAGCCCCCCACTGCCCCTTGACTTCCCATTGTCCTGCCTTTCCAGACTGAAGCAATGTGCACCTGATGTGTATTGACCGATGCCTTACAACTCCCTAAAATGGACACATGTTCTCAGGACCTCCTCAGGCTGTGTCTCAGGCTGTGGTCACTCATATTTGACTCAGAATAAATCTCTTCAAATATTTTACAGATTTTGACTCTTTTTACTGATAAGGCATTCCTGCTTCTCGGGCTCCAAGTCAACACTGAACAGCCTTGGAAGCTCTGCCTTTGGGTGATGGCTCCGAATCTCTCATCCTCATCACAGAGCACCAGGCCAGTTGGGTCGCCAGTGCCCAGCCTCCTCCCTGCACGCAGTTCAAGCAGTGAGTCTCAGAAAAGCACATACTGCTGCCAGCTTTAGATGCTAACAGAGGAGCCAGGGCCATCTGTGAACAGCAAACTCACTTCCAGCCAGAGGCATGGCTCACACCGGATTCCTGCTGGGTGTACCTGCCTGGCCACAGTCAACAGCTCTGGCCATGTCGAATGCCCCATGTCCCTCTGCTTGCGCTGTTGCGGGGGGGGGGGGGGGTTCCTGCTGCTGTCCCCCTGGAGGCAACCTTGCTGTCTCTCCTAGGTGGTTCCCAGAGGTGACAAAACCAATGAGGCCAGGGTTGGCAAGATGGGAAGGAGGATGGGTGGGGCCCTTGCCCCATGCAACTCTCACCCCCCACCAAGACCACCTGCACTGCAGCAGCCCAATGTTGCCATCCCCAGCAGTGGGCCTGGAGTGGCTTAGGCAGGGACCCCAGCCATCCCCTCCTTCTCACCTTGTATTAGTCCATTTTCATACTGATAATAAAGTCATACCCAAGGCTGGACAATTTACAAAAGAAACAGGTTTAATGGACTCACAGTTCTATGTGGCTGGGGAAGCCTCACAATCATGGTGGAAGGCAAGGAAGAGCAGGTCACGTCTTACATGGATGGCAGCAGGCAAAGAGAGAGCTTGTGGAGGGAAACTCCCCCTTATGAAACCATCAGGTCTTGGGATACTTATTCACTATTACCAGAACAGCACAGGAAAGGCCTGCCCCCACAATTCAAATACCTGGGAATTCAAGATGAGATCTGGGTGGGGACACAGCCAAATCATGTCATTCTGCCCTTGGCCCCTCCCAAATCTCATGTCCTCATATTTCAAAACCAATCATGCCTTCCCAACAGTCCCCCAAAGTCTTAACTCATTTCAGTATTAACTCAAAAGTCCACAGTCCAACATCTTATCTGAGACAAGGAAAGTCTTTTCGCCTATGAGCCTGTAAAGTCATAAGTAAGTTAGTTAGTTCCTAGATACAACAGGGGTACAGGCATTGGGTAAATACAGTCATTTCAAATTGGAGAAATTCGCCAAAACAAAGGGACTACAGGCCCCATGCAAGTCCAAAATCCAGTGGGGCAATAAAATCTTAAAGCTCCAAAATGATCTCCTTTGACTCCATGTCTCACATCCAGATCACGCTGATGGAAGAGGTGGGTTCCCATGGCCTTGGGCAACTCTGCCCCTGTGTGGCTTTGCAGGGTACAGCCTCCCTCCTGGCTGCTTTCATGGGCTGGTGTTGAGTGTCTGCAGCTTTTCCAGGCACAGAGTGCAGGCTGTCAGTGGATCTACCATCCTGGAGTCTGGAGGACGGTCGTCCTTTTCTCACAGCTCCACTAGGAAGTGCCCCAGTAGGGACTCTGTGTGGGGGTTCCAATCCCACATTTCCCTTCTGCACTGTCCTAGCAGAGGTTCTCCATGAGAGCCCATCCCTGCAGCAAATTTCTGCCTCGACATCCAGGCATTTCTATACAACCTCTGAAATCTAGGCAGAGGTTCCCAAACCTCAATTCTTCTGTGCACTTGCAGGCTCAACATCATGTGGAAGCTGCCAAGGCTTGGGGCTTGCACCCTCTGAAACCATGGGCTGAGCTCTATGTTGGCCCCTTTCAGCCATGGCTGGAGCAGCTGGGATGCAGGGCACCAAGTCCCTAGACTGCACACAGCACAGGGACTCTGGGCCCCAAAACCACTTTTTCCTCCTAGGCCTCCAGGCCTGTGATGGGAGGGGCTGCTGTGAAGACTTCTGACATGCCCTAGAGACATTTTCCCCATTGTTTTGGGGATTAACATTTGGCTCCTTGTTACTTATGCAAATTTCTGCAGCCAGCTTGAATTATTTCCCTTCAGAAAATGGGTTTTTCTTTTGTATCACATTGTCAGGCTACAAATTTTCTGAACTTTATGCTCTGTTTTCCTTATAAAACTGAATGTCTCTAACAGCACTCAAGTCACCTCTTGAATGCTTTGCTGCTTAGAAATTTCTTCTGTCAGATACCCTAAATCATCTCTCTCAAGTTCAGAGTTCCACAAATCTCTAGGGCAGGGGCAAAATGCCACCAATCACTTTGCTAAGTCACCTGTGCTCCAGTTCCCAACAAGTTCCTCATTTCCCTCTGAGACCACCTCAGTGTGGACTTTACTGTCCATATCATTGTCAGCATTTTGGGCAAAGCCATTCAACAATTCTCTAGGAAGTTCCAAACTTTCTCACATTTTTCTGTCTTCTCCTGAGCCCACCAAACTGTTCCACCCCTGCCTGTTACCCAGTTAGAAAGTTGCTTCCACATTTTCAGGTATCTTTTCAGCATCACCCCACTCTCTGTACTACTAATTTACTGTATTAGTCCATTTTCACACTGCTGATAAAGACATACCCAAGACTGGGCAATTTACAAAAGAAAGAGGTTTAATGGACTTACAGTTTCACATGGCTGGGGAGGCCTCACAATCATGGTGGTAGGTGAAAGGCATGTTTCACATGGTGGCAGACAAAAAAAGAGAGCTTAAGCAGGGAAACTCCCCCTTATAAAACCATCAGATCTTGTGAGACTTATTCATTATCACAAGAATAGCATGGGAAAGACCTGCCCACATGACTCAATTACCTCCCACTGGGAACCTCCCATAACATGGGAATTCAAGATGAGATTTAGGTGGGGACACAGCCAAACCATATCACACCTCATTCCACATTTATCTCATCACAGCAGACTCCAGAGCAGGAGGCCAGGCCTGGCAGTGCAGCATCACAGGCACAGGAAAAGGAAGCCTCCCTGCAGTAGCCAGCCATGTGCCCTGTACTGTGGCTGCAATGCTACAGGGCCTGCACCCTGTCTCTCTGGTCCTGATGGGATTGGAGCCTCAGCCTTCCCAGGGCACAGCGCCCCTGCTGGAAGGTCTGCTCCAGCGCAGTCTTGCAGACACCTGCCTGGACTCAGCCATCTGCCAGGACTGGCCTGGCCGACCCCAGCTTTGCTATGAATGGGACTCTCCAGATGAATGACCCCATTAGGGATGGGACAGTCCATTGACAATTAGACTCATGGCTTCCTTGTCTCCAGGGTCACAGTTGCCCTGTGTGAAGTCCTGTGCCCACCCTTAACAATGGCTTTGTTTGCCCTGTCTACTGATCATGACTTTTGTCTGTCAGCCTAATATCTGCCCATCCCTTGACAGAGGCATGGGAGAGTGCTTTGGCCTTACCTGAACCTGGACCTAGACCTAGAGATGTGGAAGTTTCTGAAGCTTGTGAGCTGCCCTTTTATCTCTGTCATGGCTCATCTGAGTTTGGGGGAATGTCTATTCTGATGGGAAGGGATTCAGAATGGCTTCTGACTCATTTGCTGTCCTGTCCTCATGACCCTTGCAAAGCTGGGATGTTACAGCTGCCAGGGAGGCTAAGACTGCTTCCCTCAGCCCCTACCTTGCTGTATTAGTCCATTCTCATGCTGCTAATAAAGACATACCTGAGACTGGGTAATTTATAAGGGAAAAAGGTTTAACTGATTCACAGTTCAGCCTGGCTGGGGAGGCCTCAGGAAACTTACAATCATGGCAGAAGGGAAAGGAAATACATCTTTCTTCACATGGCAGCAGGAAGGAGAAGTGCTAAGCACAAGAGGGGAAAGCCCCTTCTAAAACGATCAGATCTTGTGAGAACTCACTCATTGTCACAAGAAGAGAATGGAGGTAACCACCACCATGATTCAATTACCTCCCACTGGGTCTCTCCCATGACACCTGGGGATTATGGGAACTACAACTCAAGATGAGGTTTGGGTGGGGACACAGCCAAACCATATCATTCCACCCCTGGCCCCTCCCAAATCTCATGTCCTCACATTTCAAAACACAATCATGCCTTCCCAACAGTCCCCCAAAGTCTTAACCCATTCCAGCATTAACACAAAAGTCAAAATCCAAAGTCTCCTTGAGACAAGGCAAGCCCCTTCTGCCTATTAGCCTGTAAAATCAAAAGCAAGTTAGCTACTTCTCAGATGCAATGGGGGCACAGGCACTGGGTAAATGTTTCTGTTCCAAATGGAAGAAACTGGCCAAAACAAAGGGGCTATAGGCCCCATGCAAGTCTGAAATCCAATAGGGCAGCCATTAAAACTTAAAGTTCCAAAATGGTCTCCTTTGACTCCATGTCTCACATCTAGGTCATGCTGATGTAAGAGGTGGGCTCCCATGGCCATGGGTAGCTCTGCCCCTGTGGCTTTTCAGGGTACAGCCCCCAACCCCAGCTTCTTTCATGGCTGGCATTGAGTGTCTGTAGGTTTTCCAGGCACACGGTGCAAGCTGGCAGTGGATCTATCATTCTGGGGTCTGAAGGAGGGTGGCCCTCTTCTCAGAGCTCCACCAGGCAGTGCCCCGGTGGAGACTCTGTGTGGGGCCTCCGACCCTACATTTCCCTTTCACACTGCCATAGCAGAGGTTCTCCAAGAGGGCTCCACCTCTGCAGCAAACTTCTGCCCGAACATCCAGGCATTTCCACACATCACCTGAAATCTAACAGGAGGTTCTCAAACCTCAATTCTTGACTTCTGTGTATGCACAGGACCAACACCATGTGTAAGCCACTAAGGCTTGGGGCTTATACCCTCTGAAGCAATGGCCTAAGCTGTACATTGGTCTCTTTTAGCGACAGCTGGAGCTGAAGCAGCTGAAAAGCAGAGCACCATGTCCTGAGGCAGCACAGAGCAGGAGGGCCCTGGGCCTAGCCCAGGAAACCATTTTTCCCTCCTAGGCCTACAGGTCTGTGATGGGAGAGGCTGCCATGAAGGTCTCTGACATGCCCTGGAGACATTTTTCCCATTTTCTTGGTGATAAACATTTGGCTCCTCATTATTTATGCAAATTTCTACAGCAGGCTTCAATTTCTCCCTAGAAAATCTGGTTTCCTTTTCTATCACATCACCAGGCTGCAAAATTTCCAAACTTTTATGCTCTGCTTCCTCTTGAATGCTTTACCACTTAGAAATTTCTTCTGTCAGATACCCTAAATCATCTCTTTCAAGTTCAAATTGTCACAGATCTCTAGGGCAGGGGAAAAATGCTGCCAGTCTCCTTGCATAGCAAGAGTGACCTTTACTCCCATTCCCAACAAGTTCCTTATCTCCACCTGAGATCACCTCAGCCTGGACTCCATTGTCCATATCACTATCAGCATTTTGGGCAAAGCTATTCAAGAAGTCTCTAGAAGTTCCAAACTTTCCCACATTTTCCTATCTTCTTTTGAGCTCTCCAAACTGTTCCAACCACTGCCTGTTACACAATTCCAAAGTCACTTCCACATTTTTGTGTATCCTTATAGCAGCACCCCACTCTCTGCAGTACAAGTTTACTATATTAGTCTGTTTTCATGCTCCTAATAAAGACATACTTGAGACTGGGTAATTTATAAATGAAAGAGGTTTAATTGACTCACAGTTTTGCATTGCTATGGAAGCCTTAGGAAACTTACAATCATGGCAGAAGGGGAAACAAACACATCCTTTTTCACATGATGGCAGGAAGAGGAAGTGCTGAGCAAAAGGGGGAAAGCCCCTCATAAAACCATCAGATCTTATGAGAACTCACTTCACAAAAACAGCAGCATGGGGGTAACCACCCCCATGATTAAGTTACCTCCCATTGGGTCCTTCCCAGAACACCATAGGGATGATGGGAACTACAATTCAAGATGAGATTTGGGTGGAGACACAGCTATACCATATCACTGGGGTCAAAGCTTCATAGACTGCTAACGCTTTGCTAGGCTGAGACCTACAGAGGCCAGGACCCACCCTGTGGGTCTGTGGGAGAGAACTCAGGGCTCTTCCTTGGTGACAAAACCATACAGCACAAAACCAGGGTCAGAGGTAAGAGGGGACCCATGACCCCCTGGCCTGGGTGTCTCAACCTGAAGATCAGGTCTTGCTTAGATGATCGCTACAGGGACAGTGCTGTACTGAGGCAGAAGGTACATTGTGGCTTCAGGGCTGACCCCGCCGCTGCACCAGCACACAGAGCCCTGCCTGGGTCTCTGCCTTCACCATCCTGAAAGTCTTAATGACCTCGGAACAAGGGGTCCTGCATTTTCATTTTGCACCAGGCTCTGAGAATTATGTAGCTGGTCCTGATCAGATTTCCTCTGTGCTGACAGAAAGCCCCAGTGGTGCAAAACTTAATTGAAAGAACAGACTAGACCAGCAGCTCTCAAGGGTGGAATTGTGCTCTGGGGGCACATTTGCCAATGTCTGGAGACATTTTTGGCTCTCTGTGCTGGTGCTGAGTAGGATGCAGCCAGGGATGCTGTGAAACTATCTACAAGGCACAGCAGTCTCCAGCAACAGAGTCATCCCGCTCCAAGTGTCAATACTGCTGAGGCTGAGGAACCCTGGGCTAGAGCAATGTATGCAGCCCAGGCAGCTGCAGGAACTGCTTATGAGTCCAATCAAAGGAGCCAGCGCTGTCCAGAGGAGGCTTCCCAGCACCAGGAGGGGCTGGAATTTAACCATAGTCTGGCAAAAAGAAGTCTTCCCAAGACACCAAACCCCGTACCCCTTTAGCCCTTCCTCCTGAGAGTACAGGCCATACATCAGACAAAACCTGCATTCTGCAGAAGGAACACCCTCTGTGACCGGGTGGGTTGCAGCATGGCTGAAACATGCATGCATTTGAAGAAGCGGCTGCCCACAGAGGTCATTCTGGAATCATACTGCAGACAGAGGCCGCGAGGCAGGGCCGTGAGGGCAGGGGAGGAAAACTCACCAAGTCTGGTGTCCTCTGCCATGATGTTAGAAATCAAACTTTTATGAGTGTGACAGGCAGATGGTCAAAACCACGCCGATGTGCCAGGTGTTTTAATGAGCCCGGTCTCCAAGTCAGCACGGCACCCCGGAGCGCAGCATTCCTGGAGTTACCTAGGTTACTCCACCGAGGCAGCCCTGGGCAGCGAGGCCTCAGGTGAAAACCTTGAAAAGCGGCTCAGGCATTAGCATGACAAAGAGCCGCCACCTGGGGCGGCTCTGGGCCCGGCCTCCTGGCTGCCAGGACAGACGCTGTTGTTGTTTGTCTTTTTGTTTTGTTCGTCTTAAAGAACATCCTGAAGATGTTTGCTGGGGCTGGTAACCAAGCAGCAAGAGTTTATGCTCAAAATAGACATTGTTTGTAATTTTTCACCCCAGTTACCCTAGAAATTTCTCAAATGATTTCTTTATAGCAGCAGACGCAGGACTCCATCCCACCCCCCACTGGCCCTGCTCCTTAGAGGGATAATGAGCTGGGCCCCCTCAGCCTCCTTCCCACTGATTACTGTTTATTAAGCGTCCGCGAGAAGCGGGGCCTGTTTTCCCTCAGCCTTTTTTATCTCCTAATGTGTGTGTGTGCCATGCAGATTAGGATAGGAAAATGCTAATTTACACTGCACAGCGAGCTGCTCAGAAAGCCAGATCTGCACAGACCCGTGAGCCCGGGGGCGGCGCAGGGGCGCCAGGAGACGCAGACTGGTGCCCCAGGCTCCAAGGCAGCAGACCTGGGGTAGTTGGTGTAGATGTGTTCAACCGCATTCAAGTGGTGCATTACTAGAAATGGGGCTGGTGTGGAAGAAGCTCCACGCACATCCTGTATTGGCACCGCTCAGCCAGCTGGGCTTCTCTGGTCACCATGGACACTCCAGGCTGGACAGGGTGCCTCTTAGGAACCTGTCTCCACTGCTCTGTCCCCCAGGCCTGCTAACTTGGTTGCTGGAGGGTCAGGGCTGCAGAGAGACCAGGGGTTCACTCAGGTTCTCAAGGTCACCTTCCTGGAACCCTTGAAGGAAGGGCAGCAGCTCCGGAGATGCTGGGACCCTGCATGTGATCTCCAGGGTAACTCCTTAACTGAAACCACTGAATGCTGCCTTCACACAGCGGAACTGAGTTTATGAGGCTTTCCATTTCAAGGAGGATGCAGCCATTGACCTTGTTAACTCACTGGAAGGTGGAGAGTCTCTGTTAGCTGAATCAAGGTTGAAAGAGAACAGCCACAGCTGGTGGAGGTAGAGGAGGACGAGACTGAGCTTAGGGTGTGTTACGAAACTGGCGTTTCTGGACACAAGCAGCCTCTGAGAGGCAATGGGGAATCAGAGCTGGGCAGCAAAGCGCAGCTCGCGCCTGCAGCACGAAATTTCCAGTGAAATGAAGACTCAGAGTCAGAACAGGCCGTGGAGACCATGTGGCCATGCTGTCTCGTCAGCGTACCTGAAGAAGATGAGCTACACCATGGCACTCAGAAGCCCTCCTCAGCTCCCAGGACTCTCCTGCGTGGGGACAGAGTGTCACTACTCCCGCCCACTCCCCAGGGGACATGTCTCGGGTCTCATTTCCGTTAAACTCACCTCCACCTAACTCCACCCCCGGCTCTGGGCTATTGCTTTGAGCTGTCAATTTTGTATTAGATATATAAGTAAGGTTTTGTCAACGAAACAAGTCAAACTCTGTAAAATATTTGAAGAGATTTATTCTGAGCCAAATGTGATTGCCCATGGCCCGTGACACAGCCCTCAGGAGGTCCTGAGAACACGTGCCCAAGGTGGTCGGGGCGCAGCTTAGTTTTGTAGATTTTAGAGAGACATGAGACTTCAATCAAATATATTTAAGACATACATTGGTTCAAGAAAGGCAGGACAATAAATTGATACAAATTGATTCTCATTTTGAATCCATATGTATACACTGCCTTTGTATTAAGAAGCTAATTGGTATATTGAAGGGAGGTTTCCAGGTTATAGGTAAATTAAAAATTTTTCTGGTTGACAATTGGTTGAGTTTATCTAAAGACCTGGGTTCAATAGGAAGGAACGTCTGGGTTAAGAAAAGTTCTTGTGGAAACCAAAGTTCTGATTGTGCAGAGGAAGCCTTCAGGTAACAGGCTTCAGAAAGAATAGATTGTAAATGTCTCTTATCAGACTTAAGGTCTGTTTGATGTTAATGCCAGAGAGGTATCATGAGTCCTGTCTGGCCCCCACTTCCCATCATGGCCTGAACCAGTCTTTCAGGTTAAATTTTAAGAGCACCCTGGCGGAGGAGGAAGTCCATTCAGATGATTGCATGGTGTGGTGCGGTGGGGCGGGGCTTGGAATTTTATTTTTGGTTTACAGTTTATTAAATCTGTGTTAATGCATTGAATTCAGGCCATAAAAATTTCTTTAAGACCGGGCACGGTGGCTCACGCCTGTAATCCCAGCACTTTGGGAGGCCAGCGTGGACAGATCACGAGGTCAGGAGATCAAGACCATCCTGGCTAACACGATGAAACCCCATCTCTACTAAAAATACAAAAAATTAGCCGGGTGTGGTAGTGGGCGCCTGTAGTTCCAGCTACTTGGGAGGCTGAGGCAGGAGAATGGCGTGAACCTGGGAGGCGGAGCTTGCAGTAAACCGAGATCTCGCCACTGCACTCCAGCCTGGGCGACAGAGTGACACTCCGTCTCAAGAAAAAAAAGAAGAAAAAAATTTCTTTAAAATTGGGGTTAATGTGCCACTTTCTCTTAGGTAAAGATGTAGCTATTTTGGAGAAATTTGAATGAATGCTCAGAACAGGTGAATCAGAGTGCAGCATCTTAAGGCTTACCTTCAGTTGCAATACAAGGCACCGACTTTTAAAATTTTTGATAGTTTAAAAGTTATCTGTAATCAAAAATATTTTGGCACCAAGCATGTTCCTTTCTTGTAACCTGTATTCTATGTTCAAAAAATCGTTGAATTCACATCCCCCAGAATAGAAACTCCATGAGAAGAACATTGCGGTTCTTATTGAGAGATGTCTTCTAGGCTCCTAAAATAGTGTCTGATACATAAACATCACTCGAGGAATATTGTTGGATGCATAAACATACCGGGCCCATGGCACATGCATGCACACCACACACAATGTGTTGTCTGCTCCATTAATACTTCCATTACTGGTATGCTGGGATGGTGTAAAGAGTGAACACAACCTGCCCAACACACTTTGTATAGATTTTTCTGGAATATAAGTGGCTCTTTGACTAATTCTAAAGTTTATTCTAAAAGAAATGTAGCTATAAAGTTGCTTCTCATATATAATCAAGTGAAAAGACTAGAACACACAGTAGGATCTAAGGTATGGTCGTAAATTGCTTTAAAAACATATCGACACACACTCCTAGAAGAACGTTGGAAGAATATGCACCCAAGTGTTGGCAGTCAAGATTTTCCCCTCATTCTGTATTTTTGTATTTATATTTTCTCATTTTGAATCAATACGATGCACTGCCTTTGTATTAAGAAGCTAATGGGTACTTTTTTCCTGGGGAGTGTGTTTGGTTTTAGAGCAGGAGTCATCATCTGCCAGGCGTCCGACTCCCCTGCGCTGCCTGCTGATGCTTCCCATCACACCCAGGGCCTGAGGGAGGAAGTGGGCTCCTGCAGCATGGTCAGGGCAGTGAGATGAGGCAGAAGCGGCACTGAGGGGATTCCCTGAGGGACTTGGGGAGGGTCTCCATGCATCCCGCCAAAGGTTGGCGCCTCCTGGGGTCTCGTCTGACCTCCCAGCACCAGGGATGGGGTGCCCCTGCTGGGACCTTGGAGCCTGGGCTCCCTGACGGCTTGCTCTATGTAGCTCAAGGCTCCCCCATTCCATTACTTTGAAAGGGAAAGGAGAGGGAATAAGGACAGAGGGAAGGAGGAGGGAGGGAGGAGGCAGGCGGGAGCTGAAACAACCTCCGGCAGCACATCTGTGGGTGCCAGGCCTCCGAATGCAGCGCTGAGTAAGACGAACTCCCAGCCTTCATGGAGGAGCAGATACCAACTGGCAATTTGCATGATTGATTATTTAGCCACAACTGTGATGAGTGCAACTGAGGACAGGCACAGGGCCTAAGGCGGTGCCCGAGAAGATGCCAGGCCGGGGCTGGGACCGGGCTGAGATCCGAGATTGGGAGGTCCAAGTGTGTCCTGAGTTGCTTATCTCTGCCTGCAGGAGTGTCTGTGAGAAAGAAAAAGGAACTGCAGGTTCCCTCCGTGAACTCCCATAGCCCTGCCCAGTGAGGACAGCCAGGCCTGGCCAACAGCCGGGCCAGCGCGTCTGCCCCCTGGAGCTCTCTCTTCCCTTCAAGCGGGGGCTGGCGGTGGGGAGGTCACAGGCCGGAGCACGAAGTCCTGGCTGCACAAGAGGCTTCCCTGAGGGAGGAAGCTGCTCCCTTCCACAAAGGTCTCTCCAAAGGACCTTCCTAATTTGCTGCTGGCGGAGAGACAAACAACACAGTGGCCATGCCAACTGGGGAGAGAGGCCAAATGGAAAGAAACTACAGGCCACACTGCAAGGTGGTGGGGAAGAGGGCTTTGGCTTGCTTGTCCTTATATGTGGTGAAAACTAGAGCGGCAGCTTTCATCAGGCCAAAGCAGGATGAAAAGGTCAGAGGGAGCATGGCACAGGACAGCATCTGACTGCCAGCAGATGAGCAATGAAGCCAGGATGCAAGAGGATGTGTATGCAGCGGCATTTGGGATGCGGAGAGAAGACGCAAGCCTGGGAAGCGCAAAGGGTTCCGGCCTCATCCATCACATCACCAAGTTCCTATTTTACCCTTGATTCTAAGCAGCAGCTAAATGAGCAGATTAAATACTTAGAAATGCCGCATTGTGGAGTGTGGAGGCCCAACGGCCAGCGAGGAGGCTATAAACAGAGTCAGTGAGAGACGAGGAGAAAACAGTTCTCTAGGAGGCGTCCTTCTCTTCTGCTTTGATGGTTGTGATACAAGCAGGCAGGAAGGATCCATGAGTGAAAGGCATATGTGAAATACAATTTTCAGTTTCCTTCTTTCACAACTGGGTAAAAATAATCATTCACCAAGACAGAGAACAGACAGGAGGAGGAGTCTACATAGGAATATGGTCATTATTGAAAACCGAGGCAAGGGAGAGTCAGTCGAGCTCCAAAGCCCAGACACACATGGGAGCACTGCTAGGAAAAACAGCAAAGTTGTTGAAGACCTAGCATCTACCTTGGCCCCACAACAGACACAGGAACAGCTCTGCCTCCTCGAGTTCTTCAGACTCAGACTGCAGTGCTCTTTGGAAGGAACTTTAGGTAAATACAGAACCAACAAGTCCATCGTCTACGTGTGTAGCTGTGGCTATGGGGCAGAAGATGGTCACTGATGGTGAGAGAGGGAACGGGCTGGTGGCAGGAAGGATCACAAAATGAGGCCTAGACCAATGTCCACATCATGGGATGCTGAGGTGGCCTCTCAGGCAACATCAGATGCAAAACAGATACCAGAATATTCACCCAGGTTGGATTCCTTAGGCCCCTCGTTCTGAAAGCAAAAGTGCTCAGATTCAGTCATGAGAGGGAATGTGAGGACACACTTGTGAGGACCAGGCACCTCACATGTTCAGAAGGTCGGAAAATAGCCTCTGAAAGGTGAATCCTGTGCTTGGCTTGCTGAAGGGGTCCCTGGCAAAGCACAGCCCCAGCTGTGTCCTTGTTGTAACAAGCCAGTGCCTAGTGGGCTCTCTGAGCTTATGCGGTCTGCTAACAAATGATCTGGAAACTTTGTAAGTACAGTATTGATTATGACTAAAGATAAAGTAGATTTAATTTCACTGGCAATCTGAAAAGAGTATCTTTAAGAAAAGCTAAGTGACCTATGAATTAGAAGAGAATAAGAAAGAATAAGTAGATAATCCCAGATCAGCTTTCCTTGACCTTCATAACTGCAAAAGATTCCTTTTTTTTGCCTTGAGATATTCCACTTATATGAATAAAGTGAAATAGTATTGTTCCTTTAGAAAATAATTTTGACAGGTCTTACTAATTATTGAGATAATCACTTGTTTGCTGTCCAGAGAACAAAAGCCTGCATTTCAGAAAGGCCAATATTGTTTTTATTTGCCTTATACTTTCAGTGGGTAGGCTTAGGTTTATTTCAGACTTAGGTTTTCTTGCAATGCAGGTATTATGTAGGCTATATGCCTGCCCATGCAGTCATGTTGATTTAAGTGTATAAAATGCTTGGACACATGGAATCATGGATCCTAGAGAAGAAGCTATCTAAAGAGCTTATTGTGTCAGTCAGGATGGGCTAAGTTATGCTGTGCTAACAAACAATTCCAAGATCTTAAAGAACAAAAATAAATAGGCTTATTTTGTGCTTCTGCTGCACTTTCAATGCCAGTCAGTAACAGTTCTTCTGCATATTGTTCAGTAGTTCAGGCTGAGGAAGTTTTAACTGGAAAATTGCTGGTTGTTACAACAGAAGGAAAGTAAAAACATGGGAAACCATGTGTTCGCTCTCAAAGCTTCTACCCACATGTGTGACACATTCCTTTTGCTCACATTTTACTAGCCAAACTCAGTCATGAAGCCATGCATGCAGGGAACAAAGGTGGAAATGTGTAATGCGCCCATCAGGATGCACACCAAAGTCTTGGACACAACAGTGGTCTTGCACCCTGCTTTGAGACAAGGTCTACAAATGATCCTTGTATACCCTTCTTCCCAATGACTCTCATGTGAGCCTTTCCTAGATGCAGTCTTCAGCAAGAGGACTCTCAGCCTTCCACGTAATGGAAATACAATCAGCAGTTGAAAGCACAGAATTAACTCCACTGGTGTAAAAGCTAGTGCCTTGCTTCTGTCCCAGAGTCACCAGGATGTCCACCAGGGAAATGAGTCAAGTTGACTCTGCAGTGAAGAGGCTGCATCAGCATCAGCCCTGTGTCATCCACGATGATTACATTATCCATATCCCTGGTGATGGAGCTAAAATATCCAATGATCACACATAGGACACAATGACACACTGTAGATCATGACCTGCCTAGGCCACAATTTGCACTAGGGATCAATGACCTAGAACTACATCAGTGAAATCTGTTGAACAATGAGAGAAGAGATTCTCTTACTTCAGTAATTGAGAAGAAAAATGAATTCTCCTACCTCAGTAACTGTGGAAAAAGACTGATTTACCTCAGTACCTGTGAAGAAGAATAGATTTTCCTACTTTAGTAACTGTGGAGAAAAATGTATTCCTCTATCTCAGGGACTATGGAGAAGAACAGATTCTCCTACAGAGAAGAGTGGATTTTCCTACCAAGGTAACTGTGGATAAAGAGGGATTCTCCTACCTTGGTAACTGTAGAGAAGAAGACATTCTCTAACCTCAGGAACTGTGGAGAAAGATTCTTCTACCTCAATAACTGGAAAAAATGAATTTTCCTATTTCAGTGACTGTGGAGAAGGTAAAGAAACTCTTACTTCAGTAAATAGAGGGGAACAGATTCTTCTACTTCGATAACTGTGGATAAAGAGAGATTTTCCTCCTCAGTAACTGTGGAGAATAGATTCTCCAATGAGAGGAACTGTGGGAAAGAAAGGATTCTTCCACATCAATAGTTGTGGAGGAGAGATTCTCCTACATTATAACTGTGGATAAAAAATGAATTCTCATTCAGAAACTGTTGAGATGCATGTATTCTCCTACTTCAGTAACTGGAAAAGATTTGATTCACTTACCTCCTCAATTGTGAAAAAATGATAAATTCTACTGTCTTTGGAGGAAGAAAAGATCTCCTGCCTCAGTACCTGTGAAGAATATTGGATTCTTCTACCCCAGTAACTGTGGAGAATAACCAATTTCCCTATATCTGTAATTGTGGACATGTAGAGATTGCACTACCTACACGTGGAGAAGAATGGCTTCCCCTACCTCCATAACTAAGAAGAAGAATAGATTCTGCTACTTTTGTATCTGTGGAGGATGAAAGGTTTTTTTTACCTCAGTACCCATGGAGAAGAATGAATTCTCTTACCTCACTAATTGTAGAGAAAGAGAGACTTTCCTATCCTATCTCAGTAACAGTGGACAATAATGGATTTTTTTTAACCTCAACAACTATGGGAAGAAGAGATCTCCTTTAATAACTGTAGAAAAGAATGAATTCACCAACCTTAGTAACTGCAGAGAAGAGATTTTCCTACCTTAGTAACTATCATGAAGATTTTATTATTCTACCTCAGGAATTGTGGAGAAGGATACATTCTGATACTTCAGTAACTATAGAGAAGGAGAGGATCTTCTCCCTCAATAACTGTTAAGAATGGATCCTACCTTAGTAACTGTGAAGAAGAATGGACTCTCTTACCTCAGTAACTATGGAGAAGAATGATTCTTTTATCTCAGTAAATATAGGGAAGAACAAACTCCATAACTTCAGTAAAAAGAAGAGAGATTCTTCTATCTCAGTACAGGTGGAGAAGAATGGATTCTTCTAATTCAGAACTGTGAAGAAGAGATTATCCTCTTGTAGTAACTGTGGAGGAAAATGGATTCTCCTCCTTCGTGACTTTGCAGAAGGAGAGATTCTTTTATCACAGTAACTGTTGAGAAGAATGAATTCTCCCTCTTCAATACATGTGGAGAAGAATAAATTCTCCTACCTGAGTAACTGGAGAAGGAAGGACTTACTTTAAAACTCAGTAACTGGGAAGGAGAGAGCTCCTTCAGTAACTGTGTAGATGAATGAATTTTCCTAATTAGTAACTGTGTGAAAAAAGATATTCTCCTACCTCAGTAACTGTAGTGAATAATTTATTCCTCTATCTCAGTAACTGTGGAGAAGAATAGATTCTCCTGTCTTAATAACTCTGGAAACGGATGGATTCTCTTCCTTCAGTAATTGTGAAAATGAATTCTCCTACCTTGGTTATTGTGAAGAGGATAAAGGCTGCTACCTCAGTAACAATGAAAGAAGATAGATTCTCTTACCTCAGTAACTGTAGAGAAAAACGTAATCTCCAAGCTCATTAACTGTAGAAAAGGAAAGATTCTCCTCACTCAGTAACTGTGCAGAAAAATATTATCTTCCCTTAACTGTTGGGAAAAAAAGAGGATTCTCCTACCACAGCAAGGGAGCAGAAGAGATTTTCCTACCTCAGTAATTGCAGGGAAGAATTATCCTACCACAACATCTACAATGAAGAGTAAATTCTCCTACTCGAGTAACTGTGGAGAAGAATGGATTTTTTTAACTTCAGAAACTGAAGAATGAATTCCCCTAATCAGTAAATGCATGAAAGAGGAGATTCTCCTACCTCAATAACTGTGGTAGAGAATTTATTTTCCTATGTCAGTAACTATGGAGAAGAATGGCTTCTTTTACCTTCTTGGTAGATGTAGAGAAGCATAAATTCTCCTAGCTGAGTAACTGTGGAGACTGAGGAGGAAGAGACATTCCTCTACATTGGTACCCATAGACAATAATGGATTTTACCAACTCATAACTGTGCAAATGGACAGATTCTTCTATTTCAGCTACTGTGGAAAAAAAATACATTCTTCTTTAGTACATGTGGAGAGGAATGGGTTCTCCTATCTCAGCAACTATGAAGAAAAGATTCTTCTACCCAAGTAATTGTCAAAAATAATGGATTCTTCTTCCTCAGTAACTTTGGAGAAAGATCTATTCTCTAACCTAGTAACTGTGGAGAAGGGGAGATTCTCCTACCACGGCAACTGGAGAAAGAAAGGTTCTTTTGTCTCAGTAAATGTAAGGAGGAATGGATTCTTCTACCTCAGTAACTGTGGATAAAAAGAGATTCTCCTACCTCAGTAATTGTAGAGAAAAGCGATTCTCCTTCCTCAGTAACTGGGGAAGAAAAGCTTTTCTTCCTTAGTAACTGTGGAAAAGGAGAGAGTCTCCCGCCTCAGTATCTGTGGAGAATAGATTCTACTTTGTTAACTGTGGAGGACAGTGCTGCTACCTGAGTAACTGTGGAAGAGAGATTCTCCTACCTCAGTAACTGTGGAGGAGAGATTTTCCTACCACAGTAACTTTGGAGAAGGAGAAATTCTCCTTCTTTAGTAACTGGAGAAATAGAGCTCTTCTTCTCTCAGTAACAGTGGAGAAGAATGTATTCTACCTCATTAAGCTTAGAGAAGGAGACATTCCCCTTCCTCTCTGGTGAGAATAAATCTGGGCTCCTGGTCAGAGTAGTATCAGTGTAGTCATTGCCAAGGCTTCTTGTTTGTGTGCCTGTGAACTTGGGAATGTGCTGAAATGAGACATGGTGGGCTGGATTGAGAAAGATGGGCCAGGGGGGCTTTGGCTCTTGTGAAGCTTCTCCACCAGTGAAAGGCACAGCTTGGCATCTCCTTGTTCACAAAATGGTGTGGAAGATTATTAGAACTGAGAGCCCCAGTGAAAAGAGAAACTCTTCACATCCCCTGTAAAAGCTGTTGGTGAGAGGCCCCTGAGGGAAGTTGGGGGATACCAATGCCCTCTCTTCCCTACCAAGGGAGTGCACCTTCTGGACATCTGGAGAAGAATCACAATAATACTTTAAAAATCACAGGACCAAAATCGAAAATCAAACCCTGACAGAAAATATGACAAGGCAGAATTGTAGCTAATTGTGGATAAGATAGTCTGCGTTTGAATTATGGCTCTAGCACTTACCAACTGTGTGGCCTTGAGCAAGTTAGTCAACTTCTCTGCGGTTTCAGTTTTCTCATTTGTAAAATTGGGATGACAAAATGACTTGTGTGGTTAGCCTCCTGTGAGAAATAAATAAGATAATACCTGCGACGCACTCAGAACAATGCATGGCACAAAGCAAACGTGCAGTCGGCATTCGCTGCAAACAATTTCTTGTCCTGAAAAAAATGTTGATTAGACCATGGTGAGCCAAGAGGTGAAGGCCATTTTCCTTAAAAAGTCCCATTGGAGGCCTGACCTTGGTTTCTGCAAACTGAGCAGCTGAAAAAGCAGAACTGAAGGTTTGTTCTGCCATTGTTCTGTAACAAAGCTTATTGCTGAGAATGGAAGTTTAAGAGAACAACTTTGCCAAAAAGAAATTTCATCACTCCTTGAAATGGCAACCCTAATTCGGGGTTTTTAGGAAATTCCCTCAGAGACCCAGTGCTCTATTTTCCTCAGATTACCCCCATTTAGCTATTTGTGCTGTACACCATATAAATTGTCATCGCTAAGTCCAAGATATCGTGACTCATAGACTGCGTCTTTGTTTTCCTAAAGAATGAAGAGTCCAAGAGGAATAGAAAAGCATTTTTTCATCCACAATGTTTTTTTTTTTTTTTTTTTCATTTGAGATCCCCCATGTGGTGTTGGGTGCAGGTTATGGAAACAAAGGTGTAGGTCATTACCTCCAGGGTCTCATAGGCTGGTGGGAAGGCAGGCCAGGGAACCTGCCTGTAGCAATTGATCCCTGGTATATTCACAGGCTTTGGGCCCAATAGAAACGAAGGGTGGGAGCCCAGGGACTCAGAACCCGGAACAGGGGGGAGGCGAATCCGGAGGGTGAGAGAATGGAGGGCAGGGCTTCCAGGAGGGAACAGCCCAGGCCAGGCAAATGGTGAGAGGCCTCTCACATTTGGGAACTGTGAGAGATTCCATGTGGCTGAGAGGTGGCTTCGTGGGGAAGACGTGAGGGCGAGCGGAACAGTGTGGAGGCAGATCACAGAGGGCTCTGTGTAACTTACGCAAGACCTGAGCACCAGGCGGAGCCGTCAAGGGAAATTTAGGTTGAGCAGAGATACAATTGGGTTTGGAATATCTCTCTATAGCAGCAGTAAAATACCATGCAGGTGACAAGACTGGGAGCCGGGAGAGGAGGCAGGAGGGTGTGGGTGGTTCAGACCAGGGATGGACAGTGGGGCCGAGGGGAGGAGACATTGGAGTGGCACCATGTGGACAGGGGCAGGTCTTGGGAACACATAAAACTGAAAGGAGATGTGGAAACATCCAGGCCCACAATCTAGGGGTCCAGGGGCTGTGGCCACTGGAGTGCCATTCAAAGACTTCTCCCAAGCCCACCCCAGGTGAAGCCCCTCCCCTGCCTGTGCTGGCTTGGTCCTGGGAGCCAGGGCCCCTCCCTCATCGCAGCTGCTAAGCTGGACCATCCAAGAAGTAAAGCAGCACCCGCCTACCATGGCCCACGCCTGAGTTTCCCGGCCTGAGCCTTCATTCTCAAAGCTGTTTCTTGTTTTAAGGCCATTTCCTCATGGTCCTCCCCTGCCTGCGATGCTCAGCCCTGAATTCTTCACCAGACTCTTAACAGTGAGTGATTCGCTCCTCTGTAAACATCTCCTCTGTGAAAGGCCTTGCCCAATCTCCAAAACTAAATTAAGTCCTCCTGTTACAATACCCTATACTTCGCCTCACAACATTTATGGCAACGTGCAATTATATATTTCTGTGTGTGGCTGTTTGTTTTATATTTAGCTTCCTTCATAGACCATGATCTCCGTGGGGACAGGGCCCCTGTGCCCCCACGCCCAGGGCGGGCTCTACACCGACGCCTAGAAAACACACGTGCAAAGGCAAAGGCATGAAGTCAGCGAACAAGAGAAGGCTGGACTGGCTCCAGGTTTCCGGTGGTTGACAGTGCCCAGTGTCATTCACCAAATGTGGGATAGGCCGCGGGAAAACACACTGTGAGAAGGAGAGAGGAGCTGTGGATCTGCTTCAGAGCTGTCTGGGCCAGGCCCCTCATTCCAACTGATAGGGACTCGCCCGTCCAGATTCAATGTCTCCTGTGAGTCGCCAAGCGTACAGGGATCACAGGAGCCTTGGGCTCACGAAGTGTGTGGCCCCCCTGTGCAGATGAAGGACCAATGGCCAAGGGAGCAAGAGAACCCTGAGCCTTCTGTAAGGCAAACCCACTCAGCGCTGTTTCCCACTGGGTTCTCCTGTGGAGAAGCCCCTCAGACCAGGAATATGGTGCAAGAGCTTCGAATTCTTTCTCCTGGGCCAGCGGTCACCCAAACAGCTATCATTAGTCAGCAGAGACTTTTGGTCCACAGGAGGCGGATGACGCACTTGGTCCTAACAGGAAGTTTCCTGGATCCGTTTGGTTTGCTGCTGTTGGGAGACCAGGCAGCCGCCTTCTTATAGCTGTGTTGTTCTCACTCACGCGGTCTCCAGCAGCACCGCCATCCCACAGTTTCCTGACCCTAAAGTGTCTGAGGCCCCCACTGCCTCTGGCCAAAGCACATCACCTGCAGTTCACTCCCAACTGCCCCTCACCACTTATGGAGCTCCCGCCAAAGCAGCTTCCACGTGCTGAGGACGGCAACCTGCATAGTTCACTGAGGGGTGCTCAGTTGCCCTCCCAGGGTTGGGGCAGCTTGTTGAGTGCAGATAGTGAGACGGAGTAGGAGGCTGAGGGGCAGGAGGTTTGCCACCTGCAAATCACAGGTGGATTTCTGCCGTTAATGACAATGCTCTGTGCTGATGAAGGCCTAGTCTGTCACAGTTAGTAATTCTATAATAACACATTACATTTTCATAGCATTTGTACATTTTCCAAGTATTTTCATGTTCATTACTCTTTAATAATAGCTACAACTTTTTTTTGACCTGAAGTACACTCCTGTGCTGCCCACTGACATTTATTAACTCATCATATCCTACGCATTTATTCTTCACTCACAGGCGAGAAAGCTGAGGCCTGAAGATGTCACCTACACTGATGGAGGTCAGTTAATTCAGGTCTGTCCGACCCAGAACCCACACCCTAAATCACTGCAGGCCACTGCCTTCTCCCCAAAGTGCCCTGTAGGAAGATTAAATAAAAACTCGCCTTCTCCCAATTGAGCCAATGGTCCCAGCAACCATAGTGATGGCACTATCAGGCAGGGCAGGTCCCCCTCTTACCGATATGGGAGCTGAGACAAGGAGCCCCTCAGAGCCCAGTCTGAAGTTTCACAATGAAGACAGCTAAGTCACTCCCTTCCTCCCTGCCTCCCCCGTCCTTTCTTCCTACCTTTCCTCATCAACGAAGCATCCATTAGAAGCCTCCCCTATGGAAAACATTGCTCTGTGAGGATACTATGAAAGTCTCCTGGAAATCAGGAGTGGTCTGGGAATTTCCAGGGTTGTGTGTGCACACGCGCATGTGTGTTTCTGTTGATAGTACTATTAACAATACAGTAAAAAATAAAGCACTGAATCAGAATTTCTTAAAATTGTTATATATTTCAAACATTTGCACTCAGCATATTAATGTTTTTATATGTAATTCACACCATTTTATTGGCAGTGTGTCTGGAAATGGGACTAACATTTATAAGAGCATGTGCCTTTATAGAAATGCGGAAAAGAAAAATGCTGTCTCTCACTCGTGTCATTATGTGACAGTAGGTAAAACTGCATGTGGAGAATGAAGTACTGAAAATAAAAAATTAAGGCCCTTCATTAGTATTAGGCCCTGGGTCAGCTTGGGCGAGACAGTCTCCACCTCACAGATTGGCGTCTGCTGGGTTTAAACTCTTCCTCCCAAAGCACACAGCCTCTTGCCTGTTGCCACCCAGTTGAGTGTCAAGTGGAAGTTCGGAGCCATTGGCTCCATCCCGGCTGCCCACAGAGGGAAAAAGTGCTGCTAAAGGGGTCGTGTGTTTGGGGAGATGGACTGAAAGCACTCGTGGGTGTGGAGAGGACCGTGGGCTCTGTCCAAGCCCTGCTGCCTCTGGCCTGGACTGGGAGTGTGCTGCAAGGTCTGGGTGTCCAGGGCCATCGACTCTCTGGACAGCACCGTTCAGTGTGTGCTTCCCTCACATCTGCGGGGGCTACTCAGGAACAGGAAGCTGTCCCAGGCTCTCTGGACCTCATCTGCCAAATAACAGAACAGTAACATTGCACAGGTTTGTGGGAAGATTTGTGGAAATAATTACATGTCTCTAGTGAATCTGAACTAGAATTCGCAAAGGATATATGTGGGTTAGGAACCTGAGACTAGTTCTGCGTATCCTATAATGCAGCATCTGCATACCATAGTATTGGTGAGATCAACACACTTTGCGTGGAAATTGTGATCCCTCACTTCAGACATGCATGAAAGGCCCTAGATCATGCCCTGGTGATGCCTGCCATGGTTTCCAGCACGGGCCCTCAACCACACAAGCTCTAAGACTGCACCAGCAACGTTGACCAGAGCTTGTTCTTTCAACTATCTATATGGGCATCATCCTTACCTCCACCTCTCCACCGGCATGTCCACCTCTCCATCTACACGTCCACCTCTCCGTCCGCGCGTGTGTCACCTCTCCATCCACACATCCATCTTTCCACATGTCCAGGAAACTGTTGCCCTGGGGGCCAGAAAAGTGTAGTTTGTAGCCCTCCACACTAGACGCACACTTTTGCTGTCTCCACCTTGCTAGTGTGGTGGGCCACGGTGACCCACTCTGGTTGGTCGGTCAGCACACAGTGCGGCGACCGCAGCTCCGTGGTAGACGGTGCACTGGGACCCAGCAAGGCTGGCCGTCCCTCTGGCGGGGTGGTCAGAGCCGCTTCCTGGAAGGCGGATTTCAGCCGAAGTGCTAATGTCGCCAGGACTTCCTGGCCGCGGACCTGCAGAAGGAGCTCCCAGAACAGTGCAGGCCACGGGGCTTTAATGCTGCTCCTCCTTCTGCGTCCCATTTTACAAAATAACATTAATAGTAGGTTGATCACAGTTAATTGTTGTTTTGTAGATTGAAAGCATTTGGAGATTGACAATTTAATAAAGTTTATATTGTTCCAGCTAAGCATAAAAACTTAAAAATTTATAAAGCGCCTTCTAAAACAGTCACTTTGCTTCAAACATTTCAATCCTCAAACCCGCCACGTGACTAAGTTAGGGCCGGTATCCTTCTCCCGGCCTCAGGTGAGGAAACTGCCTGCGCCAGGTTCTCTGGGCCGCGCGGAGCCGGGGCTGACACAGCTGCGGGGCTGGGGTTTCCGATCCCAGCGCAGAGCGTCTCCCGCTGCTCCTGCGGGCGTGAGGCTCCCGGGATGCCCCTCCCTGAAGTGGGTCGGGACCCGCATCGGGATCCGGGCAGCCAGGCCTCGCAAAAGGCCCTGGGCCCGGGTCTGCTGCTCCGGCCTGACCCCTCAGAACCGCCCGAGGCTAGCGCGCCGGGAACCCCGGCCTCAGCCCCTCGCTCCCGCCGCCCTCTGTCTGGAGCTGCCGGGCCGCTCCGCCCCGCACGTGGATCCCGGCGGCCGCCCTAGGTGGGGCCTCTTGGCCGGGCCGTCTCCAGCGCCCGCCCTCCCGTGCGTCCCAGCTCGGTGGTGAGCGGCGTTTCCCGCCTTTGTCTTCCACCCCCTCCCAGCTCTGCCGTGGGAGGTGGCGCCCTTCTCCGGCTCTCCTCAGGCCGCGTTCGCGCCTCACGGGAGGTCTCGCCAGCCGGGCAATGCTCGGCGCCGCTTCCCGCGCGGGCTGAGGAGAGATGGCGCAGAGGCGCTGGGAACCCACGGGCTTCTGAGGAGCGCAGCGGGCACGACGACGGAGCGGAGTCCTGAGGCCACAGCTGAGGAAAGGGTCAAGCTCAGGCTCCCAGGCGGTGGCCGAGGGGACCCCGGGTGGGGCGGAGGCGCATCCTGGGAGGCGCTCGGGGAGGGTGCTATGGAGGCCGCCCGAGGCCGCCCCAGGCCGCAGGAAACAGGCGGGCGCGTCCTTCCCGCCTCAGCTACAGGCCTGTGGGGCCGCCTTCCGGGCGCCGCAGCCGCCTGGGCTGTGTGGTTCCATCTTGCAGATGGGATCAGATGGCCCTGGAGGTGGGGTCCCCCGGGTGTGCGCCCCAGACGTGCAAGCGCCTCCCCACGCCCCATCAATAAGGGTCACAGCCCCCTCCCCAGACCTGGCGGGGCCTCCCAGCCCTTCACGCAGCGCTGACGGGGCCTCTGCCCACCGGCCACCCTGGTCTCAAGACGGAGCCCACGTCTCCTGCTTGGGCTGGATGAGTGACCCTTCCCTGCGGCCATGAACAGGGAGCTTTAAACGTGTTGAGGTTGGACCCTGCCCAGCCCGGCTGAACCCCACTCTGTAGGAGGCGCAGGCATCAGACGCCGGGGACGTCATGGTGGAGGAGACTACCCGTGAGCCCGGTGACGTCACGGTGGAGACCACCCGCGAGGCTGGTGACGTCACAGTGCAGGAGACCACCGCGAACCTGGTGACGTCACGGTGGGGGAGACCACCCCGAGCCCTGTGACGTCACGGTGGAGGAGACCACCCTGAGCCTGGTGACGTCACGGGTGGAGGAGACCGCCCCGAGCCCTGTGACTTCACGGTGGAGGAGACCACCCTGAGCCCGGTGACGTCACGGGTGGAGGAGACCGCCCCGAGCCCTGTGACTTCACGGTGGAGGAGTCCACCCCGAGCCTGGTGACATCATGGTGGAGGAGACCGCCCCTGAGCCCGGGTGCCCCTGATCCCAGGCACTGGATGGGATCCCCGGGGGCCATGTTTTAAAATCAGTTTATTTGCTCTCTCATCTATAAATTATTTTTTAATTGCAATAAGACCGCCTACTCAAAAAGAGTTCTGGAGACAGATGATGGTGGTGTCTGCATGTAGGAATGTATTTAATGCCACTGAACTGAACACTTAAAAATGGTTAAGACGGCACACTTTTTGTTACCTGTATTTACCACAATAAAAAATTGGGAGAAAAAGTAAACACTGACCTTTCAAACACACTAGCTGGTCCTGAGGATGTGCGTTTTGTGTTAGTGAGGCATAAAGGAACCTCAGAGCGTTGGCCAAAAGATGTGGCCATTAATAAACTATGATTTGGGGTAAATGTCTGAGCCTCATTTTTTCAACTGTATAAGGGAGATTAAAAATAACATAGTCCTCTGTGATGTGGGGGCAAATAACAAATGTTTGCTTTGGTAACTGCAAATTGTGAATAAATGTCACTGTATAGTTAAAAAACAACAGCAGCTCATCTGGTCAGCACAGCACCACCAGCCTCCCTCATGGCAGAAACCCAACATCTGGTCAGCATAGCACCGCTAGCCTCCTTCATGGCAGAAACCCAACTCTGGTGTAGCGTCAGCACTGAACAACAGATGGAACATTAGCCCAGGACACATAGCGGATCCTGAAGACAGGCATTTGCTCGTGGGTTGAATTTGGAGAAGCACAACACATTCAGAGGGTAACTGTTCCTGATCTTCAAGGTCGTCCATTAATAAGTGTTCAAAGTTGGTTTGTTCTCCAGTTTTCGACGTATCTGTGTGTACAGTGAAGTGTCAAGAACTCCAGCCTCCACCGATTCGAGACCACTTGTCCTCTGTACAAATACTTAGCCTGGCAGCAGAGCGAAGAAGAGACTGCAGGGCATGTTTGTTCTCTGCAGATGCTGGCACCACCCACGAAAGGCAAACAACTGTGTCTGTGGAGCTGGATCCCCTCTGGTCACAGGGAACAGCCAGACTTCCTGGGACAGGGGTCAGAAGGCGGGAGACAGGCAGGGGCAGCCAGTGAGGAAGGAACCAGGACGAGGTCCCAGTAGACGCCCGGGAGGAGACAGCCCAAGCGGAGGAGAGGCCTGGAAGCAGGCGGGCGCCCTGAGCCTTCATGTCCCCTTTGCTGGTAAGCAGCATCTGCCTACGACCTCCTAACCTCGCATTCAAGAGTCCACTGAGCACGGGCATGGGGAGGGAGCATGTGGACGGCCTCTAACCTGTGCGCCAGCCGACGGTGCCACCAAACGGGAGGCGTGGGCTGTGGGTCTCCCCTTCTCACTGGGCATGGGTGTGGGGAGGGAGCATGTTGATGTTGATGGGCCTCTAACCCACATGCCAGCAAATGACGATGATGCCACCGTGGGCTGTGGGTCTTCCCTTTTGAACCTGCATATGCAGCGGCACCTGCTTCAGGGCATCTACAAGCCGCCCCTGGCCCCAGCACCACGACACCTCTGCCCCTAAGGAGCTGCGAGTCCCTGGCCCCCAGGCTTGCCTGGGCCACAGGTTTCTCATGGGAATGGGGATCTTCATAGCACCTCACAGGCCTGCTGTCCTAGGGGCCACTGAGACCATCGCTGCAAGGCTGCGAGGTGCACCACCCGGCTCAGTTCTGCTGTGTGGTGGTGATAAGATGACATCTGGGGTTTTGTTTTTGCTTCTCTGACTTCCCATCCTTTCAGGCTGGAGGCCCCTGACCCTGCTGGCGTGGCCAGGGGGTTGGGGAGGGAGTGCAGGGAGCTAACCCAGCTGACCAGCTCAGACTGGGAAGCCTCAGGTGGGTAGGGCAGGCCCGGGGCTGGGGAGGCTCCGCCTTTGACCAGGAGGCCTGTGGCAGAGATGCCTCAGGGGTAGGGTTTCCTGGCTGTTTATTTCTAGGATAGGACCGATGCCAGTGTCCCTTTTAGAAAAGCTGGAAGAAGCATTCCTGGGTGAAAGTCTGGACAACAGTACCTGCCTGGGCGGCCCGGGCTCTGCCCCCGCTTCAGCACCCGGGGGGCCCTGAGTGCCTGGCTGCTGAGTCACCTCTGTAGAGCCAAATTCCACAGACGCGCACCTGGCGCCAAACACCTGGCTCCTGGACCTGCCTGTTCAGGCGCTGTGCCCAGGTTTCTACGTGCCTGGAGGGCGGGAGGCCTGCTGGGCGTGCATGCGATCTCATCAGCACACTTAATATACATGTACCCACACCCTGCAGGCGCGTGGACAGGCGGGTCATGGCCTGGTAGCAAGAGCACACCTGGAGATTCTGTGGTGCCTTAACTTTCCAAAGCACTCTCATGTGACTGTCCCACGATCACGTCTTCCATCCCTGCCCTCTCAGCCAGGCTCCAGGCCGGGCTCTTCGCCTGCATTGGTGGTGGCCCCTCTGCAAACTCAGTGCTAGACAAGACAGACTATTGTATTTTGTCCTTGGAGGAACGGAGGCTCAGAGAGTGTGAGCTACACACCCAGGCCACACAGCTGGGGTGTGTCACACAGGCATGAGTGTTCTGACCCTGGGACCAGCCACACCCTCCACCACTCTGGGCACTTCAGGCGAGCTCCTTAATCCCAGCCAGGCCTCTATACAAAGGTCTTAACTGTCTAGGCAAATATTTTAAGAAATGGGTGGATATATCTGCTTTAGGAAGCCCGTCCATGAATATCCATGCCTGTCCTAGCATGTAAATTGAAGGACGTCTTTCCATTGAAGAAAGGCTTTTCTTTGAAGAAGCCTTGCTATAAAGTAGAGGTGAACTTCTCGGCCATGTGCAGGAAGGATGGCTTACATCAAAGTACATTTCACAGTTTAACCAAGAACTCTCATGTCTGTTAGCACTTGAACTTAATTTAAGATTCGATGTTGCCTTTCCTAGGAAAGATTGTACAAGTGGGTAGCTTACATTCTGCTTACATTCCAAGCACATTACTGTTCATTATTCAGCCATAAGTGCCATTATTATAGGCCCTTGATGGAGTTACATAAGTGAAATGGGCTGAATTTCACTAAATTTCTATTTTGTACCAGGGGTTTGCCTCAATCAATACTTTTTGGACAAGACCTGGATTGAGACAGAAAGTTGATATTATACAAACTAAGGTAAGTTTGTGTTATATTTCCTTTTCAATTGGGACATTAGTTATTGGTTGTCACATGTACTCACACATAAATAAAATGTGGACTTATTAGGCCAGGAGGAAGGACAGATACGGGGGAGGAGAAGCTGTAACCAGAAGGCAGTAGAAAGCCCAGACCTCCCCCAGGGCCCTTGCTGCACTCAGTCCCTGTTGAGTCAGAGACAGGGAGAAGCCATGGTGTAGGGGAGTTGGTGAGGGGAGCAGCCTTGGCGAGCGGGAGGTGGGGAGACGGAGATGGAGATGGAGACAGAGAGATACAGACAGAGACAGAGAGACAGAGATGGACAGAGACACAGATGGGGACAGAGACACAGAGATGGAGAGACAGAGATGGAGAGAGACAGAGATGAAGAGATACAGAGATGGACAGAGACAGAGATGGAGAGAGACAGAGACAGAGAGAGATGGAGAGAGAGACAGACATGGAGACAGACAGAGAGAGACGGAGAGAGACAGAGATGAAGAGAGACAAAGATGGAGAGAGGCAGAGACAGACAGAGACAGAGATGAAGAGAGACAGATGGAGTGAGACAGAGAGAGATGGAGAGAGACAGAGATGAGGCGGACAGAGAGACATGAAGAGAGATAGAGATGGAGAGAGACAGAGATGGAGAGAGACAGAGATGAAGAGATACAGAGAGAGATGGAGAGAGACAGAGATGGAGAGAGACAGAGAGAGACAAAGACAGGGATGGAGAGAGATAGAGATGGGGATAGACAGAGATGAAGAGATACAGAGACAGAGATGAAGAGAGACAGAGTGAGACAGAGATGGAGAGAGAGAGATAGATGAAGAGATACAGAGACGGACAGAAACAGAGATGGAGAGAAACAGAGATGAAGACAGACAGAGATGGAGAGATACAGAGAGGTGGAGATGGAGAGAGATAGACAGGGAGAGATGAAACAGAGAGACAGGAATGGAGAGATACAGGGAGAAATGGAGACAGAGAGAGGTGGGGACAGAGCGAGCCAGCTTGTGCCACTCCAGGGCCGGGTTCTGCGTACACATGGGCACGGCATCCTGGGCCGTGCATTGCTTTCCCAGAGCGCGTGGCTGTCTGTGGGGACAGGACCAGGAAGAAGCCGCCTGGTTGCTCTCAGGCCACCTCGGAGAAGGTGGGAGGTGACTTCAAGACAGAGAGGACACCAGAGAGGCTGCTCCCAGCCAGCAGAGCCGAGCACAGGTGTGGAGCCTCGAAGTGGCCTTGACTCCAAGGGGACTTTGGAGCAAGCCCAGCAGCGGAGCCAGGCAATGGGTGGGGTTTGTCCGCCAGAGAAGGGCAGAGCAGAGGCCCAGCCAGAACTTTCAACCTGAAACCCAGGATCCCTCAGACCCTCTGATCGGCAGAAGCTCCTTTAACTGGGAATTTGTTTATATTTCAAGTGAACTGTTGCTAAACGCTGTGTTTTAGGCTAGATGAATCAAGGCCTGGCACACCTGACGATGTCAAAGGGGGCCTGGGAGCTGGAGACTTCCGTGTCCATGGGCAAAAGCAGGGTGGTGCTCAGGTGCTGGGAGGAGGTCCTGGGCCTCTGTGTCCTTGCAGCAGGAGGCTGGATGTAGAAGAGAAGGCAGCCGCCTGGGCGTTCAGTGCCGCCCGACAGACGGCCCCACCTCTGCCACAGCCCTTCCCGCCTGGTCCATGCCCTGCACCAACCCCAAAGTGACCTCTGTAAAACTCAGGGCCATTTTCCTGACGGAAATTCCACAATGACCTTCAATCTTAGTCGTACAATGGAATCTCTTGTAGATATATATATTTTTAAATGCTCACACCTGGGCATCACCAGAAATTTAGGCCTCATTGGTCTGGGCTGGAGTCCGGGCACTGTTAAAAGCCCCAGGTGATCCTGACACAGCCGGGTGGGGTTGGCACAGGTGGAATCCCTCCTTCATGATGTCCCGGCAGCTGCTTGAACCACCCCAAGCATCATCTCGCAAACAGCAGCGATGATAATGAAATGCCCACCTGCACCTGAGGTCCTGCAGTCCTGCAGCCGCCAAGCTGGTCCACACCTGCAACCGAGGTCCTGCAGCCACCAAGCTGGTCCACACCTGCACCTGAGGTCCTGCAGCCGCCAAGCTGGTCCACACTTGCACCCGAGGTCCTGCAGTCCTGCAGCCCTGCAGCCACCAAGCTAGTCCACGCCTGCACCCGAGGTCCTGCAGCCGCCAAGCTGGTCCACGCCTGCACCCGAGGTCCTGCAGCCGCCAAGCTGATCCACGCCTGCACCCAAGGTCCTGCAGCCACCAAGCTGGTCCACACCTGCACCTGAGGTCCTGCAGTCCTGCAGCCACCAAGCTGGTCCACACCTGCACCCGAGGTCATGCAGCCACCAAGCTGGTCCACGCCTGCACCTGAGGTCCTGCAGCCCTGTGGCCACCAAGCTGGTCCACGCCTGCACCCGAGGTCCTGCAGTCCTGTGGCTGCCAAGCTTGTCCATGCCCTGTAACCTGCTTGAAAGGCACTTTAAGACCTGCACCCGAGGTCCTGCAGTCCTGTGGTCCTGTGGCCACCAAGCTGGCCCATGCCCCTGTCACTTGCTTGAAAAACGCTTCAACACCTGGCTTCCACATCCCTTCCTGGAGCTTCCCAGAGCCTCCAGTGAGTCTGCAGCTCCCAGCTCTGCACTGCCTGAAATCACAGGGAGACGTACGTGTCAAGGTGCGAGTGCCATGCCTGTCCTCTCAGGAACAGCATTCTGAGCTCCTCACTGTGGAAGCTGCTCTGGTCTCTGCTTCCACGTGGGCACAGGCCATCATGCAGCAAGGTGTGAGCGAGGACCCCACTCTCAAAATGCAACACGCTTGACTGTCCAATACACACAAGGACTCATGTGCACACACAAGTGTCTACACATGTCCACACAGTACATATGCCCACACACACGGTACAGTCATACACGTGCACACAAGTGCAATGCACACATCCATGTGTCTGCACATGTTCACATGTGAAGACGTGTTTGCATGTGTATTCACATGTGTGGACACCTGTGCACACCCCCGCACCACCACTGTCACCACTGTGTCTCTGGTGGTAGTGAGAGGGTAAGGGTAAGAATTTCTGGATCCCACATACGATATCCTAAAGCAAAATGCCCTCACGCCTCCTCCCTGAGAGAAGACGCAGCAGCCACAGGAAGTGAGCTTCTTGGACAAGGAACATCAGGCGTCCAGTGCCCCACCGGCTTCCTGGTGCCTAGTCCCCTAAAGAGGTGAGAGGTGCTGATAAAATGAGCTGCTGTGCTGATGCCTGGGGTGACTGGGGTGGAGGGATGTGGGGGCGGCAGCCCTGTTGTCCTGGAGCTGCTCCTTCTCCCCACTGCATCACTCCTGGGCCTCTCCTGGAGGCCTGAGCCATCCTCCCCAGGGCAGCCCCAGGCTGTGCTGCCTGAGCAAACCCAGAGCCCAGCCCTCCCTCCCCCTGCAGCCTGAGGGCAGGGACCATGGCAAGCCCTTCTCCTACAGCCCCAGTGCCTCAGCAGCCTCATTTTCGGGGACGTGCCAGCTCATTTTCTGGTCTGTTTTGTGGTGTGGCAACAGCCTCGAATCACAGCAGCCTGAACAGCCCAGTAAATATTTACACAAACCTGGGGCTGGCAGGCCCTCTCCTTTGTGGGGCTGCCCTGCTGAAAGGGAGGGGAGCCAGGCCGGCTCAGTCCCAGCTCGGCGCAGATGGTGCCTGCAGCACGCAGTTCTTGCGGGGACGCAGCCGGGATGCAGACGTGGGCTTTTGAAGCCCCCGGCAAAAGCTGGTGGCCGCTCCTGGCTGGGGTTCTGTGGTCTTGTGTCTGGAAATGTGGCCTGGGAACATCCCTGAGGTCTCCCCAGAACAGCAAGGATTGTCTTCTTTCTTATGCTCTTCATCAATGCACAGGCAGCCCTCTGAAGTCCTCAGAATGCTCCAGATCTGGACAGTCACCTCCCAGCTGGGCTCTGGTGCTCTGGAAATCAGAAACAGGTTTCTTATGTGGTTCATTTTTCTCCATTTCCAGGCATTTTTATTGTTATTCTTATTAACAAATGACATCATCACTGCCAGTCATAGTAAGTGTATAAAAGTGCATTTATGGGGCATATCCATTGAGGCGTTCCCAGGACAGAGACGGGCCAGGGAGGCCAGAGTTCTCCGCCTTCAGCAAAGGCAGCCATGAGTCAGTCATAAGTTAGGGTGACAGGCGCCTGGCGTCACAGGAGACCTCAGGCCACGGTCACAGGGAGAACTGGGCATCATCACCGGGCGCCTGGCCTGTGTGCCCCCATCCAACCAGCCCGAGCTATGAGCTCCTCATAACCAGCAGCCCGAAACCAGAGAGGACTAACATCTACACCTCCTCTACACCCAACAGGGACAGCTCACAGCGCCCAGGGCTCAATGGAGACCAGATGTTTGGGAGAGGTGGGAGAGGACATGGGGTGAGGCCTGCTGCTTCTCCAGTGAATAAGGTGGCTGGAATTAGGATTAAATTTGTAAGGGAATGTTTGGGCCAGAGGACCCACCATTTCTGCGGTCTGTATCTCCCCCAACACCCCAAATGTCCAACAAGGACACAGAGCCCAGGAAAAAGCCGGGCTCAGGGAGGAGACTCGGAGGGCAGGTCACATACCTGCTGGTGGAAAGCCAGGCAGGAACCCTGTGTGGCCATGACATCAGCACGGAAAGGCCCCTGGACCTCAGCCTGTCCCCACTGCATGGCAGGCAAGAAGCAGCAGCCCAGAGGTGGCCCCACGTTAGGGCCAGAGTCCCAGTGTGGCTCCCATCTCCTGGGGCAGCTCATGGCACTAGCCAGAAAAGCCCAGTCGGGGGATCCAGGGGCTCATGAGACATGAGACATTTGCTTCTTCCCTTGGACACTCCCTTCTAGGAACAGGGTGAGCTGGAGAGAGGCAACAGAGCAGGAGCAGGGAGCACTGAGGGTGGCTCCGCCTGAGGGTACAGCACACGTCCAGGGCTGTCTGCACACTATTTCTCCCTCTCTTCTCACTCCCAATTTAGAACAAGTGCCCAGGGGAAGAAAGAAGAAAAGAGATGCTGCTCCTGCTGCCTGTGCCTCCTCCTTCCAGAGTGCTCTGCAGGGCAGGCTGCAGGCAGGGCCTTGTCACCCTGGCACCCTCCAGTTCTCCATCTCTACCACTCCATCTGGACCCGTGCGCCAGCTGGTATCCAGGACCCCAACCTTTCCCTCTCCGTAAACGGGTCCGTGCAAATTCATGGCCCCAGCCCATAAAGAACAGGGTGTTTCCGTCTCTTAGGCCTCAAATGTTTTAAATGCACAGAAAGAGATAGTGAGTGTTCAGGGTGTCTCTGCTGCATGCATTCAGCAGGAGCTACCATGGCCGACCTGGGCACCACACTTCAGATATGTGGCTCTGCACAGTACAAGAGATTGGGCCAGTCATCATGTCCTACAAACACACAGCACGGAGGCATTACCTACACCACAAACCCACAGGTGCTCAGGGACAAATGTTTAAGCTACTGAGGCTGCACCAAGCTCAAACACAGATGGCATCTTTCAGATCACCAGAGGCAGTGTCCACCAGACATGCAATTCCTCTGCAGGAGTCAGACCCCAGGTCACCCAGCTTGCTGGGAGGGTTCCTCCGGGGCAGAGGGAGACATGCCCAAGTCAGACTGGGGAACACCAGCAGTTGACTTCCGTAGCGTTTGCCACCAGTACCATCTTCCTCTGTAACTGTATCTTCCCAACTTCTTGTGAATATCTCCACCAGATGTTCCATCAGCACTTAAAACTCACATTTCAACACTTGATCTGAATTCCTCCAAATCCCACTTCTTCCCCTGGGCACCTTGATTCGGTGCTGGCACCACCATCCACCAGGCAGCCAGAACCAAACTTTGGGCTTCTTCTCACTCTCATGCTCCCATGCAAACCACTGTGAAGTCAGGTCATTGCTCTCTCTGAACTGTCTCCTAAAATCACCCCTTTTCCCAATTTCTACCCCTAACTCTCAAGGGAACCCCTCATCCCCATCCATTTTGGCCAGTCTGCCTGGCACACCCTCACCCACGATCCTTCCTGCAGCACAGAGCTTTCATACCCTACTCAAGTATCCAGCACAGGGAAGTTCTTTCCTCCTGGGTGTGGAGCCCATCAGCACCCGGGTGAGTGTCGAGCCCACCTCCATGGCACCCTTCTCTCTTGAGTCCCAGACAAACCAAGTGCTCCCAGCTGCCACCTGGCCCTGCTTTTCTGCCCTGCCCTTTGCTCAAGCCATTTGCACTCAAAGTGACCTGTCCTTCAGGCCCAGCCTGCATCAGACACACTCTTTCCCAGACCCAGCCCGCAACAGACACACTCTTTCCAAATCTACAGCAGAGGAGGCCTGGAAGTTGGGTCTGGCTGCTCCATCCAGGGGTCTTTGCCAAGCAGATGCTTGACCCTCCTGGGGGGCCCCACTGGCCCCTCCTCCTCTAGTCTACCTAGTGCACCTGTGGTCTCAGAGTCCTCCACACCCAAATCACCTCCAAGAATCAAAACTGAAATTGGGGAAGAAACAGTTCGCATGCTTCTGAGGGAAAGAACCTATCCCTCTAGTTCCCAAATGTGTAGTCAACCCTGCCCGAGGGCTCCTGGAGAGAAGGGGAGGGAAGGGACGTCTGGACACAGGTCTCTTGTTGCACCCGAAGGCCCTGAGTCCAAATACAGTCTCACTGGGAGCTGGGACTTCAGCGCAGGACTGGGGGGCGCCATTCAGTCCACGAGATCTGCAGCATGTAGGGAGGGTGAGGTCGGGGAGCAGGCAGAGGCTTGTGCCCAGGCTGCAAAGTTTCTCAGCCTGTTGGGCAGGGATACAGCTTTAAACAAAGAAGTCCAGTCAAGAGCCCTGGCTGCTGGCACAGATCACCACACTGGAGATGTGACACGCCACCTCGCCATGGCGTCTGCCACTGAGAACGTCCCAAGCCAGGCCCTAACCCGCCTGCCTGGGTTTTTCACCCCGGGCTCTCTTCAGGGCCATAACCTCTTGGGATGGATAATGAATGTTCATTGATTTTTATTAGTATGTGAAAACAAACACATCTTAAGTAATAAATAATGTATTTAAAGTTATCTATGGTTGAAGTATGTATTACAAGGTCCATTTACATATGATCTTTAAAAATATTCCTATAATTTCCTCATTTGGCAAGTGTTATATGCACTTTACTCCACTTTCAAAGTAAATGTAAGAAAAACCCATGGCTCATCAATACTTTTGAAGCAAACGACTATTTTCTATTTTATTTAAGGACTGAGTGTATGTTAGAAAATCAAATTACTTGCATGTACTATGTCTCCAAATGACTTTTATGATCCAAAGTTTAGAATATTTTTATTCAGATGTTTAAATATCTGCTTCTCTAGAGATCATATTTTGTTCCCAAACGGTGCAAGGGACTTTGAGACATGTCTGAAACTCTTTCCAAACAGCACATTGATGGTGTGACAGCTCATATTCACAGTCAGCAAAAAGCAAAATGGCTATGACTACCATTCTATTTCCCCTTTTGTCCATTGGATGTGAGGGACATCTTGACATGTTATGGAGGCATCTTGCTAAATGACTGACGTGTTATGTAGGCATCTTATTAAATGATTGACATGTTGTGCAGGCATCTTGCTAAGTGATTGACATGTTATGTAGGCATCTTGTTAAATGGATGCAACTTAGAGACATCCTGAGATTTATTTGCAGAACTGCTGCAATTCTTTTTAGTACTTGCCGGCTTTCCTTAGCTTCCTCATAGCCACTGTCAATTTACATGGAATAATATATGACTATGAGGAATAAAAATACAATTCTAAGGCCCGCAACCAACTGAAATGACCTCCCCTTGGCCAAAGGGACCTCTGAGAAACCTTGAAAACTGAGTTCCCAGCCATGACAGAGGGGAGGTCAGACTTGCTTCGTGATCCCCCTCCCTCACTAAGCACCATTAGGCTTTCTTCCCTGAGGGCTACACAGTATACAGCCCCTTCAAACGAGACCATGCTGATTTCCACCAACTTGATGTCACCCCTCTCTTTTATGGTTTGGGCACAAACACTGACCAGCACTCCTTCCTGATGGGAGAGCACTGACTTCAGACTGTAGCTCTGCCAGGCCCTCACAGGAAGCACAGTGAGGGTTTTTGCATCCCCTGCTTCACATTTCCCCTCCACGCTGCCCTAGGAGAGGTTCTCCACGAGGGCTCTGCCCCTACAGCAGGCTGCTGCCTGGACATCCAGGAGCTTCCATACATCCTCTGAAATCTAGGCAGGAGCTCCCAAGCCTCAACTCTTGCCCTCTGCACACCCACAGGCTTAACACCACGTGGAAGCTGCCAAGGCTTACAGCTTGCGCCTTCTGGAGCAGCTGCCTGAGATGTATCTGGGGCCTTTTTAGCCATGGCTGGAGCTGGAGCAGCTGGGACACAAGGAGCAGTGTCCCAAGTCTGCGCAGGGTGGTGGGGTCCTGGGCCTGGCCCGCAAAATCATTCTTCCCTCCTAGGCCTCTGAGTCTGTGATGAGAGGAGCTGCACTGAAGTTCTCTGAAATGCCTTTGAGGCATATTCTCCATTGTCTTGGCTATCAACATTTGGCTCTTGTTTACTTATGCAAATTTCTGCAAGCCAGCTTGAATTCCTTCCCAGAAAATGGGTTTTTCTTTTCTACCACATGGCAGGGCTGCAAATTTTCCAAAATTTTATGCTTTGCTTTCCCTTTAAATTTAAGTTCCAATTTCAGATCGTTTCTTTGTTTATGCAAATGAGCATAGGCTTTTAGAAGCAGCCAGGCCAAATCTTGAACACTTTGCTGTTTAGAAATTTCATCTGCCAGACACCCTAAATCATCTCTCTCAAGTTTAAAGTTCCACAGATCCCTAGAGCAGGCACACAATGCCTCCAGCCTCTTTGCTAAAGCATAGCAAGAGTGACCTTTACTCCAGTTCCCAACAAGTTCCTCATCTCCATCTGAGATCTCCTCAGCCTGGACTTCATTTTCCATATGACTATCAGCATTCTGATCACAATAATTTAACATGTCTCTAGGAAGTTCCAAACTTTCCCTCATCTTCCTGTCTTCTTCTGAGCCCTCCACACTCTTCCAACCTCGGCCCTTTACCCAGCTCCAAAGCAGCTTCCACATTCCAGGGATCTTTATAGCAATGCCCCGCTCCTGGTACCAATTTTCTGTATCATTGCATTCTCCCATTGTTATAAAGAACTGCCTTATAAGGGTGACTTATAAGGAAAATAAGGAAAAGAGGTTTAATTGTCTCATAGTTTCACAGGCTGTACAGGCTTCTGCTTCCGAGGAGGCCTCAGGAAACTCACGATTGGGCAGAAGGCAAAGGGGAAGGTGTCATGACTCCTGTGGCCAGAGCGGGACACAAGAGGCAGCAAAGGGTGAGGTGCCACACCCCTTTAAATAACCAGCGAGAACTCACTATCATGAGAACAGCAAGGGGGAAATCTGCCCCCGTGATCCAGTCCCCTCCCGCCAGGCCCTCCTCCCACACTGGGGATGACAATTCAACACGAGATTTGGGCAGGACACAAATCCAGACCATATCACACACCTTGCTCCTCTAACACACAGGCAAAAACATCAGTCCCTTCCAGAACTTCTGAAGGTTCACAAAACACCCTGGGGAAACGTGTGCCTGTTTAATTTTTGTTAGAGTTTAACTCTGATGTTGAAATGCAAGCATTTTGAGTGTGAGGTGAGGGAACACTTGGAAATTTTCTCAGTCGGCCCCATGTGCTCTGGGACACTCAAAATCTCCCAGGCATCTCCACCAAGAGACCCAGCCCCACAGGATCCTCTGCTAAGAGTAGAGGATTATCCCTCCCCTCTGCCAGAGCAGCAGTGAATCACCTTTCAGGTGTTCGGGGTCAAGCCATTTTCACCATGACTACCTGCCAGAGCCTGAGGGTCCCAGCAGGACATCCCAGCTCCTGACCTGGCCCAGGACCTGCAGCCTCTGCCCAGACACACCTCCCAGGGCCCAGAACCAGCAGCCCCAACCTGGACCTGCTTCCCAGGGCCCAGGACCAGCAGCCCCCACCCAGACACGCTCTCAGAGGCCGCTCCAATCACACCCACGTCTCAGCTCTTACTAAGGCTCAGTTTCAGTTTTGCAATGCTTCTCATGTGCCTATCCCCCAAGCCTTTTCAATCTGCTAATTTTCCAGCAAATGAGACATGACAAAAAGTCTTGTTTATCTTAGCTAAATATCTCAATTAAAACACTCCATTCTGAAAGCATGACGTGGCATTTGGCACCTTCGTGGTAGCACAAAACAGCTGGCGAGATGCTCTGTGCTCCGAATGTCCACCAAGAGTCAGCTTCCGGACACTTCTGGACCCTCCCACACTGTCACAGGGGAGGGTGTGGGGGTATGGGTGCTCGAGTTATCCTCGTGTGAACCAGACGCCAGTGAGGGATGGGGACAACCACGGTGCCCTCAGCGCTGGCCATGGGTGCTTCCCACCGAGGGCCCTGAGGACAACATGGACATTCTGCTGTCCTGGGCACCTGGCACACCTGCATGTCCTTCTAGAGACCAGGGGTTTGGCTCCACCCCACTAGTTCAAATGTGAAAGCAGAAAGCTCTGCATGTCTCTGCTTAGAAACTTGCTGAAAGATAAAGGTCAGTGTTAAGCACCTTCTCTGTGTGAGACAGAAACAAGGAGGATCCCTGCCCTCAGGGCTGCTGGGGGGAGGTCCTGTTAGGAGGATGAGTGCTACAGTAACTGCTGTGTTCCCTGGGATGACGGCTGCAGTGGGGGCGAAGGTCAGATTCATGATGAGCACTTGGGTCCTGCTTCCCAGCTGTGCTGGGGGATGTGCACGGACACCACCCTGATGACCAGGAAAGCCCGGCCCAAGCTCACCTCTGACTGTGGACAGTGCGAGCTCTCAGATCTGTGCGTGGCAGAGGGCTGGTCCTCGTGGCCTCCAACCTGGGAAAATTTTACATAGACGTTACACTCCTGAAAATAAGTTGGCAAGTTATCCTGTAGCAAATGTTCTGAAAGAGTGAAGAAGTCTTTTATAAAACATGATACCACAAGCCAATGTTCTTTTTCACAAAAACCCAAATGCTTTCTTCCCATCCCAGAGGATCTGGATGGACTCAGCGGGTCTGAGGGGGGCTCAGTTCACTGGACGTCTACAAACCCCTGGGGGTTATTCCCACGTGCACACCAAGTGGAACCAGGAAGTAAACACTCTGGCTCACGGCCTGTGCATCTGGTGTGCATGAATCAGGAGGCCGACCCTCGGAAAGGTATGAGGGAGCCCACCTCCAGTCACCACCCCAGCCAGGCTCTGGGAAGAAGTCATTCCGTTTCTAGCTGACGTGCAAACTCTTCTGAACGATGTCAGACACATTCTTTATTTTCTGTTTACCTTTGTACTTTTAACTAATTTTAGTCTTACAGTAGAGTCACAAAAATAACAGCTCTTCCTGACACACCATATCCAACTTCCCTGAGTTAGCCCCTTAGCCCCAGCACGACTGCCAGAACCAGGACACTCACACAGTGCTATTCATGAAACGCAGACTTCAGATAAACCTCATGGTGTTTCCACATGGGCCCGGCTTCTGCTCCAGGGTCCATCAGGGTGGTCCCCTGCGTCCAGTTGCCTGTGGCCGTGGCTGCTCCCTTGTCTTTCGAACCTTGACACGTTGGAAGACTTGATCAGTTATTTTGCCAACTATCTGGTCTGTCCAATTGGACTGAAGTGAGGCACTATCGGCAAGAATGCCACAGAGGTGATGCCGAGTCCCTGCTGGGCGCGATGTCCCTGCTGTCCCTCCATGTCCCTGCTGTCCCACCATGTCCCTGCTGGCCCACCGTGTCCCTGCTGTCCCTCCATGTCCCTGCTGTCCCACTGTGTCCCCGCTGTCCCTCCGTGTCCCCGCTGGCTGTGTCCCCGCTGGCCCACCGTGTCCCTGCTGTCCCACCATGTCCCTGCTGTCCCACTGTGTCCCTGCTGTCCCTCCGTGTCCCTGCTGTCCCACCGTGTCCCTGCTGTCCCACCGTGTCCCTGCTGTCCCACCATGTCCCTGCTGTCCCACTGTGTCCCCGCTGTCCCTCCGTGTCCCTGCTGTCCCACCGTGTCCCTGCTGTCCCACCATGTCCCTGCTGGTGCACCGTGTCCCTGCTGTCCCACCGTGTCCCTGCTGTCCCTCTGTGTCCCTGCTGTCCCTCTGAGTCCGTGCTGGCCCACCGTGTCCTTGCTGTTCCTATGTGTTCTTGCTGGTCCACCATGTCCTTGCTGGGGCACTGTGTCTGGGGCTTACGAAGTACTAGTGGTCACCACTGGCTGTGGGCCTCCATCACTGGGGGAACAATGCTACCACTGCTTGCCCACTGTGAGGTTACAAAGTGATTCTCCTTTTTGAATAATAAATATCTTCTTAGCTAACTGCCTATCACATATGTCCATATTCAAGATTTGAAAAATCAAATTATCATCTCCCCAGGAATCAAAACATCCCCATTCCCTTCCACCCCCTGCAGAAAGACGGTTTCATCGGGAGTCTGTTAGAGCCAGGTGGGGAAGGGTGGCCGCCGGAATGTCCCAAGCCTGGCCTTGAGCTTCGGACCATCTGCCAGGAGTGACTGCCCGGGTGCTCAGGAACACCACTGTGAACTTAGAGGTTGAAGTCCTTGAGAAACCAGGCGTCTATAAATAAATATGTAAGTTAAAATATTGATTAAACTTCCATTTTTATAGAGTACCCAAGCACGCGACAGGAAGGAAAGTTTACTGGGAGGATCAGATCCCTGTTTAAGGGAAGAGGCCGTGGAGTTGTCCTCGATCCCAGGAGAAGACAGTCACACACTGTGCTTCTAAGAAAGAACTGGTCCCACCATAGGCGTGTGGCTGCCACAGATCCACGTCCAAGCAGAAGTCACAGCTGTTCAGAAAAGAAAGGCAAAAGGAAGAAAGACATCTCTGTTTGAAAAGTGTAAACCAAAAACAAAACTCTGAGGCCCTCCAGTCATCTGAATGGACTTCCTCCTCAGCCAGGGCTCTTAAAATGTAACCTGAGAGGTGGGTTCAGGCCATGACGGGAAGCGGGGGTCACACACGTCTCATTGTACCCCTCACTAACAGCAGCACAGACTTTGACAACAACATTTTGCACCCTATTCTGTCTGCAGCCTCCTAGCTAAAGCTTCATCTGCATGACAAAACCTTGCTCTCCACACCGTTATCTTAACCCAGACGTTCCTTTCTGCTGCATCTCAGGTCTTTGGACAAACTCAACCCATTGTCAACCAGAAAACCTTTAAATTTACCTGACACCTGGAAGCCTCCCCTCCCTGCCAGCTTTGCGTTGTCCACCTTTCTGGACCAAGCCACTCACCAATGTACTTCTCAAATGTCTTGGATTGGTGTCTTATGGCTCCCTAAAGTGTATAAATCCAAGCTGTCCCCCGACCACCTTGGCACATGTTCTCAGGACCTCCAGAGGGCTGTGTCACAGGCCATGGTCACTCATATCTGGCTCAGAATAAATCTCTTCAAATATTTTCTAGCGTTTGACTCTTTTTGTGCACAATAGCAAAGGCTACAAGTTTCTTTCTTTGCTCTGATTAATCAGCCCAGAGCCTCCTCTCTTGCCACCAGTGAAATTTAAAATGAACGAAGGTGTTTTACTGATGGGGTCTGTGCAGACCCAGTAGGCAGGGGGGTCCACTTTCCTGCTAGCTGTCCCTAGCGTCGTTGGCCAGGTGCAGAGGGGTCTGTCATTCTCCTACCAAAAATTTCACCCGTGCATGTGGGGCCTTTTGTAACACAGGATCTCAGGTCCCACTGCAGGTACAGGAATCAAAACCATCATTCCAGCCAGGCTCAAGGTAAATCCTGTGCCCAGGAAGGTGTGAGAAGCATTTCTCTGCGCCAGGAGCCCTCAAACTTTTCCTGTAACAGCCCAGAAAGTGAATACTTCAGGCCTTGCCGGCCACACTACTCCACTCTGCCACTGTGACATGAAAACCACCCGGGACAGTTTGTGATCAGAAGAGCAGGGCTATATTCTAATAAACTTTACTTGATTTGGCTCAGTTCAGCCCAGTTTGCCATAGGTGGGCAGCATCTTGGCTGGCAAGATGATAACGAAGCACCCCAGCTCTGAGCCACCCACATCTCACGTCAAATGGTAAGCCCCAGTGTTGCAGGTGGGGTCTGGTGGGAGGTGATTGGATTATTGGGCGGATTTCTCTCCTGTGCTGCTCTCGTGATGGTGAATGAGGGCTTGTGAGATTTAATTGTTTATAAAAGTGTGTGGCACCTCCACCACCCCTACCCCATCATCTCTAATCCTCCTCCTCTGGGCATGTGAGACATGCCTGCTTCCCCGTTGCCTTCTGCCTTCTGCCATGCCTGTAAGTTTCCTGAGACCTCCCCGGCCATGTTTCCTGTACAGCCTGCAGAACCATGAGCCAACGAAATCCCTTCTCTTTATAAATTACCCAGCCTCTAGACATTTATAAAGAGTGCAAGAACAGATTAATACACTTACAGACTTGTGGCAGGACAGGTGTGACCCTGGGCCAGTTTTCAGCCCCTGCTCAAGGTCAGTTACTGTCTGGAAACAGCCCCGTTTCCCTTGCAGATTCAGAAGGGAAAGGTCATGTTTCTAAACATGGAATAGGACATGGCGATTGTTGAGTCACACTGGAGAATTTGATTTGAATATAATTGGTTCACAAAACACTAGAAGCTAATGGATGCAAGAGTGTGGCCATAGTAATGATTTCAGGATGTCTTCCCAACAGCCCCGAGTGACAGATGTGTTATCATTTCCTTTTTATTCAGACAAGAACATTGAGGCTTGAAAAAGGTAAATTACTTACTCAAATTCCATGTTTAATAAGTAGGACTGGGATTTAAACCTAAGAGCTAACAGCAAAGCATTTTAGACCGTAAAGTATAAGAATAAGCGTGAATGCGATTCTCAGCCCAGTGTAAGACCAGGTATCGCCGGATGAGAGACGGCCACTCCTGGGAACAGTGGTGAAGCTGAAAGAGCCAGTCCTTCAAGGTGGATCCTGAGTGGCTAAAATAGAGCCCAGCGGCCGTTTGCTGTCTATAGGTCATACAAACACAGAGTCCCCCCAAAACCGCACCCTTGCACCTGGGATACTTTCTGGGCTCACCTGAACCAACCAATCAGAGCTCACCTGATCCAACCAATCAGAGCTCACCCAATCCAACCAATCGGAGCTCACTGGCTTTGGCCAAATCAAGACCCGACTGTTATCAACTAATCAGAACTCAGCTGCCTTGACCAATCAGAACTAAGCAAGTTTGAATCCTTCATTTGGATACACAGACCTGACTGAGACCTGGGTGGGAGCTTTTGCTATAAAACCGGAACGTTCCCTTTGTTCTCCAGGTACATTTGTTTACACCAAAGGCTGCATCTTCCCGGTTTGCAAACTGTGCACTGGAGTCTCCTTCTTCCAAACTCCTTTTCAGAGGATGTGTTTACTCTGTATTTATAACTTCAGGAGCGCAATCGCAGCCACGGTTTCTCTTGTTAGTGCTACATTACTTTGATTTTATAATCAGCCAAAATATTGTGATAAAAAAATCCCCTTTTCATAATCTGCGAATTTTAGACGTCACGTGGTATGACTCAAAGTCATACCCATTTCTTCCCAAGAAGAAAATTTACTCAAAATCCATAAAAGATTTGGCTCGGTTCGGCTCAGTTGGCCACAGGCAGGTAGCCTGTTGGCTGGAGGAACAGAAACGAACGACCCCCACTCTGAGCCGGCCTCAGAGACTTGTGGTCTAGCCGAATGCTCCCTGTAGAGGGAGATGGCTGTTTGTGTGTCCTTGGTGCAGGGATGGCAGAACAATCTGACGTCCGTTATTAACACATTTGTCATATCAGCCACCTCTTTAAACGGGTGTCCCAGAGTAACAAGATCCAGAAAAATGCCAGCAGTCTAGTTGGAACACAGGGTCCCACTGGCTGAGATACTGGCTGTCCTCAAGTGAGGACAGGCGCTATCAGGGACTGCAGCCACAGCATCCACATGTCAGGAATCAAAGGCCACCGTTTTCTCCGGCGTTTACATTCAGGCACGGTCCCCCTCGCCCCAGATCACATCTTCAGAGTCTCAACAGCCCAGCCACTGAAGAATTGCTGCAGCCCTGCATAACCTCATACCTGTCTGGTACGGATCCACTAGACTAAAGGCTGAGGTGGAAGAGGCTTTTGTGTCCCTCGGTGCAGGACAGACTTGTCCCTGCAGAGAAGTATTTACAATGAGGGCAGAGCTGGGGTGTGAAGGACCCTCCACACGGGGCTGCTCCCTTCTCCCTGCAACGCCACACAGGAGGCGGTCTCCACAGTGCCTCATCCCAAATGGCAGTGTCTAAGTTTGAACACTGTGTGGCCCTAACAGCACTGCCTGCGTCAGTGGCTGAACAGTCAGTTTTGAGGCAGGTGGGCCGTCTTTCACACAGGTAAGAATAGATGGGGAGACAGCATTGATGTGGCCCAGACCTATGACCTGTGAGAGAGCCTGGATCTCCACTGGCCAGTTACCCAAAGGAGGTACAAGTGAATGTGCCCACCAGGGGCTGTGACACATCAGGTGTAAAGTTGTTATCACTATGCCTGGCATGTAACAGGCTCAGAAAACACTGACCATTATTTTGCAAGAAAACAAGTAGCTCAAAATAGCCACAGTGATGATGAATTGGCAGCACTGCCTTCATTTCAGGATAAGGAAGCCGCCTGGAGGTGCACACCCAGACTGTACTGGGAAAGGAGGGTCCCTGAGCTCGGATCTGCACACCACTAACCAGCCCTTTGTGCAGGAGCCCTTGAGCTGTGGCCCTGGCTCACACCAGGTAAGAGAAAATATCTGTGGTCCTAACTAAACACAGCCAAACTTGGATGCCAGAGCCTACTGCCAGATGCATGTCCCCAGCTGAAAGGTGGCCACTGTGGCTAAGTGAGAGGGCTGGTTCACATTCCACAGAGCCTGTGCTCACAGTACCTGCATCCATGAAGCTGTGTCCACGGATCCCCATGTTTCAGGGACCTATGCTCCAGGGAGCCGGCAAATTGGAGACCCACGTTCCACAGAGCCTGTGCTCACGGCACCTGCATCCATGAAGCTGTGTCCACGGATCCTCACGTTTCAGGGACCTGGGCTTCAGGGAGCCAGCAAATGGGAGGCCCACATTCCACAGAGCCTGTGTTCATGGCACCTGCATCCACGAAGCTGTGTCCACGGAGCCCCATGTTTCAGGGACCTGTGCTCCAGGGAGCCTGCACATGGGAGGCCTATGTTCCACAGAGCCTGTGTTCACAGCACCTGCATCCATGAAGCTGTGTCCACGGAGCCCCAAGTTCCAGGACCTGTGCTCCAGGGAACCTACACATGGGAGACCCCCGTTCCACAGAGCCCACATTCCCTCTCTCCTCCATCACTTCTTCCTGGTCCTCGAAGCGTTTCTTTCAGGTCTGCCTGGTACTGCGGCTGCTTCTGAGGACTTTGGACCTGTGGGCTTCTCTGTCTCAGTGGGACCTTTGTCATCCCTGCTGGTCTAGTGGGAAAGCACCCTGAGCACGGCTGGCAAGCCAGCAAAATGAAGAAATGTGTGTGGTGCTGTCTGGCCAACTCCAGACTCCCAGCACTGCAAAGTCAGGAACTCGAAGTGACACAGAATCTCCGGTGGCATCAAGTGGCAGAGGCAGGTGGAGTTTGGCTGAGTTGTTACCTTGGTCTTTGTGATGCTTTGTGACCAGGGTCTGCTCTCTGGTGCCTTAATCCCAGGACAGCAAAAGAAGAAGGCAATCCTAGATCAACGTCTCTTGGCTTTTCTGGCCTGGCACCCAGAGTTCAGTTTCTTAAACTCTGCCTAACACACAGGTCGGCAGCACTTCCCACAGAACTGGACTCCCAGTTATGGCCGGGACTTTGGCAAGGACACACTCATTCATGAGCATCAAGAGTGATACCCATCCACGACCCTGAGGGCCTGCTGGTGCAAGACCCAAACTCAACATTTTCAGTGTGGCCTCCGCCTGCTCTTGGTCACCTGACCAGGTTTCTGTTCCTGAGCCCTGTGGATGGTTCAGACGTCCCCATCCACATGAGGGTCATGTGATGCGGCTTTAATTTCCACCTGGCAACCCTGGAAGCCCACGTGTGTCTCAGGAATGCATGGCTTCCATCTCCTCTACAGCCACAGGCAACAGGTCTACCTAGGGCATGTGTGGGCAGCACAGGGTGCATGGTCACCTGCAGTGGATGGTGTGGGCGGCACGGGGTGCGTGGTCTCCTGCGGTGGATGGTGTGGGCGGCACGGGGTGCGTGGTCTCCTGCGGTGGGTGGTGTGGGCGGCACGGGGTGCGTGGTCTCCTGCGGTGGGTGGTGTGGGCGGCACGGGGTGCGTGGTCGCCTGTGGTGGGTGGTGTGGGCGGCACGGGGTGCGTGGTCGCCTGTGGTGGGTGTGCGGGGCCTTCTGTGAGGCAGGACAGGCTCTACATGCACTTCGGCTTCTTGGCAGATCTGAGCGAATGAGAACTGCCCTGGGCTTCACTCCCGTTTAACTTTGCATGAAGAAGAATGTTCTCCACTCTGACTTTAAGCCAAGTGCTTGTCTAAGTGCTTCTCTGACAGGGAGACAACACTCCTTCCCCGGAGCCTTCCACTGGGCCTGGACATCTCCCGTCTCTGGGCTCTGAGTTAACTTTGTGATGCCAGCTCTTTGTGGGGTGTGCGCACGGCTGCAGGTGAGGAGACCTGTGAGAGTCGGAAGCCAGCTGCCACCCCAAATGATAAGCACATTGTAGCTGTCTCTGCATGGCTTCGTTGCATGAGGAAAGTCACTACTGTCAATGCAGGGCTGCTGGTCTCCACCTCGGAACGTGGCAGTGCACAATCCATCACTGCCCTGTGTTCGCAGGTCACAGAGAAAAGAAATGCTTTCTCTATTCCTTCTCGCAGTTAGTATTTTGTGATTATAGAAAAACTGTGCGTAGTTGGAAGTAGGGAAGGGAAGGAGGGAGGGAGGAAGAAAAACAGAAAGAAAATAAACCAAAAGAAAAAGAAGGAAGAAACCACCGTATTTTCAGTTTGCTTCGAATTATTAAAGTGGCTCAGGGAAAAAACTTTAATCTGAAAATAGTGGCCAACACGAGACAGGACGCCGATTGCTGCGTGAGTAAGAGGAAGCACCGCAGACCACCGCCGACGAAATTCTGGATTTTTTGAGGAGGGATTTCCTGAAGCGGGTGTTGAATATGGGCATGAAGCCACGAGGCTGAATCTAGATGTATGTTTCACGTTTCTCACAAGAGCTGATGTTGGTTTTTGATTGCAAAAGATGCCCATTGCAGAAAAACAAAAACATATGTGTCATGAGGAGCCTCAGAAACCTCCCCAAGCCCTCCACACAGAAGTGATTGTGAGTGCCGCTCCAGACCTCGCCCTATGGGATCTATAGGACCTGTAGACCTATAGCTGCCTGTATGATCCTGTGGGTACAATCTCCTAATGTAGGTGAGTGTGTGGTCTTTATAACACAGAAGTACATGCGAGCCTCAGGGGCTGCTTTTTATTGACAGTTCATGATAATAATAGCACACAGTGCATGTGGGGCATGGGGTGAGGGCTGGGTATTTACTGACTGTCCTGTGAGGTGGTGTGATTTCTGTCCCCACTTGGCCAATGAGGGCCTGCGGCACAGAGGGGTTACCAGCTCTCCTAAGGCCAACAGAGTTGATGGAGGGCTGGCTCCTGAACCACACCAGCCTGATGCAGGGGACTCAGCATTTTCACGACCCCATATTATCATATCAATGTGCCATAATTTATTTAGATCTTTCCCTTTGTTGTTTCAATTTTTCCCTCTTAATGAACAGCTCATAGCCAAATTTTTGTGTACCTCATTATTTCCTTACACCCTCCCCAACTCCTCACTCTACGGTGACTCCACTGGGCAAAAACTTGCACACTTTAAGAATTTGGAAAATGTGTTGACAAATTACATCCTAGAGAGGGGGGCTCCAATCCCAGCCGAAGCAGATGGAGAGGCCCGCCCACGTCTTTGCTAACCATGGGAATATTTTTCCTAAAGGAAAAGCTTTGCCAGTTTGGTAGCTGCTGTGATTTGAATGATGACGGCCCTTCTGAAATTCAGGTTGAAACTTAATCTCCAAAGCAACAATATTAAAAGGTGTGGCTTTGGGAGGCCCCACCCTCATGACTGGGATCAGTGCCCTCACAGAAGGACTGGAGGTTGAAGGGAGCGTGTAACTGAGCACCTAGCAAGAAGGCCCTCACCAGACACCAGTGCCGCCACCTTGGACTTCCCCATCTCCAGAACACTAGGAAATAGCTTCTGGTTCTTTATAAATTACCCAGGCTCAGATATTTTGTTATAGCAGCAGGAACAGACTAAGACAGTAGATAAGAACTGTCCTTTCCGCTCTAACATTCCGGCCATCTTTGAGAACAGGCTCTGCGTGTCCTGCCCAAGGACAGGCATGATTTCAATCCTTTCCCAAAGAAACTGCCAGCAATGTGACCCGTAAGGCAGTAAGTTTATGCAATTAAAATTTTGACCTGATTTCTTCATTAACAGTCTGAGTTTGGCTGGGCTGTAAAGCTGAGCAAAGGTTTAAGACAGAGCTCGGGCTTCTGGTCTTTCTCTTACAGGTGTACATTTAATACCAGGGCTCTGCCAGGGCTTCTAGAAAGAGCCTAGGGTGAGGAGGAAGCTCAGGGAGCTTGTGCTCCCAGAAGAGCTGCATCACAGAAGTGGAGATGGGGGCCGCACATTGGCCATGAGTACCCACGGATTGCAGTAGCCCCACTGAGGCCCCTTAAGGTGATAAAGACGAATTACAACCAAAGACTCTGGGGACTGGTCCCGGTGGTGGACCTTCGGTGTCCTCGGGGAGCACGGTGGGGGCAGGTCCTGGGGGCCAGTGTGGGCTCTCTGTGCTCACACTTGGGAAGGAGCAGAGCAGGCCCTGAGACACTGCCACAGCCTCCCTCCTCCTTCCAAAAAGAGGAAGAGACTGTGATGTTCCAGCTCTGCCCGTGTGACTCAACCAGGGCTGCGGCCGACTGCGTGACCACCAGGAAGAGGCTGTTTACATCTTCGGGAATCCCACATCTGGCCAGGCTCAGCTCAGGGTGGAGGGTCCCCTGAGCACTGGGGATGACTGGAAGCCTGCAGTCCCAAGCTAGGTGGCCTGGCCCGGAGCTCCTGAGATTTGGGCATCAGAGTGGCCGAGTTGCTCAAACAGGTTCCTGTACATCTGTGAGTCTCCGTTTTCTTCTCTGTGAAATGGGGACAATAAAACCACCTACTTTATTGAGTCATCGCAAGCTGGAAGAGGGTGATGTGTGTAAAGAGATTAACCCAGTATCTAGTACCTCTAAAGTGCTTAACAAATGACACCTATCACAGTGATTTTAACTGGCTTATTTCTCCATAAAATGAACGCGGAATCCGTCCATGGCCTCGTTCTCAGAATGCAATTTCATCCCCACCAAACTGAAAACTCTTCAACAGCAGCAGCGCCTCCCTCCACACCATGTTCCTCCTCCTTGATTTCTAGACCCAGATGCAGGTTGAGGTGGGCAATGGGGTCGCGCTTATCCTCACTCCTCGTCATCACCAGAGAGGTGGTGACCTTCCGGGGACCCCCATAGACAGGCTTGGTCTGGCTCTGCTTCCCAGGAATTCCCTCAGTGGTTTTGTGTTTCTTTCTTTCTTTCTTTCTTTTGACTCATTCTTTCCCGTCAGTGGGGCTCGGTGTTTGCTGGATGAGAGCGTGTTCTGTCGGCAGGTGGCATCCAGTTCTACGGGGTCCTCTGTGGATGCTAGGGTGCCCGGGAACCAGCAGTTCCACGTTGCATTTTCCTGGATGTCCGAGCAGAGCACCCGGGTCAGGCGAGTTCCCAGAAGCTCCTTGCCTTCTCTTCCCTGCATCAGGAAGGCTGGGGAGGGCGGCTCTGGATCCTGAGGGGAAGCCACTCGGATCTCCTGCAGCTGCTCAAGACCACGGCACTGTGACTGTGCTTGCCCATCTGGAAAGCCTCAGGCGTGCAGGAGCTTGGCTGGGCTCCACATTTGGACACAGAACCTGCTCCATCTGAGCTCGTGGCTCTTGGTCAGCCCAGGCTCAGGGAGCCTCTCGACGGGGTGGAATTTTGGGTTTCACCCACTTGGCTGATGCTTCCTGCCCTGTGTAATTGAATCAATCCTTTACGTAAATGCTGTTTCGTAACTGCCCGGGCTTTTCAGGGCCTCTGGGCCCTGGCTGAAAACCTAACTCAGCTCCTGCCTGGGAGGCTTTGCGCGGCAGGCCTGGCTGGTGGGAGGGTTTGGTGCCAGAGGCATCCGTCGGGTGAGGAGCAGGACCTCCCACGGTGAACATGGTGGCCACGTCCCCGCAGAGCCCAGCCTACTGAGCTGTCCAGTGAACCCTTGTGCACTTAAGCTAAAACACGCAGCCGTGCCCCCAGGAGGCCGCTTAACACAGAGCAATAGCCGGGTCCTCGACGATCCAGCTGCAGAGACATCACCAATCCCAGTCTCCCTGGTTCCCGCGTCAGCCTCGCCCTGCCCTGGGCCACGGCTGCACAGCACGTGCCTCCTCACCAACACCACGCGTCACACTCTGCAAGCCCCCGGCCCCTCCACGTGCGAAAGGGGGCTGCTCCTCAGGGTTCTTTGGGCTGTAAGGGTCCCGCCGTCCCCCAGTTTTTGTTGGACATCTGTGAAGCCCAGCCTTTCCAAGCAGATGCTGTCCCTCCGCTCCAGCCAGTTCCTCCAGATGAGGCCAATGTGTTCCCAAGCATGTCGGGTCACATTTCCTGTGTGTTTTGGTCCTGCAAGCAGGACTCTCATGAAAATGGCAGAAAGGTCGTCAAACAGCTCCCCTCTTCGCCGCGGCCGTCACAGATGGAGCTGGAGGCACACGCATGTGTATGGCACAAATGGCCACATTTGGTTCTGAGAAGCCATCGCAGAAACTCAAGGGCTGAGGAAGCCAGGCCCTGGCATTAGATCTGATGCATGAGGGAGAGGCTCAGCAAAGCAGAGGATGAGTCCCGAGGCCTCGTTTCCTCCAGAAAACCCATCCCTCCTGCCTGCACCCTCCAGGCTGCTGAACACACCTGCCCATGACCGCCTGCCCCGGCACTGCCTCGCCGCCCCTCCTCAAGTCTCTCCTTCCTGAGGCATAATTTCTGCTTTAGCACAGGGTGGCCCATGGGGCCCTGCTGGAGTCTATGTCCGGGAGGGAGCAGACCTCATGTCCGTTTCCCACACACCCTGCAAGCACCCATCAAGGCATCCAGCTGTAACCTGGTACCGAATAAATGCTCGACTCCTTCAGAATCCATGTTTACTAGGGGGTTAGGTATAAAATAATCGCAGGTAATAATCTCATAGAGTCAAAACTGCCCTTGAGAATTCCTTAAGAGCCACCAATCACAGCCTCAAGTTGCATCTCAACCATCACAGGAGGCAGTGACCCCCAGGCGGGACCAGAGGCCTTCTCCCAGGAACATGGTCAGCAGAAGACACTGCCTCCAAACTTCAAATTCAGGCCCAACACAGGAACACACAGCAGAGGCGCAGCTGAACTGCATGGATGGTGCGACTGTGGCCACGCTCCCAGAGCAACACACGGACCCTCCAGGGAGACAGGAGCAGGTACTAGGAGCTCAGAGGGCAGTGCTACAGCCACAGAGGGTGTCACCAAGAATTAGCAGCGAGAGACCATCACTCTGTAGGCCAAGCCTGCGCTGATGCAGGCCGGGGTTTCTCCGCGTTGGCACAGTGGACGCTCTGGGCTGGATAACCCTTCATTTCAGGGGGTCTTGAGCACAGCATGTGTTCCACGCATCCCTGGCCTCTGCCCACCAGATGCCAACAGCATGTCCACTGTCACGATCGAGTCTCCAGATGGGGCCCGATGTGTCAGGGTGGGGGGCGCCCACTGAGGCTTCTGCTTGGCCTTGGGCACCGTGAGGCCCTTTCACTGGGTTGACGGGAGCACTGACCATTCCAGCCCTGCCTGGGTCCCCACTGGCTCTGCTGACCCCTGGAGCTTCTTCCTCAACCCTGAGCTATTTCCTCAGTTTGCACCCAGCCTGGGGACCCACCTCGGACCCCTGGACCCGCCCTTGGAGCTCGCCATTCTTGACAATGAAAATTTAGCCTCTGTCCTCTCCGAACTGTGACCTCTGTCCCCCAAATGGGTCGAACCCCTTCCTGCACTGTGACCTCCGGGCGGGAAGTCAACAGCTTGTCCCCTCCTGGCTGGAACCTCCCTGAGGGCCCCTGCCCTGTGCTGCCTGCTGCCCAGAAGCCGCGTGGATTCCGGTCCTGAGTTGTTTAAAGCAGGGGCGCAAAGCCAGTCCTCATCACCCCATCATGGCTAGAAGAGGGAATGTTTAAACAGACGATGTTTCATCAAGAATGTGGGTAAAATAGTTTGGTCTATTGTATTTCATAGTGTTAGAAAACCAACTTGACTTTAACAAAAATAATTAGCTTGGCAATTATCACCCTAAATACTCTCAGGAATTTTTATTTTTTAAGAACTTTAAGCAAAAGTGGAATTTATTTCTCTCCCTCCCACCCCATTCTCTTTGGGGCTTTCTCTCCCAACTTTTTCCACTTTTTTTATTTCTTCACTACTCTGAGCAGGACATCCTTTAGAGCTTTCTCTCTCTGTCCCTCTCTCTCCTTCTGTCTCTTTCTGTCTCTGTCTCTGTCTATCTCCCTCCCACCCTCTATCCCTCCCTCTCTCTCCTTCTGTCTCTTTCTGTCTCTGTCTCTGTCTATCTCCCTCCCACCCTCTCTCCCTCCCTCTCTCCCTCCATCTCTCTCTCTGTCTCCCTCCCTCTCTCCCTCCCACCCTCCCTCCCTCTCTCCCTCCCTCTCTCCCTCCCTCTCCCTCCCTCTCTCCCTCCCTCTCCCTCCCTATCTCCCTCCATCTCTCCTTCCCTCTCCCTCCCTCTCTCCCTCCCTCCCTCTCCCTCTCTCCCTCCCTCTCTCCCTCCCTCTCTCCCTCCCCCTCCCCCCTCCGCCTCCCCCTCTCCCTCCCCCTCCCTCCCCCTCCCCCTCCCTCCCCCTCCCTCTCTCTCCCTCCCCCTCTCCCTCCCTCTCTCCCTCCCCCTCCCCCTCCCTCTGTCCCTCCCCTCCCCCTCCCCCCTCTATCCCTCCCTTTCTCCCTCCCTCTCTCCATCTCTCCCTGTCCTGGCTCTTCATGGTGCTCCCAAAGAGTCACTGTGGCTTCTCCCAGACTTCAGTGTCTTAGAGAAGAGCTAGTTTATGTGGAAATCCTGTTCCCTGGATGTTAGATTAGTCGGTTAATTCGTGAAATCATCACCTCCACATACCCACTCTGGTGTCCTCTCCACCGCCCTCAGCAGGCCTCTATTGGTGCCTAAGCTTTTAGTAAAAACCGTTTATCGTGACTTAATGGGCACGTCCCAGACAGCGACCCCGGGCTGTGTGTTGATGGCGTTCACAGTGTCCTGTGGGAAACATAAAAAGTACAGTGTCCTGGAGACCGTGGGGCACTCTCACAGACAGAACATTGTTCATTCTCCCCACATCTTCATAAAATGAGAAAGATCAGGCACGTGATGGCCCCAAGAACTGCCATTCACCCCTTCCTTACATAGCGCCAGCATTGGGACAGGTGTCCAAGGACCCCCAACAGTGGGGCCGGCTGCCTGTGGGTGTGTCACAGGAGAGGTCCCACGTCGTCAGCCCAGGTACAGGTCTTCCCACCCCACCAAGCACAAACTGTATCAGGAAAGGGGGACAGACCCAGCTGCATTTGCAAGCGCTGGTGTCCACACGGGAACGTGGCGGAACGTGGCAGGCCTGGCTTCGGGATGCAGGCAGACGCAGGTGGCATTCAGCAAAGCCCAAGGGCGGCACCATGCAGGCATGGATACAAAGAGGGCTCCAGCTGGGGCAGAGGCCGGGCAGCCAGGGAAGCCCCGTGGGGAGTGCCAGGGCAGCAGGAGGAGTCCCCACAGCTCCAGCCAGGCAGAGAGGGGAGATGATCTCACTGCGGCCGTGGCTGTGCTGCTCCCAGCTCCTCTGCTCCTCTGCTCCTCAGCCCCAAGTGGCAGCCCCTTCGTTCTCCCCATGTGCAGCAGGAAGGGAAGAGAGACACGAGAGCCGTAGCCTTCCGGGCACATGGGAAAGAATTCTCCACATTATTGTAATTTTTGAACAAAAGTAACCAGTGAGAGGGATGGAAGTTGTGGCATTGCCTAGTCCCATTCACTCAGTGCACACTTTACAACGGGAACCATCGAGTTTCAAAATATTAATGAAAAGGACAGTTCTTGCTTTTTTCATATTTCAACTAAGATGATGATAATAGTTATAATGATAATGGTGAAAGATAAAAATAAAATAAAAAATAAATACATAAAAATAAATAATAAAAATAAAATAAATAAAAATAAAAATAAAAATAAACATGTGCCCAGGACCCCAGGGGTGAGTTGGCACAGAATGAATTGAGGTTCCCTCTGACCTCGGTCCGGCTGAGGGTCCCGGATGCAGAGGGTGGGTGCCTGCCCAGTGCGGAGCCGGCTCCCGCATATTCCAAACCATCCTTTGCAGGCTGCGGACAACCAAGCCAGGTTTTCTCTCTTCCCATTTCAATTTCTAAAGCTCTGTCCAGAAGGACAGGAACAACTTTCAGCTCCAGGAACGCGGTAGGGGCCAGAGGCGGCATCTTGGAGGGGTGGTTTCAGGAGGGGGCGGCAGAAGAACCCAAGTCTGCGAGGGTAGGTTTGTTTGCTTGCGAGCAAAGCACTTCCCGTCCATCCTCATGTGCCTGAGAGGTGCCTTGGGTGTGGCCTCCTCTCCAGCCCTCACGCATGGATGAGTCTGCCCCGTGGAGCACAGCACCCTGAGAATGCCATCTCCTCTCCCAGAACTTACACACCAGTGCAGGTCTGCCAAGAGCAGAGCATAAACAAAGAGACAGATATGCCTGTGAATGTTTCAGAACCAAAGAAAGGAAGAACACATCCCAAAATGCAGTAAGTGCCAACCACCGTCCACAAACAGGAGAAGAGACACTGACCACCACACACCAGGCAACCACCGTCCCACAAACAGGAAAAGAGACACTGACCACCATGCACCAGCCAAACACTGTCCACAAACAGGAAAAGAGACACTGGCCACCACACACCAGCCAACCACCATCCACAAACAGGAAAAGAGACACTGACCACCACGTGCCAGGCAACCACCATCCCACAAATAGGAAAAGAGACACTGACCACCACGTGCCAGGCAACCACCATCCCACAAACAGGAAAAGAGACACTGACCACCACGTGCCACGCAACCACCATCCCACAAACAGGAAAAGAGACACTGACCACCACGCGCCAGGCAACCACCGTCCACAAACAGGAGAAGAGACACTGACCACCACGCGCCAGGCAACCACCATCCCACAAACAGGAAAAGAGACACTGACCACCATGCACCAGCCAACCACTGTCCACAAACAGGAAAAGAGACACTGGCCACCACGCGCCAGGCAACCACCATCCACAAACAGAAGACACACTGACCACCACGCGCCAGGCAACCACCGTCCACAAACAGGAAAAGAGACACTGACCACCACGCGCCAGCCAACCACCGTCCACAAACAGGAGAAGAGACACTGACCACCACGCGCCAGGCAACCACCGTCCACAAACAGGAAAAGAGACAATGACCACCATGCACCAGGCAACCACCGTCCACAAACAGGAAAAGAGACACTGACCACCATGCACCAGCCAACCACCGTCCACAAACAGGAGAAGAGACACTGACCACCACGCGCCAGGCAACCACCGTCCCACCAACAGGAAAAGAGACACTGGCCACCACGCACCAGGCAACCACCGTCCACAAACAGGAAAAGAGACACTGACCACCATGCACCAGCCAACCACCGTCCACAAACAGGAGAAGAGACACTGACCACCACGCGCCAGGCAACCACCGTCCCACCAACAGGAAAAGATACACTGGCCACCACGCACCAGGCAACCACCGTCCACAAACAGGAAAAGAGACACTGACCACCATGCACCAGCCAACCACCGTCCACAAACAGGAGAAGAGACACTGACCACCACGCGCCAGGCAACCACCGTCCCACCAACAGGAAAAGAGACACTGGCCACCATGCACCAGGCAACGGAGGCGGGTGTCGCTGGCTTCAGGACGCTCCCTGAGATGCTCTTTGGCAGCCGGTGCAAGCGCCTAACAGTATATGCCCCAGGCTATTATTAAAACGCGTTTTCCCTCCCTGGGCTGAGGCAGCAGCCTGGTGCTGCCAGAAGAACACAAAAATGTTCAGGGTACGAAGGGCTTCACTACAGATAATCCTTAAAGTGGATTATTTCATTCACAGAATCAAAAGTGCAGAGCATTCAGGACCAAAACCTTGTCCTAACAGCAGCAAGAGCAGCCTCGATTTGCGTTTATGCACACACTCCGATGTCTGACACCACGTGTGACTGTCACAAAAACCGTGGGAGGAGCTTAAACATGAGGGAACCCTCCCACTGCTGCTTTCCAGAAGGGCAAGTGAGGCTCAGAGTCCTGCGGTTTACTCACCCCACAGAGCCAGGCAGTGGGGAGAGCAGGTTGTGCAGGGGTGAGGCTGGGATTGTCCGTCCGACGCCCGGTGACGGCCCCGCAGAGCCAGGCAGCAGTGTGGGTAGAGGTTTGGAGTTAGGTGTGGTCAGATGTGGAGGGTGGGGCTCAGGAAGGCAGCCTCACCCCATCATCAGCATGGCCTTAGGATAGGACATTGCCTTTCCCTGTCCAGTGAGAGAAAGTCAGCAGGCTGACAAAGCAGCCGTCCCAGGGCCCTGAGCCGCCCCGGGTCTCCCCCTCATCTCTTTCTGTCCTCAGAAACCCAGGCTCTGTTGGTGTAGGGGGGTTGCTAGCTCTGAAGGAGATCTCCTGGCCCCTAAACTGATGTTTTATTAACCAGGTTGATGACTGTGTGGAACTTTATCATAAGGAAAGATTTTACCGCTTTCCTCACTACTTATTATTCTTTTTCTTAAGAGGCAGGAAGGGGCCTTGTAACCAGAATGGGATTTGCAAATCCACCCTGCGTGAAGGGCCATCTTTCCCCCACACCTACAGTCCTGCCCCCAAGAGCCAAACTGTCTTGAAGCCAAATGGCAGCTCACCCAGCATGTGTGAGGCGCTTTTCACTTATTCCTCACGAAAACGGCCTGAACACCACATGGAGAATCTCATCTTATCTGCAGACATCACTGTTGGCGCATTTTTGGTGGGGAAGAACCAACATTGGCACACATCAGCCAAACATCCAACGTCCACTCAAACCAGTACTTCTGTACACCCTCTACTGTGGCCCACGTGGAACCCTGTACAGCCCATGGCCAGCCTGCCCTTGGGAACACGTGGCACATACCCAAAGCCTGTGGCCAACCCTGAGGGTCCCCACTGCCGTCTGGGAGGAGCCATCTCCATAGAACTCCTGGCCCTGCAGGCTTCTCTGTTTGGTCCCGGTCTCGGTCCAGGCAGGGAGACGCACCTCCCAGTAGCCCCTGTGAAACCGCACTGCGAGGGCAGTGCCAGGAGGGCTGGTCCAGGTGCCGTGGATTTTCCCCTAAACTCTTTTTGATCTTCCAGTTACAGTTTAAAACAGCTAAAATGTTAACAAAACAAGCAAGCAGTGGAAGTGAGTTCAGTTCAGTCGTGAGGGAGGAAAGCCTGTCCCCTGGTTACAGCACTTGTTCGGTGGCCTCGAAGGCAGGCCTGTGGGCCTGGCTCAGATTCCGAGGAACCTGCAGCTGCAGGCAGCCCGGAGGCCACCCTGCCCTCCCCCTCCCCCTTTCCCTTCCCCCTCCCCTCCCCATTCCCTCTCCCTCCCCCTCCCCCTTTCCCTTCCCCCTCCCCTCCTCATTCCTCTCCCTCCCCCTCCCCTTTCCCTTCCCCCCTTCTCCTCTCCCCTCTTCTTCCTCCCTCCCCTCCCCCCTTTCCCCCTCCCCCACTCCCACTCCCAGAGGCAGAGCTTCAGGGCCTCCAGGGTCCCTCCCCGACCACGTCCTCATCTGATTCCAAACTGGAAATTCTCATAATCAATTTCATCCGAATACCAAATGAGTAACAAATGCCTCCCTTTCCCACATCCTGGCTCTTGCCTCCAAGCTGAGCTCCACGTGGAGGAACCCAGGACATCCACCCACTCACCCTCAGCAGCCTCTCCAGGCCCTGTGGCCGCCACAGCTCAGACCCCAACAGACGGATGCCAGCCGCATCTCGGGCGCCACAGTCCCTCCTGGGACGGCTCCAGTGACACACCTGGATCTTCTCTCCAAGGACTCACCTCTCCAGGTCCTCATCCCAGGCCGCCCCGCCCCCAGCCCTGTCTCACACCGTTCCTCCTCGGGCACAAGCCCGCGCCAGCTCTCATTTCACCTCCGCTGTCCCCTTCCCTGCTGGTGCCTGCGACTATCTAAACTCCTTCCGGAGAGGAGCAGCTCAGTGTTCAAACCACCGACAACAGAAATTGGTGGGAGGGTTGTGTTTGCCCCACAAGTGAAAGGGCGCACGCAGCCTCAGGGGTGGGTTGAACAGAGCCGCACCTGTGATTAACCCGGAGCCCAGGAGTATCCCGGTTCCCTGCTTCAAGGCCTGTCTACTGGGGCTTCCTTCTGCCCCAAACCCTGAAGGGGCGTGGAGAGGCCTCTTGCCTTTGTGCTTACGCGCCACACGGTCTCCATCTGCACAAATTTCCGTGTGCAGTAGACAGTTATTCCCCAGTCCTTTGACGGAGGTGTCCCCTGGAATGCCTACCCTCGTGCAGCTGGCGTGCCTGGGGCCCAGGAGCCAGCACACAGCCACGCCTAGGTCAGAGGTTCTCACTGAGACTGCAGGGACGCTGCACGCAGGAGGCCGGGCTTGCCTGAGGGACTGCACTTTGCAGAGGGCGCGCCAGGAGCCGTTGTCCGGGCCTGGGACTCCCTCCATACAGGCCTTCATCTCGTGGTCTGAGGTCTGCCTTCTGCAGGCCGTTCTGGGGCAGGGAGACTGAATGCAGAGCGAAGTGCATCCCCAGGCCCTTCTCAGGTGACTGCTCACAGCCACTCTCCTTCCAGAACGAGGTTTCTACGGCACAAAAGAGATTTTGCAGATTTTTTGCTTCACCTTCATCCTAACTTTGCATGGAGGTAGAAGTCGGCCCGTGCCACTGTCTGTCTCTCTCTTGCCTCATCGCCTGTCCTCGCAGCCCAGTCCTTGGGGCCGGTCTCCATAGGCCCCAATGCCCAGGACAGCCCGTCTGCAGTGCCTCATGCTCCTGAGCCATCCTCTGAGCTCAGAATCTCCCCAGCAGGTTCCACCAGGGTGTGAACAGTCCCTGCTCCGTCCGGTGTGTGTCGCTGGAAGGCAGTGGGCTTCTGTAAGAGAAGACCAGGTACAATCCCTCAGGAGGATGCCTGGACATATCCAACACACATGTTCCCTTCAACTCAGCAATTCTTACAAAGTCTTCAACAGCCGTGGGGAGCGCTGGGTGATGCGGGCACGGCCACAGCCGTGGGGGGCGCTGGGTGATGCGGGCACAGCTCATGTAATTGAGCTTCACTTTATGGCACTTTCCAGATACTGCGTTTTTCAAGATGGAAGGTTGGGCGACCCTGCAGCCGGCAGATCTGCTGTTGATGTTTTTCCAATAGGGCGTGCTCACTTCGTGTCTCTGTGTCATATTTTAGTAATCCCTGCAATATTTGAATTTTTTTCATTATGATAATAGTTGATGGTGATTTGTGAGCCATGATCTTCCGTGTTTCTATTGCACCTGTTTGGGGCACCACAAACCACATCCATGTAAGATGGTGGACTTAGTCTATAAACATTGTGTGTGATCTGACTGCTCCGTGGACTGGCCACGTCCCCGTCTCTCCTCCTCTAGTTGGGCCTCCCTGTTCCCCGAGCTGTGATTATATTGAAATTGGGCCAGTGAATACACCTATAATGGCCTGTATGTCAAGTGAAAGCAAGAGTCACATCTCTCACTTTAAATCAAAAGCAAGACATGATCAAACCTGGTGAGGAAAGTGTGTTGAGAGCAGAGACGGAACAAAGGCTGGGCCTCTTGCACCAAGCAGCCCAGTTACGGATACAAAGAGAAGTTCTTGAAGAAAATTAAAAGTGCTATTCCAGTGAACGCATGAATGATAAGAATGTGAAACAACCTTACTGCAGAATGTTTTAAGGTCTGGAGAGATGATCAAACCAGCCACAACATTCCCTTAGGCCAAAGCCTAACCCAGAACGAAGCCCCAACTCTCTCCAATACTATGAGGGCTGAAAAGTTTGAAGTCAGCAGAGGCTGGTTCATAAGGTTTAAGGAATGAAGCTGTCCCCATCACATAAAAATGCAAGGTGCAGCAGCAGGTGCTCACGGAGAAGCTGCAGCAGGTTCTCTAGGAGATCCGGCAAAGATCACTGATGAAGGTGGCTACACTAAACAGCAGATCTTCACTGTAGACAAAACAGCTTCTACTGGAAGAAGAGCCTGGTTTGGAAGTTTCAAAGGACAAGCTGACTCTCTTATTAGGGGCTAATGCAGCTGGTGACTTTAAGTTGAGGCCAACGCCCATTTTCCATTCTGAAAATCCTAGGGCCCCTAAGAATGACGCTAAATCTACTCTGCCTGCGCCCAATACATGGAACAACGAAGCCGGAATGACAGCGTATCTGTTTACAGCCTGATTTCCTGAACATTTAAGGTCACTATTGAGAGCTACTGCTCAGAAAAAAAAAAACATCTTTTTAAAATACTGGTGTACTCACTGATTATGTACCTGTCATCCGAGGCCTCTGATGCGGATGTACAAGATTAATGTGTTTTCACACCTGCTAGCACAACATCCATTCTGCAGCCCATGAATCAAGGAGTCGTCTCAACTTTCCAATCTCAGTATTGAAGAAAAGCATCTCATACGGCCGTAGCTTCCGTAGATAGTGATTCCTCTGATGATCTTGGCAAAGTGAATTGAAAACCTTCTGGAAAAGATTCACCATTCTAGATGCCATTAAGAATGTTCGTGATTCTTGGGAGGAGGGTGACACATCAACATGAATAGGAGTTTGGAAGAGGTTGATTCCAACCCTCGTGGATGACTTTGAGAGGTTCTAGACTTCAGTGCTAGAAGTTACTGCAGGTGTAGTGGAAATAGCAGGTGAACTAGAATTAGAAGTGAACCTGAAGATGTGGCTGAATAGCTGCAATTTCTTGATAAGACCTGAACGGATGAGGAGTTGGTTTTTGTGGATGAGCAAAGAAAGTGGTTTCTTGAGATAGAATTGACTCCTGGTGAAGAGGTTGTGAAGATTGCTGAACTGACCACAAAGGATTTATAATATTCTATAAACTTAGTCGATAAAGCAGCAGCAGGGTTTGAGAGGATGGACTCCAGTTGTCCAAGAAGTTCTAGAGTGGGTAAAATGCTGTCAAACAGCATCATGTTTTACGGAGAAAACTTCAGTGAAAGAAAGAGTCGATCAGTGCAGCAAACGTTATTGTTGCCGTAAGACACCACCACAGCCACCCCCACCTTCAGCAGCCCCCACCTGATCAGTCAGCAGCTGTCAACATCAAGGTGAGGCCCTCCACCAGCAAAAAGACTACGACTCCCCGAAGGCTCTGATGATCATTAGCGTTTTGTTTTTTGCTTTTTGTTTTTGTTGTTGATGTTGTTGTTGTTGTTTTAGCAATAAGGTATTTTTTAAATTAAGGTAACGACTTTGTTTTTAAAGAAATAATGCTATTGCACACTTAGGCTGAAATAGTGTAAACTTAACTTTCATATACACCAGGAAAACAAAAAATTCCTATGACTTGCTTTATTGCAATATTCGCTTTATTGGGGTAGTCTGGAACCAAACCCACAGTGTCTCCAAGGCCGGCCTGTACATGAACAAGGATGTTCACTGACGCCTCTTTGGTGGTGCCAAAAAGCTGGAAATAACCTTAGGGGCTGGGAAATAAGTTCCAGCACATCCACGAAATGGTTAAGCAGTGAGAAAAGAAGAGACAAATCTTCTGTGCTGATACAGAAAAATGCCGGAACATATCGTTATACACACATGTAAATTCCTTTAAAAACCCGAGACGCACCACAGCACATACAGGAAACAGCATTCCTAAAATAGCTGCCCAGGAACATTCTGGGATGATGGGAACCTGACTGTTCATTGCAGTCAAGCCCGAGAGGACCATCGTCTGGGAGCTCTTACTTCGCATGTTAAGACTTTTTGAATTACTTTTATCATGACAATTTATTTACTTGTGTAGTATCAAAACCAAGTATAAATTGTTCAAAAATAAAATAACACACCTCTTTAGATTGCTGTTGGACTAAACGGCCTCCCCTAGGACTTTCAGCCCTCAAGGCTCTGGTGGCCCGACTTCGGCAAGGGGCTTCCCAGTGGCCCTGAGCGGGAACCCTCTGCAGCCCAGACAGGGTACAGGCCCCATTCCAGCCATCCTCCTCCCACAGGACACCCTGAAAACCTGCCCGAGCCCCACTGGTGGCTGTGCTGCTCCTCACCCCCCCTCTGCTGGAGCCATAGGAGCCTCCTCAGGAGCCCTTTCTCCATTTACTGCACCTCCTCTCCTGCCAAAGAGGCCCTGGAGTGCAGGTGAGGGCATCTTGCCAGCCCCAAAGGTGGCCTCATGCCCTTCCATCCACTGGCAGTCCCCTCCACAGTCCCCGGGAGCCTCACAGAGCCCTTGTGCTTTGATGCTGACTCAGTTCAGTCTCAACCAAGGGATCGTCCATCTGCCCACCACAGAGCCAGCCAGCCTGGAGGGATCTGCGCAGATCCCGGGGTCTGTGAGGCGATGGGCAACGCCCTGTGCCCACGTGTGGCTGCTCTCCCAGGGGTGCACCTTCCTCTGGCCCCACACACCCCTCCCTGTGCACATCAGCCACACTGCTTTCTGAGTTCCATTTCCTCTGTTCTGAGCTGCAGTTGCTAATGCCCTCACTCTGTCCCACAGGGAAGGGCCGGCGTGAGGGAGGGCCAAAGCCCATTCCTCAGGAGAGCCCGTCACCAGCCTGGCCTGCAGCGGCTTCCCTCCCAGCTCCCAGCTCCGGCCTCTGATGTGCCCGGCACGGACTAAGCGTGTCACTGTCGCCCCGACTGCCACAGCAACCGCACCACTTACCGAGGAGCCACGCTCACACTCCCCCAGCCCCCAGGGCCACAGACTAACAGAATAACGTCTTTGGAGGAGACGATGCAGAGGAGTGCTTTCTCCCCTGGGGCCTGCTGGTGTGCGCAGAGCTAATGAAACCCACCGGCCAGAGGCAGCTGGTAACTCTCTGGCTGTCCTGGGCTGCAGGACTATGGCCACCAGTGGACAGATGGCGGGTGGGAGACAGCCAGCCCTCTAGAACCCTCTTGACCTGAGCTCTCAGGCTCCTCAAACCATACCCAGGACCCTCTTAGTTCCTCCCATCCTCTGTGCCCCAAGCTGATCCCCCAAAGTCTGCCCTAGGCAGTGGATCACAGGCCCAGGTGGAGCCCAGGCAAAGGTCTGCAGGGCAGGGAACCAGGCCTCGGTGGTGTCTGCAAAGACCTGGCCACATGCATCTCCCACCCAAACCGTGGAGCTGAGCTTCGAAGGCAACACTCCCCCGACAGATGTACTGGGAGCTGCCGCAGAGTGGAAAGCCGGCAGGCTGCTCATGTAGAAAGGGGATAAAAGGGGGCTGAGTCCAGCCCAGACATTGCCCTGAGCGGGGCCTCCCTGGGAAGCAACTCTGGGTGTCACCACTGTCATCGCCCCTAACGGATGGGAAAACAATCTCCACGCCACAGCTGCTAATGTGCTTCCCGGCCCGGCCACCCTCCACCCTCGTCATCTGTATTTTTCCACGTCATGGTCCGTTAACCCCTCGAGGCCCATGGCAGCCCCCTGAGGAGCGAGTGCCCTCAGGCCCTGGACTGAGCAGGTCTGGAGACAGGGGTGTCGTGGTGGGGTGGGGAGGAGCTGATGTCAGGAGAGTCAGCGCTGAGCACACCTGGAACCAGGAGAGTGGGAAACGTTGCCACCAATGCTGAGTGCCTGCTGTGCACCCCACCATCTCAGGGCCCCACTCACTGTGTAAGGTGGGATTTTACTGTCCCTGCTTTATACACAAGTGAGCTACATTTTGCAGATGTTAATAAAGAGGCCTAGGCCACCAGAACCATGAGCCACAAGTGGGGACTGTGACCACCGGATGCTCCAAGCACAAAGCCCTTGGGCACCCGACCCTGCCAGTCACTGCACACGCCTGTTTTATTGGAAGAGGATTTGGGTCCCAGTCCAAGAATCCATGGTCCCCTTGGAGCTGTGCTACACGGGCCTCCTTCCTGCAAGGCAGCACCATCCTTCTTCCGGTCCAAGTTTGGTCAGAAATTCTACGAAACATGAAGTGTTACATCCGCATCACCATTTCACAGACTAGAAAACCCACTGAAGGAGAAACAGAATGACTTGAGCAGAACCATCCAAGCTCCAGGTGAAGACAGCGTCCCACGAGCCAAGCCAGCATCAAATTTCACTCTGGAATCTCAAGCATGAACCCGACAAACAGCAAGCACAGACCCTGGTGTCCGGATGGGAGGGGATGCAGGAGGCCCTCGCCAGGAGACTGGGAGGAGAAACACCAGGAGATCCTGGGCTGCCCACATTGGCAGTTCTTAATCCCCAGCACACGAGGTCAGCCAGATTCCAGACCCCACTAGAGGAAGGGAAAGAGCACTTGGAGAGGACGGCCTTGAACGCTCAGTTCATCACACCAAAATGTTCGTCAGCCCTGCTCTTCCCACAGAATTAGAGTACAGCAGAATGCATGGGCCACACCCATCGCGAATCCTACCCCCAAGTCCTACCACCCTCCTGGTGCCTACACTCATCACATCCATCCCTCCATCCACCCCATCCCTCCATCCACGCCATTCCCCCATCCATCCCATCCCTCCATCCACCCCATCCCTCCATCCACCCCATCCTTCCATCCACCCCATTCCTCCATCCACCCCATCCCTCCATCCACCCCATCCCTCCATCCACCCCATTCCTCCATCCATACCATCCCTCCATCCACCCCATCCCTCCATCCACCCCATCCCTCCATCCACCCCATCCCTCCATCCACCCCATCCTTCCATCCACCCCATTCCTCCATCCACCCCATCCCTCCATCCACCCCATCCCTCCATCCACCCCATTCCTCCATCCATACCATCCCTCCATCCACCCCATCCCTCCATCCACCCCATCCCTCCATCCATCCCATCCCTCCATCCACCCCATCCCTCCATCCACGCCATTCCCCCATCCATCCCATCCCTCCATCCACCCCATCCCTCCATCCACCCCATCCTTCCATCCACCCCATCCCTCCATCCACCCCATCCCTCCATCCACGCCATTCCCCCATCCATCCCATCCCTCCATCCACCCCATCCCTCCATCCACGCCATCCCTCCATCCACCCCATCCCTCCATCCACCCCATCCCTCCATCCACGCCATTCCCCCATCCATCCCATCCCTCCATCCACCCCATCCCTCCATCCACCCCATCCCTCCGTCCACCCCATCCCTCCATCCACCCCATCCTTCCATCCACCCCATCCCTCCGTCCACCCCATCCCTCCATCCACCCCATCCCTCCATCCACCCCATCCCCCCATCCATCCCATCCCTCCGTCCACCCCATCCCTCCATCCACCCCATCCTTCCATCCACCCCATCCCTCCATCCACCCCATCCCTCCATCCACCCCATCCCTCTATCCACCCCATTCCTCTATCTATCCCCATCCCTCCATCCACCCTATCCCTCCATGCATTCATTCCTCCATCCATCCCATCCCTCCATCCACCCCATCCTTCCATCCACCCCATTCCTCCATCCACCCCATCCCTCCATCCACCCCATCCCTCCATCCACCCCATTCCTCCATCCATACCATCTCTCCATCCACCCCATTCCGCCATCCATCCCCATCCCTCCATCCACCCTATCCCTCCATCCATTGATCCCCCATCCACCCCATCCCCCAACCACCTCCATCCCTCCATCCACCCCCATACCCCCATCCATCCCATACCCCCATCCACCCCATCCCTCCATCCACCGCATCCCTCCATCCACCCCCATCCCTCCATGCATCCCATCCCTCCATCCACCTCATTCCATCCATCCCCATCCCTCCATCCACCCCATCCCTCCATCCACCCCATTCCTCCATCCATCCCTATCCCTCCATCCACCCTATCCCTATCCCTCCATCCATCCCATCCCATCCCTCCATCCACCCCAACCCTCCATCCACCCCATTCCTCCATCCATCCCCATCCCTCCATCCGTCCCATTCGTCCATCCATCCCCATCCCTCCATCCGTCCCATTCGTCCATCCATCCCCATCCCTCCATCCACCCCATTCCTCCATCCATCCCTATCCCTCCATCCACCCTATCCCTCCATCCATTCATCCCTCCATCCATCCCATCCCATCCCTCCATCCCTTCCCTCCATCCACCCCATTACTCCATCCATCCCCATCCCTCCATCCACCCCAACCCTCCATCCACCCCATTCCTCCATCCATCCCCATCCCTCCATCCGTCCCATTCGTCCATCCATCCCCATCCCTCCATCCACCCTATCCTTCCATCTATTCATCCCTCCATCCATCCCATCCCTCTGTCCACCCCATTCCTCAATCCACCCCCATCCCTCCATCCACCCCCATCCCTCCATCCACCCCCATCCCTCCATTCATCCCCATCACTACCACCATCCCATGCCTCCATCTCCAACCCTATAGCCATCCTCATTCCTACCCTTCTGTCATCTATACCTTCACCCTCCATTCCTCCATCCACCCCCATCCCCACTGCCCACTTCCAAGCCTCACTCGCTGGCATCAGCTCCTGCCTCCCCAGAGTTTCTCTGCTCTGGGTGTTCCTCACACAGGATCCTACCAGGCTACAGCAGATTCTTGCACTCCGTGGGGCCTGCACCCTCCGCACTTTTCTGGTGACCTCTCTTCTCCTCACAGCTCCCTCCCGGGGGCTAGTCTGTATCCACTCCCACACCCTGCAGAGCGTCAGCATCCTGGACCTGCAGGGCAAGGGAGTGTTCTTAGTGCGGCAGCCCCTCCTCCTGAGCCCCCTGCTCACCATCCTCGCAATTCCTGCTTCAGGGCACTTCCGAATGGCCAGGGCCTGGTCTTCCTGTGAGCTCAGTCACCAGGTGTCTATGTGCCCTTTGACGAGTGACTTAACCCCCCACGAAAGGATGAGGCTGACAAGCTGCACCCTCACATGTGCCCTGTGCCTGTTTGTTTGGGACATTGTACGACGAGGCTCATCTGATCTTAAACCCCCTGCTTTGCATGCAAACGAGATTTTCTCAGTGCTCTGGTGCAGCCCCTCCATGTGTGCACGGCTTGGCTATTCTGAGGGAGCTGCCTTTCCTGCCGGCCGCGTGACCTACGCCTGCAGCTGGGAGAGCTGAGACTGCGTTGCGGTGCTTGGGTACTCTGCCAGCAGAGGGTGGGCCGCAGGCTGGTGGGAGGCTCAGACAAAACTCCAGCTGCACCCTGCACTTACACGGGCGGCTTTGAGCCTCCTTCAGGACAGCCCTGGGATGGCTTCATGAATGCTGGTACCACAGCCTGCGCTGGGAAGGTCCACCTCCTGAAGCCGGCTCACGTGGTCTGTGCACTCCGGAATGTCCAGAAGCTCATCTCAGCTGGAGGCATCCCTCATGCCGATGTGATTTGTGTCTGGGTGGAGGACGGTGTGGAAGTGGAGAAGTCTTGTTTCTGACGTTGTTTTCCTCAACAGCGTAGCAGAAGCTTGTCAGTGGAGAGACACCAGAGGCTGGTGGTGCTCAGCTCACACATTTTTCTATGGGCCCAAAGCTCTTCGCCAGCACAGAAGCATTTATTCTTCCCAGAGGAAAAATTTCATGCTTCACCACCTAACCCCACTGCAAATAAAGAGAAGCATTGTCAAAGCTGGGGCCTAGGAACAGTGCTGGGAATATGATTTGGGAGCACAGAGAGCAACAGCCTTGCAGCACTTGGCATGAGCCACACCTCCTGCGTGGCCAGCAACCTCTCCCTGGCCACTGTGGCAAAGGCCACCCTGCGGCCACGGCTTCAGACGCTGCTTCTGAGTGACCACACTATGTGGCTCTGCCTTTGTTCTGCTGGTCTGTCTCTGCAGATGGGACAGGGGCTCCCTAGTGAGCCTGAGACCTCATCGAGAGGCCAACCTGCTTGAATCGTGTCCTCTCCTGTCTTGTCTGCCCACTGGCTACAAAAATCCCATGTCGCATGTGTGGGCTGCTGGGGGTTCCCCTCAGCATCAGACATCCTAAGAGTGGCCGCTTGAGCCTGGCCCTGCCCTGGACATTCAGGTCAGACGAGGCCGGGAGGGCACTGCAAAGGCCCAGTGGCCTCGAGGAAGGTCAGGAGCACCCCTGCTCCACCGGGAGGGCACTGCAAAGGCCCAGTGGCCTCGAGGAAGGTCAGGAGCACCCCTGCTCCACCTGGAGCCTCAGTGCCAGATTGGGCAGCATCCCCACAAAGTCCACATCCTTCTCAAACCTCTGAATGGGATCTTACTTGGAAACAAGCCATTGCAGGTGCCACTGGTTAAGATGAGGTCTTCCTGGAATAGGCAGGCCCTTCGTCCAGTAAGATGGTGTCCTTCTAAGAGGAGGAGGAGACACAGGCGTTCAGGGAGACAGAGGCTGAGAGCAAGTGAGAGGCCACAGCCAGGAACCATGGAGGATCGCCAGCCACACCAGAACAGGGAGACGCACAGAGCCCAACCCTGCTGGCACCTTGGTCTTGGACCTCTGGCTCCAGGATGGCAGGAGAGCACACTTGCGCGGTGTGAGCCCCTGGTTTGTGGTCCCTCCTTACCACAGCCTTGGGATGTTCATACTGGAGACACCTGAGAACTGCTTCCAATTTCACAGCCTCTTTTCGCCCATGGAGGAGCCCCCAGCTGTGGCCATGGTTCTGCCTCATGTGGGGCTACTTGTCTGGGAGATTTCCCTCTGCAGAGTGGCCCATGGTGGACACCAGAGAGAGATGAGGCTCCTAATGAGACCTGTGGCAAATCTGAATACTGTTTTCTGCAGTTTTGCAGGGTTTTGTTGGGTGTTTAGCAGCTTAGGGCTGCAGCAGGGTGGCGTGGAGTGAGGCGTCTGCGGAGTCTGGTCACCCTGGTCTCAGTCCTTCATCTTTAAGATTCAATCTGGGTCTACTGCGTGCTTGCTGTGTGACTTTCCACAACTGGCTCAAACTCCCTGAGCCTCAATTTTATGATATTCACTTTAAAAAGCAGCTTTATTGAGCTGATTTTTATTAAGTAACATACAATAAACCACACATATTTAGAGTATAAAATTCAATGAGTTTTAATATATATACATACCTATGAATCTATCACCACAATCAGGAATTTGAACAAATCAATTACCCACAACTTTTCCCCTTTAATATCTCCTCCCCGCTCTTTTTCCCACACACTCCATCCCCAGGCAACCACTAATCTACTTTCTGTGGCTGTGTATTAGTTCACAGTCCATGGAATTTCATATAACTGGGTCATACAGTGGGTGCTCTGTTTTTATTTGGCTACAATTCATCAATGTTGTCACGTGCATCAGTCACTGATTCTTTTTTTTACTGAGTTGTATTCCATTGTGTGGATATACCACTGTTTATCAATTCACCTATTGATGAACATGTGAGTTGTCTCAAGCTTTTAGCTGTTACCAAGGAAGCTGCTATAATCACTCATGTATAGATCTTTTGTAGACATAGACTTCAACCTCTCTTGGGTAACTTCTTGGGAGCGGAATGGCTGGATCATATAGTAGGTTGATGTTTAACTTTTTGAGGCACTGACACAATGTTTTCCAAAGTGTGTCATTTCACTTTCTCACTAGTGGCACATGAGAGTTCCAGTTCCTCCACATCCCAGCCAGCACTTGATGTGGTCAGTCCCTAATTTTAGCTATTCTAACAGGCCTGTAGTGGTTTCTCACTGTGGTTCCAATTTGCATTTGCATAACGACTAATGATTCCTGAGCAACTTTTTGTGTGCTTGATATTTGTTTCTCTTCTTTAGACAGAGTCTGTTCAAATATTTTGCTTGCTTTCGTTGGGTTTCTTCTTTTCTCATCACTGAGTTTTAAGAGTTGCATATTCCACATATATTCTGTATATAAAACTTTTATAAAATGTGTGATTTGAAGATGTTTTCTCTCAAACTGTAGCTTACCTTCTCATTTTCTTAATGGCATATTTCACAGAGCAGAAATTCTTAATTTGATGAACTCCAATTTGTCATATTTTTTAATTTATGAATTACGCTTTTGGTGTTGTACCCAAGAAATCTTTGCTTAATCAAGGTCACAAAAAGAGACAGTCTCCACTGTCTGATAGGAAGGTGTTCATGTATTCCTGGATTATCCTTTTCATATGTGTAGAATCTGTAACAATGTTATCTTTGTCTTTCCTGGCATTTTGTCTTCTTTTTTTGGTCCCTGGTTAGTCTGACTAGAGGTTAACAAGGTTTACTAATCTTTCAAATAACTAGTTCTCTTGTGGTTTCTTGTAAAAGTTTTGCAGTTTTAGGTTTTACACTTAGGTCTCTGATCCATTTTGAGTTCATGTATGTACATAGTGCAAGGTATTGGATTGATGTACATTTTTTGGATACTCAATTTTTTTCAGAACCATTTGCTGTCCTTTCTCTATTCAAATGCCTTTGCAGCTTTGTCAAAACTCTCACCACTCCTATTCAACATAGTGTTGGAAGATCTGGCCAGGGCAATCAGGCAGGAGAAGGGAATAAAGGGCATTCAATTAGGAAAAGAGGAAGTCAAATTGTCCCTGTTTGCAGATGACATGATTGTATATCTAGAAAACCCCATCATCTCAGCCCAAAATCTCCTTAAGCTGATAAGCAACTTCAGCAAAGTCTCAGGATACAAAATCAATGTGCAAAAATCACAAGCATTCTTATACACCAATAACAGACAAACAGAGAGCCAAATCATGAGTGAACTCCCATTCACAATTGCTTCAAAGAGAATAAAATACTTAGGAATCCAACTTACAAAGGATGTAAAGGACCTCTTCAAGGAGGACTACAAACCACTGCTCAATGAAATAAAAGAGGATACAAAGAAATGGAAGAACATTCCATGCTCATGGGTAGGAAGAATCAATATCATGAAAATGGCCATACTGCCCAAGGTAATTTATAGATTCAGTGCCATCCCCATCAAGCTACAAATGACTTTCTTCACAGAATTGGAAAAAACTACTTTAAAATTCATATGGAACCAAAAAAGAGCCTACATTGCCAAGACAATCCTAAGCCAAAAGAACAAGGCTGGAGGCATCACGCTACCTGACTTCAAACTATACTACAAGGCTACAGTAACCAAAACAGCATGGTACTGGTACCAAAACAGAGATATAGACCAATGGAACAGTACAGAGCCCTCAGAAATAATGCCGCATATCTACAACCATCTGATCTTTGACGAACCTGAGAAAAAGAAGAAATGGGGAAAGGATCCCCTATTTAATAAGTGGTGCTGGGAAAACTGGCTAGCCATATGTAGAAAGCTGAAACTGGATCCCTTCCTTACACCTTATACAAAAATCAATTCACGAGGGATTAAAGACTTACATGTCAGACCTAAAACCATAAAAACCCTAGAAGAAAACCTAGGCAATACCGTTCAGGACATAGGCATGGGCAAGGACTTCATGTCAAAATCAATTGACCTTAAGTGTATGCGTTTATTTCTGAACTCTTAATTATATTCTAATGACTTATTTGTCGGTCACTCTCTCTTGATTACTGTAACTTAATGGTAGGTCTTAAAATGGGTCGAGTCCTCTAACTTTTTTCTTCTTTTTCAAAGTTGTTTTGATTATTCTAGGTCCTTTGCATTTCCATGTGAATTCTAGAACTCAATTGTCAATTTCTACAAAAAAAAAAAAGTCTACTTGGATTTGGTTGAATCTATAAGTCAGTTTGAAAGAATTCTGTCTTCTAACTCATGGACACAATGTATTTCTCCATTTCTTTAGGCGATCTTTAATTTCTCTCTGTGATGTTTTGTAAGTTTCAGTCTTTCTCATCGTTTCTCAGAGTGATTAAGTAGTTTGCATTTTTATGCTAAATTTTTATGTAAATGGTATTTATGCTACATTTTTATATAAGTGGTATTGTGCCTTTAATTTAAATTTCTAACCATTTGTTGCAACTATAGAAATACAACTGATATTTAGATATTGTTCCTTTATCCTGCAAAGTTGACAAACTCATTCAGTGATTCTAGTGGCTCTTTGTAGATTCCATCATGTTCTCTACATAGACAATAACGTCTCTTGTGAATAAAAACAGTTTTACCTTCTCCTTCTTCCCAATTTGGATGGCTTTTCTTTCTTTCCTATTTTTTTTTCCTTCTTGCATTGGCCAGAGCCTCCCATGTGATCACGAGTAGAAGTAGGAGAGCATCCCATGTGATCACGAGTAGGAGTAGGAAAGCATCCCACATGATCACGAGTACAAGTTGGAAAGCATCCCACGTGATCACGAGTAGAAGTAAGAAAGCATCCCACGCGATCACGAGTAGAAGTAGGAGAGCATCCCATGCAATCATGAGTAGAAGTAGGAGAGCATCCCATGCGATCACGAGTAGAAGTAGGAGAGCCTCCCATGTGATCACGAGTAGAAGTAGGAAAGCCTCCCATGTGATCACAAATAGAAGTAGGAGAGCATCCCATGTGATCAAGAGAAGTAGGAAAGCAGAGACCCTTGCTTTATTCCAGTCTTCGGGGGAAGACATCCAATCTTTCACCATTAATTATGTCAGTTGTTGGTTTTTCACAGATACCCTTCATCAATTTGCTGAATATTTTAATTAAATAGATGTTGGATTTTATCATGTGCTTTGTCTACATCCATTGAGATGATCATGTGGTTATTTTTTCTTAATTTTTTAATATGGTAAATTATACTGATTACTCTTGACTAAATTACCTTTGCATTGCTGAGATAAACCTCACTTAATGGTGTATTATCACTTTTACAAACTGTTGGATGTGATTTTATAAAATTTTGTTTAAAATTTTCATCTGTGTTTGTGAAGTTTTATTTTCTTTCAATGTCCTTGTCTAGTTTTTATGTCATAGTCATGCTGCCCTCATAGAATGAGGTGGAAAGTATTTCTTCCTCTTCAATTTTCCAGAAGACTTTGTATAAAGTTTGTATTATTTCTCTTTGGATATTTGGAAGAATTCACCAGTGAAGCCCTTTGGCCTGGAATTTTATCTGTGGGAGGTTTTTAATTAAAATTTTAATTCCCTTAATAGATATAGGGCTATTCATGTTACCTACGATTTTACTTCCTTAATACGTTTTTCTTTTTTTCTTTCTTTTAGCATGTAAGTTTTGGTACTTTGTGTCTTTCAAAGAATTTGTCCATTTCAACTAAGTTGTTTAACTTATTGGCATGATTGATGGACACGTTTCTCCCAGGCCATAGATTTTGCTTTGAAATCTGCAGCCTCCCCTGTCTGATAGGAAGGTGTTCATGTATTCCTGGATTACCCTTTTCATATGTGTGGGATCTGTAACAATGTTACCTTTGTCTTTCCTGGCATTTTGTCTTCTTTTTTGGTCCCTGGTTAGTCTGACTAGAGGTTAACAAGGTTTACAAATCTTTCAAATAACTAGTTTTTGGTTTTGTTGGTTTTCTCCTTTTGTGTCTTCCGTTTTATGGATTTCTACTCTTGGTTTTATCATTTCCTTTACTCTGCATATTGTGAATTTAATTTTCTCTTCTTCTAGTTCCTTGCCTACCTCAATTCTCTGTCTAATTCTGGGTCCTTGGCCATTCCCACCTCAGTTAACAGAAAATGCCAAGACATACCACTTGCTGGTGTCCAAACCCAAGATGAGCCCAGAATTTTTCTTCGCCTCACATTCCACACAGAATCCCTGAGCAGTCTTGCAAGCTCTGGCTTCAGGAGTGGTCCCAGCCCCGCCACGCCTGTGCCATGCTGCCAGGCCAGCAGCCTTCCCACGTGCCTTCCCGCCTACCCTGCGCTCCACCTGCAGCACAACCATGCAAACACAAATCAGAGAACACTCACTCTTGGAGCCCAGAGCCACCCGTCAGAAGCGCAGCCTCCTTGGCCTCACGGGGAGCCACCCACAGTCAACGGCCCACGAAGCCTGCATGTGAGTCACTGCAGGGTGCAGGCAGCCCCGGGCCCTCCATGACAGGGATGTTCCCAGATGCAGCTGAGCAGGGGCAAACCACCCCCCGCCATTCCACATCCAGACTTCTGACTCAGAACCCATAGTGGCTGTTTTTTGAAAAACGAAGCAAAGCTGTAAATTGGGTCACATTATACTCTGCTTAAAACCCTATACTAACAGTCTGGCAGTTCCTCAAAAGCTAAATGTAGAATAACTATATGACCCAGAAATTCAACTTGCAAATATAGAACCACGAGAAATGAGAATGTAGACCACACAAAACCTTGCATGCAGATGCCTGTGGCAGTGTCGCCTATCATAGCCATAAGGTGCCAACAACCCAAATGCCCATCAACTCAGGAACAGAGAAACAAAACCTGGTCCATCCAGACAATAGAGTATTATTTGGTAATAAACAGAAATGAGTGCTGGTGGACCGAGGAGGAGGCAAAGCAGGGGCACAGAGCGCCCAGGGACGTGTGGCCACTGTCGGGACTGTTTGGTGCCACAGGATGGCTGGGCTGGGGCTTGGCCTGCAGGATGGGCTGGAAATGCTCTTAATTCCTCGGAAGCTAAGAGACACCTGAGAAGGAGGGACAGCCTGGGCCTGGGAGCCGGGTGGACATAGGAAAAGGCTTTTAGTTTTTCAAAAACTGAGCAATAAAAGACTTGGACTTGTTTTTTAAAAATTTGTAGAAGAGATAAGAACAAAAAATCTAGAAACTGGAAAAAATTTCAAGTTGATGAGGCCTTGACTCAATAATGACCTTGTATCTATGATTTGCTTTCTCATTCACTCATTCACTCATTCAGTGAATATTCAAGAAACCCACACTGAGAAACTGCTGTGTGCAGCCTCCGTGTCACACACACGTGTGCCCCTCCTGCATCGCTACCTCGGAACACGTGTGTTCAGGCATGGATGCATCTGTGTGGGTGTTCGTGCACTGCAGCCGCACCAGCTCCCGAATGTTGCCTGTCAGACCGGCAGTGTGTGCCCGGTTCCGATTCCAAGAGCATCTTCTCCAGAACTCTGGCGGCCGGGCCAGGGAGGAGCGTGGACTGTCCCATGGAAACGCGGCCCGGGAGGGCTTAACTGAGGACAGCTGACATAAGAAGCTATTGACAAAACACCACACACTGGGGGTGTAAACAACACACATTTATTTTTTTACAGTCCTGGAGGCTGGAGGTCCAAGATCCAAGTTCCTGCAGACTTCGTGCCTGGTGGGCTCTGGGCCTGGCATGCAGGCAACGGCCTCCTGGCTGTGTCCGAAAACAGTGGAGAAAAAGAAGGGGAGAGGGAAGGAGGGGAGAGAGGGGCAAGAAAGAAAGAGGAAGAGAGAGAGAGAAGGGGAGAGAGGGAGGGTGAGGAACAGAGAAAGGGAGGAAAGGAGGGAGGGAGGGAGGGAGGGAGAGAGAGAGAGAGAGAAGAGCCGGCAGGGAGGGAGAAAGAAAAGAGCCCCAGTCCTATTGTGGTAGCCCCACCCTCATGACCTCGTGTAACCTAATCACTCCCAAAGGCCTAGCTCCAAATCCAGCCACATTGGGGGTTAGGACCTCAATGTGTGAACTTCAGGGTCAGGGACACAATTCAACCCACAGCAGTGTGGAAAGAGTTCAGGAGAAGTGAGGGATGAGGCTGTCCCAGGATAGCCCGGAGGAGCCCGGAGGGATGTAGGAAAGGGAGGGCTGGAGGAAAAGGGGCCCCCGCACCATGGCCCCCAGCCTCCAGGTGCCCTCATTGCCACATGCTGCAGGAGGTCAGAGGGCGAGGGAGCCGGGGAGACACCGTGCACAGGGCCAGTGTCCCAGGCTCTGCGCGTGTGGTTGGGAAGAGGCCACAGAGTGCTGGGGAGGCCGTGGTGACCTCACAGAATCGGCCTCTCCTTCCACTGGGCTCAGAGATTCCCACGAGCTCCGTGCTGCCTGGAGAGAGAACGCAAGACGGGAGGGAGGGAGGGACTGATGGGTGGCCACAGGGGGAGGCTGAGAAGGAGGCAAATGGAGCTGAGAAGAGACAGGACGAGAGTGAACGCGCCCACCCGGCTGCCAGGCTCTCCCCTCCACTCAGGAGGCTCCGTGGCTGCCAGGCCTGCCAGATCTGGGCACAAACACAAAACAGGAATCCTCTCAGCTCAGCCTCAAAGTGTTTTGTTGCATTTTTTCTGGCTGGGGCTTGAGGGTGAAAGGTTGCTTGTTTGTTTGCTTGTTTGTTTTAGCTGCTAGCTCAATTTGCTGGTCTCACATTCATGATGCCCTTTGAGAAAATACATTGGGACGCTTTTACAACTTGAGAAACCTCCTGGGTTTTGAAGCCTCCCACATCTCTGCCCGCCCTCCAGCCAGGCCAGGCCAGGGCGACGGAGAAGGGATGGAGGGAGGCGCGTGTGGATATCACCCCAAGCCATCCATCTAAAAAGTCTCTTCCTGACATGGCTGCAAGGGTGGCCCGGCCTGTCAGCTCCTACCCTGCCCTGGGCTCCCTGCTGGGACCCGTGGCTGCTGCACACCTCTGCTCAATCTCCACGTCACCCGGCAGAGTCTGTGCTGTCACCCTGTGTTAGGGACAAGGACGTGGAGAGTCACAGGCTTGCCTGGAGGTGACAGTGATGCCAGGGCCAGCCCAGGTGAGGAATACTCGAAGGCTCACCATGCTTCATATGGGAAGCCAGGTAGAAAGAACAGGATGAGAGGAACTGCCCGGCCACCTGCAGCTGCTGCTATCTCCCTCTGCCCTCCTCTCTTCTTCCCCACAGGGCTCTGCAGAGTGTGGGACACGGACAGTTGCTCAACCCACAGCAGGGTAAGCGCAGGGCTGAGCATTGGCAGTGATCTGCCGTGGCTGTGGCTTCCGGCACGTGGCCAGAGATGTGCTCACAAACCGCATGGGAGCCACGTCGGGGGTGCGCTGAGCACCAGGCTCAAAGGGAGGACCCTGCACAAGGGCCCCAGAAGAGGGGTCTGTCAACCATAATCCAAAAATGCATAAAATCTGGAAACCATTTCATTCATCGTTGGCTAATTTCAATTCAATTGCAACTTGAATGTAAATTATTGGAACTGGCTACTAATGAAGAATTGAAGACGAATTTTGAAAATAGAGCATCTGTTGCTTCAGTTTAAATAAAAGTTACATGTGAATATACTGAGCCTGCTGAAAATGTCTTTAAAATCTCTCCTTCCATTCCTATCAACAAACTTTATGAGACTAGTTTTTCTACTGAGACTATTATTAAAACAAAGCAGAACACTATTTTCGATATACATTTTCCCTGCCAGAATCAGTAAAACTGAAACTAGATAGGGAAGCAAAGCATAAGCTCATTGTCCATTAGAGATAGTAAATATTAACACGACATGGTATAATTTTGCACAAAAAGGCATTTAAGCGTAAATTGCTATTTCACTCCTATTTTGTTCAGTTATGGCTGTGGAACGGGAAAACGTTTTTACTGTGTGCATTAGGTGGCTTAAACAACAAAACCTGATTTTTCACAGTTCTGGAGGCTGGACGTGCAAGATGAAGGTGCCGGCCAGTTTGGTTTTCTGGCCCTCTTCTCGGCGTCCAGACGGCCGCCTTCTCGCTGTGTCCTCTGGTGGTGAAGGGAGGGCACTCTGAACAATTGTTCTTCTTCTATTTTTGTTTTCTGAGACAGAGTCTCGCTCTGTCACCCAGGCGGAGTGCATCGGCGTGATCTCGGCTCACTGCAACCTCCGCCCCCTATGTTCAAGCAATTCTCCTGCCTCAGCCTCCCAAGTAGCTGGGACTACAGGCGCCCGCCACCACACCTGGCTAAATTTTTGTATTTTTAGTAGAGATGAGGTTTCACTGTGTTAGCCAGGATGTTCTTGATCTCCTGACCTCCTGATCTGCCTGCCTCAGCCACCCAAAGTGCTGGGATTAAGACGTGAACCACCACGCCTGGCTGTTGTTGTTCTTCTTCTTATAAGGGCACTAATCCCATCATGGGGACCCCACCTTCACAACCTCATCTAAACCTCATCACCCCCTAAAGGCCCCAGCTCCTAATACCCTTACTTTGGGGATGAGAGCTTCAGTATACGAAATTGGAGGGAATGCAGCTCCGTTCATGGCAGTCTAACAATTCTCTGTAACATAAATGTGCACTCTTTCAACAAACAATATGCAAAGTTGATGTAATTTGTTTCTATTTTCCTGTTTTATTTTTGTTCTGATCATGCCATTTGAAACATACTTTATGTCTATTGAGTGTAATAATACAATTTTGATCTTATATTTTTTGTCTATTTTTTCATTTCTCTAGTAACTCATTTTTGTCATATTTTAAAAACTACCAATGCAAAGAAGTTTGAAACGTACAATGGTCCTTCATCACCAATGGTTCTTCATTATCAATAATCCTTCATTAACAATGTTCAATGAAGGTCCTTCATCACCATGTCCTTCATCACCAAGGTCCTTCATCACCATGTCCTTCATCACCATGTCCTTCATCACCGAGGTCCTTCATCACCGAGGTCCTTCATCACCGTGTCCTTCATCACCGAGGTCCTTCATCACCGTGTCCTTCATCATCGAGGTCCTTCATCACCATGTCCTTCATCACCAAGGTCCTTCATCACCATGTCCTTCATCACCATGTCCTTCATCACCAAGGTCCTTCATCACCATGTCCTTCATCACCATGTCCTTCATCACCAAGGTCCTTCATCACCATGTCCTTCATCACCAAGGTCCTTCATCACCATGTCCTTCATCACCAAGGTCCTTCATCACCGTGTCCTTCATCACCGTGTCCTTCATCACCGTGTCCTTCATCACCGTGTCCTTCATCACCATGTCCTTCATCACCAAGGTCCTTCATCACCATGTCCTTCATCACCGAGGTCCTTCATCACCGTGTCCTTCATCACCGTGTCCTTCATCACCATGTCCTTGATCACCATGTCCTTCATCACCGAGTTCCTTCATCACCATGTCCTTCATCACCATGTCCTTCATCACCGAGGTCCTTCATCACCATGTCCTTCATCACCATGTCCTTCATCACCATGTCCTTCATCACCGAGGTCCTTCATCACCATGTCCTTCATCACCATGTCCTTCATCACCGTGTCCTTCATCACCATGTCCTTCATTACTGAGGTCCTTCATCACCATGATCTTTCATCACCATGATCTTTCACTATCAATAGTTCTTTACCACCAAGTCCTTCATCACAATGGTCTTTCATTATCAATGATTCTTTACAAACAAGGTCCTTCATCACCATGATCATGATCTTTCATCACTACAGTCCTTCATCACCATGTCCTTCACCAAGGTCGTTCATCACCATGTCCTTCATCACAGAGGTCTTTCATCACCATGATTCTTCATCACCATGTCCTACATCACCAAGGTCCTTCATCACCATGGTCCTTCACCAAGGTCGTTCAACACCAAGGTCCTTCATCACCATGGTCCTTCACCAAGGTCGTTCATCACCAAGGTCCTTCATCACCATGGTCCTTCACCAAGGTCCTTCATCACCATGGTCCTTCACCAAGGTCATTCATCACCAAGGTCCTTCATCACCATGGTCCTTCACCAAGGTCGTTCATCACCAAGGTCCTTCATCACCATGGTCCTTCACCAAGGTCCTTCATCACCATGGTCCTTCACCAAGGTCGTTCATCACCAAGGTCCTTCATCACCATGGTCCTTCACCAAGGTCTTTCATCGCCAAGGTCCTTCATCACCATGGTTCTTTACCACCAAGGTCCTTCATCACCAGTGTTCAATGACCCTTCCCCACAGGGAGTTGTGAACAGCTCAAGGAAGCTCCTGAACAGATGAGGCAGCTGGTTTGTTGAGAGAAGTTGGAGTTAGAAAAGGGAGGAAAGTTGAGGAGTTGACGCAGATGCCTGGCCAGTCTTAGGACACAAGAAGTGCAAACTGGGAGGATTCTCGGAGAACTTGGAGAACAGTGTTCTCTTTTTAGAGGCAAGACCTAGAGAAACGTGTGAGTGGACAGGGACAGCTCTGGCCCCTGACACTGGGAAGAAAGGCCAAGTGTCCTGTGTTCCTCCTCTGCTATCGTCCCTCCTACCAGAAGGATGCACCTCCCCTGACCCCGCTTTCCAAACCCAAACACCGAGATCTCTGGCTGAGGTGAGATCTGGAGCGTGTCTTCTCTCATCTCCACCAGAGCCCCGCAGCCACTCGTGAAAGACAGGTACAGCCCCAGCTGGGACGTCAGGGCAGCCGCCAGACAGTTTCTGCCCCCTCCCAAGCGCTGCCCAGAACGTGGACACTGACCCTGTTTCCTCAGAGTAAGCACAGACCTGCCGGAGGCCTGCACCCTGGGAGCAGCCTCACACTGCCGGGCGTGGGGGCACGGGGTGAGGGCACTGCTTCCCTTTGCTCAGGCAGCTTCTGTGGACACGGACACATGAGACTCTACCCAAGGAGGGGACAATGGACAGATGAGAGACAGAGTCAGGAGCGGGGAAGGGGGGGACCCCTTCGAGGAGAAATTCCATCAACCTCATAATCTTGCCTGTTTCCCCACCCCCGAGGCCACACCATCTGGATGGACAGCCCTTTGAAAGCAAACAGGAACCCTGTTGTGGGCACCACAGGCACAGTGCCCTGCGGCCCGTGTCTGGCCTGGCGCAGGCTCAGGGCTGGGCAGAGCTCAGAGCGCGGCTGCCTCTTCCTCAGAAGCCCGTGAGGGTCCCGTTGGCTCAGGCTGGAGCACAGCGACCGACGTCGAGGCTTTAATGAAGTCCGTGTGAGTGGCGGTGGGGCGGCCTCGCTGCACAGATGGCTCTTTGTCCCCATGACACCTGCCATCTGCTTGTTTGTCTAAACGATGCTGCAGGGGCAGGGGTTCCCAATCTGCTGCCCGGGCCCCACCCGCCCACTGCGACCTCCTGACCCCCGGGCCAGACGGGTCCGCAGAGTTTGTTCTTCCAGCACAGTGGGCTCTGCCTTCCCTGCCTTCGATGTCCGCAGCCTCTTGCCAGCGCTGGTGCTTGGGTGGCAGGAGCAGCCGGGGAGGGGAAGAGGAGGGGGAGGAGGAGGAGGGAGAAGAGGAGGAGGGGGAGGAGGAGGGGAGGAGCTGCAGCCGCAGGGACTGGGAGGACTTCAGCAGCAGTTGCCACCCGCAGCTTGGCAGGGCCCTCCTGGTCCAGGAGCCAGGCTGGAAGCTCGCATTTCCGAAGCTCAGCCCTCACACCTGTTCACAGAGAGAACGTCACATAAAAGAGAGGCCGGGAGGGAGGGACCCCCCAGAGCAAATGCTCAGCCGCCCCTGGAGCAGATGACAGCAGCCGCACAGGCTAGAGCACAGCTCGCTCCCTTTTCTTAAAAACAAGTGAGGTGAGAAGAGAAAAGTTCACTTTTGAAGTTGCAGAAATGGAAGCAAAAACATCCAGATTCCACTTGCGTCAGTTTAGGGAACATTCCGAAAGGGAGGCAAGGAGCTGGAGGGCACTTTACTAGCGGCCTCCTTGGGCTTTTGCCCTGCTCCAGCACATCTTTGAAAAGGTCTGGTGAGGTTGCCTTCCCCACCCTGTCCCCTGTAAACGGGACGATACCACTTTGCGGGAGGAGGCTGAGACTTCCTGCTCCCACGCCAGTTCTGTGAGATCTGGAACCACAAGCCTCGGGTCCTGGAGGCTCCACAGGAGGCTGAGACTTCCCTCTCCCACGTGAATTTTGTGGGATCTGGAACCACAAACCTCGGGTCCCGGAGGCTCCACGAAGCTGCTCCCACGTGAGTTTTGTGGGGTCTAGAACCACAAACCTCGGGTCCTGGAGGCTCCATGAAACTGCCTTTATAACTCACTCCTCAGTTGTTAAATGAACAGGCTACACGTTGTCTCCAAAAGTGGCAGCGCTTTCCAAGAAGGAGCATGATTCTCTGCAAACGTGCAGAATCTGCTGCAGCAGTGACCTGTTGCTATTTCCCCATTGCTACGTCTGAGTGTGCCCAGACACCCCTGGTTGGAAAGGTGGCCTCCAGTGCAAGCCCATTGCTATGTCTGAGTGTGCGCGGACACCCCTGGTTGGAAAGGTGGCCTCCAGTGCAAGTGCGCTGAGAGGTGGGACCTTCAGGAGGTAGACCGGGTGGCAAGGGCTCCTCCTGCGTGAATGGTTAACGCTGCCGCATTGCAAGTGTGAGTCTGTTACGAGTGCGAGCCTGGCCCTCCCACCTTCTGCTGTGGGGTGGTGCAGCGAATGCAGGCCCCTTGATGGCGGACTTCCTCAGGGTGGTGAGAAATACATTTCTTTTCTGAATAAATTACCCATTCTATTATAGCAACACAAAGCAGACTAAGACACTGCTAAGAAATGACTTAGAACTCGTTTGCTGCCACTGGTGAGAAGTGGGGAGGGCCAGGTCTCAGGGGCTGCCTCCCTGAACCCCCACCCAGGGGCTGCCCTTTCCTAAGTCAAAGCCTCCCATTCAGTTCTCCCCAGAGAAAGCACATGTGCTTGACACACAGTTTCTGAAATCATCGAGCAGCAAAAGTAACTCCACAAAGGTCGGAGCCAAAGGGCACTGCCAGCCTGAACACTCCTGGCCTCACTCTCTTTCTTTCAAAGTCTACACCCCATGGCAGGCACAAGCCCCTGATTTTGTCTTCCTCTGAATGCAAGCAAAACCTAAGCAGGAGAAGACAGTTAACGACTGACAACTGTTACGCTGCTGGCATTGCGATGAACAACTAAGGGAGGAAATGAGCTACCAAGAATTCACCAGGACTGCTCAGGGCCACAGGCTTCCTTGTGCTAGCTTACTTGTGCAGCTAGCTGCAGGTGCTAAGGCCTCTCAGGGCTGTAGGTCAGATGACTCACTGGCTCTTCCTCAAGTCCCTATGAAAGATGCTTTCTCATCTCCCTGGGTTTGCAAGATGAGGTGGCGGAGAGGGGAGAGACTCGGGCCACCAGCCTGGACCCCCCCCACTCCCTCCGCACCACTGCCCAGAGAGATGGTCCCAAACCGTGGCCTCCTCGTCCTGAGAGGCGGGACTCACGTGGTTCACTCCCCCTGGGATCCTCACTGAAACTCTCTCTCCCTCCTTTTTGGTAATTAGACTAGTAGGTCTGTTTGATTTATATTTAAATTCCATCTTTGCTGTCAATTTTTATACGAGTGTTCTCACAAAGTGTGTACATAACCTGTGGAATATTCGAAGCCTTTGGGCCATTTGCAAACAGCACATTAGCCACACCCAGGTGGCGCAGACGCCCGGTGGACACCTACAGACCTGCTTCAAATGCACGGAGCCCCGACGTGAGCAGCTCACCGGGAGACAGTTGGCAATTTAACACTGATACTACGCAACGAGGGCCATGCGTGTTACAGGCATCTGATGGGAACTATTTTGGGTGACACATTTGACTTGGAGCATTTATTTTACAAGTTTCTAATTCTGAGTTTCTGGGAAGTGGCCGTTGTCAGGGACCAACGGCCTCCACAAGGGAGGCTGTCCTGACGCGTCATCCTGCTGTGTGGGTAGCTGGCACCATCTGGCTTCAACGCTGGCTCACAGGAGAGATTTTCCTCTCGGAGAATGAAGTTTAAACAGGATGAGACTCGCATGGCTCGACGGGGGGCAGCAGCATTCTCAGGGTCAGCTCAGGAGTAAAACGTGCAGCCTCACGGGTGGTGCTGAGGCTGTTCCGAGAGGCAAAGAGGAGTTCCGGGATTTGAGGGTTCCAGCAGGAAGGGGCTCTTAAGGCCTATGCATTGAAATAATCAGAGAGGAGTGTCCTCCATCGCAGGCCGACACCCTCAGACCGGCACAGCCCGCCCTCCTCGGACACCAGTGTCCCCTCGCACTAATGACAAGCCGCCCTCGTGACCATGTCACTGGCACCCACAGCTGTGTCTGCACCTAAAAGCAGGGGCCATATTTTTATGCATTAATTAGTGGATTGAAAACACAACTTCAGGTGGAGCTTGGCCTACCCCTGCTCTGGACCGTCAGAGTGTTGAGACCAGCACCAACTGTGGGCTGGAACTGTCTGATGCTTCTGTGTGTTAACTCACTCAGCCCCTCGAAAACCCTATGAGATGGGTCCTAGCATCTCCCCGTTTCACAGATGGGGAGACCAAGGCACACGAAGGCAAAGCAGACCCCTCAGAGGCCTCTGGCTGACGAACGGAAGAGCCGGGACTCAGATCCTGGACGTCTGACTCCGCATATGGGCGCCCCCAGCACCACCAAGCGTGTCTGCCTCTCAACCTGCAAGGGACATCAGTAATTCACGCCATTTTAATACAGGATTGAGTGATCTAACAGAGGTTGGTGGAGAACTGATGTGGGCAACATAGTCCTTGGGAGAATCACTGAAAAAAAGGCTGAATGTGGCCGGGCACGGTGGCTCACGCCTGTGATCCCAGCACTTTGGGAGGCCGGGCGCAGTGGCTCACTCCTCCAATCCCAGCACTTTGGGAGGCCAGGGACGGTGGCTCACGCCTGCAATCCCAGAACTTTGGGAGGCCAGGGACGGTGGCTCACGCCTGCAATCCCAGCACTTTGGGAGGCCAAGGCGAGCGGATCACTTGAGGTCAGGAGTTTGAGACCAGCCTGGCCAACACAGTGAAACCCCATCTCTACTAAAAATAAAAAAATTAGCCGGGCATGGTGGGGTGCCTGTAATCCCAGCTACTCAGGAGGCTGAGGCAGGAGAATTACTTGAACCCAGGAGGCAGAGGCTGCAGTGAGCCAAGATCACGCCACTGCACTCCAGCCTGGGTGACAGAGTGAGACTCCCAGACAACAGGAGAAGCAGCAAATCACACAGGAGCAGGGAGACGGCGGCCTCAGAAGATGCAGCTCACACCGGGGCCTGAGAGAGAGTCTGGGTGAGAAAGAGGACGGGCATCCCATGGCCACCTGGAAGGCAGGAGGGTGAGACCAGGGTCATAAAGGAGAGAGGCCATTCATTTACGACAAAGCCCAGAGAGTTTCCCTGGGTGCGTCTGAAGATGGGAGCAGAAAGTGGAGCCTTAGAAATAAGAATACCTGAGCCCAGAGGGAAGTGCCCCCAAGAACTCATGTCACCCCAGAAGGAAAATAGGGCATTGGTCACCTCTGGGATGGTGCGAGGATATCTGCAGTGAGTAACCAGATATCTTCAGTGTTAAAGGAAAGTCCCCAGATTTAAGCGTCTGTGTGTGTTGTGTATATTCAGTTAATTATACACCTTACGCAATGCTGGGGTGAGAGGCCTGAATTCCAGTATTCCCGGGAGCTCTGGGGAAGTCACCCTTCCAACGATTTCTCCTGCTGTTTGGGACCAGCTCTGCTCATGAAGGTGCCAGCACCATCCGTCCCTGAGTTCATGTCCATGGCTGAGGGTGACTCCAAACACTGCCAGTGGGTTCTTCTTCCCGACTTTGCCGTTTCACTGAGTTAAAGGTCTGGCATTTACCAAAACCATCTGCCGCAACCCAGCCAATCTTCCAGAAGTGTCCTGATCTCTTCCTCTGTTGAGTATTTAAAAGTGAAGCACATTTGTGTGGACTCTCCCCAAGGCGGAGCTGCCCGAGTGCTGGGCTGCCCTGATGAGCTGGTGCTGAGACAGAAGCGGCTTTGCGGACGGCTGCACGGGCTGTGTGTTCTGCTTCCGAACTCTATCAGGTGAGCGTGGAAGACACTTCCATAGACACAGGGAGGTGCTTTACTGCTGAAGGCGACTCCTGCATGCAAACACGGCAGCATTATCTCCACGTAGAGGGAACACAGGACGCTCAGAGGGAAATTCTCGGAAAGTGGGGTGTCTCCAGCTCCTCCTTCCAGGCCTCTTCTCAGCCGTGAGGCTGCGCTCTGGGCCTCAGTCCCACCCACTGCACCGTCCTCCCCACCGCGGCATCCATGCCGGCCCCGCACCTGTCAGGATATGGGGGAGCCCTGGCCCTGAGGGCTTTCTGTGGCTCCCCAGGTCCATGTTTCCATTCTCTTTGCTCCCACCGTTTTTTCTCATGTTCTCCTTTTCACACAATATTTATTGTCTTGTCCCCTCTGTTCTGTCAAGAGCCCAGACTGTGTAACACACATTGCCTGGCCCAGAGCCCATTCGATAAATATGTGTGGAAAAAAAGAACCAAACAAGGACTCAATACCTCTCCTGCCTCTTCCATGAAATCATTGTTTTGATTCGAGAATAAAAGATGTTTGGATTAAAATGTTTCTTGAATTTTTCCATTCCTAGCCTCTTGCAAGATCATTGTGCTAGATTTTGAATGACCTACTTTTCCTTCTCAGGCCCAAGACTTCAAGAGACTATTGTGGTAACGGAGCCACAAATTAATCTTTCCATTTTCTGAAAATAGAATTCTACTTACATAAGTTTAAAAAAAATTGTTGGTGGTTAGAACAATATCATTAATATCATTTTTATTTTTCAATTAAATGATTCCAACTGTCTTCATGATAATTATTTATATTTATAGAACATCTTAAAGGGTACATTTCACACAGAAAAACACCACGTCCAGTCTCTGTCCAGCCCATGGAGGGCGACCAGAGGTGATGGTTGGCGTGGGCAGCAAGAAGCCAGGGAGGACCGAGCGGGGAGCAGGCGGGGAAGGCAGAAGGGGCGGCAGGAGGGATAGGGCAAGCCGTGGGGAGGCAGCCACCCCGTAGCAGGAGAGGCAGGGAACGCCACGTCGCTGGTACAAATGGAACAAACTCCAACGCCCGTCTAGAGTTGAAGCTTCTGGGCAGAAGGGAGCTTTATGATCCACGCCCAACCCATAGGCCCGCTCCCGCCATGCCCCCTCCTCTGGGAAAGCCGCCTGGAGTGTCCACCGCAGAACGAGTGCTGCGCTCAGCAGCACCAGGACCCGCAGGGCCCGCACTCCCCTCCGCACGAAGCTCACTGTCCACGAGGAAAGACGAGGAAATGCGGGGAAAGGAGGGCACGGGACAACACGTCCAACTGTGTAGAGGAAAGGGACCTGCGTGGGAAGGAAGGGGCAGGGGAGGCTTCGAGAAAGAGCCAGGACCGTGTAGTTGGACCCTTGGAGGGAGCTACACGTGGCCAAGGGTGCAGGGCGGCCCCAGGCTGGGGAACAGCACCGGCCAAGCTCGGGGAAGGGCGTGGACAAGGCCGGCCCGTGGAACGGAAGGGAGCATCGCACTGTTAAAAGGTCATGAAACGTCCGGGAGCCTCAGCAGGGGAGGCCGAGTGTGGAGGTTTAGAGGAAAGGAATGAGGCTGAGGCTGCCAAGGAAAAGCATGGTGTGGGGGGACCCGGAGGCCCCGCGGTGGGAGGAGCGTGGTGTGGGGGGGGACCGGGAGGCCGTGGGGTGGGAGGAGCGTGGTGTGGGGGGACCCGGAGGCCGTGGGGTGGGAGGAGCGTGGTGTGGGGGGACCCGGAGGCCGTGGGGTGGGAGGAGCGTGGTGTGGGGGTACCCGGAGGCCGTGGGGTGGGAGGAGCGTGGTGTGGGGGGACCCGGAGACCCTGCGGTGGGAGGAGCGTGGTGTGGGGGGACCCGGAGACCCTGCAGTGGGAGGAGCGTGGTGTGGGGGGGGACCGGGAGGCCGTGGGGTGGGAGGAGCGTGGTGTGGGGGGGACCCGGAGGCCCTGCGGTGGGAGGAGCGTGGTGTGGGGGGGACCCGGAGGCCGTGGGGTGGGAGGAGCGTGGTGTGGGGGGAGGAGCGTGGTGTGGGGGGACCCGGAGGCCCCGCGGTGGGAGGAGCATGGTGTGGGGGGGGACCGGGAGGCCGTGGGGTGGGAGGAGCGTGGTGTGGGGGGGACCCGGAGGCCGTGGGGTGGGAGGAGCGTGGTGTGGGGGGGACCCGGAGGCCGTGGGGTGGGAGGAGCGTGGTGTGGGTGGGGACCGGGAGACCCTGCGGTGGGAGGAGCGTGGTGTGGCGGGAACGGGAGGCCGTGGGGTGGGCGGCAGCACAGGTTGTGGCTGAGCTCGGGGCCGGGGCAGCGGCGCTTGCCCTTGGGAGGGAGAAAACAGGCAAAGGACAGGATGTGGTGAGCGTCGGCCCGCGAAACCCCGCGGCCACAGCCTGAGGAAGTCTGTAGACAACAGGCTCGGCACGAAGGAGAAAGAGCTGACGTGGCTGTGAGGTGCCGCTGGTGGGAGCAGAGCTGGGAAGGGAGCCTGGGTGTGACTGTGGGGCTGGGAGTGAGCGGGGAGAGGGACAGGAGACGGGAAGGGGCTGCTGGAGCGCAGGAGGACGGCCAGAGGTGCGCGGGCCCCCACCGCAGCCCCAGCTCCCAGATGGTGCACGGACCAACCACTCAACAATCAGCCTGTGAGTTTTCGGAAGAACAGAGTCTTGGGCCACGGAGCCAACAGGTTCCTCCTGCAGGTGGCCATTTACGCTACACTCACCCCAAGGCCCCAGCCAGGAGCGTGGCCTCAGTGCAAGAAGCCACGGGGCCTAACACGAGCCACACCGAGAGGTTTCTGGGCCTGCAGGTAACCCTGCTGTACCCCCCTAGCCTCTGGCATAAGTGTTTGTGAGGGGCCTTCGGGGGCTGGTCCCCGTGCAGGCTGACCGCGGTGGAGTTTGCTCAGTGTGTGATGAGGCACATGTGTGTACGTAACTGAGCCCACGTGTGAGGGCGAGGACCATCCGTGCCGGGGCCTCCTGTTGAGCAGCCACGAGACATCACCTCACCCGGCACATGGGCGGCCGCTTCCTCTTGGGCCTGGAATCCTGACAGCCAAGGCTTTGGGGCCGTGCCTCGCCCTCTTTCACAGGCATCTGGCCCTGGACTGTCCCCGCCGGGCGGCAGTGTAGGCTCCCCGGGGAGGGGCAAAGGTCCCACTTGGTGCAGGCAGCTCTGCACGTCTGATGAGACACCAGCTGGGCTGGGTGCGGTGGCTCACGCCTGTAATCCTAGCACTTTGGGAGGCCGAGGCGGGCGGATTGCTTGAGCTCAAAGTTAGAGACCAGCCTGGGCAACATGGTGAAACCCTGTCTCTAAAAAAAGTTAGCCAGGCGTGGTGGTTGGTGCTATAGTCCCAGCTACTCAGGAGGCTGAGGCAGGAGAATTGCTTGAACCTGGGAGTTGGAAGTTGCAATGAGCCGAGATGGAGCCACTGCACTCCAGCCTGGGGGGACAGAGCGAGACTCTATCACCAAAAAAAAAAAAAAAAAAAAAAAAAAAAAAAAAAAAAAACTGCGATCTGAGGCTTCCTCCTGCTGCTGGCTTCCCCTGGGGACTCACTGAGCCAGGGTCTCCATGCATCACGGCATCGGTGGCAAAATCTCACCAGCACTCAGGCAAAGCAAAGCTCACCTCCTCCCTCCTGAGCTGGCTGCACACGCCTCTGCTTCCATTTCCTGTAGGTTTTATTCAGCAGGAGTATTTCTAAACTGCAACATACAAAGTATCTAAAAACAGATTTTTATTCTTCTCCACCTTCTTTTTTTTTTAAACAAAGCTAACTTACATCTTCCCTTAATGATAATTGGTTTGAATGTCATTTTCAGAGAGTGACTTTTAAAAAGTACTTGTCATTTTAAATGAGTCTCTGCATAATTGCACTGGATTCTCTTGAGAACGTGGCTTTGACTCAGCCTTGGTTGCCCACGGCCAGGAGCCCATGGGCCTGGCTCTTTCCGAGACAGAGCTGATTTCCGGAACGCTCTTATCGGCCTTCTGCGGTCTGGGCCTGAGCTTTGTGGTCTGGCGGGGCCTTGGCCAGGCCGTCCCCACTTCCTACCACGCTCCCGCCTTCGCCCCTGGCTCTAGTCTTTCCTTTGACCTAATTTTAATGTCACTGCATGGCCACCTGTGCTCCAGATTCACACACAGCCACTCCCCTGCTTTTTATTCCCTTAGATTTTGCCCGAACCCAATCTTACTGTTAAAACACACATACAGACACACAACAGACAAAAGCTCACATCCCTTGTGACACCACCCAGTGCTCCCCTGACACTGTGACCGGTGCGTTTGTGCCTTCCTGCGTGTGGCCTGCATGTCTTCGTCTGCCATGCCCACGCTGTGATGTGCCCAAGTGCTCCCCACAGCTGCAGCCTTGCTCCCCCACGTCCTGCGGGTGGGCACTCCCTCTGCTCCCAGGGGATCTCTGGCATGACCTCTGTCATGACGTCTGCCATGGTCTCTGACATGGCCTCCACTGTGGTCTCTGACGTGGCCTCTGCCGTGGTCTCTGCCTTGCCAATGTTTCAGCTGCTTCCCTGCTCATCATCCCCTGCTCATCGTCCATTCTTCCCTAGGGTAAATGCTGAGAAAAGAAACTGATGCATCACAGAGTCAGTGCAATTTTAATGTAATCAATTTGATGAATTTATTTTGAGATGACGAATTCTGACTTTTTAAAAAACCATTTATGCACCAATTTCCTCTAATGTTTGACATTAAACGTTTTCATTTCTTCTAATCTAATGGGAAAAAAATCAGACTGTTTTCCATTGCAGTTCCCTGATCTGTTGTGAGATTGTGCAGCTTTTAAATGCTTCTTGGTAATTTGCATTTCTGCTTTTGTAAGTTTTGCTCATATTTCTTTGGCCATTTTCTTCACAGCTGTGTGTTCTCCCCACAGCGGAGGAATTGTCTTCTCGCACCTGTGAAGTGCTATTGGATTCACCCACTGTGCCAGCCCCTTCCTACGAACAGTCGGTCTCACTCTGCTACTCGTGTCTCGAGGCTTCTCTACACGCCCATCATATTGATGCTGTCGTACTCATGGTTCTTTTCTTTTGTGCCAGTTTTTCTGTTATATGCAAGAAGATGCTCTCTGCCCGCAGGACCATACGGACACTCTTCTTTCTCCCGTCACGTTGGAATTCTTGTTTCTCTGCTTAGAGCTTTAACCTCAGTGGGATCCAGTTTTGTGAATGGTGTAAATGAGGGATTTGGCTCATTTACTGGCTGTGAGTCCTGTGCCCAGAGCTACACTTCCCGTGAGCATGTTTGCCACTTAATGCCGGACACCGGCCCTGCTCCCGGCCCTGCTCCCGGCCTTGCCCCCTGGTCTGCCCCCTGCCCTGCTCCCGGCCTTGCTCCCTGCCCCCTGCCCTGCCCCCTGCCCTGCTCCCTGCCCTGCTCCTGGCCTCTGCCACTTTTCACAGTCTTCTGTCCCAGGTCTGCCACTTACCTGCCCAGCAGGGGTGAGATCCCTCAGGGAGTCGGAGATAGAGCCTCTTCCTGTCCTTCCAAGGGGAGCAGTGTATGGAGGCTTTGGAGGATGTTTCTGACAACACTGGGGTGTGCACCGTTCCAGCTCCCAGGTTCCAAGGTGGAAGTCACCAGAAGGAAGAACAGAAGCAAAGACAATGCCAGGCTAAAGCAGGAGCCCACCCTTCCTGTCTGGGGGCCGCACCCGGGGCTGCTGACCTGGTGGCTACTCAGCATGGTGCCTGAGCGTTCACAGACGTTGAGTGACCCTGAGCGTTCACGGGCACTGAGTGACCCCACTGCCCTCTTTGGAAGCGTCCTGGGGGCAGATTTGCCGTGGTCCTTGTGCAGCCGATGTCTGTCCCACCTGGAGCGACTGACCCACCTGTGGTGATGGGGTGGATGGAGACAGGCCCTCTGTTAGAGGCAATCGGAGCAAATTATCAAACTCTAAAGCCAGAGGACCCTTAGGGCTTCACTGAGTGGTGGCAGGAGCCACGTGACACAGCCGGAAACCCCATCCATGCCCTGGGGAGATTTTCCCTTGGTGAGGGACCCTGCAGTGCGGCCCAGCCTTTCAGCCTTTCTGGTAAATTGCACCAGGGAATATGTTAGGACTTATCTGTATCAGGTGCCTCATCATCGGTCAACGCTGCGTCACCCTGGGCAGTCACAACACCACACAAACTCACGACAGCACCACGCAGCTCACAACAGCACCACACAAGCTCACAACACCACACAGTTCACAACAGCGCCACACAGCTCCCGACAGCGCCACATAGCTCACAACTGCACCACACAGCTCACGACAACACCACACAGCTCCCGACAGCACCACACAGCTCACAACTGCACCACACAGCTCACGACAACACCACACAGCTCACGACAGCACCACACAGCTCACGACAACACCACACAGCTCACGACAGCACCACACAGCTCACGACAACACCACACAGCTCACGACTGCACCACACAGCTCACGACTGCACCACACAGCTCACGACTGCACCACACAGCTCACGACAACACCACACAGCTCACAACTGCACCACACAGCTCACGACAGCACCACACAGCTCACGACAGCACCACACAGCTCACAACTGCACCACACAAGCTCACAACAGCGCCACACAGCTCACAATAGCACCACATAGCTCGTGACAGCACCAAACATGCTCACAACACCGCACAGCTCACAACAGCACGACACAAGCTCACACCACCACACAAGCTCACAACAGCAACACACAGCTCACAACAGCGCCACACAGCTCATGACAACACCACACAGCTCATGACAGTACCACACAAGCTCACAATAACACCACACAAGCTCACAACAGCACCACACAAGCTCACAACAGCACCACACAGCTCACGACAGCACCACACAAGCTCACGACAGTACCACGCAGCTCACGACAGCACCACACAAGCTCACAACAGCACCACACAGCTCACGACAGTACCACGCAGCTCACAACAATGCCATGCAAGCTCACAACAGCCCCACACAAGCTCATACCACACAGCTCACAACAGCACCACACAAGCTCACAACAGCACACAAGCTCACAACAGCAACATGAAGCTCACAACAGAACCATGCACTTCACAAAAGCACCACACAGCTCCCAACAGCACCATGCAGCTCACAACAATGCAATGCAATCTCACAATAGCACTACACAAGCTCACAATAGCACCACACAAGCTCACAACAGCACCACACAAGCTCACAACAGCGCCGCACAGCTCCCAACAGCGCCGCACAGCTCCCAACAGCACCACGCAGCTCCCAACAGCACCACACAAGCTCACAACAGCGCCGCACAGCTCCCAACGGCACCGCGCAGCTCCCAACGGCGCCACACAAGCTCACAACGGCACCACGCAGCTCACAATGGCACCACAGAAGCTCACAACAGCCAACTGCGGGCTTGACATTGCTTTGTTTTGTTTGCTTTCTAGCTTTCCTTTATTCTGTTTCTGCTGTCTTTCCTGGACCAGCAAGGTGGCTAACTAGGAATTCGTATCGCAGCTGTCACGATCTCTTTCGTGTCTATAGCATGAACTGCGATTTCCTTCCCTCCTGGGCTGTGTTGTGGAAAAGATGAGCCCACGGAGGGTGTCTGGAATAAACGGGGAATCCTCCCACCAGCACGCCCGCCTCTGCTGGGAGCATGAGGCAGCACGATTCTCTGGGCGGCAGCTTGTCTCCACCGCGGGGCTCTAACCGATCTGCCACCAGAGCCACTGACGTCCTTCCCCAGCCAGGAGCCTCTGCAGTCCCTGCTCCCACCCTCAAGGGCACACGAGTTCAGAGTCATTCCCAGGTTGCACGGAGCAGTTTGAGGAGGGAATGGATGGGGTCTCCTCCCGTCGAATGGCTCCCCTGGCTCCTCTGCAGGTCAGCACCTTGGAAAGGCACGTGGGTGTCAGCGCAGCCGCAGGCCCAGCCTGTCTGCCTCCTGGAGGCCCCAGGCATGCTGCCTCTTCCCCTGTTGCCCTGGCCCTGGGGAGCTCTGGTGCCGTCTGCCTCATCCCCGAGGCAACGTCTCTGCTGCTGGACCAAACACGGCCTGAGTCCCTCGCAGCCTATGCTCTGCCCACAGACACCAGATCCACAGTTAGAACAAACGTGTGTGCCTTGGCCTGGCTGTAGGGCCTGCCAAGCGTCTGGGACTCATGAAGGGCTCCGGGATTTCAGCTCTGGTCCAGTCCACTGGCCTGAGCCAGCTGCAATGGGCTGCAGGGGAGTGGGGGAGGCAGGCTCGATCAGAACCACAGCCTGGGAGGGCCTGGCTGGGAGGCCCCTGCTCCCAGAAACTCACCTTCTCCCAGAGGGGTCTCTGTCCAGCAGGCGAGCCTGGCCCCAGGCCTCTCTGCAGCAGGCATGGACTGGCTGGGTGACCCTCAGGGAACTGTAGCTGGTGTTCAGCAGCACTGCCGTGCTAGGCTCCACCTCCCACCTGGCGCGGCGCCTGCTCCCCAACTCCCCTTGTTCCCAAACCTCCCCCTGAACCAGCCTCATGTCCCCCAACCATTGGGACCAGAGTGGCAGCTGACTGCAGGTCCCAGCATCCCAGGACAGCCCGCCACGCGCTGGGAGCCACGGCCGAGCTCCTTCCATTCCGGTTCACACCCAGACCGTCCGAGCTCTGCCCATCAGCCACCACGCGCTGGGAGCCACGGCCGAGCTCTTTCCATTCCGGTTCACACCCAGACCCTCCGAGCTCTGCCCATCAGCCACCACGCGCTGGGAGCCATGGCTGAGCTCCTTCCATTCCGGTTCACACCCAGACCATCCGAGCTCTGCCCATCAGCCACCACGCGCTGGGAGCCATGGCTGAGCTCCTAGGGCCTGCAGATGAACCAGTTCCTGAGCTGGGGCTGGGGACGGGCAGGCCAGGAGCCGGAACCTCTCAGTGTACTGCATGCATCTACACCCCACAGTGGGGAGGAGTGAAGGGTCTTTCTCTTATTCCCTCTGGGCTGCTGAATTTGTTGTATTTTTTATAGTTTGAAGAAGAGAATAGGCACAGACTCCCCTGCCAGCCAGCCAGACACCTCCTGCCATGTTTCACGTGTGGCATCTGACCCCAGCTTTGGTTCAGCAGTCAGGAGTCACCCTGGTGGCTGGGAGGCCAGGGACCCCCTACCTGGGAATCCTAAGTCCTTTGCTTTGGGAAGGCTCATTGCCTTTGAAACTGGCCCTCCATTCCCACTTAATCAAGGAGGAGGAGCTTTGTCTGAAGTGCGGAGATGGCCGTGGTCCCGATGGATGGGCTGCTATTGGACACAGCAATTTGTGGGCAGGAGACTGGACTCCACGAGCATCTGAGCCAGGCACTGCAGGCCTGCGTCTACCCATCCTGGGCTGGAGGGGAGGCAGGGCTGGTGTTCGAAGGGGTGGAAATAGGACTGAGGGCTCTTCTCGGAGAAGGGGATGCTCTTGCCTGCTGCCTTCCATGTTCGAAGGGGTGGAAATAGGACTGAGGGCTCTTCTCAGAGAAGGGCATGCTCTTGCCTGCTGCCGTCCTTGGAAAGGCTCCCCACCTGGCCAGCACCCTCTCGGGGGTCCAGGGATCTCCAGCCTGTGGGCAGTCGGCCAAGCCCCTTGGGAAAATGAGCCCCTGGGCAGGAGGTGAGGAGGCACAGAGGTTGGTCCCCCTCAGAACGTCGGCCACCATGACTGAGGCACTGACCGGGGAGGGCACTTGGCCTCGGGCTGTTGTCCAGCCCCCTGCGCTTGTTCCTGCAGCAGAGGCTGCAGTCACTCCCCTTCTGACTCGCCCTTCCCTTTCCTCCATGCCGCCCTGCGCACGGCCCCTCCGAAGGTCGGGCCAGACCTTCCCCTGTGAGGTCTCCAGGGTTCCGCTCTGGGGAGGGCTGTGTTCTAAGGACCACTGTCCTTGCCCTGCCAGCACCTCTGCAGTTGTGAGAGGCCCCTTCCTTCTCTGCAGCTCAATGAGCATGGGGACCTCAGCCCAGCCTTCTTTCTCCCTCCGGAGGCCACACATCTCTTGAGCCAGTCGTGGCCTCTTCCACAGCCAACTTGTCCTTGTGGCCCAGTCTGGCCTGGAGCCAGCAGTAAATGTGACCCCAGCTTGGGAACAGAGTGCGGGCCCTGGAGCTTTGGGGATTGTGAGGGAACAAGGCGGCCAGGCCAGGTTCTCCCAGCGGTTAAAAGGCCCACCCCTTCCCGGGTCTCAATTCTGGGCTGATTTCCCCAGGACAGCATTCTTGTGTCAACTCGCTGTTACCCCAGCTGACGGCCTCACATCTGCTGAGGCAATGCCACCTCTCCAGAGTGAAAAGCTCCTAAGACAGAGCCATTCTCCCCGAGTTGATTATTCCCTTGAATTGTTATAAATCTCCCCTTGCTATTTCTCTCTGAACATCATTTATGAGCACCTTGCGTCTCCGTCGATGAGAAAGTGCATTAACCCTGCAGGCTGTGTCTGGGAAGGCTCTGCCCTAATCCGTTCAGAACCAAGGCCTCGGCACCTACAGCTTCGTTTCTGGTCCTTTTTCAGACCATTCCCAGTGCCTTCCTCTCCCTCCCAGCCCTGGGCCCTCCCAGCCGCCCTCCGCGCAGGCAGCCTGGAGCCACCTCCAGGAGGGCTGGCCGCCACTGTAATTACAGGCGCCTCTCCGCGCCCTGGGGCTCGGCTCTGCAAATTAAACTGTTTTCTGCTTTTTATCTCCATCTTCGCAGCTCTCCTTCTGACTAATAAGTCCAGCAACTGGTGATGCTCTTCCAATGCTTTTACTAGGAAGCCTGAGCTTTAATTTTCTGACAATCACAAAGGCCCCTGGAACAGCAGCCTGTGCACGCTCAGCCGCTCCTGAGGTCAGCTGCGAGCACGTTGATGGGGAAGGCTCTGAACGTGTTTCTTCTCAGAGCCTCTAAATCACATCTTCCCTTCATTGTAGACGCGGACGGACGGCACAGTAATGGGGTCTGTGGGAGGCTGTGCTCACACCCGCAGCTGCAGGATAATCGCCTCCTTCAGCAGGGCTGGGGGAGCTCAGTCCTGCCTTTCTCCCAGGGAACCTGGGGTAGAGCCCTCGGCACATTCATAAAACGATGAACAATTACCGCGCCTGAAGACCTCTATCATCAACCAGGGGAAACGACTGTTTTTCTGTAGCCTGTGAATTCAGCTTTTATGACTAAATGACTACTTAAACCTCAGAACTCTAAGCATTACCATTTGCTTCCTAAAAATAGCTGTCTCCTCTGGTCCATATTTAGAACAGAAAATACACTGGGAGGAGGGGGCCCGTCACAGCCCCTGCTGCCCCACCTGGCAGGGCCTCCTTAACCCTTCCCCACTCTGAACCAGCCCTATAGGCTTAGAGAAGGGAGGACGGGTGTGTTTTTCCCCAAGAGACAAAAGTTAACCTGAAACACAAAGGTCATTCTCAGATGAGCCAGCTCCTTCCAGACAGAAAGAGCACTGGGACCACGCACAACACTTCCAGGAAGTCTCGGGCCTTTCTAGGCCTCGGTTTCCCCACATGCAAAACAGCTCTGGCATCTCCGCTCTGCGTGTTTCCCCGTCCTGGGGGAGCGTGACCTCTGCAGCCCTGCCAGGAGGGCTAAGGTGCGGATCCCGCATGTCGGGGAGTGGTCAGCAGCCTGGTGTGGGAGTCACCCTGTCCCTTGCAGGAAGAGCACGCCAGACGGAAGTGAGGCAACGCGGCTAACCTGAGGGAGAGGAGGCTTTCCTGCATGTGAAGTTACCCTGCCGGAGTTCTGGAAGAAAAGAACACACATCCCCCAATGGCGGTGTGTCCTCCTCCTCCCTGCGGGACCCTGATTCCCGTGTCACCCTTGCTCAGGAAACAAAGGAGCCGACACCTGGAACTGACTCCAGGCAGAGGCCTGCACCTTCCTGGAAATACAGAGAGTGAGGGGCACTGGCCAGCAGAGCTCCCAGGGGAGGGCAGGGCTGCAGAGAGAGCCACCAAGAGAGTGGCGGGCGGGAAGAGCAGGGCAGGGAGAAGATGTGATTCCTGCAGCTGCAAACAGCAGCTCCCGTGGGCGGGCACAGAGATACAGGCCCTCTCCACAGTCACCCTCAGGACTAACCCTGAGAACCAGGGAGCCTCCTTGCCTCTATCAGAGCAGGGAAAACAGGGCCCTGCCACAGGGACAGCTTCCGTGCATGAGGCTGCCTGTCCTGGTCCAAAAGTAGAACATCTGACCCAGCAGTCAGGACATGCTCACTGTGAGGGCACACACCCAGGGAGGACATCACTCACAGAGCCACCAGTGACCCCAGCAGAGTCAGTACATGCTCCCCATGAGCACACACACCCAGGGAGGACATCACTCACAGAGTCACGGGTGACCCCAGCAGAGTCAGGACATGCTCACCGTGAGGGTGCACACCCAGCAAGGACATCACTCACAGAGCCACTGGTGACCCCAGCAGAGTCAGGACATGCTCACCGTGAGGGCACACACCCGGCGAGGACATCACTCACAGAGCCTTCGGCGACCCCAGCAGAGTCAGGACATGCTCACAATAAGCACACACACCCGGTGAGGACATCATCCACAGAGCCACCGGTGACCCCGGCAGAGTCAGGACATGCTCCCCATGAGCACACACACCCGGCGAGGACATCACTCACAGAGTCACGGGTGACCCCAGCAAAGTCAGGACATGCTCCCCATGAGCACACACACCCGGCGAGGACATCACTCACAGAGCCACCGGTGACCCCGGCAGAGTCAGGACATGCTCACCGTGAGGGTGCACACCCAGCGAGGGCATCACTCACAGAGCCATCGGTGACCCCGGCAGAGTCAGGACATGCTCACAATGAGCACACACACCCAGCGAGGGCATCACCCACAGAGCCATCGGTGACCCCAGCAGAGTCAGGACATGCTCACCGTGAACACGCACACCCGGCGAGGGCATCGCCTGCAGAGCCAGCAGTGGGGATAATCCTGCTCCTTGACCCAGCTTGGAACTTCAGATAGCTTCAGTCAAGGACCGTGGGAGTGTGAGGTTTTACCCAACGTGCAAGCTGAGTAGACAGCCTGCCGTGGCTTCATCGTTATGGGAAGAAGACTAGACCCCTGGGTTGGAGACGTCCTGAGACCAGCTCCCAGCCCGGGTCCCACCAGCAATGCACAGGGGCCCGGCAGACACCTGCAAAGGGCGCCAGCCCTCAAGGAGCCGCATTCCTCCTGCCGCCCCGGCACAGCCGTCCTTTGCTCCTGAGGAAGCTGCCACCTTCCAAGCCGTTCGCCGCACAACGTCCTTGAAAAGAAAGGCAGTCGGTGTGTCTGCCAGCACTATGATGTTCCCCGTCTCTGTTTCCCACGTTGTGGGGAAACGGGAAGTAACCCAGAAGCCCCACAGTCGGGAGTTGGTGAAGTCACTGAATGATGCCCGCACAATGGCCGTACACACACAGGGCCATTTAAAATACGGTGCAGAAGCATTTTCAATAACCCGGGAAGGCAAGAAGACTATGTCGCAAAGTGAAAACAGGAGACAAGTTTATACGACAGATTTCCATTCCAGACCAGGGAGATCACACAAACATAGAACACAAAATAAAATGGCGACGAAGTTATTGGAGCAGTGGGTTTCTGCGTGGCTTCTGTTTTGCTTCTGCATTTTATACACTAGCAAAGTATAATAAAATGCATTGTTTTAGCAAAAATGAGTAAATACATTAATATCTTTAAAGACAGGCCTGTTGGTTCTCGCACAGGGCAAAGCAGTCGCCGTGGACACGGGGTCAGGCCTGACCTCACTGAGCCCAGGCACCACACTGCCCTTGGCTGGCTGGTCGGCAGAGTTCACGGTCAACCCTGGATGAAGTCGTTTGACAAAGAGGTGATTACAGTCAGCCAGAAAAGCCTGTGTTTTCCACCTTTTCCTGTGGTCTCTGAGCTACTCATCTTTAAGGTGGTTTGTACCTCCAAAGAACAGGTCACTCCTGGCGCAGAGCTCCACACGGAGAGGAAGCTGCGTCTGCTTCTCTTCAGAGCAAATGAGCTGCCCACGCTCCTACTTAATGGGACAAAAACACCCAAGATCTGATTGACGTCCCTCCTGTTCCCAATTGCATCCTAATTGCCAATGAGACTTTTAGCTAATCACAGAATGGTAGGCCCAGGGTTTAGAGGAAATGGCCATGAAGGGAAAAATGAAGAGTTTTACTGAGAAGCACTAGGAATATTCAAAAGTGTCAAAACACCCTCCAGAACGTGAGGAGAGAGAAGCTCCAACAAGGTGACACACAGCTGCCCTATCAACTCTACGGAAGGTTGGATAGCATAGAGGAAGGAAAGAAGAAGGAGGGAGAGAGGGAGAAAAGAGGTTTGCAGGTCCCTCTGCCCCTTCAAACCGAACCCTCCACCTCCCTCTGTTGTAAGTTGCTCTAAAACAGTTTCCCTTCCCCACTCAGATGCAGCCCGTCCTCATCCCCGCTGCCCCTGGGATGGCTTCACCTGCCCCAGTGGGCTGCGATCTGCTGGAAGGGTCTCCCACCCCTCCCACTCCACTCTGCAGAACTCAGGCCGCGTGAACCTAGCCAGGCCCCCACCTGCTGGAACCTGACTTTGAGAACCCCCGCCCACCCCAGCCCAGATCGATATCCTACAAATTAGATAGCACTTGTTCCTCATCTTCTCAAAGCCTCCAGGGCCTCCCTATGCCCTGCCCCTACCCGTGTCTTCAATATGTCGCCCGTTCTAGGAACATGGGCCCTTGCTGCCCCTGCTGTCTGAAGCCCCCAGCCTTTCTCCTGCCTTGAGCTCCCAACTCCTCCTTGCCCTCAGCTGCTGGCATTGAATTTAGCTCCTCAGTATACATTGTCTTTTCTTAAGTAACGATTATTGTTATTCCACGTCTAGATTGTGAATTCTCTGAAGGAAAAGACATATATATAGGAAATCCCCTAAAATGTATCAAATGATTGGAACAGGGAATGGAGGGTGATATGGTTTGGCTCTGTCCCCACTCAAATCTCATCTCGAATTGTAACCCCCACAATCCCCACGTGTGGAGGGCGGGACCTGGTGGATCATGGGGGCAGTTTCCCCCGGGGTGTTCTCGTGATAGTGAGGGAGTTCTCACGAGATCTGACGGTTTTATAAGGGGCTCCTCCCACTTTGCTCCTCACTCTGCTCTCTCCTTTCACCTTGTGAAGAAGGTGCTGCTTCCCCTTCCGCCATGATTGTAAGTTTCCTGAAGCCTCCCCAGCCATGCGGAACTGTGAGTCAATTAAGCCTCTTTCCTTTATAAACTACCCAGTCTCGGGCGGTTTTTTATAGCAGTGTAAGAATAGACTAATACAGGAGGTCAGGTGGAGTTTACCTCAAAAACAGTAAAGCAGCACAAAATATGGCCTTGCACTTAAGAAAATTAACATAGGTTTGTCAGTCAAAAAGAAGTCACATTTACATTGTGCGCAAGACAAATGTTGTCCCTAACTGCTGAGAGAATGCCGCTGATAGGTGGAAAAATCCCAGCGTGAAGGAGGTTGAAAGGAAGGAAAGGGGTAGTTGTGGGGAGGAAGTGAGGACCTGGGCAGCAAGTCCACCCCCTGCACTCCCTCAGACTTGGTCAGCCTTGACCCCGTGGTTCACAGGGTCCTGTCCTTGGACTCTGCCTCCGGCTCAGCCAACAACACTGTGAGTAGGAAAATCCACATCTTCTGGCCCATCCCCTTGTGCTGTGGTGGGAGCGGGGCTGGGCAGAGGTGAGAGTAGCAAGGCCGTAGATGCCCCATGTCCCTGACAAGAAGCCTGAGGCCCAGGAGGAGCCCGATCCTGGGACACTGGCCGGGAGGCCATGGGAAGCCGAGCACAGAGCTCGTAAGAGTGGAAGCAGGGCCACCTCAGGTGGTCACGGGGCCCCGATGAGTGTGCACCATGGCTGCTCCAGGGACCCGCCCTCCAACTTCCAGAAAAATCACTGCTGATCACAGAGGAAAAATCCCTCAAAATTAAAGCTTCCAACCCTGCCACTGCTGCAAGGGAGCTGTGGGTGTCACATGAGTAGGGCAGGACAGCCCAGGGCAGAGAGCAGTGTCCACAGGGACCGGGGGTGGCGGTGATGTCCCTGGGGACTGAGGACTGGGGTGGGTGGCATGGTGCATCTGGAGTCGGCCATGGCATTCTGTGGATTTCAGCTGCTCCAGAGTCCTGGGAACGGTGGTGTTTGGGTAAAGCAGCTTCTCTCGTGAGCCCTGAACTGCACCTACAGCATCACTGCAGCATTTAAACCCCCGCTGACCACATGGATCAAACATTATTATTCCTTTTCATCCAATTTCTTATAAAGAATTGACAGAGGGAGAACTCGTCCTTACCCCTCCACTAGCGAGCAAAGGACCCTGGTTTGAATTTGCATGTGATGGCTGCACCCCACCCCCCGCCTTTGGCCTGCTGCAGGATTCTCTTGAATTCAGCCGCTCCCTGTGCTGGATCTGATGGCCCCATCTGCCATTTCCGTGTCTTCCTCTCTGTCTGCCTGGTGTCCTCCTCTGATGACTCTGGCTGTGCTGAGCCTCCTCTGGGGTGACCGCAGCAGGAGGAGGGGACTCCAACATGGGCTGGTTCTGCCATTTGTCAGCAGTTGCAGAAATTGGGTTGAGGTGAGAGGGAGGAGACGTTCAAGTAACATAAGCTTTTTGCATTTTTAAAACATCAAAAGGGAACAGTGCCAAATGTTGGCACTGATGTGGGGCAATGAGAACTCTCCTAATCCTTGGAGGAGCTGTGAAAGGCTACACATGGGTTGAAAAGAGTTTGCCGGTTTCTTACAAAAATAAATACACACTTATCCTAGGACCTGGCAATTCCAATCCTGGGTATTTACCCAAGAGAAATGAAAATATATGTCCAAGTCTAAAAGATGTGTAGAAGAATGTTCATAGCAGCTTTATTCCTAACAGCCCAAACCTGGGGACGGCATATGGCCAACTCCAGAGGAGGGTAAACTGTGGGACCTGGCTCACCAATGAGGAGCCCAGACTGCTTCAGACGCTGGGTGCTCCCCACTCAGGACTGCACACCCTACGTTTCCGTTTATGAGATGTCCTAGTGCAAGCACGAACTAATCAGTGGTGGAAAAGCTTCTGGGGATTGAGCAAAGCCTGGCGGGGAGAGGACCGGAGGGCTCTTCCAGGCTGGCCTGCCCAGGCCCCTCATCCGATCTCCCAGCCCCGGGGGCAGCCGCGGAACCCATGTGGAGAGGAAGCCCTGTGCAGGCAGCAACCGGGGACCCACGTCTGGCCTCTGCCCACATTCCCCAGATGTGTGGGGGTCCTGGGCTGAGGCTTTTGAGGGCGTTTTGTTGTGACATTCTTCCTGCTGCCCCGGGGCCAGGGCCACATCTCTGTAAAATCTACGCTGAGCCCACTGCATCTGCGCGGCTCTGAATTGGGGTTCCTGTTCAGTTACCACGGACCCAGGGATGACTGAAGCTGAGCTCCTTCCTGAGGAAGACCCATATGGGCTCCGTCTCGCAGCAGGCCTCGCTCCTCCACCTCCATCAGGCCCAGCCAGGAAGTTGCTTCTACTGACAAAACATGAGCAGCAGGGATGCCCTAGGCCAGCTCCGCAGAAGCACAGCAGTGTCGTCAGTAAAAGAAATCGCGGTCACTAGACGGGGCCCCTCGCCAAGCCTGTGCAGACCCCTGACCATCCTTACAGGAAACGTGGTCACCACCGAGGAAGAACTCACTGCTGTCAGGAAGTGCGTGTCCCTCCAGGTAGGCGTTCTGAGACCGTGGGGGTACAGAGACCAGCCAACGGCAAAAAGCAAAACAAAATCAATTTGCCAGGATTTATATTTTCTGCTTTACTTTATCTTCTTTCTTTTTTTAGAGACAGGTTCTCACTCTGCCACCTGGACTGGAGTGCAGAGGCACCATCACAGTTCCCTTCATTCTTGAACGTGTTGGCTCAAGGGATCCTCCCACCTTGGCCTCCCAAGTAGCTGGGACTCCAGGCACTTCCCACCATGCCTAGCTGAACTTTTTTTTCTTTTTCTTTTTCTTTTTTTTTTTTTTTTGAGACAGAGTCTTGCTCTGTTGCCCAGGCTGGAGTGCAGTGGTGCAATCTCGGCTCACTGCAACCTCCATCTCCTGGATTTGAGCTATTTCCTGCCTCAGCCTCCTGAGTAGCTGGGATTACAGGGACAGCCACCACACCTGGCTAATTTTTGTATTTTTAGTAAAGACAGGGTTTTGCCATGTTAGCCAGGATGGTCTTGAACTCCTGATCTCAGGTGATCCGCCCGCCTCCACCTCGGCCTCCCAAAGTGCTGGGATTACAGGTGTGGACCACCACGCCTGGCCTGCGCCTAGCTGATATAATTTTTTTTTTTTTTTTTTTTTTTAGAGATGGGGTCTCACTATGTTGCCCAAGCTAGTCTCAAACTCCTGGCCTAAAGCAGTCCTCATGCCTCAGTCTCCTAAAGTGCTGGGATTACAGGCATGAGCCACCGCATGGGCATAATTTATCTTCTACAGGGACAAGAGAGAAAGGTCTCTAGGTGCCAAGTGTTCAGCTTCACACAGGGACTGACTCCCTAAGGGCTTTTTTAGGAAACCCACTAATTTTTTTTACCCAACCTCTTCATCTTTCACCCTGGAAGCTAGAAAGCAGCCCCAGGGACTCTGCTACAATTTCTGTCTTGTTGCTTTGAAAATTGCCAGGTCCTTGCCAGATATTTGATCAGCATGTTTTGCTACCCATTTTTCTCTTGAATTAATCTTTTGTTGCCAATAAGTTCCATAAAAAATGTGATTTATTCTAAAGTCAGGAAACAGGGTAAAAACTGGGTAAAGTCAGAATTATCCTTAAAAACTGCACAGATACTACCTTTTGGAGACCAATAGACCATCATGCAAAAATTTCAGCCAGTTCTTCTTTCAGTGCTAAAAGAGATTATGGATTCTTTGGTTAAACACCAGGTGAAGTAATTGACTTGCATTTAACAAATATTATTATATGAAATATATCGTTTAGAAAAATGTTGGACTTCACATGCGGAAGATTGTGTGAATCATACTCCACCTGGCGTTTTTACAGCATTTAGATATTTGCCTATTCATTTATTTCTTTTTACCCCCATCTCCCACTCCAATTTTCTCTTCTCCCCCACCATGAGCATGTTTCAGATGAACATGCCCTAATTTGAAGATGTTCTTACAAAACACACATTGTTGACTGTGTATTGTATTTTTAGTGTACACAAATTTTCTTGAGCTATGGATTCATTCTGGCTTTTACTTTTTGTCTAGGATTGCACTGAATTTACAGGTGGTCCTGATGAGAACTGACGTCTTTAAAATATCGTCATCACATCCAAGATCTCTCCACATAATGTCTTTCTGGATACTTAGAGCTTCTTTGTTGTTCTTTCACAGATTTTTATCTTTTTCCCCACAGAGGAGTTGTTACATGAACTTCTCAGATACTTTTGATTTTCGTTGCTGTTGTGAATGCATCTTATTTTTATTGTATTTTTTGGTTGGTGACTGGGCTAAGCCTCTAATGTTGTAAGTTTATGTTAATCTGGAACACTCGTCTCTTTCCTCATGGCATCAGAGAGGATATTAGTACTATTTTAAACTATTTTGGTATTATTTTTGTATTCTTTCCCATCTTATGAAGAACATTTTCTTTATCAAGATAGAGTTTGCAGTATATTTAAAGTATACAACTTTGCAAAGTTAAAGGCCTCTATATCTGGCTTTTAAAGAGTTTTTATTGTAAATAGGTATTGAACATCATAAATTGGTGTTGAATAATGTTGAACATTGGTAAATGCTTTTTCTGCATCTACCAAGGTAATCATATGATTTTTCTGTAAGTTTGTCAATATTGTATTGAAAAATTTTTCTGATGTTGAACTGTCCTTGCATTCCTAAGATAAGCCCTACTTGATCATTATGCATTGCTGTTCGAATATAATGTTGGATTCCATTGAATAATATTTTATTTTAGTTTTTAAAAATCTACATTCACCAGTAAAATGAACCTAAAATTTTCTTTCCATGTGTTACTTTTATCTGGTTTGGGAATAAAAATTATACTAGCTTTGTAAACTAAGCTGGGCATATTTTCACTATTTTTCTAGTTTCTAGAACTACTATTTGAGTTAAAATTAACTGTGAGTCTTGAGTTTGAGAGAAAAAAGTTTAGATTCCCATTCTAATTTATTTATTGTTTGTTAGCCTAATCAAGTTTCCTGTTGTTTGCACCAATTTGCCATTTTGTTGTTTTTCCAGAAATGCATCCATTTTGTCTACATTTCCAAATTGCTTAGGTTATAGTTGTTTATAACATTCTTTTACTAATTTTTCCTCTCTACCGTAGCTAAAATTATGTTGCCTTCTCATTTATATGTTTATATTTTTTACATTGTTTATTCACATTTTTTTCCTTCATGAGTCTTGCCAGAGGTCCTTAAAAAGAAACAGATTTGTTTCCGTTAGCCTTCTCTATTGTGTGTGTGTGTGTGTGTGTGTGTGTGTGTGTGCATTGTGTGTTTTGCTTGCTTGCTTTCTGTGTTCTCTATTTCAGCAGTTTCTCTTTTACATTTAGCACTGCATTCCTTCTTGTTCTTTGGATTTTCTCTACTGATTTTTTCAAAGTTCTTGAATTAAATGTTTGGAGTATATTTTTCTGCCATTCCTATTTCTAGACAAATGTATTTAAAGCAAAATGTTTCTAAGTATAGTTTTAGCTGTATTCTACAACATATGTGTGTGATCATGTACATAAACACCCCACACACAGACACACAGAAACACATGCACAGACACAGACACACACACACAGACACACACAGACACAGACACACAAACAAACACACAGACACAGACACACAAAGAAACAAACACACAGACACAGACACACACAGAAACACACACACGTCTCCCTCAGCGGGACGGCTTTGCTGCAGTGCTACTTGGTTTGGAGCACCTCACTAGTTTCACCTTCACGGAAACTTGCCTGTTTGCTATCTGTCCATTCATTAGCCTCTTCATGCTGACTATGACTATTCCACTTTTAATTCTCTAATGCCCCTTCTTCCCTCCTGAGGATATTTAGTGCTTTATTTCAGTAATAATCTCCCCTGTCTCCTTAAGGACATTATGCCTTTTAGGCGTTGAGTCTGAGCCCTGCCTCAAGGTGTGTTGTATTTGCTGTGCTGGTCAGGTGTCCGAGTACTTTGCCTGTGGGCTCTTTTCCCTTGAAGGCATCAGCTCCTCTCTCAGGTACATTTGCAAGCCCTAGACCAAGACCCCAGCCCCGGGTTGGAGGAGAGGGGCAAGCACCAGGCAGACGCAGCAGGCAGGACGGGCTGCAGAGCCAGGCCGACCTCTACTGCCCGTCCCCCAGGACACCTCTTTGGTGAGGAATCGGCTCTTGAGTGGGTGTTCCTCTGGGTGCAGTTTCCACCTCAGGAGTTTGGATGAGGAAGGGGAAATATGAATTCCAGCCCCTAGTGCTGTCATTCACGTCCAGCCAGCACCGTCAGCAGCTTCCACCTCTCCAGCCCTGGCCCCCACCTCCCACCCAAACTCACATGGCGGTCCTGCCGCTCCCTGGCTTCTCTAGGCGCTCATGCTCCTCACGTCCACACTTCCCTCTTCCATCTGTGGCTTTCCCATAGTTAGTTCTGGGAGAAGGAGTCAGCCGTCATGCCAGGTGCTATGGTGTCTGCAAAAGCACCTAGATTTTAATACCAGAATCAAGCTCAATGCAGCAAGATCACCACCTTCTGAAAAACAACAACTTTCAAAAGCCTCCCATCTCCCATCTCACACTCACTCCCACGGTGGGACAGGGGAGGAGCCATCCACTCTGCCCTCCACACCAAGCCCATGGTATCTGAATTTACATATAATAAATGTAGGTGCACTGGGATATCTGAGTATATATTCAGAAACAATATATGAAACTAGGAGCTCTGTCTGCAGGTGACAGCCACAAACACGGACCCTGCGTAGGAAATTCCTCAGTGCTCAGGATCAGCGAAAGGGCTGTGTGTGTTGGAGACTTGCCGGAAAGATGCAGGTTATATGGTGTGTTAATAAGAGCTGCTTTGCTTGAAGATTTCAGAAAGCCAACTTAAATCAGCTTCAGAAAGCAAGAATAAAAGAAGTGTGCTGGCCCCTGGCATTGGAAGAAGGGCCAGGAGGCTGCGAGGAAGGTGGACCTGTGGCTGGCACAGAGGCCACAGTACCTGTGAAGAGACAACGTCTGCAGCCACGAGACAGCTGCGGATGCGTGTGGAAGGTCGGCTGGGAGAGGCCAAGTTCTGAGCACCCCAGAGCATGAACACATTTGATCGTCACAACAATTCCGGGACATAACTTATTATTGATAAGGAAGCTGAGACATGAGGATGAGTCCCAAGTGCGCATGCCAAGAATAAAGCCAGGACTTTTGCAGAAGCCATCTGGCTCCAGACCCCTTGAGCCTGACCAGGACACTTCACCTCAAGTGGACCAGCCTTCCCTGCCTCACATACCTGCTTCTTCCGGCCACCTCCACGCTTCCAGACACTTCCCCTCAAGTGGACCTGCCCTCCCCGTCTCATGCACCTGCTTCTTCCGGCCACCTCCACACTTCCAGGACCCTTCCCCTCACGTGGACCCGCCCTCTCACCTCACACACCTGCTTCTTCCGGCCACCTCCGCACTTCCAGGACCCTTCCCCTCACATGGACCCGCCCTCTCACCTCACACACCTGCTTCTTCCGGCCACCTCCACACTTCCCTTGCATGTCAGTTTCCCCTATTGCAGCAACCAAGGGCCACCAGCAGCTCCAGAGCCTTTAACTTAGGGCTTTACCCCAGAAAATGGGCAGCCCCTGCACCTCTGGCTTCAGGCCAGAAGTCCCAGGAAAGACTGTCACACGCCCCCCAGAGCCGCGCCTGGCCCTGAGCTGAGGGGCTCTGGTGTCGTGAGGAACCCGATAGTGAGATCCACAGCTCCTCTGGGGCCTGAGCTTTCCAGGGCCTGGGTGGGGCCAGGCCACCCACCAAGAGGAGCCACCACACAGGAGGCAGGACCGCCCTGCGAAGTGGTCTGAGGGTCTTCTTGGTCTTGTTCCATGGTGTCATGCTTGAAGCTCTGTCCGTCTGTCTGTTGGCCCAGCTTTCAGAATTTCCACGTTTCCCTTACGTTGTAAGTTACCACATAAGGCTCCCTATTGTAACCCCCTGTGGTGAATACATGTGCTTATAACATTGTTTTATAACCTCCCAGCTGACTGGCTCCTCAAGCACTGAGTGGCATCCCGTAATAGGAGAGGACGAGGCCGTGCGTCCACACTTCAGGAGCGGGGCGCCCTTCCTTGAGCTCACTAAGGAGGCACAGCCTCATCGTGTTACTCCCAGAGTTCTGATTTTCCACCCTTAGTCCTTCTTCTCCTTAAATATTATGTTAAACCAATGCCTTATTTACTAATAACTTCTTGAATATTTTTCTTATGATTTTGCTTTGTGTTGATGACATTGTTGTTTTGCTTGGTGCTTTTTAAAATGTGCAGCATGTATTTTGAAGCTTGAGAAAAGTGGGCGGATGGTTTGCAGTCTTTCCATGTCCAGGGGCCTCCTGCCGTCACGTCCACACACCCCTGGGGCGGCACAATACCAGGTGTCTTTTTCAGGGTCAGAGCCTGTCTCTGACCGCCCCTGGGGAGATGGTCCAGGCATAGTATGGCACTTGCTTTTATGCGTCTGACATTTTTCCTCTTCTGTTTTGTTTTTTTCTTGTGCAAAAATTAGAAGTAGGGTTCACACACATACACATGTTATTTTGCATTTTTACTCATTAAGGAGCCACTTCCAGGAAGTAAACTATCAACCTGGAGAAATGTGATAGGTAAGATGATGGCCTCATTCTTGGCCACATCTTAAACTTTATCAGAAATTACATTTCCACAGATAATCTAGCTAAGTGCCTACATTCCCCATTTCTCTTTCCATATAAATAGACATTAAGGCCCTCAAATGCCATTTATTCCTGACTGACACTCTAGCAGTAGCTAACATACTATTTCCTTCTTTGTCTCAAAGGTTATATTGATAGATCCGTACTGGATTCTAGAGGAAAAACCCAAGTCTTCTTCATACAAATATTAAATCTGTGAACACACCAAAAAATTACATTTAACCCTGGAGAGAATCCAGAGGTAGAATGAAAAATGATTCACAGCTGTTAAATTTAACTTTAAAAATCATTAATGATGCCTAAGTATTTATATTTCTTTAACTCATGCCTAAATTATGAGGACTGGTTTTAATAAGTATTTTTAATAAAAATTTCTATTTCTTAAAAAAAGCCTTTAATTAAGAGAGCCAGCGTTGTGACGGGTACAGCTGTAAACCAGAGACCACGATGCACCCTGTGGCCGCCATTCAAATTAAAGGCTCAGAGAGCAGAACGAACATGCAAGGTTGCAAAGCTCCATCCATAAATAAGGCCACAGAGTGTGGCCTTCAACTCCCCTGTTGCCTCAGGCTCTGGCAGCAGAAGAAGCTGATGGAAACGCCCACAGCCTCTTCAGGACGGGTCTGCAGCCCTGGTCCCCGCGGCACACAGGGACAGAGTGCCAGGGTGGTCCCGGGAGCGCCCGTCCACACCGGCTTGCAGCCGGAGACACCCGGCCCTTCCAGTCAGTGTCCGCCTGCCTGGGGAACACCTGCTCAGGGCTCCCAAGTGCTCGCTGGCATCAGCAGCCTGGACGCAGCCTGCACATCTCAGCCCCATGCTCAGTCCGACAGTCCCCACCAGGTGTGTGGCCAAATCGCCCAGCAAGTGAACGCACGGATGAAGGAGCGTGCGGCCGCTCAGCCACGGCCCTCCAAGGTCTCATCTTCCACAAGGCCTCTCTCAGAGCCGAGGTCTCATCTGCAAAAGGGAAGCGACTCTGCCTTTTCCCTCACATTGACGGCGCGTTCCTGCCTGGCCTCAGTCCAGAGGACGCTCAGCTCCTTCACCACGTGGATGGAGCTGGAAAAGGCCCTGGACCCGGCGCTGGAAGGAGAGCACCGATCCCAGCCTTGTCGGGCGGCCACGCGCTTTTGCAGGGTGTGTGTTCGTTCTCACCTGCAGAAGGAGGCGGGGACTGCACGGACGCTCATGTCCCTCCCAGAGCTGGAGCTTATGGGAGCCTCCAGCAGGATTCAGGCCACAGCCACACCTGCAAGTGTGTGGTGCTTGGACCCACCCTGCTGCCCGGTACAGGGGAACTTCAAGTGGGTCTTTATGGCTCTGAAACATGCTCCTTCTGCGCGGCAATGTTGGGATTAATGTGGCATTGACCACAGAGGCGTGAGGGTTACAGCTTACAGCTTCTGCCACGTGCTTAGCACTGAGAACACCAGTGGGCGAAATGGCAAACCTGAAGTGGTTTTATTTAAACCCGAGAGAGAGGAGGGCCCTGCTTCCTCCACCACCCCACTGTGGGCTCCAGAGGCCGCCTTTTGCTTTCCTCTGGGAAAAATAAAATTTAAGATCATTTTCATTCTATGGGTTGAACTTGACCCCTGATTACCGCGGGCCAAGCTTGAGTGCTGTGACCAGTCATCACACTCAACATTTCTAGGCCATTTCGACTTTTTCCAAACATGCTAGAAACAGGGCCTGATTTCATTTGCACAAATCCACTCATTGTACTGATTAGGAAGCCGAGAGCATCAGTGATTTGCCTAAGGTCACATAGAGCAAGTGAGTTACAAAGCCAAGACTGGAACCGGGTCATAAATACTAAACCTGAGTAAGGAGCCCAGCCCTTATGAGTGTTTGTCTGAAGCTCTGGTTTGTGTCTATCTTGCACTAGTTTGTTAAAAATAGCATCTAACTTGCCTAAAAGAGCAAAAAAAAAAAAAAAAAAAAAAAAAAAAAAAGAAAAAGAAAAAAAACAACTGTTGAAAAACTAGAAAACAGGCTTATTTCAACATTCGTCAGGGCATCAGCCATATCTCTGTGTTGACTGGAAGCCACAGGGCCACATCCAGTGAACCCTCTGATTGTTCAAAGTAAGTGGCACATATAAGGCCATCAAATGCCCATCTGCTGAGAATGTATCTCGGGCAGTGTAGTAGGAAAGGCCCCTCACGTTTTGCGCCTCCTCCACCGGCATTCCTGGGACAGCACTGATGACTAAGGGAGAGTAACTTCCAGGGAAAGTAACTTCCAGGGAAAGGAGGCGACTGTCCTGCCCGGCATGAGGGTGCCAGATTCACCTGGAATGGGATGGCCCCAGGGAAGCGCTAAGCAGGCAGGATGGAGGGCAAGGCCAGGGCTTCAGCAGCCGCCACTGGTGGATCAAACAGTGAGCACGCAGGGGTGAAAACCGTAATCCAACCTGCACTGGTGGAAGACGCTCCCAGACCAGCCGCCATGGGCTTCACACACTATATTTTTGAGAACAGTTCGTCATCCTGCTCTGTGGATCCAAACTGTTAATCCACAGAGTCCTCGCAGTCCCAGGCTACTGCTAATTAGAGGCTCTGCAGACCTTTGGGTTGGGCTTTTTAACTGTTTCATTCCCTTCCTCCTACCCCTCCCAAAAGGACAGCTGTGGTGACAGGCTCTTATCACCCAAGGCCAGCATTCCAAGCCAACCTCTTCAGGAGTTGTCTCCACAGGATGCAGGAGAGAATGGCGCTATTGTGCTGGCCGTGGAGTGGGCTGGAGATGGCACCTGTGGAGCTGAACGACTGGCTGTATCACCTGCATTACTACAACCACGCTTAAAGCACGGTGTAGACCAGCTAATTCCAGGGGCAAATTCCTGCTCTCCCTAGTCTTGAGGAAACCCCAAATGCCCACGTCCAGGGACCTATTTGCTGCTCTGTGGGGTTAGGCTGCTTGGCCTGCAGAGAGCTGGGGCAAAGGCTCCCTGTGCCCGCAGCTGGTTTGGAAGAGGTGGCTCTGTGTGTGGCTTTCTGCTGGACGGCCGCACCCACAGGTGTGTGGTGGGAACTGTATCTCCTACACCACAGGTGCCCAATGGTCTGTGGAATGATTGCTAGCCAAGGCCATCTTTTAAATGATGATTTCATTGCAGGAAATATAATGTTGGAATGATTTTTTCATCTCAAGTGAAGCCGTACTTAGTTTGGCTCCCCCACTCCCATCCCACCTTCTCTGCACAGTGACTGCCTGTTTAGGAGAAATTACGGCATCAAACCCAAGGGTCCGCTCTCCTCCCACCACACAGCTTCTCAACATCCTTAAACACAGCCCTGTGATGCGGACAGAAAAAAGGCCCCCGCCCTGCCCCTCCTTGATATTCTCACATGAGCCTCCAGGAAAGTCCTGGGCACCTTTCCCTAGGAAATTACTATTTTCTGGAAATCTCAAAATGACCAAAAAGGTTTTGTAGGACTTTGTTGTTGTAGTTGCATCAGAAAAACTGTATTTTTGTTTTTCCAAACACAAAATATTACATACTGTTAAATACGCCTTTGCAAACCAGGGCCTCCCACAGGAACCTCTCCCCTCAAGATGCTGATGAGGGCCAGCTTCTGCACTATCAGCCCATCTGAGTTTTTTAAGTTGGCACTGGTGGATAACAGGGCAGCAGATGAACATCTTGGCAACACAGAACAGATCCAAAGGTATAAGGTCCTGAGAAGCTCCACCACCGGGCAACAACAATACCACTGATGAGGGAGACGGCAGAGAAAGACAGTCCAGAGTGACCACAGGGGCATCCACATTAGGCCCTAAGCACACCTCCTGCAAATCAGCATCAGTAGCACTACTGAAACCTGTGTCTTGGGTCTGCTGGAAACATGTCAATCACATGGTGAAACAAAATTATGTAAAGGTGCAGATACAGATACAGAGGCAGATGCAAAGGAACATGCAAATGCAGATGCAGAGACAGATGTAGGTACAGATGCAGGTACAGATACAAATGCAGATACAGATACAGGTACAGATGAAGATACAGATACAGATAGGTACAGATGCAGGTACAGGTGAAGATATGGATACAGATGCAGATACAGTTACAGATGTAGATGCAGATATAGCAGATACAGATGCAGATGCAAGACAGAGTCTGTTCAAGGAAGATACACATACAGATATAAGACAGAGTCTGTTCATCTGCATCTGTCTCTTTATCTGCATCTGTATCTGCACCCGTACCTGCATCTGTATCTGTATCTGCATCTGCATCTGCGTTTGTATCTGTATCTGTGTATCTACATCTGTATCTGCATCTACATCTGTATCTACATTTGTATCTGCACCTGTATCTGTACCTGTATCTACATCTGTATCTGCATCTGCATCTGTATCTGTGTATCTATATCTGTATCTGTGTCTGTATCTGCATCTCCATCTGCATCTGTATCTGCATCTGCATCTGTATCTGTATCTGCATCTGCATCTGTATCTGCATCTACCTCTGAATCTGGATCTGCATCTGCATCTGTGTATCCGCATCTGTATCTGTATCCGTGTCTGCATCTGTGTCTGCATCTGAACCTCTATCTTCCTATTTGTATTCATCTTCCTGGTTGGGCCTCAGACTCTGTCTTGTCCCAGTCCCCTCAGGGTGGTCTCAGGATGCCCACACTTGTTGGAACTCAGCCAACTTCTGTGGCCCACTGGTCTCCTGCATCTCCAGGCTCTGTGCCCAGGCCTCCTGAGGCTTAGACATTTTTCTGAGGTCATCAGGAAGCTCGTCTACCCCTTCCTTGCCCTGAAACACATTTCTCCCTGCCTTCTGGACTTTCCACCTCCACCCAACATGTCAAGACAAACTTACCACTCCCGCTGGCCTGGGTGTGTTCCTAACTTGTCCTTCCCAAGCTTTGACCAGTAGCCTCAGACCCCACAGAATGAAGGCCCTTCCTCCCTCTTCTTGCGATGTCCAATGCCAACCTGCAGCCCCCCGCTTGTTGTCGTGGGTCTCTACTTTCTCCTTATCCCACACTCCTGTCGTAAGTCCCACCACCATCTCCCCAAGGTTCCCTCTTTTTGCTCTCCTCATTTCAGTAGGCTTTGCACATGGCAGCCTTCAATCACATCCTTCCCCTGCCCGAAACTGACTCCCTTTGCCTTCCAAACCAATAATGTGGTGTGTCCCTCCCTACCTCTCCTGGCTTCTGTCTCTCCTTCCTAATATGTAACTTGCATCCTCTGAACCTCCATCTTGTCCAAGTGGGAACAACCCTGGTGAGAGTCTGGAAGCTGGATTCTAACTGTGGCCCCTGGGCCTCCATTCCCCACCATGAACCATGGAGGCTGAACTACATCAATGGGTCTCTCACCTGAATGTATGTGTGGGTCGCCTGGGGTTTCGCTAAGATGCAGATGCTGATTCAGAAACTCCCGGTTGAGACCGAGGCTCTGCATTGCTGACCAGGGCCCAGGTGACTCCAGGATTGCTGTCCAGGTAATGCCTTGGGACCAGAGCCAGGGGCCAGACATTCTGTCCTGTCCTCCAGACCCAGCATCCCACAGCAGGAGCACACAGCTGTGGCCAAGCATGTGAGCTGAAGCCTCTGCTTTCAGAGTCTGACTCCCAGCTCTGCCCCACTACCTGGCTGACTCAGCAAGTTATGTAGCCCCTAAACCCTGGTGCTCTTCCTGGAAACACAGGGGCACAGTCTGCACTCCGTCTAAGGGTTGCTATAACAATTAAATGAGATAAACCATTTGCAGGGCTGGCACTGCCTGATGAGAAAGGCCCTCCGCAGGTTCCTACTCTCACCTTGGCATCAGGCTTCTCCTGAGCTCACACAGGGCCCTGGGCCTCGGATGCTGGGGAGGGGCCACCACCCCAGGGCTGGATATCTGGGGCTGATGGCAACCTGGAAACGTGCCCGGCCCTGGAAACCCGCCCATCCACATCCTCCAGGTCTCCCGTCTAGCCAGCAGGCGTTTGGAACATCCAGCCTTCACTGAGCCCTGGGGGAGGCCTCCCTATCCCCAGCACAGGGCGTGCTCAGCGAGAGGCCATGAACTGCAGGAACAGGAAATGGAGGAGAAAATCTTCTGTTTTGTAAACACAGTGTTTGGTTTCAGGAGGATGGATTCAAACCAAAGAACCCATGTGGACACGTTGTACCCTTTGAAGCATCGCACACAATTTTTACAGACTGTGGGTATTTCCAAAGAATGCATTCAGCACCATCTCTATCCAATGACGGGAAAGAAAGCCAAGATTGGATTTCTGAGGCAGCATTAATACATAATGAAATTCAGATTTCAAAATTATGAAGTCTTAATCAGAATCTACCTCACAAGATACCACCTGAAAATTCCAGTGCTATCCGGGGTGCCTTTGCGTGGTAACAGCAATTGCCATTACCAAGACTTAAGACAAGCTAGACGCTGTTGGAACAATGCAGGCTCCCAGGTCAACATCAGCTTGACTGAAATGGGATGTTTCTGTACTTGAGCTCTGCAACAGTAATGAAGAGCTCCATCTGGAAATCATTCCAATAACAACGACGACTGTCTTCTGCTTCAATCGATCATTCTATGGTCCCCACCGCTAGCCAGCTCTATTTCTGCAAATGTCATAGAAGTGTGGGTGTGTAGGCTGGGCAGGGTGGCTCACGCCTGTAATCCCAGCACTTTGGGAGGCCGAGGTGGGTGGATCACGAGGTCAGGAGATCGAGACCATCCTGGCCGACATGGTGAAACTCCATCTCTACTAAAAATACAAAAATTAGCTGGGTGTGGTGGCGTGCCTGTAGTCCCAACTACTCAGGAGGCTGAGGCAGGAGAATCGCTTGAACCCCGGAAGCAGAGGTTGCAGTGAGCCGAGATCGCGCCACTGCACTCCAGCCTGGTGACAGAGTGAGACTGTCTCAAAAAAAAAAAAAAAAAAAAGGTGTGGGCGTGTTTGTTGTGCGGGATTATGGTCTCATTCCTAGTGCTGCTTTGCCCTAGGGAAATGCTGGTCACAGCAGTGTTGGTAGCTCCCTCCCTCCTTGCTTCCCGCTGGGTCTGAGCTCCTTTCTCTGGGAGGTAATGGCTGTGTTAAGAAGGGCTAGCAGGATGGGACTAGCTCCAGAGCCCAGGCTGCAACGTCCCCATCGGCGCTGGGGCTGAGTTCCAGGAGGAAGAGCAGGAGGCTGGGGGATTTCCAGGAAGTCTCTAACCTCAGCAAACAAGAGCAAAGCTATCTGCCCATCAGACCTGGGCCACTCAGGCGCTTTTCCTGGTGGGTGACAGCCGCCAGGACTCTGAGGAAAGGCCATGGTGCTTTCTAAGGGCCCAGGAGAGGCCAGTCCTGGGCTGAAGGGAAGGAGCCCTTATTTTTCCAGTGACATGAGTTGTCCAAGCATTTTCCATGCACTCCCCTTCAGAGAACATTTCTGTCAAATGAAACTGTTGCTTCCTCCACTTAACAATCCAGAAGGAGCTGCCCTCATGCCCCAAGAGCTCACCCTCCCCAGCTACAGGGCACGGGGCTTTCCAGGGTCCAGAACCCAGGCTGGGGTGGCCAGGCCCATAGGTCAGGAATGAGCGTTTCCCAGCACAGCCGCCCTCAGCCTCCTCCATTGTACAGGAGGCAGGGAGCATGGGAGGAAGCTGCCAGCCTCCCTCCGAGGGCCGTGGCCCAGCACAGCTCGCCCACCAGACAGAAGTCACACAGGCCCAGCCCCCTTGCTCAGCGCAGCCCCAACACAGGCCTCCTGCCTCCCTCGGTCTGGGACCCACTCCCCACAGCACCTCCTAATTGAGGACTCTGGTTCTCCGTCTGGACGGCAGACCTAGAAACAGCCACAGACACAGGCTTGCTTCCTTGTGGTAAACAGACAACACAAGGCAACGCCCCACGGTTCGCAGTTCTGTGGATTTTAACTCCTGTGTAGATTTCAGCGGCCACAACCACAATGAGGGCAGGGTACATCCCAATGCCCCAAACCCCACAGTAACCCCTCTCCTCAGTCACACACCAGCCCCTCCAAGGCCCTGGCCCTGACCCCCTCTCCGCAGTGACACACCAGCCCCTCCAAGGCCCTGGCCCTGACCCCCTCTCCTCAGTCACACACCAGCCCCTCCGAAGCCCTGGCCCTGACCCCTTCTCCAGAGAAAGTCACGGAGGTGGGATGATGGAATGCCACCTCAGAAACTGCCTGCCTTCCTTCAGCAAAAGGCCTTGGGTTTCAACCACACTGTCTCCTCGCTGCTGAGAGGTATTCCACGGCATGGAGGGGCCCGTTCCTTTATCCTTTCGCCCATCGAAGGACATTTGAGTTGCTTCCAGTTTTTGCCAAACTGGAAAACAGTTTATGAATACAGCTGCTGTCAATATTTGTGTGCAGGTTTTTAGATTAACGTAAAGTTTCATTTCTCTACAGAAGATACTAAGGACTGGGATTGATGAATCACATGGTATGTTTATGTTTATAAGAAACTGCCAAACTGTTTTCCATTCTACATTCCCACGAGGAAGTGTGAGCGTTCCCACTTCTCTGCATCTTTCTCAACAGTGAGTGTTGTCAGCATTTTTTATTTTAGTCATTTGAATGGCTGCACAGCAGGAGCCCCTCATGCTCCGATGTACATTTCCCTGAAGGCTTGTGATGTTAAACACCTTTTCCTACGTGTATTTGCCACATTTGTGATCTCTTGGTGAAGTGTCTATGCAAATATTTTGCTCTTTTTTTTTTTGACCAGGTTGTTTGGTTTCTTACTATTGAGTTTTGAGAGTTCTTTATATGTTGAAGACAAGCCCTTTGTTGGATATGTGCTTTGAACATATTTTCTCCCACTCTGTAACTTGTCCTTTCATTTTCTAACACTGTCTTTCACAGAAAATGTTTTCATTTTAATGAAGTCCAATTTATCAGTTATTTTATGGATTGTAGTTTTGGTGTGTGTTTAAGAACTCTTGGACTAACCCCAAGTTATGAAGATTTTCTCCTATGTTTTCTTCTAAAAGTTTTACAGTTTACCTTTTGCATTCAGGTCTATGACATATTTTGTATTAATTTTCTATAAGGTTGAGGTTTAAGTCAATATTCACTTTTCTGCAAATGGATGTCCAATTGTTCCAAGAGCATTTGTTGAAATCCTGTTTCCACTGAATTGCCTTAAACCTCTGTTGTTATGGCCACGACTAGCCATAACTGTGTGGGTCTATTTCTGGACTACCTATTCTGCCCCATCAGCCCAGTCACAGGCGTGTGACTGTCTTTGTCAATATCATACTGTCTTAATTATTATAGCCCTTAAAATGGAGTGGTTCCTTCAACTTTATTCTTTTCCAAAATTGTTTTGAGTATTCTAGTTTTTTTTTTTTTTTTTTTTTTTTTTTGAGACAGAGTCTCACTCTGTTGCCCAGGCTGAAGTGCAGTGGCGCGATCTCGGCTCACTGCAAGCTCCACCTCCCGGGTTCACGCCATTCTCCTGCCTCAGCCTCCCAAGTAGCTGAGACTACAGGTGCCCGCTACCACACCCGGCTAATTTTTTGTATTTTTAGTAGAGACTGGGTTTCATGGTGTTGGTCAGGATGGTCTCAATCACCCGACCTCATGATCCGCTCACCTCGGCCTTGAGTATTCTAATTTTTTGTTGTTCTGTATAAATTTTAGAATCATCTTCCTTATATAATACAAAAATCTAGCTGGGATTTTATTGAAATTGCATTAAATATGAAGGTTAATTTGGGGAGAATTGACATGTTTACTATGCTGAGTTTTCCAATTGATAAGTACAGTATGTCTCTTCATTTATTTAGGTGATCTTTCATTGTTTTCATCATTCATCATCACCTCGTAGTTTTCAGCATATAGATCCTATATATATAGAGAGAGTTAGATTTATAATCAAATATTTTATTTTTGTGCTATTTTAGGTGATATTTTTATTTTAATTTCAGTTGCCAATTATTCATTGCTAATATATAGAATTAAGATTGATTTATGTTTGTTGATCTTATAGTCTACAAACTTGCTAAACTCACATATTAGTTCTAGGGGACTTTTCATGAATTTTTTAGGATTTTATAGTGTACAATATCATATTGTCTATGAATAGGAACTGCTTTGTTCCTTTTTTTTTAATCTGCATGCCTTTTACTTCCCTGACTAGAGCTTCCAGTACAATATTGAATAGGAGGACGAGTGGATATCCTTGCCTTCTTCCCAATCTTTGTGGAAAACATTCAGTCTTTCACCAGTAAATATGAAGTTATCTGTAGGGTTTCCTTTTCGAGATGTTTCTTATCAGAATGTGGACATTTCCTGCTATTCTTGATTTGCTGAGAGTTTTTGTCATGAATGAATATTAAATGTTGTCAAATGATTGCAATGTACCAATTGGTATTATTGTGTGATTTTTCTTCTTCAGCTGTTAATATTATGGATTATGTCAATTGATTTTCAACTATTGAACCAGCCTTGCATTCCAGCAATAAAATTCTACTTTGTCATATATTATTTATATACATGATATAATATATAAATAATATACACACCAAGTAGAATTAATTTCTGTTGAGGATTTTAAAATCTATATTCATAAGAGACATTCATGTGTAGTTTTATTTTCTCACACTGTTTTTGTCTGGTTTTAGTTATCAGAGAAATATCAGCCTCATAAAAGGAGTTGGAAAATTTTTCTTCTTATATTTTCTGGAAGAGATTGTGTATAACTGATGTTATTTTCTATTTACATTTTTGGTAGAATTTGGTAGAATTTGCCAGTGAAATTGTCTGGGTTTGGAGTTCATAGCATTCCCCTTTTTATCCTCTTAATGTCTGTAGGTTCTGTTGTGTTGTCCCCTCTTTTGTTCCAGATATTGATATTTGTGTCTTCTCTATTTTTTTCTTTTGTCAGTGTTGCAAGAGCTTTGATCAATTAATCAATTCAAATGACTGATTTTTTTGTTTCACACATTTTTCTATATTGTTTTTCTGTTTCCAGTTGTATTTCTGCTCTTATATTAATTCATTAAGGTTTTACCTTTGGTTTTTCATTGTATTTTGTTTTGTTTTGTTTTGGTCCTTCTTTTTCTCAGCTGTTAGATTTGAAATGTATTGTTCTGACTTCTTTTTTCTTTTCCAATAGAAGCATTCAATGCTATATTTTTCCCTGTAAATACTGCATTAGCTGCAACCCACAAGTTTTAATACATGTATTTTTGTTTTCATAAAGACTTCTAATATATTCTAATTTCTCTTGAGACTTTTTTTAATCCAAGGATTATTTAGAAGTGTTTTGTTTGATTTTTGAAGTGTTTGGAGATCTTCAGGTATCTCTTTGTACTGACATCTATTTTAACACCATTATGGTCAGAGAATGTACTGGATTTCAACTCTTTTCAATGTCTTAAGATTTGTTTTTGATTCAGGATATGGTCTATCTTGATTACTGTGAACTCAAATACAACATGTATTCTCTTATTCAGTAGAGTGCTCTATAATGCCTATTTAGATCCAGTTGGTGGATGTTGCTATTCAGTTCTGTATTCTCCCACATTTTTAGTCTATTAGTTCTATCAATTATTAAGGTGTTGAAGTCTACAATTATAATTGTGAATTTGTGCATTTCTATTTTCAGTTCTGTTTTTATTTCATGTATTTTGAAACTGTAGATATGTAATGTACATACATATATAGGATTGTTAAGTCTGCTTGGTTAATTGAACTTTTTACTATTACAAAATATTCTTTTTTATCCCTGGAAGCTTTCTTTGAAGTCTACTTTGTCTAAGATTAATATAGCCACTCAAACTCTCTTTTAATTGGTGTTTCCTTTGAATAGTTTTCTAATTTTTTTTTACTTTTAACCTATCTATATCATAATATTTGAAGGGAGTTTCTTGTAGACAACATACAGTTGGGTCTTTTTTTAACTTTTTAAAATAATCTCTGTCTTTCAATTAATTTGTTTAGATCATTAACATTTAATGTAGTCTAAACATTGATATGTTTGCATTTAGATCTATGAGTTTACTGTTTGTTTTCCATTTGTTTCCTGTGTTTTTGATCATTTTGCTTCCCTTCCCCTGACTTCTTGGGGGTTATCTGACCTTTTCTTACAATTCCATTTACCTATTGTGTTTTTACCATATCTTTTTGACTAGTGTTATTAGTGGTTGTTCTACAGATTACAGTGTACATACTTAACTTTTCACATTCTATTTAGGATCAACATTTTGCCACTTCAAGTGGAGCATACAAGTCTTGTCACCATATGGACTCCTTTACCCTCTGCTTTTATGTTGTATTACACCTATATACATTGAAACCTCTATGAGACAATGTTATAATTTTTGCTTTTATAAAATATAATTTAAAGAACTCCAGAGGAGAAATGTCTATCATATTTACTCATATATTTACCATTTCTGATGCTCTTCCTTAACTACCAAGGTTCTGATTTTTTTCTGGTACCATTTCCTTTCTGTCTAAAGTACTTCCTTTAACAATTCCTTTAAAGCAGATCTGGTGGCAAATATTCTCTTTGTTTCTTTCACCTGAAAATGCTTTATTTTACTTTTATTTTGAATAATATTTTCATCAAATGTAGAGTTCTGTATTGACAGTTGTTTTCTTTTGGCACTTGAAAAAATATGCTACTTCCTTCTGCTCTGCATAGTTTCTTATGAGAAATTCACTGTTATTATAATTGTTTTTCTACTATAGGTAAGGTGTCATTTCTCCCTGGTTGCCTTCAGTATTTTTTTCTTTGTCTTTAGTTTTCAGAAATTTAATTATAATGTGTCTCGGCATGGATTTTTAGGTTATCCTGTTTGAGGTTCACTTATCTTCTTGAATGTGCATATTACATCTTTTGTCAATTTGGGAAGTTTTCAGCTATTATTTATGTGGTAGACAGAATTTTATTGTGGCTCCCTAGATTCCCACTCCCTGGTATACACACATCTTCTTTTAGTTATTCAATCAAACATTCATCTAAGTGCTGCTATGAAGGGATTCTGAAGTGTAATTGAAGCCCAAATCATTTGACTTTAGGAAACGGAGGTTATCCTGGATGAGCCTGACATAATCAAGTGAACCCTTAGAAAGGAATTTGGCTCTTCCTGGAAATACTGGAAGCATGAATGTTATTCAACATAAGGGAGAGTCTCCCTTGATGACTTTGAAGATAAAGGGAGGAGGGTGAGGAATGCAGGCATTCTCTGGCAACTGAGAGCAGAGCCCAGCTCAGAGCCAGCAAGGAAATGGGACCTCAGTTCTACAGATGCAAGAACTGAATTACTTCACCACCATGTGAGCTTGGAGTTTCCAAGACCCTGAGTTTCCAATAAACATAGCCCTGATCTTGATTTCAGCTACATGAGACCCTGAGCAGAGAATCCAGCTAAGCCATATCCAGATTTCTGACCCACAGAAAACAAAATAATAAATGGGTGTTGTTTTAAGCCACTAAGCTGTGGTAATTTGTTTTGCAGCATTAAAAATATTTCTCTAGCAGGGCATGGTGGCTCACACCTGTAATCCTAGCATTTTGGGAGGCCGAGGCAGGTGGATCATGAGGCCATGAGTTTGAGACCAGCCTGGCCAATATGGTGAAACCCTGTCTCTACTAAAAACACAAAAATTAGCTGGGTGTGGTGGCACACACCTGTAGTCCCAGCTGCTCCAGAGGCTGAGGCAGGAGAATCATCTGAACCCGGGAGGTGGAGGTTGCAGTGAGCCGAGACTGCCCCACTGCACTCCAGGCTGAGCAAGAGAGCAAGACTCCATCTCGGCCGGGCACGGTGGCTTTTGCCTGTAATCCCAGCACTTTGGGAGGCCGAGGCGGGCAAATCACGAGGTCAGAAGATCAAGACCATCCTAGACAACATGGTGAAACCCCGCCTCTACTAAAAATACACACACAAAAAAAAATTAGCCAGGCATGGTGGCACGCGCCTGTAGTCCCAGCTACTTGGGAGGCCAAGGCAGAAGAATTGCTTGAACCTGGGAGGTAGAGGCTGCAGTGAGCCGAGATCGCACCACGGCACTCCAGCCTGGGTGACAGAGCAAGACTCTGTCTCAAAAAAAAAGAAGACTCCATCTCAAGAAAAAAAGAAAATATATATACATATGTATGTATATATTTCTCCATTTGCCTCATTCACTCTTTCTTCTCTCCTATTTGATTTCCATGACACAAATATTAGCCCTTCCGTAATGCCCCATAGGTTTGCAAGCCCTCCTGGGATCTCATCTCTGAAGTCAGAGAGGAAGGTAAACTCTTCAGAGAGCCCTGTGGGTTACTCCTGCTGCTGGCACCACAGCAGCCTTCATGGACAGCTGGGGCTGCGGCACAGGGAACAGAAAAAGTGGAAACAATAAAAATGAGACCCCCGCTCTGTGTGAGTGTTAGGGGTCCCCTTTTCTGCTCTGTGAGCCAGGACTAGGGCTTCTCATGGGGTTCTCTCCATCTATCCTGTGTCCCTATTGAGTTTGAGGCTATGTCCAGTTAAAGCCAGGAGTACTGAAGGGGAAAAAGGTAAACTCACTACCTACTGGAGAGATTTGGGCTCTGGTCTCCTCCAATCTCCCTGCAATGACTTGCTTTTCAGAGCCCCTCAGCAGCTGCTCCGTGCCTCTGTACAGGTCAGTAGCCGCATCCCCTGTGAGGGTGGAATGGTGCAATGACTGCATCTCATCAGAGCCAAACCCAGATGCAGCTTTGAAAATTGAATTTTGGTGGTGGAATTAAATTATTTTCTCATTGACTTGCATTGAAACTGCCTTTATTTTAGTTCTGGTTGGCCAATAAATTGTAAGGGTCCAAAGCTTTTAGATTTGGTCTCCCTGCCTCTCAGGCTCCTGGTGAAGTGGTAAACAGGCATCTCATGTTGGGAGAACAAGTGCTAAATGATAACAAATGATGCATATTTTTGCAAAGCAAAACTCCTTTTACTGTGAATAATCATGATCAGGTCTGTTTTATACATTTAGATATTTAAATAGGTCTGAGATAAATAAACTTCCTTTAGAATATAAAATCTTTCTGTCTGAGATAAACTCAATTTCATATAAATTGTTTAGTTTGCTCATGAATATCCTATTGGATAAGGGATTATCCCAGTAGTCTATAACAAAGGTCAGCAAACTATACTGTGTGGGCCAAACGCAGCTGGCAGCTTGTTTTTATAAGTAAAACATTATTGGAACAAACATTCTTCTATTATCTGTTTCTGCTTTCAGCTACAACAGCAGTTGAAGAGTCACGGCAGAGCCTGGAATACTTCCTGTCTGGCCCTTCACAGGTAAAAATTTGCCAACTTCTGATCTATGGAATGTAAAAAAGGTAAACAAAATTCTCCTGCCCAGCAGGCATGTAACTACCTGACAGCCAGGC